>NC_000005.10:107609807-108234807 GCF_000001405.40 Homo sapiens
CCGCCGACTAGAATAAGATGACTGAATGGTGCCTCTTGAAAGGTCGTGATAACAAATCCAATTTACGATTATCAAAGGGACAAAACCAAAAGGTGGAAGAGTCTGAATCAGTGAAAAATTATATTATCATTTAATTGTATTCATCAACAAGATCACCTCTCATTTAAGAATGAGACAGATAGGAATGTTCAATAGAAAGGGAAGGGGGAAAATTGCAGGGTGGGAATGGGAGGGAATCCCACCTGTCCTTCAAAGTGTAACCCCAAGTTAAATTCTCTTCTATTATTTCCGTCCTTAAAATAGTCAGATAGCAAGATGTTCAAAGGAACACAAAGCAGTATAGTAGAGCTGCCTTCTTTCAAAGGGGCCAGAGCAGCCCTTCGAAGAGTTATTCAGGTCACAGGGAAATTACACTTCTTTACGCATCTATAAAGAATTCAGAGTTTTCCATTTTTATTAGCATTATTATAATATTGAAGGTTTTCAGGCATATCATGAGGGGAGCATTTACAGAGACAAGCTGAGCAGACCCAGCCTCACGGCGCACCCGCCCCGCTTGAAGAAGTTCCACAGCCTGGCAGACATTTTGAAAAGCCTAATAAGCACATAGCACTTCGACTGTTAGTTTATATACTAATACAGCCAAACACGTTACGTGAAAAAGCCAAGATTCAGTTGTTTTTGTCAACTATTAGACTCAACATGATACTTTGTCTCTATGAAGGCAGACTACTTGGGGCCACTCTATTCCTTTGATAAAACTGTCATGCTATCATTGAATCATCACAAAACGTATCTCTTTTTTTAATCCTTTCTTAATTTTTGCAATTGAAAAACTACAATTACCTTTTGATTATTTTTCAGTGCATACAGTGTCAAAGTCCCCAGTTCCTGATATAAATTCCATGAATATTTGAAAAATTAATACAACTGTGTCACCCATTGTTCATTTTATTCACATCTCTTCTCGCCTTCTCCCTGGCACTTTTTCTAGCAGCCCTGAGCCTTCCATAGCGGCACGGAGGCATAGGCACATATTCAAAGGTAGAAGACTGAAAAGGTCATATAGCAAGCAGAGAATTTTCTAGCAACGCAGGTTTCGATCTTTGCTATTTCAGTGTTATTCCCGCTGAGCCTCGCGTGCCAAGAATACCACTGGCGCTGTTCAGAGACACTCATGATGACTCAATGGAGAATCAGGCGACCTGGGCATTTAACTATGCGCCTATTCCCAATGATATTCTGTCTCAAATCATTTCCATCCTCATAGAAACATGAAAGTGGGGCAATGACAGATATGAAGCCCAGCATGAACTGCCTGGAAGAACTCTGCCTAGCAACACAGCTTTATCACTCCACCACGCATATGAAGCCAGAGCCCACCGACAAAAATAATGACATAAAAACCAAGCTGGAAATGCTATAGTTTAAGAAAAGCTACAAAAATCGTATCACAGAAGAGACTGTTTAAAATCATTTTACATTCAACCAGTAAGTACAAATGAAACATTAGTTGATATTTTAACCTACAATGAAGCAAATACTGTGTCAGCATACACCTTTTTGCTATGTAAAATCACACGTTTCCCACAAAAACCTATGTTTGTAAAATTCCACGGGAAACAAGGTAAAACGGTTCGCTCAAGTCTTGCCTTAGCGTATTCCTCAATATAGTAAAAGAGGGTTGGGATTACTTTGATGACCCTTCAAGTCCGGTATGTAAATATATTAGGTTTTCTTTATTCTATTTCAGTGACACACATACATCCAGAAGGTTATTTCCTTTATTTTTCTCTTTGAGGATTCTGGGTTCTAATTGTGAATATGTGAATATGACAGGACACAGAGCATGAGCTTATAATTTTTATTCACAGGAGATCTAAGTTTGTGCTACTATAGTCACAGTGATCTTTCAACTGGTTCCAAAGATAAATATTGGTGAGGCAGCAGGCCAGGGCTCGGATGGGCATTTTTAGTACTGAAAAGGAATTAAATTAGCTAGTTGAATGCAGCATGAACCCAAGTCCTTGACTTGATTAGTAACACAAAGCACACTGTTAGCAGTGAAGGAAAAAACGAATATGTAAGGAGTAGTTATTTCAAATCATTTTCTCTGCTCGTTTTCATTTATGGAAACTAAATGGGTAACTGCTTCTGTTCCTATCTGCACAATAATTTTGACAACATATTAATATAATGTTAACATAGGATGGAAAGTGGGAATTAGCAATGATTAACAGATATTCTTCAAATATATGTACTTTCTTCAGAAGTTAACAAAGGATTTGAACATAAATTCTACCATGTCTCAAATAGCACCATTCAATAGAAAGCATCTGCACAAAAATTATCTCAGGTTATTTTACTAGTACTACATTTATTTCTCTTATTACTTTCTGATGTTTCTTGGGAGGCAAATTTTACTGATAAATATGTAAAGTTGATTAATTATACTTTCTATATCATGTATAATGAGTTGCATTATAACAACATAATAAAATTATATAGAATCCAGAAATACATGAATTATTGAGGAATGTCAGGTAAGACCATCTTATATGGCCTCCTCTGAACTCTTAAAACCAGACAGGTTACAACCAGGAAAGCCTATTTGTTGCTAGAAACTGCAATCATCAATAGCCCAAGCAAGCAAAACACTGGTCAAGTAAAAATTCTTTTTAAAATATAATTTGAAATGCAATTTAAAAAAAAAAAGTTCATCCAAAATATCTACCTTGATTAGACAGTAAACATAATTGGTAACTGTCAAGGTCCATACAGAATTAGTATTAAAAAGTTATCAGTGAGAGCATGTTCTTTGTTTAGTCAGGATATAGAAGCAAACAGAAGCATATCACTGCAATGCACAGTGAAGAACTGGAACAAAGCTGTGAGCAGCTCTCCAATATAAAGACCAGGGTTGTGATATTCCCGTCAGTCACTGTATTAATACAGGGAAAGCCTACTTAATGAACTGCTGAGAATGGAACAGAGTCACTATGAGAATACATTTTGTGTTTACCAGACTGTAAAATCTGCAATAAGATCCCAGAATCCTCTTAGATGAATGAAAGTTAAAGGAAATAACCTTCTAGACATAGAAACTCAGTAGCAAAACAGGGAATAAAATAAATAGTTTCCAAATAAAATTTCTAAAAGACTCATTGCTTTGGCAAAAGCCAAAAAAATTGCTTCATCATCTACGAACAGTGATACAGTAACACAGAAAACTAAAGATAATTTCCTGAAAGACTTGAAACTCTATAAATTTAACAATTTTCTTTCGCAATAAAAAAAAAAGATGAAGGAAAACCTTGGGAAAGGCTGTGATTTTGTACATTTTATTAACCAAGCAACATAAACTTGAATTATATCACTAAGTTTATTTGCTAGTTACTCATTTCTAAGTGTCTTACACTAATAAAAATAAAATCTCAAGTGTTTTATAAAAGTAATGGGCCTAGAAAAAATTGCTGAGGGTATTTTTTAATATCATCTAAGTTGCTTTTTTCATGCCTATGGGGTTAAAGAAATGATATGTAAGTTATTAACTATAATATGGCCAATGTAATTACTACCACCAAATTAAAACAATCTTCAAGATGTTTTAAGTATCCTAAAATGGATGAAAACACCAAAACCCCGTTAAAAACTGATGCTTGGATGGCATAGAATGACCCTTGCTATATGAACTTCTGTTCTCTCTCCATTTCCTCCTGACAGATCATGCTTCTAGAGTGAAATAAATTAAAAACAATTTTCAATTGATTGATAGCTTTTTAAACACAGTGCACCTTGAAGGAAATCATTTACATAAAGTATTTCAAGAGTTACATTGCTAAGTTAAAAATCAAAGTAAATGACCCCAATAAGAGATTCCTGAATCACTAAGTAATTTCAAATAAATGAAAAGAGAATGAAAGGCATTTTTCTCACTGGATGATAAGACTCCTGATTAAATCTTCTTCTGACACTAAAGCAGGCCTTGTAGTTCTAACAGCTCTTCATTTCAACTAAGGTCATCATGAAAAGAATGATTATCAGATAAACCCAATCAGAAAAGACTCAAAAGTTTTCAGAGCCTCCAATTCCATACGATTTCTAGGCATCCTGATTGACAGTTTTGTAAAATATAAGGATAATTAAACTGACATGAAAATCAGTACCCTGCATAAATCCTAAAAGCAGTTTATCTAACCTTTTGATCCTCAGAGAACTCAGTCGTCCTAGAACCTGTTCCTACTCACCATCTAATGAACCTTCAAAAACAGATTAACACCCAACTATCACACCCTGTGTAGTTTACACACATAATCCATATCCCCACAATATCATTGCTCTGCTCATTACACGGATAATACTTCTTGCTGGAACTAGTTCACAGCAACTTCAGTCTCTTCCCCAGGCATAAGACAAAACTGGATGGATCTTCCAGAAGGAAGCTTTGTGATACTGAGAAAAAAATTAAAATTTTACTCTTAAACCATAAACCAACTGAATATTCGACATATTAACATAGTGTTGACAATGTTTAAATTTCAAGTGTTTTCATAACATCAGGTAGTATTTTAAAGAATGTCAAATCATATACAAAGTATTACCTTATGTAAAATGTGCAATTTATTTTTAAATTATCATGGAAATATACTGTTAAAAAATAAGTTAGTCATATGAGATAACACTCAGCTTTAGATGGTTTTCTCCCAGGTGAAGGTGTTCAGACCATTTGTCATGTGTCCATTTATCATTCTGCCTAGTTTGAAGACAACACACACATACCATCTTTGAGTACCTGCAACTCCCTCTGGAGAGGAGTCTTTTCTCCAAGACCAATGGTTGTCTTAGCTTTCAGGATAGTCATGCCAAGATTTTCACATGAATTTCTTGTAAGACTCCTGGTTGTGTAACATTTTCTCTCTCAAAAATCCAGAAGGAACTTTTGAGTATTTGTGCCATATTAAAGCAAGAAAGGCAAAGATCCAAGTCATATAATAAACAGATCTTATTAAGAAGTTATGATAATATAATGAGCACTATATATAAATGTTTAATTCTTTAACAACTATTTTTTAAAGTGATACAAAAAAATATGCCATATGTTTAGAAAGCTCAGCTTTTATTGTCATTTCCTTTTCAGACATGGGATTTTACTTTATCTTGTTCTATTTTAAACAAATTATTTAGGAGCCACAAATGTTTTGATGTTGGAAAATACCTATGTTAACTGCCAAAAGAAAATTAGGTTATCTACTAGATTTTCATGCAAAAAGTATTGAGAGAAATGGCCAAGTTCTGCTCCTAAAAAGAAATTACCACTAACCTTGTTTCTCTTCCACCTTTAAAAAAAAAAATCTTTAAAATGACAAGGTAATCACAAATTGGAGTTTTAAGGGGCACCTGACTGGCTTGTCAGACTAAAGTAGCATATTAACTACACTCATTGTGGCACCATGGAAGCCTCAGTTTTTATCATTTCGATATCCCCTCTAGGGTTTCAATCTTCTCTCTTGGAGCTCAATCATGCTCTGTGATGCTCTGTTCCATCATGAGGATGCAAGAGAATTTCTATTTAAAAAAACATTCAGGGGGAGGGGGGAGTGGTATCAGGCACTACTGATTGAGAAGGCATTCCGTGATGATCCCTATTTTCAGTTAAAATGCGCACTTACAGTTTTGGATTTAACACCCCTGCCTTTGCAGTCAGACAGTCATTTAGCTGGAGTCAATCAAGCGTATGATTAGAAATAATAACTCACAAGCAATGAATTCAAAAAGATTAGATCTTTGCCGAAATGCACAAGTACAGATTCCCATTATGCATCCTTTCCTCTCTGGTTTCTAGAGAGCAGACCAAAAAACAAACAAACAAAAAAATTCTCTTGCACTCTAAAAGCTTGCTTCACTTAAAATCTGACTAATCATTCTTTTAGCTCATGACGAGAAACCTCAGTCAGTTGGAGATATAATCAACACAAAGGGAGGGGTCGCTCGTCCATCTTTTCTTCCCTCCAGTTACAGCAAAAGCTGTATTTTACACTGAATGAATGGGTCAGAAGTTAGACACACACACCTTGTTTACATAAAATAAGAAAGATAAATAGACTATGGTTAAAACCCAAAGATACTTAATATCCAAAACAAGAAAGAACAATTCTGCATTTATAAATTATTCTTCAAATTATATTTCATTTCAAGATCTGGTATTATATTTTAAGCAGGGGGTTAGAGAGACAGAAAAACTATGTTTGGATTTAATAAGTATTATATTGAAATCAGTAACCCAAGTTCAATAAAACCTTTCCATGTAGCATCTTTGATGAAGTCAATAGGATTTAATTTCAATAAAGAAGTTTGGAGAATGAAAGCGAATTATAAGATTTTATTTTATGTGGTACTTTATCTTTAATCAGAGCACATATAATTCATGGTCAAGTGTGCTAATAATGGGTAGAATGATTCCAAAGGGGAAAAGATTGACAAAAATGATAAATGTTTTGCTTTAGAATATAATATAGAGGGGATGGGTCGATTTGCCTTCCCAGCTATGCTTGGTTTAGGCTGCACTACCGCAGCACACACTGATGACACTAACATAATTCATACAAATGATGATAGCAGAGAGCAGCCTGGGACTTGAAAAATTTCTGCAGATAAATCCCAAGGCTGAATAAACCACATGTGGGTAACTGAGAGCTGATGCAGTATAGGAAATATACATGAATAAAGTCCATGCACATTCTTTTTAAAAAATAATAAATAAAAAGAAAGCTCCAGAGCTGCTCGTGTGTGTGTGTATGTGCGTGTGTATGTGTGTCTGTGTGTATTCTGGACAAAGGAAGAAAGAAAAGAGCCACATTTCAGTTGCTAGTAGAAAGTATCCTGTCAATTATAACAAGTATCTGAACAGTAGCTATATCTGGGCAGTTAGCTTCATCAGTAAAAACTCACTACAAGTTGTAATCTTACAAAATCACACTGTGAGAACTTTTAGGAGCCAATCCTTTTTACTCAACAAACAAAAATCACATTTTTATAAATCCAAATATTAATTTGAATGAGTTCAGGTCCTTTTGATTACATCTGAAAATAGCCAGACCTAACATTTCATTTTCTTCCAGGAGCCAATCAGGGGATCAATTTCTACTCCTTTGCCTGATTGTTATGTCTAAGGGCAGAGAGCACATTAGCAGTTTTGTGGAGGAAACTCTGACCCACCCTTAATGTACTTTTATGGAAGGATCACCAAGAACCAAATCTAAAGGCTTTTGCCCACTGCATATCTTCAGCTTTAACACAGAAAATATTAACCCTAATTCAGCAGATACCGCTACTCTTATCCTACCTTACCATAAATTTAAACCCATAAAAAAACTAAACATTACACATACTTACATGTGCACATACACACACACACACACACACACACACACAGAGAGAGAGAGAGAGAGAGAAAGAGAGAGAGAGAGAACCACAGAGTCTCCAAATACAGGAGAAAATGGAACTGGAACAGTATTTCCTACTCACTTAACCATTAATTCTAGGAACATTCATTCAGCACCAACCAGATGCTGGTCACTGTTTTAAAAACCTGGAGAGATATCAAAGTTGATAGAATAGATTTCTGCCTGTTTTGGGGAAGTTTGCTTTCTAATCAGAGAAGCAGGTAAAGAGTCACCACCAGCACCACCACCCAATGCTCACAACAGCTTTCCCCGCCACCATTATCTGCAATTTCAGACATGACAATGAAGCGGGAAAGTAAGTAAAATAGGAAGAAAAGAAAATGCGTATTGAGAGGCAAGTTTGCCTGAAGAGTTTCCACTTGTTCAAAAGGAAATAGGAAGAATTAATAACTATTAATAATATAAGTACTATTCTTCTTTTCTACCTTCTAGTGGGAGAACTTGAGATGGGCAATGCAGGATTTGGACTGAAGTGCTCTGTTGCGGCTAGAGTGAAATTCAAATAGAAGTGGAAACACAATACAGTTTAATTTTTTGCCTGATAGGAGGGCATCTACTTAAAGTAAGTGGACCTATAAAAAACTCAGATTCAAAAATCATGCACTTCAAGCTGGGCACAGTGGTGTGTACCTACTATAACAGCTACTCACGAAGCGGAGGTGGGGAAGACTGCTAGAAGCCCAGGCACAGGAGACCATCCTGGACAAAATAGCAAGACGCTGTCTCTGTTTAAAACAAAAAAAATCATGGATTTCAAGAAAAAAAAAAGACCCAGCACACAACCTACAATCTTTCATTCATTCATTATGCAAAGATTTTCTGAGCTCCTACTATGTACCATGCCCATTCTTGGTACAATATCTTTATGTGCATAGTATATATGCAATCCAAAATATTCAGCCTGATCAGAAATTCTCCTCTGTTTCTTTTGAAAAAGTAAGGCCAAAGAAGAAATATTTGAGGCTTTCAGTGCTAATTTGATAATAAAATCTTGATGTATTTCTGTTACTTGATAATAGTAAAAAAATGTGTGAGCATGAAATTCTAAACAAAATTCATTATATGAACTTGTGACATTCTCATGCACTGGGTTTTTTTTCTTCCATTTCCAAACACTAATTGACAGCACTTGAAAACAGTGATTCAGCTTCCGCATGTCATATGATTCCTAGGGACTGTAGCTATATTCCTCAGGCCAGTAGACTGACAAATCAAAAGATAAGAAGTACCTCTCAGCTTCAATCAACTGAAATGTGTCAGAAAATACATTTGGCATAATCTTCAGAAATGTCAGATTTGGCGATGACAGGATAGGCACAGTTTTCCTGACAGTTTTAGCACACCAAAGTTTCAGAGTCCGGGTTAGAATGAGAAGGAAAATAACCACTTTTGTCTGCTATTTTGGAGAAAACTTATACAAAACAAGAGGAAATCTATGACATGCCACTTGAGTCTCTGACTAACATGTTATAAAATGCCTGACTGCCTAATTAATGGAATACACAACTTGGGAAAGTGTCCACTAAGATTAAAAAGGAATGAGGTATCTTTTCATATTTTTGCTTAGAAAACCATCCTAACTCCTTCTTAAGGGATATACCCATAATCATTCCTCTTCACATTCCCAATGTGCCTATGCCAGTTGTGTACTCTTTTTTTTTTTTATTTTGAGACGGAGTCTTGCACTGTCGCCCAGGCTGGAGTGCAGTGGTGCGATCTCAGCTCACTGCAAGCTCTGCCTCCCGGGTTCATGCCATTCTCCTGCCTCAGCCTCCCGAGTAGCTGGGACTACAGGCACCTGACACCACGCCTGGCTAATTTCTTTTTTATATTTTTAGTAGAGACGGGGTTTCGCTGTGTTAGCCAGGATGGTGTCTATCTCCTGACCTCGTGATCCACCCACCTCGGCCTCCCAAAGTGCTGGGATTACAGGTGTGAGCCACCGCACCCGGCCAGTTGTGTACTCTTATAAATATGTGTCTCATGAGTGAAGTAACCAACAGCATTGAGAGAAACTGTTGAGAAACCAAAATGTAACTGAATATATTACATAGCATACCTCCACTTGACCTTGCATGTCATCCATGCAAGCCTTGCCAAATAAAATATTTAAAAAATCAAAGCAAATTAAAATGCAAGAAGGTAAATTCTAATCTAAATCATGCTCCTTTCTGAATTCTACATCAGCTGGACTTTCTTTTTTTTTTTTTAAGACAGAGTCTCTCTCTGTTGCCCAGGCTGGAGTGCAGTGGTCTGATCTCAGCTCACTGCAACCTCTGCCTCCTGAGTTCACGCGATTCTCCTGCCTCAGCCTCTCAAGTAGCTGGGACTACAGGCATGCTACCATACCCGGCTAATTTTTATATATTTTTTAGCAGAGACGGGGTTTCACTATGTTGGTCAGGCTGGTCTTGAACTCCTGGCCTTGTGATCCGCCCACCTCAGCCTCCCAAAGTGCTGGGATTACAGGCATGAGCCACCACGCCTAGCCTATCAGCTGGACTTTCTTCTGTCTTTCAGTAGCATCACAATCCTTAGGCCCCCACACACAATCATATTCTACTAATTGTGAATTACAGAAAGAACAGCTTACTCGTTTCTCTAAGAGACAGTACACAGAGCTAAGACCTTTGTTTCTACCTCTGGCTACAAAACTGTGACTCCTCCAATTTCCCATTTGTAAATAGATCTCCAAAAGAAATCAGCCCGAGGGCACTAAATGGCTACAGATCTCTGCAGAAGCACTGTAGGCTGACAGTAGCAAACCTCAGTGAGCTTCTCAGATAGGAGATACAGAGTGCCTTATTCAGACACTTCCTTCCAAGCCCTCTAACAACTCCAGCTCTGTCAACCTTCATCTGATTTTCATTTATAAATGAAGTTGCACAAATCTCCAACAATAAAGAATATTGACAAAATCTTTGTTAACATTTGGCATTTCTCATTTTCTAAAAAACAAAAACAAGATTCCCATTTGGGCAACTCCTAATTGTGCTGGCCACGTTTCATTTACTTTCACCACCAATTCAGCAGCAATCTGTCAATATTTGTACCGTAAATTACCAAATACTCTAACTTACTTATTTCAAACTGATTGTGCATTTACATATTTATGAACGTTATACACAGAAAGTTAAGATTCATTTCTCTTTTGCCTAAGTCTATACATACAGTCTCCCAATGAGAGAAGTACCAAGTCAGCTAAAAGAGATGGTTAAAAAATACATTTTTTTCTGACTTAATAATGGGTTCTGTATTTTCAGTATTGCTTCCTTTTCAAGAGAGCAAATTGTTTTTCACTATATTTGGCAAATGCAACATAAGATAACACTGCAAAAGACCCTTATTCAATGTATTCCAAGAGTTAATTATTTCAGGATATGTACTCTTTAGTGAATATTTCTTAAGTATGAACTAAGTGCCCCCTACCATGCATAATTAAGAAAATAGGATGGGGTAAAATAGAGTTGAAAAGTCCCTCCTATTAACTTACAGGCTAAAGGAAAAAAATACAGGCAAATAATTACAATATAAAATAAGTACTACGATAATGGAGTTTTATGTGCAAAACTTTAGGTGCAAAGAAGCAGGAATAACTAATGTGACCTGAGAACTGAAGAATAAACAGGAACCAATAAGGTGGAGCAGAGGAGTAAGAAAAATCCATATTTGGATCATCACGTGTAAGAGAGTGAGAAAGAATGGAACATTAGGGAAGGGAAAGTAATTTGTTATGTCTAGAAAGTAGTGGATGGGAGGACAATGGTAAATATTAATATGAGAAGATGGGGCTAGAAGGTAAAGAATCATCCTTTAGGAAATGTGGAACAATCCAAGAATTTTAAGCAAAAGAAAGATGTGATCATATTCACACTTCTGAAAGGCAACTGTGGCAGACAGGCCTGGCAGAAGATAACTTTAGCAGAAACATCTAGGAGAAAACAGACTGGGGGGCTGGAGTAAGAGAGGACAAAGAAGCACAAAGAAGCTACCAGACAGGCCCAGGGTTGGGAAGCCGGCTTCTGCTTCCAGCCCTCAGCACTGGCAAGAATCCTTGCAACAGAAAGCAGCACTGGGCCATTCTCTGCCTAGAAGTGGTCATTCTTCACAGTAGGGATGGGTACCTCATTGAAGGGCAAAAGAAAAATAAATGCTGAGACTTTCAATTTTAGTCTCTCAACCAAAAGGATCCCCCTAAAACAATGTGGCCTACTTAAAGTCCAGTCAACAAAATTTCATATCTGATTATATGAGGGAAGCCATGGAACACAAAGCTGTAGAAAACGCATTTTGAGACAGGCAAATCCTGAATCCATCTCCTGGCTCCACCCCCCTGAGGCAGCTGATCATGAGAGAGCTACTTTCCAGTTTATTCTTATGTGTAAATAGGACTAATACCTAATTCACAGGTTTATTATGAGGATTAAATGAGCATTAAACTAGAAAACATGTAATTATTATCACCATCACTATTAAATAATAATGGATAAAATAACGGGGGATTTAAAAAGAGGAAGGAAAAGAGGATGTCACAGGTACTATTTTGGTAGATTTTAGTTGCTATTAACATAAAAGAAACAAGATGTGAGTTTGGTTTTAGATGAGCTGTTTTTTAAGGTGAAAAGAGATGGGTGTTGAAGACAGAGGCATTTAAACAGGAGATAATATTGTCCTCCTCTATTTGACTTTGCCTTGATTTGATCATTTTCAGAACTGTAATGTAACCATGTATCACTCTTCTACTTTTTAACTGAATGCATAACTGCCTTAAGAAAAAAAAAAAAGACTCAATTTTATAGGTTATTTCCCCTGGCAAGTAGGTGATCAAGTATTTACCAATGTGACAAGTCTAAATATGGGACCTACTAGAGGGAGGGAACATGTTCCTCTTAATTCTTTTTTCTATCCTGCTGCCTAGAAGGTAAGTCTGATGTCTGGAGCCCAAGCAGCCATTGTGAGCCATAAGGACATAAACTACATCCTAAGGAATGGCACAGTAGTGGGATTCTCAACTGCTTTGCTACCCTAGCTGCACAGAATCACCCACGAAGCTTTTAATAAAATCCCCATGTCTCACCCTCAAATGTCCTGACTGAATTGCTGGGTTGGGGTCAACATCTGGATATTTGAGTATGGGTATTAAAACCTTTCCAGGTGAACAAAAATATGAAGCTATGGTTGAAAAATCACACATCATTATCATCTAATATTATTTAGTATCTTATTCTATCAAGACTTCTGCTAGAATGGCATAACTAGTACTAAAAGGGTAATAATGGCTACCACTTACTGAATATCTCCATTATGCTACTATGCTCAACTCCTTGCAAATCGGTTTACCTACGTTCTCTAAGTCAAGCCTTGTAACAACATCCTGATGTCAATATTATTATTTTCATTTTACTCCTTAGAAAATTCAGGTGGATTGAATTTCAGTAATAGACGTGGAGTCTCAAAAGTTGAATACTCGGCCGGGCGCGGTGGCTCACGCCTGTAATCCCAGCACTTTAGGAGGCCGAGGCGGGTGGATCATGAGGTCAGGAGATCGAGACCATCCTGGCTAACGAGGTGAAACCCCGTCTCTACTAAAAATACAAAAAATTAGCCGGGCGCGGTGGCGGGCGCCTGTAGTCCCAGCTACTCGGGAGGCTGAGGCAGGAGAATGGCGTGAACCCGGGAAGCGGAGCTTGCAGTGAGCCGAGATTGCGCCACTGCAGTCCGCAGTCCGGCCTGGGTGACAGAGCGAGACTCCGTCTCAAAAAAAAAAAAAAAAAAAAAAAAAAAAAAAGTTGAATACTCACAAGTATTCAAGCCCAGAACTGACTAAATGCAAGGCAGTCCTAACCATCACACAGTACTGCCTCCCCAGATGGGTTTTACTTCCTTTTATTTCATCTAGAGGTACCAGTGAAGATGCTAATGAGCAGTGAGATGGTGGGGCAGGGAGGAGAAGAAAGAGGACACGTAATAGTTAAGATTCATCTCTCTGAATAATCAGTAGTTAACCTGACTTCTTATTAAGAGTTTGCATTTGTTTTCATGCAAATTTATCTCTGATCTAGATCCAGAAATGTACCAAATACAGTTTAAATTCCAATATATGAGAAGAAGCACCAAATCCTTACCTATTTTCAGCTTCCTGGGTTATAAATTTAAATAAATCATGTGAAATACATAGAAAAACTCTTTCTTTCCTAATGTTTAATGATAATTTATAGCCCTAGAACATTTGTAAATTTAACAGCCCATCAAAGTGTCTGAGAGCACACCAGTTCTAAGGACTCATTAAGTGACATTAAACATAACTTTCCATGAAGTACTGTACAGCATGAATAGGTGGGCAGGCTGGTGAACAGCCATCACTACAATAATTTATTGTTTGTAATTTTTGCCTTATTACTTCCAAAAACATTTTTTAAAAGAGGAGGGGGAGATTCAAAAAAAAAAAAACAACTACCACTTTGCCAATACTATAAATCACAAAGGCAGAAAGAGCTTTTATGATCCTAAGGATGTGCTAATTCTTTCTCCAGTCACCCAAAAAATGACAAGAAAGAAGTTTTGTGGTAAAGACTTATAGGATTTTAAAAATTCATTTCTTTGAACAGGGCTGTATTGTTTCTAAGTCACCTCCTCCCCAAATTCCAAAGATTATCAGTAAAATGAAACTAAAGAAAGGTAGAATTTTTTTTCCAATACACAAGTGGGGGAGTCGCCTACTTCATCCAATTCACATTCTTAAAATAGAATTTCTTTTGCTCTAGAAATATGCAGAGTTAAGACCCGAAATAGGCCTTAATCTAGTATATCTGGATTTTACAATATCACTAAGTGTCACCCTAGTTTTGTCAGGGCATTCATCCTACCTTAATAAGTAAAATGAGGACACTAACGATCTATAATTAAAAGGTAATATTAACTCAAAGGCAAAAGTGACCCACAGACTAAGTTATAATGACAAAAGTCAATGGCTGAAGTTTAGCCTTCCGACCTGCATAAGAAACATCCTTCACACATTTTCTTTAAAACAGCCCAATCAGACAGTGAGGAACATTATACAACATTCATGGTTTTCATTCTTTCACTACATGATGGCAGACATAATAGAATTCAAAAGTTTTAACTATCAGTGCATTAAGCATAATGTAATAATTATGCTGATGGCACAATTTTTACTATAAAGTAGATCACTTATTTGGTTTAGGCTTAGCCTAAAAGATTGTTTTTTTCCTCTTTTTCTAGACATGTGGTCCAGCACAGGTGTCTATATTCCTTTGTCAAATTCTGGTTATCACTTTTACTAATTTGGTTGACTAAAAATATTCTCTCCATAAACTTCAACAACTTGATAGTGAGTATCTGCAGCAGAAATAGTCTTCCTGTATAAAAGTCATGGATTAACTCCACCTCAAAAGAGCAGCCATTTTGAAAATGAACCCATCAAAATCACAAATAACCTTAGCTAATTCCCTTTAGTGTTCTTATGCTAAGTAACAACATATATAATAGTCCCAAAAAAATTTGTGTCTAGTATATGTGAGGTATTCATTGTTTACCTTTAAAACCTCCTTTCTGAACAACATTAAGAGAAAACAATACGGTTTTCACAAAAATTATATTTTATATATAAACATTCATTTACCAACTACTTAATACAATTTCAGCCAAACAAAAATAGCTTCAGTAATTTGTACTGGGTTAACTTTAACATTCCTGTAGCTTTCTGTGTTTTTATCCAGCATGCATGCACAATGCTGGCCTTAACGCAATTCAAAATGTGAACATGTAAATATGTCTGAGAGATTTATTAATTGAAAGTAGCGGAAACTCACCAAAATAACTTCCAAACTTACGCTGTAGCAACTAATTTTTGAAATACTATGCAGAGCTAATAAAGAAGGAAACTTTTTAAAATTTTTATTTCTGAATAGCCATTGGTTTGACTCAACTGAGAAAATTTCATTGGCTGTTTTGACATTAGGTGGCCAGCTGGTATATACTCTAATTTCACAGGTGAGGTTTTTGAGATTGTCTATGCATTCTTATATGCAGCTACCACCAATAAGTAAGAAAGAATGATTATTGAATTCAATCACCAATTTCTCCCAATATATATGTACAAAGCAGAACAAAGAAAAATAAAAAAAAAATCACCAGCAGGCAGCATGCCTTGTTGATTATTTTCCCATCACTAATAACAATTTATATAAACTACAAAACATGTTATAATTTGAAGCAATTTATTCACATCTAAAATTATTACTCTAATTCCTTATTAATTGGTGTTAAGTAAGAATTACCAGATTATTCCAAAGCTAATATTGCATAACAGCAAGCAGAAACAGGTTTAGCAATCATCTAAAATTAGCTTATTCACTGGAAAATAAAGATTGAATGTTAAGGTATAAAATTATTCTAAATCCCCAAACACACCAGAACCAATTGTGAAATTAAAATATGACACTTTCCATAATTCAAACTACAGTACTTGATTTTCATCTTTCTCCTCAGCTACCCCTAAATTAAATTAGTCTTATTGATTATAACTCAGAAATCCCTGTCTTGTTACTATGATTTTCAAATTTTAATGAAATGTACAATTTAGTTGAACATAGTTAAGTTGGTTTTCTTAAATTACAATATAGAAGATTAAGTATAGGCTCAACAAATCTCCTCATTACTATAGCTACAGACACATTGAAAGCCAATTCCTTTGCTTGCTTATGACAACTGATAAATTCATGCATTACAAACCTGTTTTCAAGTCTGTCATGACAGATGATCACTCACTGAAGTAAGATCTTATGAACTGATTATCAGTGTTATTTAATGAAGCACTGGCTGCACCTAGGTACTGGAGTGAAATAGAAGTCCTAGTCCAATTAAAATGTGGTGCTGTGTACAAATGGTTGTTAATAACTTTAGTAAATGCAGAACCACCATTTGAAATTCACAAGTCATCATCCTAGCAAACAGAATAGTACACAGTATGTCTTCTTTTTTTTTCTTACTATTTTTTTGAGACAAGTTCTTACTCTGGCTCTATCACCCAGAGTGGAGTGAAGTAGCGCAGCCATAGCTCACTGTAACCTCAAACTCCTGAGCTCAAAGGATCTTCCTCCCTTAGGTAGTAGCTAGGACTATAGGTACACACCACCACACCTGGCTAATTAATTTAAAAAAAATTTTTTTTAGAGATGGGATATCTCTATGTTGCCCAGACTGGTCTCAAACTCCTGGCCTCCAGCAATCCTCCCACCTCACCTCCCAAAGCCCTGGGACTGCAAGCATGAGCCACCATGCCCAGCTATATTTTCTGTAAATTGCTAATGAGAATGAAACATGTATGCTGTGGACAGAAGCCTTGTTGGACCTAGCGCCCATGCTGGGTCCTTTGCCTTAATAAAACATAACTCTGGCATTACATATATAATTAACAGCCTCAAAGAACATGTTTCTTTATTAAACTCTGACTGTTTCAGCATTATTTTCAGTACATTTAGATTTAAGTTTGGTTTTGATTTTTTTTAACTTAAGTGAAAAGTATTTCTTTCTTATCAGCATTTCTTTGACTTTCACAGTTGGTGGTGCCCTGAGCAAAAATGAATGGATGCCTAGACCACCCCAGACCATTCCTCCTTCCTCCCCAAACCAAAGCTGTGGAACTAACTCTTAACTGTCTTATTTGTAAACAGTGGCTGTATTCATGGCTAATATTGTAAGATTTTCTGTGTAGTATCATCAAATTTAATAATTCCTTAACAGGAACTGTTCATTAAGGGTTGCTTTCTATTAAAAAATAGGTATGTGCTACCTTTTCAATCTTCTTCTCATAATATTTGAGTGATTTATTTCCATTTTGAATCTTTCTGTTTGTTAACTTTGGTGAAATTAATATACTATTACTAAAAAAGCACATTAGAGTAACTGGATGAATGACTTGAGCTCTCAGCTCTCTTCATCCCAACAAATGGGGATGAAACATTCATTTTCTTCACATAGATATAATAAATGTTATCAGCCAGTTTCTCACCTGAGGAATTGTTACTGAGGGAGTGCTGAGCATACAAATTCCTATATCAGAACTATCTTCTTTCTCAACAAAATGCAAGGCAAGTCTTCATTAACTACTGCCTGGTCATTTACAACACACACCAAAAATAAATGAGGATGCTATTTAAGATAAGAATACAATAATGTTTAAAGAGTATTAAGCCACATCAGATGCGGTGGCACGGGCCTGTAGTCCCAGCTACTCAGGAGGCTGAAGCTGGAGGACTGCTTGAGCCCAGGAGTTCGAGGTTGCTGTGAGCTATGATTGTGCCATTGCACTCCAACCTGGGTGACAGATCAAGACCACATCTCAAAAAAAAAAAAAAAAAAAAAGGAAAAGGAGTATTAAGCCATTGTCATAAGTCACTAATTCTCAGCTGTAAATATACTTAAATATATTTAAGTGTAATCTTTCATTTGTTGAATCATGTATTTTATATTTGATGAATTTCCATTTCAATTACCACAATGATGTTTACACAAGTTGCAAACATTTGTTTTTACTAGAAGAGACTAAGTCCTATTCATTAGCATTGCTCACTGTCAATTATGAAATACATTTATTATCTCCATCAGAGCTATACGATACTTAGTTTCAAAATACATGTCATTACTCAATGAGAATGAATTAAAATAAAGCATCAAGATTAACTAGGCTAGATCTATAGTAATATATCATTCAAATAATAAAAATTAATGCTTATTAATTTCTTACTGCATGCCATGTACAGTACTAAGCACTTCACATATAATAACTCAATGTCATCCATAAAATAACACTGTGAGATAGGTATTGTTATCATATCTATTTTACAGATAGGAATAACGATGCACCAAGAAGGTAAAGAACTTGATTAAGACTACACAGCTAGTGGAAGATAATTGCTTCTAAAGCTTATGTTCTAACATCTAAAATAAGCCAGTTATGTCATGATGCCTCTTAAGAAGTCTCATATGAATCAAATGCTCTATATTACCAGCACCTGGAGAACTTTAATTTTAAAAATAAATAGGCTTATTAAGTTACACATATTGTAATACTTTAGACAGTTCCTGTTAGACATAGCCTAAAAATATATTATAGCATATAAAATGAAACTCAAAACAAAAAGTACCTAGAATTAATATTTTGCTCCACTTTCCCCAATCCATTCATTATGAAAATTTGTCACTAAGTATATAGAACATTGGAAGTGGGTTTTTTTGTTACTGTTTCCTATTTAGACTATAAGCTAGACATAGTCTAGAAAAGTAGCTAATCTATACATTATTGAAAATACCACAACATATTATACCAGGGGAACCATAGATAAATACTAAATATTACATTGATAATGAGTAATGGGCTGAAAGCAAAACTACAATGTAACTCAAAGAGGGAATATGAAGCCAAAATAAAATGGATGTGAATCCCATGCAAGCTGTCCCTTAGTCTTCTGAAGGCTGTGAAAAGAGAAGGCCTTATTTAGGACAAAGAAAGGTAGTATTTTTGAGGTCTGGGGAAGATGCTGATATCACTTCTGTTCATTATTACAATACTAAAAACAAGTCATATAAGGAGACGAAGAAGAAAGGATGGACAAACTATCTCATATAATCATTGTATTTTCTGCAAATACAGAAAATAAATGGTAAGAGCTCTATTTTATCTGAAACTGTAGTTTCTTCGGCATCCTAAGTGATTTTCCTAAAGTGTCATTTATTTGTCTCTAGTGAAAGGAAGGAAAGAATGTTCAAAGGCATAGAATGTTTTTAATCTCTACCTTTGAACTTCCATTATATTGTTTAAAAATTACTACGTGCATGTATTACCTATTAGTTTAATAAAACTAACATTTTAAGTGTCAGTCTACACACACAAAAAATTCATCAAACCCAATTTAAAGTTAGTTATTTAAAATATTAATAAATGATTACTAAATGATTCTAAATATTCTACATTTAAAGCAATTACCCAAGGAGAAAAATATGAAACTGTATTTAAAAAATACATTAAGCCCTGTCCTTTCCATATATATGTTAATGGAATACAAACAGGCACACACACACACATTGCATTTTGGGGGCAATCAAGCTACTCTGTATGATACTATAATAGTGGAATACATGTCATCATACATTTATCCAAACCCATACAATGTACACCACCAAGAGGGAAACCTAATGTAAACTGTAGACTTTGGGTGACAATGATATGTCAGTGTAGGTTCATCAATTGTAACAAACGTACCACTGTGGTGAGGGATGTTGATAATGGGAGAAGCTGTGCACCTGTGGCAGCAGGGAGTATATGGGAAATCTCTGTACCTTCTGTTCAATTTTGCTGCAAATCTAAAAATGCTCATAACTAAAGTTGTCCAACCTATGGCCCACAGGCCACATGTGGCCCAGGATGGCTTTGAATACAGCCCAACACAAATCTGTAAACTTTCTTAAAACATTATGAGATGTGGCTAGGCATGGTGGCTCATGCCTGTAATCCCAGCACTTTGGGAGGCTGAGAAGGGTGGATCATTTGAGGTAAGGAGTTTGAGAACAGCCTGGCCAACATGGTGATACCCCGCTTCTACTAAAAGCACAACATTAGCCGGGCATGGAGGCACACACCTGTAATCCCCGCTACCAGGGAGGCTGAGGCGGGAGAATCTCTTGAACCTGGGAGGCGGAGGTTGCAGTGAGCCGAGATGGCACCACTGCACTCCAGGCTGAGCAACAAAGCGTGACTCCATCTCAAAAAAAAAAAAAGAAAAAAAAATTACGAGATTGTTTTGCAATTTTTTTAAAGCTCATCAGCTATCATTAGTGTTAGTGTATTTTATGTGTGACCCAAGACAATTCTTCCAATGTGGCCAGGGAAGGCAAAAGATGGAACACCCTGCTCTAAACTATAGTCTGTTTAATAAAAAATCATGTGTCATTTAATGAAGGAGAAATGTTCTGAGAAATCATTAGGTGATTTTACCACTGTGTGAAAGTCATACAGTGTACTTACACAGACCTAGATTGTATAGCCTACTACACACCTAGGCTATATGGTATAGCCTATTGCTTCTAAGCTACAAACCTGTATAGCAAGTTCCTGTTCTGAACACTGTAGGCAATTGTGACACAATGGTAAATATTTGCATATCTAAATGTATCTAAACATAGAAAAGGCACAGTAAAATTATGTTATAAAAAGATTAAAAAATGGTACACCTATATAGAACATTACCATGAATGGAGCTTGTGGAACTGGAAGTTGCTCTCGGTGAGTCGGTGAGTGAGTGGTGACTGAATATGAAGACCCAGCTCTGTACACTTCTGTAGACTTTATGAACACTGGACACTGAAGCTACACTAAATTTATTAAAAATATTTTTTCTTCAATAATAGATTAACCTTAGCTTACTGTAACTTTTTACTTTATAAACTTTTCATTTAACCTTTTGACTCTTTTGTAATACCACTTAGCTTGAAACACAAATACATTGTACAACTGTACAAAGTATTTTCTTTATATCCTCTCTATCAGCTTTTTCATGAAAATTTATTTTTTTACTTTTTAAACTTTTGTTAAAAACGAAGACATAAACTCACATATCAGCCTAGGCCTCCACAGGGTGAGAAATATCAATATCACTGTCTTCCCCCTCCACATCTTGTCCTGCTGAAAAGTCTTCAGGAGCAATAACACACACAGAACTGTCACCTCCTATGGTAACAACGTTTTCTTCTGGAATACCTTCTCAAGGACCTGCCTGAGGCTGTTTTGCAGTTAACTTTTTTTATATGTGAGTACAAAGATTATACTCAAAAATAATGATAAGAAGTACAGTACAGTAAGTACTAGGCAATAGGCATTTTTCAGCTCCATTATAATCTTATGGGGCCACCATTATAAATGTAGTCCTTTGTTGACTAAAAACATTGTTACATAGGGCCTGACTACAAACACACACACACACACACACACACACACACACACTCTCTGTCTCTCTCATATGCCCTGTCCTTTTCATATATATGGAATATTTTTACACATATATATGAATGTACATTTATACACATGTACATATATATATATATACATGTGTCTTTCATATATATACATATACACAAACACACACAATATACAAATTTTGCCTATGGTAAAACTAAAAGAGTATCCTTGTAGACACTCATTGAGCAAATAGTTTTTCTGGATACCAAAAAATTATTGTTTTATATGAAAATACAAGAACAACTCTTCCCATAAAACACTGATGGATATGAAATAAGTAATTTCTTTATATAATTGTATAATTTTTGAGATGTAGACATGTTTATTTTCCTACAAAAAACATAAATATTTATACCTTATTAAATTATCTTTATAGCATAAAATATTCTGATCATTTTCAATTTAAAAAAGCATTGACATAAAGTATTAATTTTCTCCTAGAAAGAAAATGGGAGGGGGGAAATAAAGTTATCAGAATAGTTTATCAAGGCTTTAGTTGAGGTCTGCTTTCTCAAAGTAATACATATATTTGGATGTTTTGTATTTATATGCAATTTATTAGGTTTCAATTTGATTTTTTTCACTGCTGCATCACAGGATGGTTGCTGGTTTAGAAAGGAAGCAAGTAGGCCAGCCACCCAAAAAGAAACCCTCGCTGTACCTCCCAGGAGATTCTTGCAACAGACAGATGCTGGCCACACTTCACAGCCTTCCAGCCACCAGTTGCCCAGCACATGGCTGAGAGGGAAGAACGAGCCAGTAATGGCAGGCACCAGCATTTTATAAACAACTGGTTCTCTAATTCCTTCTCATCTCTCTCTTTTCTCTTTACTTACCTCTCTCCCGTCTCCTTTCCTTTCTCTCTTCTCAACAGCCTTGCCATTTCCCCCATCTTTATCTCACTATTCTTACTTCATTCTTATTCCTTTCTCCTTTTTCTCCTCACTTGCTTTCCGCTGCTCCCTTTTCCAGTCTTTTTTCCTCTCCTCCAACATATTTTATTTGTAAATTGCATCCATCCACAAAAACTCTGATATACTTATAAGAACACATAAAAAAATTATAACACGTTAGCAAAATTCCAACAAGGAATAGTGTGGATACATTAGGTAAGCAAGACTCACAAATACTGGACCTTTCATCATTCTCTTTACTATACCTCCAATCCCCCATCTTGTCAACTATTTACTTTTTTACTCTTTAACATACTGTTATCTACCTTCTCATCTATTCTCCCCTCCAGCATCCTTTCCCCGTCTTCCTTGTTCTTCTCTTCATCTTTATTATTCTAGTTCAAGAACATCCTTTCAGTAACCAAGTGCTCCACAACCTGTCCCTTCAAATGTAAACAAAATCTCACCAAATTTTACCCAGAGAAATTTTGTTTTCTCCCATCTCCTTGCCTCTCCTTAGCAAGCCTATAACAGAAAATTCAGAGGCTGTGTCTCAAACACTCTCCTTATGCATATCAAACTTTTTAACTATTATAGGAGATCTCCAATATAATTGCTGAGGATATTCTTTGAAAATATTTTCCTAATCTACTAATGCACCCCAAAATATTTACGTTTTAAAATTATCCTTTTGAAATAACTCCACCAAGATTGCATTGTAGAATTCACCTTATAATTCAGTATTTTACTTTTCTTTCTATGCCTTTAATCTGCACTAAACTAATTCTGGTTACAAGGGCACTTTTGTGTACAATGCAGATTTTTTTTTATTTCTTGCTTTCCAATAAATGACACACAGAGATATAACAAGAGGGAAGTCCTTCAGTAGTCTAAATTGAGGTCATTTTTTAAAATGCATTCTGCTTTTTAAAAATTTCTTCCTGCTTTCATTATTTGTGAGTCATTTGTTATCCTTAATACCAATGGGGTCAAGACTCATGGTCCTTTCCCGAAGTGAACTACTCCTCCAAAAACATTATGAATGTGTTTTTCATGATGAATTACAAGTAAGCCAGCCAGTTCTACTCAAGAGCCAGGATGAGACATGCAATTAGGCTGTAAAAACCCGATGTGCTCTTTCCACCTTTCCTGTCCCTTTCAGCATGGACAAAGCAAGAAGGGAAAAGTCTCCTGACAAGATGCCAAGTAAGCCCAGGCCCTTCTGAGGCATCCTGGCGGTAGCCAGCAGCAGCCCATCTCTGCATTGCCCTCACTGCCGGGGCCCCGCGCCTCATGGCACTGCTGCGTCACATTACTTCCGCTTTTCTAACTTTTCCACTTGTGAGCACCATCAATTATGCACTAGAATAACAGGGGCTGGCCAGGCAGTGTAACATAAAGGCCGATTATGATGATAAATAATTTAAACACCTGCGTGCCATGTTCCTTTTATCAGTGACAGGAGGCCAGGGGAATGTGATGCACAATGAAGGTCTGAATGTCCCAGAATGACCAATTTGGGGACAGCAGGGAGCACATTCACCCATGAACCTCCTGTTCACTGCCCACAGGGAGGAAAGGGGCAAACTGAATGAACTGTTCACAAACGTATTCACACTTGAAAAAACTAGCTAAGAATCACAGGCCACAGATCCAAAGAACTTTTCTTTCTTTCTTTTATTTTTGGCCCTAGATCTAGCCCAGGAAGTGCAGGGAACAATATTTTAGCAGTGGGTGGCATCTTATATCTTCCAGAAAAAAAAGGGAAACAATTCCATACAAAAAGATTTTAAGAGAAAAGACATAGTTTCATGTAAAGTTATTCAGACTTTAACAAAATTCAGACTTGATGATCTCTTTACCACACAGTATGTTTAATGGTAAAGTGTAATTGGGAGCTGGCAGGGGATAACAGATACAGTAGAGGTGACCGGTCTAACCCCCTTTTAAATGACACCTCACCATTTCTCAACTGTGATGCAGAAATTCTTCAAGTCTCTTTATTAGTATCCTATTTTTTTAATTGTGATTTGAAAATTCATAATGGTGTCTCACTCGTGTAATCCAAGCACTTTGGAAGGCCAAGCTGGGAGGTTTGCATAGAGGCTAGGAATTCGAGACCAGCCTGTGCAACCTAGAGAGACCTTGTCTCTACAAAAGATTAGAAAATTAGCTGGGCATGGTGGTATGCATCTGTGGTCCTAGTTACTTAGGAGGCTGAGGTGGAAGATCACTTGAGCCCAGGTGTTTGAGGTTGCAGTTAGCTATGATGGCGCCACTGCACTGTAGCCTGGACAACAAATGAGATCCTCTCACAAAAAAAGAAGAAAGTTCACAACAAAGAGGAAACTTTCATATGTTCAAAAACTTCCAGGAAAACAGGTACCCTCCTACCAACGCCCTGGGGAGTTCAAAACTCAGTAACACTGACAGTATCTGATATCAGGTGGATGTTCTTTACCCACATAGGCAGACTAAGTTTTAACCTGAGTCCTTAAGGGCGTATACCCACACCAAAAATAATGACAGTATTTCAAATGGGAGAAGTTCAGATAACTGTCTCAAGTCTATTGATCTTCATGGAGATAATTTCCAAGGTATAATGCAAGATTTCTAATGTTTAAAAAAGGTAGAACAACCCCAATAGCATATACAAGAGTGAAAGGGAAAGGAATAAAACTAGATACCAGTAAGGATGTTGACAAATCAAAAAGTGACCTTAAAATATACGAAATTCAAAAGAAACGCATTTAACTTACGTCAAATGATAGTCAACTTCACTTCTGGAATGAGACTTCCATTATCTAGAAATATTCCAAAATTAATTCTTAGTCTACATGAGAGCTAATATTACATTTCTAAATGCAAATTGATGAAAACTCTAGGGGGAAAAACCATTTTGAACTGTGGTTTCCAGAAGGCTTCAGGTTTAGTCATGTCAAATTAAAGCGGAGCAAAGCTTCTTAAAATAACATTCTTCTTAAATCGCATCCATATGATTTAGCAAATTGATACGGCCAAAGTCAATAAATCATGATGCCGGGTTTTTACTTTAATGTATAACTGCTTTTATTTTATTTTTTGCTTTGAGCCAACTCCTTATAATTTTTAGCCCAAAGTTAAATGTATATTCTTGTCTAGGCAAAACAAGCTACTTCTCACATAACGGGTTCCTGGTTTTCAATGTCAAACCACCACGAATGAAGGAAATCTTCCCCCAGCGGTTCAGCAGGACACAGAGCTGGCTGCCTCTGGTTGCACCAACATGCAACCCATTAACTGCTTTTCAGTTGGCAGTATTTGAATTTGTAGATTTTTTCACCACTTTTCAATGTGTAAGTGCTTCTTTTTTCTTAACCCCAGGGATTTCATTTTGTGCTGACACATACCCAAGAAGCAATCTCCATGAAACTATCCTTTTAAGGCAAGCATTTTGTGCACTCCTTAATGATGGGTGTTTAAGAGAAATGGTAATTATGATAGATTTTGAGCCTTAGGTAACAGACAGCCTCACAGTGAGAGGGTTCACTACATTTAAGACCAAACTCCTCATTAAGAAATGGAGATGTATCAATTCAGCTCTGTGCAGACACACTGACAGTGAAGTCCAGGTTAGTAAAAGCATTCATCCTTAGGATGGATGGTCTCAGGAGTGAGCCAACATTCAACAAGGTCATGCTAGTTCACCCAGATTGTGGGCAAATGAAACTTCTCAGGGACAGTTAAACCTAAGGGACATGGGTTGAAAATATTATTAAAGCATCAATGCTTAAAATATTTTCTCCTTTCTTATCCTTTTTATGACTTTAAAATATTTTTGTTTAAATGAGTCACTTAAGCTACCACATTAGATATTCTGCATGCTATAACTGATGCTGAAATCAGAGTATCAGACAAAAGGCATCTAAAGTTCTTAACTAATGCTAGTAATAAAACTACCATGAAAACATATTTTATATATGTGTGTGTACATAAATCTGTTTTGCATATATGTGTGTGACTCCTAAGACTCTCCTCAAGAGGTATTCCAGATTAACATCACTGTTAAATGAGAAAAAAAAAGTCCTTGAATCAAGATGCATAACTTCAATCCCCTCCCCACACGCTGCATATGCGTGCAAAAGTTTTCCTGCCCAGCTTGCCTGCAAGGATGGCGAACAGAATTTAATATTTCATGGAGCCCAAAGCACAAAGCATGTTCAAATTCAATACAAGAAAATGCTTTATCACATCCTTTATAGATTAATAATCCAAAACGGTGAGAAACTTCAGGAAGCCATGACAAGTTTTAACCAAATGACATGTAAGTTTCTTCTGGACACCCTCAAGCTATTAATGAAACAGAAAATCTGAAAGATGTGTTTGATTTATCTGTTTAAGGTATGTATTTCCAGAAGAGTTACCATATCCCATCATATTATTTATTATAGCTAACATAACTTGGAATATCTTATGCAGTTTTTCTTCAAGAAGATCAGATCATGTTCTTGAATACAGATGGCATAAGCCACGTATCTTGCATAACACTTCCTCTATTAAAGCTAAACCCATGAAAACTGTTTAAAGGGAAAGAGTGAAACATGGGCAAACATGGTCCCATAATAACCAGCTGTGAAGGTGATAAGGTTCTGGCAGGGCAGTGGCGTGATGACACAGGGCAATAATCTGTAAACCATTAGAAACGAGCATGAAAAGTATTTAGTGTTTTACAAATATTTCAGAGCAAAGCAAGCATTTCAGGTTTAAATCAACCAGATTTAAGCTTTCTGGTTTTATAAGAATAACCTACTATAAATCTTTCTAAAATGTGCCTGCTTTTTGTTTATTTAATTTTATTCAGGCCAGTAATGACCATGACAAATACCTAAATGCTGAACTAAGCAAGAATTCTAACCCTAAATTTTGTGTGGGAGGCTTAAATTTCTTTTATAAAGCCAATGACAGTAAATGAGTTCATTATTGGTCACTTTCTTTTGATAAACCATAACCAAAAATAAAATCGTAATATAATTATAAGAGAAATCAAAAGTCCAGAAAAAACAAGAGTACAGCCATATCTTCTCCAATCTTTAATCCACTCCCAAGAATGACTTTTGGTTAAAATAAGTCATTTCAATCTATAATATTTAGAATGACAAGAGAAGTCCTTTGACTCCAGCCTGCTTCCAGCATCTGTCAAGAAAATCACAAACCTAACCCTCAATTCATTGGAGAATGCTAACAGGAGATGAATAAGGCTTCAGAGAGAGAAAGCATATTATTAGAAAGGTTCAAGACCAAATATTCACAGCAAGGCACTGTGTGTGTGTGTGTGTGTGTCTGTGTGTGTGTGTGTGTGTGTGTGGGTTTGCTTTTCAAGTATGGTACTGAGTTTTTAAAGTATATGGATTAGGTTATTTTTAGTTGAAATTTTTCAAAATAAAAGATACATATAGTGTATGTGTGTGTGTATATATACATAAACTGATTATATATATACTATATATAATCAGTTTAAATTTAAAAGCCCCTACAGATTATATATAATATATAATTTATGATTATACATAATATATAATCACATATGTAATAATATATATAATCAGTTTAAATTCAAAAGCCCCTACAGAGAAAACAAAAAACTAAGCTAACAGTTTATTTTTATTTATTTATTTATTTATTTATTTTTGACGGAGTCTCACTCTGTCGCCCAGGCTGGAGTGCAGTGGCACTATCTCGGCTAACTGCAAGCTCCGCCTCCTGGGTTCATGCCATTCTCCTGCCTCAGCCTCCCAAGTAGCTGGGACTACACGCACCTGCCACCACGCCTGGCTAATTTTTTGTATTTTTTTTTTTTAGTAGAGACGGGGTTTCACCATGTTAGCCAGGATGGTCTCGATCTCCTGACCTCATGATCCGTCCACCTTGGCCTCTCAAAGTGCTGGGATTACAGGCTTGAGCCATCGTGCCCGGCCAACAGTTTACTTTTTTAGTCCACTTTTGCATTTCAACTACTTCTAATCATAGATAACCTAAGGGTTCCTGCTTTCCAATCCACACAAGAAATCTTATCAGAGATACAACACCGCGTGATCTCACTTATATGCAGAGGCTAAAAAAGTAGAACTCATAGAGAGAGAGTAAAAAGATGGTTTCCAGGGACTGGGGCGGGTGGGTGAAGAAAGTAGAGAGATGTTAGTCAAAGAACACAAAATTTCAGTTAAGTGAAATAAGTTCAAGAGATCTATTATACAACATGGTGGCTACAGCTAATAACAATACATTGTATAGAGTTGACCTACTGCAACCACAAATTCAAACAGGCATGGATCAAAAATATTTTTAAAAAAGTAAGATATAACAATACAAAAATGCAAAATTTAAAATACAGTATGACAACTATTTACATAGCATCTATGTTGTATTAGGTATTATAAGTAACCTGGGGATGATCTAGATTATACAGAAGGATGTGCATATGTTATATGCAAACATGATACCATTTCAATTTTATATAAGGGACTTGACCATCTGAGGACTTTGGTATCCATAGAGTTTCTGGAAACAATCCTCCACGGATACCGAGGGATGAATGTACTTCAAAATTTCTAACAGAATAGATCTTAAGCGTTCTCACTATACACACACATACACACACACATATACACACACAAAAAAATAAGTATGTGAACTAATGCATATGTTAAATAGCTTGCTTTAGCCATTCTACAATGTATACATACATCAAAACATTGTAAACCATAAATACATAGTTTTTACTTGTCAATTAAAATAAATGGATTTAATAAAATAGAAAAAAGATACATGTGGTGTGTTGCAGAATACTGTAAAAGCATATAGAAAGCACTCAGGTAGTAAAAATTCAGCCTTCAGTTATAAAAGCGTTTCATTTAAAACACAACATATTACTTCGGTGATTTAACATTTTCCCATTTTTCTCTATCCCATACCCACCACACACAGAATAACCTACATAAGTTAGAATTTTAAAATGGGGGGTTATTATTTACATTTTCTAGAATACAACTAATTTGGAAAAAGTCAGAGGAGCAGCAGTGAATTGGCAGCATTCATTTGGTAAATTCGGTAAGATGACATATACCTGCTTAAACAATAGTGCTAGCAGCAGAAGCTCAGTGAAGTGCTTAAGAGCACAGACTCTGGAACCAACTTCCACGGTTCATAATTCCAATTCTGTCACTTACTAAAGGTGTAACTTTCATCCAATAATCTCTCAATGCCTTGGTATCCTTAACTGCAAAATGAAGATGGCAGTAATAGTACCTACCTCATAGGGTCATTAGGCAAATTACATGACTTTACATATGCACAGTGCTTGAAAAGAGACTGACACATGGGAAGTGCTATGTAATTTTTATTTGTTTATCTTAAGGCTATTGTGCAGACTATAAATGTATTAAGTGCCCAGCACAGGGCTCAACTCAGCAGTGTGGTAGCTGGTAGTAGTATTTTTTTTCTAATGGCATAGGTTAATAAGAGCAAGCGTTACCAATTATTAGTGCCTTTGTAAACAGTAAACAAATAAGCCTCCATTTCATTATCAAACAAATGTCTATTAAAACACATTTTTTGTTTCTTAAAAAAAACCCAGTGCCAGTAAGAGTGTAATGAAACTATAAACCGACAATATTACTAAGAATTATACCATGTTAATAGTTTGATCCCATAATCCTAATACTGCACCCTAGAGATATACTAAAATATAAGAAAAGCTTTAAGCCAAAAAAATTGTTTAAGTTATTTATGTGTCACTTATGAAAAACTGAAAACAATATAGGTGTCTAACAATAAGGAACAGTAGGTCAGTATTTGAAAATAGGAGGTTTGGGATATGCCTCATATAACTAGATTTCTCCATCTTGGTCTGTCAGTGGTTATTAATATATCAAAGATACTGAGAGGCTGAGACTTAACGCCATTTTTTAATCTGCATTTCCCAGACACACTGGGTAACGGAAACTTTGGGGGAAGGTGGTTTCCCATTGAACTAAAGTGCCCAGGAACAGGATGGCTAATCTCGATGATAATATATGCAGCCCTTGACAAGGATAGTTTTCAGTATCATTCAGCCTGCTTCCAGAAGTATGAGAAGAATACTCATTATATCAATGTTAAGAGAAAAAAAAAGGCTAGACTCAGTCAATTAATAGCTAAGCATATGAGAAAAGCTCAAATCCCAAAATGATTTGTAGAATTATGTGTAAATGTTATTTTAATGTGAAGCTACTTCTATAGTGAAAACAAGTTCATAATCGTGACATTATAAAACCAATGTGATTTAGTGATAGCAAGTCTTCTGTCTTCCTGATTTGGAAGTACAGTTTGTTTATCTGGTTACTTTAATAAGGCCTGAGGGGCGAATCCTTACTGAAAGTGACCAGTAACAAGAACACAGAAAACAAACAGAGAGATCATTCAGCTTCACCAGAGGAATACATGGAGGCAGCCAGCCCTGTCAATTTGGAAGAGGCTAATGAAACATTATCTGCAGGTGAGCGGACTGTCTTGCAGTATTACAGCTCTAAGCTACAAATGCTTTCCTAACCACAGAGGTAACCGCTATACAGATACTTTGAAAGACAAATGAGAATGCTGCCACATGCAAGGTCAATCACAAACAACCTGGGTGTCTCTCCTTCCCCAGGAGACCAGGACCTAGGGAGCCAGTGGGTATACCCAAGCAGGCCACACCAGGTCACTTCTCTTACATTTCTGAGTTTCAATTTTAGCAACCTGGTAGGTAGGTAGGTAGGCAGGTAGATAGATAGATAGATAGATAGATAGATAGATAGATAGATAGATAGACAGACAGACAGACAGATAGATAGATAGAATGTATGGATATGATTAAAAATAGGCTGGGCACGGTGGCTCACACCTGTAATCCCAGCACTTTGGGAGGCCAAGGCAGGTGGATTGCTTGAGGTCAGGAGTTCGAGACCAGCCTGGGCAACATGGTGAAACCCATCTCTACTAAAAATACAAAAAATTAGCTGGGCATGGTGGTACGTGCCTGTAGTCCCAGCTACTCGGGAGGCTGAGGAGCAGGAATCACTTGAACCCAGGAGGCAAAGGTTACAGTGAGCAGAGACTGTACCACCGCACTCCAGCCTGGGCAACAGAGTGAGACTCTGTCTCAAAAAAAAAAAAAATGTAGAAATAAAGCTCACACACATTCTGGAAACTGCTTTTCCTTGTGTCGGAGAAAATGAGTAATCATCAATTTCCAGTGCTTATAATTTTCTGATTAAGGTTACTATGGTTTCAGGAAATCACTGTATGCACAAGAGCATGGTAGGCTGTGGACTACCTACAGGGGAGAAAAATAAAATCCTAGTAAATAATAGACAGTTCACTTTTGTCTAGGAAGTTTATTAATACATCAACTCCCAAGGTATTCTGGGATGATGATTTTATTTGATGCAATACATTCTATTTAAGGATTTTCTTTTTATGACCTAATGATGCATTTAATTTTTAATTAAATTTCATTTTAAAGTATAAATATGTATAAAAGCCAAAGCAAGTGTACAGCATCTGTTCATTGCATCTGCACTCACTACCACAAAAATTAGCCTTAATCTAAAGAGGCACAAATGGGTTTTTATACCAACAGGAGGCCCAAGTATTTAAAAATCAATGACTGTCCACCCAGACAAAGAACAGCTGTTTCCTATATTCCAGCTCCATATCAAGCCCATGCTCAACCCAATGGCTAGCCTAAAACTGCCCATACTCTCGTTTTCCCCAGTCAAAACTGTCAAAAAAGGGCAGTATCTAAAAGCCATGAGCTGGATTAAGTGGAGACAAGGCAGAGAAGGCCTGGCCCAAACAGATGGCATTTTAAGAGACACCCTCTATCACCATCATTCAATGACTTAGTAAAATCATAATCAATCTTATTTCCTGTGTTCCCAAATCTACTTAATGAGACATTTCACTTTTGTTTAAAAGGCCAAGGAGGGGACTGTAGGGATTGGAGAGATTTTGGTCAAAGGACACAAACTTTCCCTTAGACAGAAGGAATAAGTTCAAGAGATCTATTGTGCATTATAGTGGCTATAGTTAATAATATATTGTATACTTCAAAATTGCTGAGAGCAGATTTCAAGGGTTCTCACCACAAAAAATAAGTATGTGAAGTAATGCATGTTAAATAGCTTGATTTAGCCATTCCATGATGTATACACATATATCAAAATATCATTTTGTAGACCATAGATATATACAATTTTTGTCAACTAAAAAAAAAAAAAAAAAAGCCAAGGAATGTCAAGAGTGAATCGATCGATTCTCAACCCTCCAAAACAAGACTTCTTTCCCTGGAACGCAAGTGAGTTCTAAAATATTTCATAGACTGGAGAATATCACCACTTAATCACCACTTAATTGGGCAGTTATAGCATTCTCTAAAATATGTGTGTTTTTACTTTCCTGAAGGACATGAAACCAAGATGGTAGAAGATGGTATGAGGAGAGAAGAAAAAGTAAAATGTTCGCAAAATGGAGAGAAAGAAAGAATACGGGGAGTGGTCATGGTTTTTAAAGGAAGCTCCTTGGCACTAGGATTTTCTATTAAGTCTTTTAGGGATCACTTTAAACAGAGTTCCATGGTGGAGAGTAGGAAGAAGAAAAATCTTAGAAATTATAGATGAGAAGACAGATTTGTGTTTTGTGTGTCATCTAAAATGTCATTTTGTCCATTTCCTCACCTGAAAAAAAAAAAAAAAACTAATCTAGACGATCTTGAAGGCCCCATGTGGTACCATGTTTATATACTTTTCCTGATTGAGTCTCAGAACTAAATTTTAAAAGGCATATATTGAGACAAATCAGTAGGTAATATAAGAAAACTATTAGGAGGGCCTCAAAAAACAACAGGAGGCAACAGCACATTTCTCTTCTAACACGGATGCCCCTGCACCGGCTGACTTAGTCCTTTAAATAACTCCTAAGTAGATCTAACAAATGAAATCAGAATCTTGCCATGCTAGTGCCCCCATTGTGCAGGGGTGGGGGTCCCATCATAGGGGTTCTGATAAGCACTGGACTGTATGGACTTTAGTGGTAGCAATTCTGGCTGGTCATAGATTCAAATCCAACCATTTACAGGAGGATTTGTGGGTTGTGAGTCAAGTGGGTTGAGAAATCATAGGAAGCACCCTCTATTGACTGCACAGAAACCCATCCCTCTATTGATTGCTTCCTGATCATTCAGGCCCGTGGACACCCTGCTTCAGTGATCTGCCATCTGCAGCACATCCTGGGGTGCTCTCCAGACACAACCATCTGGGCCCCCAAAAGGGTCCCATGGTCCCAGCCTGAAAGGTGATTGTCTCCAGAAGCACCTTCACTGTGTTTCAAGCATCAGGGCTTATTAAAACCCCGAAGGGAAGTAATCCCTGAATGCCACTAAAAGATCTCCAGCTGGTACCATTTATGAAGTAAGCTTGACGAGAGGGGGAGTGAATGGGGGAGTGGGGACAGGAAGGACCAGAAGAGAGAAGAATTTAGACAAGGGCAAGTTATCCAAAGAGAGCCCCCATCAAAAAAGAGTCATGTTTTATCAGCTTAAGCTTTCCTGCCTTCTTTCCCAAAGGTATTTCCCCCCTCAACTCTCATTAATTCTTCTTTATAGCTGTCTATTTTCTTTAATAATAATAATAATAATAATAATAATAAAGGCAGCACATGGCTAGAGAAAGTCTGTGTGTGAAAATTAGAAAGACTTTTCGGATGAATTACCTGGAAACAACTGAACATGTCTTCCCTAGAAAATCAGGGAGGAAAATGTTTTTTTCATGGAAAAGAATTAGAGTAGCTCTCAGTATCTGTCTCTCCCTTCTCCATTCTTTGGGAAAAGTCTTTTCATCTCATTAAGTTAAGCTGATTAATAAAAATTCAGCAGTTTGCCCATGGATCCTTTAGAAGTGGCGATACAAGCTGAAAGATGCAGGCGGAAGGTTTTTGTGCTGGAGACAATACAGGGGATGACTTCTTAAATCCGTCGTCGTCATCCTCCATTAGTGATAAATAGTCACCTTGGCTCAGATTCGTCAGACAAATACTATATTGCTACTTGTTATCTTCTAGTAACCTTCAGAAAAACTTTAGTGTTTACTTAAAAAATGAGGAAAAAAAAGAATCATTATGTAGAAAAAAATGAGAACATTTTGCTTCGTTTCAAAAATTATTTATTCAAATTAGTGAACAAAACATGGTCTATCGGAATAGGCTCATTAAACAGAAAAAATACTTGCATCCAAAGAAATCTCATATGTAAATAGAAACTTGTATATTTTTTGCTGTAACAAGCAGACAAATCCAGTTATTTTTTCATGAATAACTGTTTATTTTGTCATCAAAAAATCTTTGTTAATTACCTAGTTGGTAACTGACACATAATAGATGCTCAATCAAGAGTTTAAGAAGTGAATTTCCTCAACAAATTTTAAGTGACTACTGTCTACTTTTTTCTGTTTTGTTTTTTGTTTGTTTTTTTGAGACAGTCTTGCCCTGCCACCCAGTTTGGAGTGCAATGGTGCAATCTCGGCTCACTGCAACCTCCGTCTCCTGGGTTCAAGCAATTCTGCTGCCTCAGCCTCCTGAGTAGCTGGGATTACAGGCATGTGCCACAATACCTGGCTAATTTTGTATTTTTAGTAGAGATGGGGTTTCTCCAGGTTGGTCAGGCCGGTCTCGAACTCCCAACCTCAAGTGATCTGCCCACCTCAGCCTCTCAAAGTGCTGGGATTACAGGCGTGAGCCACCACGCCTGGCCTGTTCTGTTTTTCAAATTTTAAGTTCTGGGATACATGTGTAGGATGTGCAGGGTTTTTAGGTAAACATGTGCCATGGTGGTTTGCTGCACCTATCAATCCATCACCTAGGTATTAAGCCCCACATGCATTAGTTATTTAGAGTCAATTATATAATGCCATGACTTACAAATGTCTTCAGCTATCCAGACATGGGTTAAATACATCCAGAAAATATATATCTATTATGTGAAAAGCTTCAAACAAGGGGACATAAAGATCAGTAAATCTGCCTTGTAGAAGTTGAAGTAATTTCCGGGCTACCTTTAAACTTGTGTAGCACTAAACTGTTCACCTGTATTTTATCCAAAGTATTTTTCCCAACTGACCGAATTAAATTTGTACTACCCTTCATAATTTGTTTAAAAGTCCTTGTAAGTGGCATTCACTATTCACATGTTAATAACTCTGCCAAATTTATATCTAGCAAATCTTGGTATGTATAAGAGTGTTTTTAGTGCCATTTAAACCAATTTATTCACACTATACTGAATCAAGTTTTATAGTCAATCTAGTCATTAAATTTACCCTAAAACACCAGAACAAATAAATATTTTTGTCTGATTCTCACTTCAGAAAGATTGGGCAGGGGTAGTTCTTTTCATTCACATCTTATGGATATTACATATACTTAAAGTCATGAATTCTTTACAGAACAGCCCCCAAATGTTTAAAAGTGTTAGGCATGTTTAAAGATGCAACTCTTGATTTGGAGATTGCTAAAACAACAATAAAAGACTTATTCTAAACCTTGATCAAATTAGCTACTTAGCTATTATTGTTTTCTCCAGATAAATATGGATTCAGTACCAGTAATAGAGCCAAACTCATTTGACCACATATTCCCTGTGGCCTGAAGCCGTCACCTGTTTTGCCATCGTCAATCTATCTTTTCAAATACCTAAGAGGCTGAGACCAATGCAGCTGAGAGAAACAATGGATAAGGATCTATTTACACTTCTGCTGTGAAGAATAATCATAGGTTAGCTCTGGCTTCCAATTAACAAATAAAAAATTGGTTAACTAAAGCACAGCTCTTTTTCTGTGAAATGATAGGTGAGCAGAATCTAACAGACACTATATGCTTAGTAATTAGTATCTAAGGTATAGGAAAAGAGTACGCAGTTGCAGTCTAGAGATGGAATGTACAGCATGATGACTATAGTTAGTAATATTGTGTTGTATACTGAAAGTATGCTAAAAGGGATAGATTGGATAAACTGACTTCCTTGACTATGGTAATTATTTCACTCTGTATATCAAAACATGATATACATATATCATGGTGTACATGTCGTACATCTTATATACAAAATATTTTTGAAAAATTTAAAGATACTATATGCTTAAAGGCATTATCATTCTCATATTTTAAAAATTCTACAACATGCCTACTGTGTGCCAAGCACTATGTTGACTACTGTAAACAAAAAGAAACCAAGTAGATTATAAGTATCTGGTATTAATGTCCAGTGAGGTGAGATAAATATTACTGAGGGATAGTAAAGGGTAATACTGATTAAACATGTTGGTACTAGTTCTTCCTTTTACAAATCTACTTGAGTTCCTGGATCTCCCTGTAAACACTGAGACAGAAAGGGTCACACATATTGACTCATTTTGTGCATATCTTATTGAAATGGGAAGCTGTTGAGAAAACATTCAACTGCTTCTGAAAAAAATATTTACATGGTGAGGGGGATACTTCTACTTACTATCAGTGGGTACTATCACTGAAAGTGGTTCTTAATATAGAATGTCCTTGACCACAAATAAATTTTTTTAAAGCTTATTTAAAAAGCTTCATTGTATGGGATTTTCCTGTATGAGAAAAGTACAGACATTTGGGTCAGTTCTCTAAGTTTCTCCAGAAATAGTATTTTATTATATATATTCCACTGAAATTGAGACTTTTGAATATGACTGTCAGTACATTGTAGGCAACTATTAAGCATATTTTAAATAACATATCAAAGACAATTATGAAATGCATAAAGCCCCTATAATGCAAAATTTTTTCAAAAATAGCATCTCTGTGATGTTATCACCCTGACAATATAAAACACAAGAAAATGAAATATAGTTGATAAGATTATGTAAAATGCAGTATATGTATGTATTTAAGTAAAATGATTTATTTTGCATCTTAACAAAATATCAACCTATTTCTATCATATTCAATTCTGGAAATTTAAGAGCCAGACAAGCAAACTTCTTGGTGTAAATATGTAGCTACTATATACACTTTCTTCAGCATCTCACAATGCATCGTGGGTATAACTGTCTACAATAAATTAACAGTAACTCAATATTTATAAAAGAGAAACATAGTTCAAAATCATAGCCCCATAACTGGCATTGCAATTATAATGAGCTCTTATTTTATGAATATCTTTCAATGAAAATAGCTATATTGGTAACTGGAAATAATTATTAGTAAAACAGACCTACTTTAATGCTCATTCTGATAATCAAAAAATTTAAGATTACAGAATTATAAAATAATGGAGAGGAATAAAATAGATTCCACAAAAGTTCAACTTGGATTAAGTTAAGTTGAACAGCTTTTATTAGATAACAAGGAAATGAAAAACATTCAGTTCATGTCCAACAAATTACTAAATGCAGAAACACCAGCAAACACACATTTTACTGTCGGTAATGGCTGCTGCTCACAAATCAATCTACTTGGATGAGAACAAGCCTAACCTCTAAGAGGACACATCACTGTGCTCTGTGACTGTGATTAGTCCACCGAAAACTCACACTGTCACAGGAAATGGGGTGAATCCAGTCCAATTTACCCATGAAACTGATTAGGAATAATTTGACTAGAAACTGCAGAGAAAACAGACCCTGAGTGGGCCAGGCAACTCCAATAAATGAGGTCTATAAGCAAAGCTGTCCAAAGCAAGAAGGGCATTAAACAGGTGGATTAGATAATATTTAGGCATTTCTGTTTATATATCTATTTCTATACTTACCATCATCTTGATGCAAACGCATTTAGTAACTTACTTAAAGTTTCACTGAAAAAAAGTTTAACTGATTTTTTGCCTAAATCATTCTTGCAAAGAGAACTGGCATCTTGGAACTTACTTTAAAGAACCAACATGTCTTATTCACTTAGGTTCTCACTGATTATTAAAGCAAGTTTTGAAAAGTTCATTTCATATTATAAAGTTTACTATGACATTATTTATATATTTTTAATAATCACATGAAAGATATGTATAAAATTAGTTGAGCTTTGTCAAAACATGCAATAAAAGGGTGTGACAATGGAGTCATATTTATGTAACTAAAATACTTATATTGCATAATTGTTTGCTGAATTAAAATACTATATACAAGTACCCAATGTTTAAAAATTCTTATTCTACTTCTTACTTCCTTCCAAATGCAAAGGGAAAACAAATGAAAACCAAATAGTTTCAACTTGTGGTACATTTTATAGCTGTGAATTGAAAACATTTTATTCTAGGCTCTTCTTTTTCTTCTTTTGAAGCACTTAGATTTTTTAAAACCATTTTTAATTCTTAGAATTAGTCTAAATTAAGAGTTTACTCAGATACAGCACAGTTGCGATCTCCCTGCGTCAAACTTCAGGATTCAACTCATCAACTCTGATAAGGGATGTTGGATGGTTTGGGTAGTTGAATATATGTCACACATTATTTTTATTACTGACTAATTGTAACTTCAGTGTGGTTTTCCAGATATAAATATTTAAAGCCATGTCTGAAAACAAAACAGAAAAAAAAATCCTTTTAATAAAATCTTTAGAGTCATGTTTGAAAGTAAAAAAGAAAACTTCTGTGTCCTCTTCAAAAGTTTACACAATGTAAATATGTATGTATTAGTTCCTCTTAACTGAAAAAACAAAGTTGGAGGGTTGGGGAGAAGTAAATCATAAGTTTTTAAAAAAGAAGTTTTAAAGGCTGATAGATTAATGAAGTTGAAAATGACCTCCCAGAAGACAACAATCCCCTCATTTCACAGATGAGGAAACACGACTTGACCAAGGTTAAGTGACTTGCCCAAGGTCAAACAGTTAAATAGTGTCAAGGCCTTACCACATCTCGGATCTTCTAAGTGAGATGCTCTCGCCTAAGAGATCGACTAATTCAATCACCTTGTAAAGATGAAAAACAGAGTCCCAGAGCAATCGATGACTTGATTAAGGTAAACATCTAGTTGGTAGAAAATAAAAAACCTGACTCCAGGCCTTGGTATTTTTTTAAAAGATATTTTTTCATCTTCCAAACTGATAAAATCAAAAAGAATAATTTTCTCACAAATCAATACATGAATTTAGTTAGGCTGGCAAAACATCTGGCAACAGGTAGCCAATAAATTGAAATGAAGAGAGGCACACTATGGGCAGACAACTCATAGGCTAATCGTCAAATGACTAATTCTCCATGTTAATGAATCAGAATAATAAAAATGAATAATATGTAGATTTCATGGATCCAAAATTATGCACCATGCATTTTACATGCGTTTACTTTCTCACTGAATCAACACAATTTTGCAAATTATACATCCTATTTTACATAAGTGAAAATTGAGGGTTGGAGAAAAGAGGCAGCATTTGATCCCAGGTCACCTCAACTCTAAAGTTAGACTATGCTCTCTCTTTGACATATCTCTGTATAATTATATGGTATTTTTATATAATAATACAGAAATACATTTGAAAGTATTAATAGCTAAAATTTATTGACCACATACTATGCGCCAGGCATTTTTCTATGCTTTATGTTTAATAATACATCATTTAATCATCACAGTAACTCTATCAGACAAATAGATTAGTATTTCCATATATAAATGAGAAAGATGAAACAGGGAATGATTAAGTAACTTGTCTAGGACCACAGCAAGTAGTCAGTGGAGGAGCAGAGAAGTGTACCCAGAACCAACCCACCTCAAGTTCTTAAGCATCATGGGCCAGCCCTTGAGTATGGTGTTTTTGCCATGACTCAATCTCTGACCTCAAGAATCTTAGAATCTAGTAATGGGAACACATGCAAAAATGCAGATAACATATATAAACTATAGTATAACTCATATACTAATATTACCCATATAAACAACTAAATTAGAAGATGGGGTAACAACTTCCACTGCAGAGGTACAAACAGCTATGCTAAGGAATGAATTGCCTAATGTTTGCAGACACGCAATTCAACGAAAAGACTTGGGTTAGTCTGGCAAAGCAGAGAGGTACATAATGGATAAAGTGTCAAACCCTTTCTTCCCCTTACTTGTTGTCTCTCTGGAGATTAGGTGAGAACCTGATCCACTCACTGCCTATCAGGAGACTTCTGTCTTTGAAACTAATCAGGAAGAATTTACTGGCTGTTAAACTCTATGGCAAGAACTCTTGTGAAGGAATGAAACAAAAGGAAGGGAAACTAAGATGAAAGTGAGGGATTTGGGACACAAAATAACGCAGAGTCACTTCAAGCATCTATGTATTGTTCCCTATAGCTTAAAAATGATTATTTCTTGCTCAAAATGTGCTTATAATACAGAAAGCAAAATCTGCATTTAAAATTCTTAAGTAAAGGTATATTGTTATTATGTAAACCAAAACTGACTTTAAGTGAAATAATTTAGGTTGACTATAGAGGAAAATTTCCTGACTGTATGATTGCTAAATTCTAAAACTTTTATTCAGGGAATATCCAGAATTTCTTCTGAACGTCTTCAAAAATAGCTCTATACCTTTGCCAGCCTTCAGGAACCAAGCTTACCTGCATGCAGGCAAGAAGGGCCAGTGGTATGTGAATCCCTAGCAATTTGGTTGTATATACAGATTGTACATACACATGGCCTCACAATTAGCTCCAAAGAACCAGTCCACGAAACATTTAACCTCCGGTTATACTAGTTATTTGTAGTGGATGCCAAATTATGGCTTGCTACCTCAGTCCATTAAATGCTCAACAAAGAGGAATAAAAATGTGCATTTTTAATGCTCTTTTCATATTAGCATATAGTCCCTACCATTCTCCTCCACTACACCTCCTCGGAAATTCTGCCCCAAGGTCACCCTTCAACATTTCATCAAGTTCTGTTAGACAAACTGTATCACTCCACATAGCCCAGCTGAGTGGTAAGGGCCATTTACTGGCCAAGGGACCTTTGGCTAGTATAAAGTATGTAAAAATCAGTTTTCTCAGCAGCAAAACAAGAATTATAATACTTCCCTCACAAGAGCTTTTGTCAGGATTTTTAAAAATGATGATTTAGTCTATAAAGGACTGTGCTCAGACACAGTAAGTGCTCAATAAATGGGAGCTATTCAAGTCAATTCCTAGAGGGGCACATAAGTACTTCTGTGGCCTATAAAGCAAAAATGAATCTCTTCCACAGCATTGTTTCTATTCGCCCCTAAGTAAATGCCAAAGCCTGTACTCTAACTAGGAAGGTTTTGAAAACATGATTCAAAGAGCCATAGGGGGTCCTCGCAGGCCTCTCAAGAAGCCTGGGAACAGAGCACAGCCGACCGCCCAATCTCTCCAACTACAACTTGATGTTTGCTTGGTGGTTTGGCATTTGTTTTTCCGTTTTACACATTAGACTTTCGCTAATGATTTTTGTGAACAATGGTTTTTTGGCAAAAAAAAAAAAAAGCTTTGAAAACAATTGCTTAATCCACATGTCAGGGAAACAATTCAGATATAATAGAGCACCCTAAGTTTCATCTGGAAATATTAAAATTACTCTGATTTTTATCATCTCACCACTTAACCACTTACAAATGAAGCCTAATTTGAAGATCTTCAACATTTACCAGTATTCTGTTATATTTACAAAGCAATTAAACAGTGGCTAAGATATACAACAGTGCAGAACAATTCTAATACATATTAAGACCCTGTTAATCCATCTGTTACAAAGAACAATGCAATATAATGGTCCTCCTTCCCCTACTAAAAATGCAGCCTCGTGTATGTGTGGGAGTAGGAAGTATATGAGATATCTCTGTACCATCCTCTCAATATTGCTGTGAACCTAAAGCTGCTCTAAATAAATAAAGTCTTTAAAAAGTCAAAAACAAAAATCACAACCTTAAATTCACACTCCACAACTTGACCAACCTACCTCTTCAGCCCATGCTGCAGGTACTTTCACTAGATCCCCTCCACCCTGAATAAACTACTTTCTGTTTATTCCCCAAATCCATATACAAGGTTACAGCCAGTAGGCCTTTGCTCCTGTTCCTAAGGATCCCTGGAATATTCTTCAGCTACTTGCCCCATCTCTTTTAAAATCATATCCATTGTTCAAGGTCTAGACTAAATTATTCCTCTCCAGAAAGTAGTTTCTGATACCCCTGAACAGATGTGCTTTCTCTCTCTCTGTCCATAGCATTTCATGCTTTATTGTGACACTATTGTTCTAATATATTAGTGGCCTGAATGAAGCAGAACAGTTTGATGATTGCCTTGGCAGTCAAAGAATTTTCTAATTGTCCTGGTATTTGCCTGCATGTGGTCTTTAGCACTGATATGTTCACATCAAATATCACAGAAGACTACAAATTTAAAAGCATGCTTACAATATCAGTGGAAATGAATTAACAATCCAAATATGCTATTGGTTTTACTGTGTATTTATTAACAATTACTTTGTAGTCAAGACACAATAATTTCTTTTTAAGGATGTTTACTTTTCTAGTTAGTAAATGTACGGGATGGTTTTCACTAAAACATAAGTCAGCCAGCTGTTTGTTTGGGTTCTTAAACTGAATGGTAAAAATACAAGCAGCTTTTTCTCAAAGTACTCCACTTTAAACAAGGGAATCTGTTCCATATTTAAATGATTTAATTTTCTTTTTCTAAAAAAAAATAGTTTAAATTTTTCATATAATAAGAACATCTCCTCTTCAGAACTTTCATTTCAAATGGCATATGGTTCTCCCTCACCCATCTGATGCCCCAGGGATGCCAAGGCACTTAGGAGACCCAAGAGAGTGTGTAATCCGACATGACAGCTGAAAGAGGGAAGGCTGACAGAGGCATCAGAACAGGTACCAGGGAGGGAGAAGCATCATTCTGGAATCTGAGGGTTTACCCTTTTACTTTCTTCCAAGTTCACCAAAATGCTGCAATTTACATCTCCTTGAGAAGACAGCATCACTGACCCAAAGGTTTCACTCAGAAATGGGCTGGACCCACCAAGACAAGCAGCTTTGTGTACCTTAAACTTCACTAAAGCAGACAGACTGGTCAGCGTTTCTGCACTTCAGTCTCCTAAGTTCTCCATAACCCAGTGTAAGCTCCAGCTGGCTTTGTAGTCAGCTTCCCTTTCCTCTATATGGTGCATTTATGAGTTCGGCTGTGGGCCCTGTTAATTTCCCTCCACAGCCTTTCTTCTCTTCCTAACACATGCATACTTGAGCCCGCTCTGGAGTGCTGACTAAGGAGGAACAATAGGAGGCTTTGAGCAGGGCTCAAGCCCCAGACCCAGTCAATATTTACTTCAGTTTGGAGGCACTGTTTTAAAGCTCCTTCCAAGCACAACTCAACAGGGGGAGTCCCCAGAGGTTTCTAGATTTTATTTTAACTAGAGGGAAGAGGGGTATGGAGATAAATAGATTACTGTCCAAACCACTTTCTCAGAGAAAATAAGAGAGGCTGTTCAACAAAACAGGTTAGATTTTCAATACTAATTAGCAATTTATAACAAGAAAAACCAATCGTCTTCCAACACTGATTATTGCAGTCTTAAAACTCCATATTCAGGCTGCAGTGCAAATCTACTTAATGTGACCCATGTATATCTTGTGAGCAGAGTCCTGATCCTATCAACCACTCAAGAGCTTGCCAATGTTTGCCTACTCTGCCCAGAATGGTAATGCAAGAGCTCTAGGTGAAGTTAACCCAAACTCCACGACTGAATTCCAAACCAGGTCTTATGTATACTATTAATATGTGATTACAAAATGAAGTTGTGATTACCAAACCCCATGAATTAAGAGTATGCTATGATAAACACTAGTAAGTATGCCTGTTATCTTTGCAGTAGATTGGAAAGGTTAATCTATGGCTATGAAGGGAGTGACTAGGAAAAAAAAGTCACAAATACTCTCTTCCCACCAGTAAAAGAGGCTTACTATGGGACAGCATGTGAGAGGTAAGATGGATAGTTTGTTCTAATACCATATTAGAGCCAATAAAGCTTCCCTGTGGGTTTACATTGCCTTCTGTTGACATAAATATAGACAGACCTTCTATATTAAATATGAAACTACTTAACCATAAGGATTTTTGTATTTGCCAGTGGGTTTAAACTTTTTTTTTAAAGGTCAATTGCCATAGAACTAACCCAAAGTGACAGTTGGGAAATTTTACTAAAATGATTAAGGCTATATAAAATTACTAAAGATTTGTTAGATACCTAAGGAAGAAATTCATAGTTGTCTGCCATAACCAACTATAATACTCATTATTCCATTCAAATCATTAAGTAGACTTTGTTCCTTTTGCTTAAAGACTCAACTGTATATTCCATTCACATTTTGCAACATTTCCATAAGAACAGAGCCAAATGATCTAAAAACTTTAAAAAGAGAAATTGAAGAGAATTTACAACTGTCCAAAGTTAAAATTCTAGTTTATGACAACCTTAGTACTAAAGAGCATCTTCTGTATTTTAAACATGTAAAATACATTGACATAACTCAGCCTTTCACAAAGAGAAATAGAGATAATTCAACCCATTCCTCCCTCCAAAAAAAATAATGAGGTAAAAGGTGATGCACCAGGATTAGCCTGTTCAACTGTCTAAATTCATCACATGCACTGGAATCTGTTCAGCTCTAGCCTTTAGTACATTATTTACCATATTAATAAAAGCTGAATAATTAAGCTGCAACTCAATCCAATCATTTCAATACCTTAAGGAATTACTGGATAGCTATACACATGCAATCTGATCAATCAACATGCGCTCATGGAAAAAAAAAAATGCTGAGTAAGCCTGGCTAAGATGCAGTCTTTGGCTGATATTCTTTAACTGATGTACAAGAATATAAGGAATTAGTATTTTAATAACACAAAATATCAATAAGTAAGTTATCAAAATTTAAACTTCTTGACTACCCTTTTGCCAAGAAAGTAAGCCTGGAGCAAGGGAGTGACTGTAACTAATATCATTCATCAGACATGGAATCCAAGTAACATAAAATTACCAAGCTTCAAACTTGAAATAAACTCATAGCAAGCTCATTCCCTTGACAAATTTTAACTTCCAATTTAGCAGGAAAAAAGAAACCTGCTTTTGTACAAAATGATATAAGAGCAACAAAGGTAAATCTAGCTTTCCTATGAGCACAGCGATTGTAAATATTAAAATGCTGTACTTTTAAGAGAAATCTGTTATGCAGAGTTCACAGTGTTCTTTCAAATAATTTTGGTATGGCTTATGTTAGACCCAGTATTTTTATTACTAGTGGCCAAGTTCTGCCCACCAACATCACTAAATTTCTGGGTACAGCGCATAAGGATCATTGATAATTTCCCTTATGAATTACTTTTTCCTGGCATAAATGAGGTTTGTACCTTCAGGAGTAAAACAACATTACAAAATGATTATGTAAGTATATGATGGAAATTTTTTAACAAGTAACAGGCATATTTGCTATCCATCTAAATAACTATAAACATAGGAAGTAAAATTGGCTTTGAATAACCACCTGACAATGCTATAGGAAAGCAGCCCTTTGGCAGTAATCTATTACTCAGGTTTCAATGCATTAAAATATGTGTTCCTTGACAAATCCTGTTTCCTTTCTCAGCTACATGTTGTTATGATCTATTTATACCTCTAACATCAATGTGTGTATAATATGTACTAAGTTTAAGATAGTCAATAGCAAGAGTTCTCAAGCAGAGCGTCAAGAGGTTAAACCCTGCTCTTCTGGCAGCAGAATTCAGAAAAATCCAAGGATCCCAGGGACAGCCCAGCTGCCCGTAAGGAGCAGGCCCAGACAGGAATTGATTTGTTTCAACAAGCTCCTCATTGGAAATACAAGCATTCTCCAAGAGGATGTCGGTATTCATTAATTTCTCCTTTGAGATGGAGATATCTCATTATAACTATGAAGTCCAAAGTAGAATATCAGGGTTTTAGAAGTCAAAGAAGAAACAATATAGCAGAGACAAACTGAGAGGAGAAGGGAGGACATTAAAAATAAACCTGGCCAATTTTACAAAGGAGATTCAAAATCCCTTTCCCGGGAAGAAGGTCCTGGAAGACTTGCCTCTCAAGAGTCAGTCTTTACACATTATTACTCTTTTAGAAATCACAAGATAAAACCTAAAATGTAAATTCCTTTAAATAAAACCCAATGTAAATGTACAAATCATCTCTCAGGAACAACATATATTACAAAATGATACAATTTGGTCTACCTTTTAAAAATTCAACTCTTCTGTGATGCTTTTAAAATAAGTTTTATTTGTAAGAATGTATTTTCTATGCAACTTACCAGAATATATATAAAGTGAGATTCACAAGAATATATATAAAGTGAGGTTCAAAGTGAGGTAACTCCCCTTAAATCTCTATTTCCCCCCCAATTTATTGAAGTATGATTGACTTTATTCTTTTTACAAGTTTTATATCAGTTTTTAAAGTCCTGCCACATATACACATTCCTTTAAATTTTCACAAGTCTGAGGGAGATATTTTTATTATACCCATTTATTTATTAGGGTGAAGAAACTGAGGCTTAGATTCACCACTATAAATGGCATACTTACAACTCAAATAGAGCTGAAATTTAATTAGCTCTGAAATAAAACCAAAAAATTTTAACAGACAAGTGACAAATCTAATCTGATATAGGTTTTTTAATATCTTACTTTCTGAGTCCTTGCCTATCCAACACCCAAACAAATTTAAAGTTTGATCTGTAATAGTTGCTACTGTAAAAATTCAAAACAAAAAAGTACATAAACACAATGTTTTTACTATACGCAGTTAAATCTGTATAGGAACATATATTAGTATATGGAAGAACTTGGTTACAACCTATTAATATGATGACAAGTCACTGTTAATAACTTTGAGTTAAATAAAAACAATTTAATGTGCTTATTTTCTTTTTTTAAAAATGGAGGTGAAAAACAGTATTAAGAACTACTGAGCATCTTCTACTTCATCTAAAACACAAATCTTAGGTATATCAACTCTATTTTCAACAAATCCATTCCTATTCCTAAATTTAACAATCTTTGAAGCATATAGCATAGTTCTTTTTTAGGAGCCACTTAAGTTCACACAGAGTCACAGAAGGTTCTAGCATTTCAGGATCTATGAGAATCATAAAACTGGAAACGCTAAGTGCTTGTCACCCCCAAATTCACTGTTTGAGAACCCTCGTTTACACCACAGTGAACATAAACATAAACTTACAAAGAAAACAGTACTGTCTTGATTTACTATTCTTAATAATATTCATAGTTATTATGAAATAGTACCCAATGTTCTAATTAAAGCCATTGAGGATTTAAAAAGAAAAATATTTGCTTCTGTTTTAAAATTAACTATCAAAAATTGTTGGTAAAAATTTCTTTTTAAAATAAAATTATACTTAAGTGGTCACTGTCCTGTTCATCTGTTTCCTTTCATAAAAATACACCTGACTTAAAGTACAAACCGTTTTATCTCTTTTAAAAATAATCATTCCATAGAGGTACATTTCAATTAAGTCAGTCTACTTAACTGATGCTTTCAAAGACTTGAAAGTTCATTTAGATTAGTAATATTGTATTTATATACACAGAGTGAAGATCAGTAAAAACAAAAAACAAAAAACGCAGAGTAATCTTCTGAATTTAACTAGTTCCATTCCTTACTTGTTAATACAAAGATTTGCTTTGAAAAAGCAAATAATACATACGCTGTGAGGAAAGCAGAAGCATATTTGCAGATCTTATATTACCTAGACTCTACAGGAGCAAAAGTTTCTCACTAAGACTACTAGAATCATAGAACTTTACAGAAAGAACGCATTTTGTCCCAAGTCTTTTATAACTCCATTGAAATTACAGGCTCCTGAAAGCCACCCACAAGAAACCCAGACATTGAAAGTAGAAAAACTGTTAGTCATCTTTTATGTTAATGTAAAAAGAACATTTGGGGTTAATTTAACCATACGGATTTAAGTTGGAAAGTGTTAAAAATCTGTTTCTGCGGTGTAATTCTGGCATTGCCACATAAAATACATCTTGGGAGGGTTTGCTTAATATCTTTAGACATTTATGACAGGATCCTCCTTAAACTTTTTGGACCAAGGTAGTATTTTTATTCCAGTGGAATTTGTCTACAGAGACCAAATCTTATAATGAAATCCCTGTCCCATTACCTTTGTTAGTGGTGTATTTTCAATGAAGCATAAACTTCAATGTAAAAATCTGTTTTATTTGTCTGAGTTTTGAAGGAAAGTGGTTAGAAAGGAACATTAGGCATTCTGGGCTTCTTAAATGGCAAATAATTTTCCTTCACATAAATACGGAGCCATTTTAGAAACTGCAGAACTCTATGAAAAGTTCAGCGCAAATACAACCAAGAGTCCTTGAAGAAGAGCCAGAAGTCATCTCTCTCCCACTTAATTTTATCTAGAACCTTGCTGTGCAAACCACGGTTCATGGGCCAGCAGCATCAATGTCATCTGGGAGCTTGTTAGAAATGCAGACTGTCAGGGCCCTATGTAGCCCAGACCCACTAAATTAAAATCTGCATTTCAACGAAATCTCCAGGTCTGTGTTCACCTTACAGTGTGAGAAACAGTGACCTAGAAATTACTAACCGAATGCTTCATGATGACAGGGATGCTGTATATATGCTGTTTACTGCAGTATCTCCAGTACTGAGAACAGTACCTGGCCCACAGTGGACACCTGACATAAATATCTGTCAAATAAATCTACATGTGCACATTTATGGTACTATTTTATACTCTGTAATATAATTATATGTATAAAATTATTATATCTGCACAATGGTCTTAAGTTCCTTACAGGTGCAAATGTTATCTTATCCCTGAATCCACTGTATGTCTCCCAGTGTTCTGCAAATATCACTCAATAGTTTATCAATGATAACTTTTAGATATTCAATATAGGAATATAGAATTTCTTCAGTGTGAAAACTTTGGAAAAATAAGTTCAAGTCAACATGTAATTGCTGAATTCATCTATTTGGCTTTGGTTTTAGATACAGCTAAGAGTGCTCACCCTAGGAATGAAAATAGTAATGGAAAACATTATATAGGACCAAGTTCTGATTCTATGTGGTACCAGAGAACAGGGATGGCGTGGATGACTGAAATCCAAAATTGATTCCAAAACTTCATGTTATTCAATAGCTTTAAGGTCTTCCCTTACCAAATCTTCTATCCAAGCTGCTAAAAGTTTGAGTTTTTTGGGTTTTCCTTTTTTTTTTTTTTTTTTTAGTTTCCTTTTCTTTCTCAAATCTTCCATAGGTCTACAGGCCCAGAGACAATAAAATGGCTAAAAGCCATCAAAAGAGAAAAATAGCAATAGAGAGATTTACATAATAAATGAAGTGATTAGCTCTCAAATAACCAGATGTCAATGAAAAATCTAGAGCTAAGTAAAAAAAAAATAATTTGCAAAAGACGTAATGATAATAGTCAGATATGTTAATATATGTATTGATAACAAGACCATGCCAAAATAATATTCAAAATAACGAGATATTCAGACTCACAGATATTGCTGGTTCTCTCAGTTCATATTACAAAGGAAGAACGCTAAAATAGGGAGACCCTTCCTAACAAAGAACTGCATTTTTTCATTTTAATTAACTAAATTAATAGTCCTTTCTACATTTTTTTTCCTTCAGAGAACAGAGGATGAAGGTAAACCAATAGGTATGTCTGACCTTAGGTGTACATATTCTTATGGAATATCGTGTATACATATACCCACCCCCTCAACACACACCACCTCTGTCATGTTGTCTTCCCAAGAGTATAGTTGACTATGGTGATGTCAAAGTGTGTAATTAGTTTTCATTGTTCCCTTGATAGCTATAGTTCCATACAAGACCCTTTGCTTTTGATGCTGTAAATGCTATGGAAAAAATACACTAATAACAGGCATTTAATTATGGTTCTAGCAACCACAGTGGGAACACTGCCAGAAAAAGACTGGAACCTCTGAGATGGCAAAAACATATATATATATATATATATATATATATATATATATATATATATATATATATATTTGGCAAGTGGGGGAGGTTCTGTTCTTCAATTACAGTAATTTTCAAAATATTAATGACAAGCATATGGTGGGAAAATTTTAAAATGTTTCCTTGAATCTTTGTTGACAATAAAGTATGTATACAATGCTACACCCATACTGAAACCAAGAAGAACACTATCATGTCTGTAACTAAAATATTAATAAGAATAAAGGAATTGCTTATTAATCAGGGAAATACTCTTTAGAATAGCTTTATATTTTGATACTATAGGTAAAGAGTACAAAGATTTCATTTCAAATTTTGTTTTTTGCCTGGCTTTTCACAGACTTTAAAAAAATTATCACTTGTGATACAAAATACCTGGGTGCTACATTCTCTGATGTTTAATTTGTTTTATACAGTATTTAAAATAAAGTATCCCAAGTTGCTGCAATGGCAGACACCAGATCTATCACTGAGGTCCCTTCTCTCCTTATTAATTAGTAATTGGGAGACACATTTTGGCAGCTTTCGTTTCCCCATTATTTTCTCTAGTTTGACACAAAACCCTGTCAGAAGCACCACTATTTGAACTGTACCCCTCTTAGTGCTGGGTCACTAAATTTTAATAAACGGAGCTCCCGCCAGAAAACTACTGAAATAGGCGTAAAAGTTTATTGAAGCAGTAACAGTAAACAAATATATGAAGAAAGCACTGAATGCCACAGTATCTAAAACATTAATGGTCTGTCTGAACCCAGGGGTTACTGGCGAGATTGCAGAGCAGAGGCTAAAAGAAAAGGCCTTTAACAAAACCACTGCTTTCATCTGTCTGTTAAAAAAAAAAAAAAGAAGAAGAAGAAGAAGAAAAAAAAAGTATTAGCTAAATAAAGCAGGCAAACACTTTGCTGCAGCAGAACCATACATCTGAGCTTCCCTTAGCCTCCATTATCCCAACATGTTGAATAAAATTATTGGGAGGCAAAGATTTATAGCGACTATATGGACAGAGAAGCCATCCGGAAGCCACAAAAGCTCTGTCTGAGCCAAAGAAACATTTTCATAAATGGTAAGGTGAGAAACTTAAAATGAAAACTAAAAAGACTGATACTTTGGAGGTCTGCAAATAGCTACAGAATCAGTTTCAAGATCTCCATCTCAAAGTGTCAGTCACTTCAAAAACGCATCCTGCTACGATGGTGGCTCAGGACACTTGTGTGCCAGGGCAGTGGCCATGCTGTGCAAGTCAGAGGTCACCGCTTCCACATTCCGACATCTGTCTGTATTTTCTTGCCCTGAAACAATAGAAGGGGAACTAGGCTCATTTGCTCCCACTTTGTTTAACCTAATTGTTAGACACAAAAGATAATTTCCCATACTTAGAATTATTTTTTCCTTTTCCCCCCATTCTCATTTGTCTCCATAAAATTAAAAACTATTAAAAATGTAAGCACGTGAAGTTGTCTATACATTATTGAGTTCAGTAAATGTAACAAAGTTGTATATCCCACTGACATCTACAAAATATAAAACATCAAGTATCATGTCTGTCATCATCACAACCTAGATAACAATTTGCACTATAATTATCCAACCTAACTATGCCATAACCTCATTTAATTCAAACCACAACACTGCCTGTTTCATATAAAAATACTTTCATTTACTTTTATAATTTCCAGGGAAAGAGGCAAGAGCTAATTCTTAATTATAGTTTTTACATATATAAATAATTAATAAATTTTAAAATGGAAACTCTGACAGCTTGGAAACAGCAAGAAAAAAAACAAAAGGTATTTGTTAGTTCATTTAAAAACAAAAGGTCACTTTGAACATTCAAGTTATTTTAGTCTTCTCACTAGCCAAAGAAAAACAGATGCTAGATATCAGAGGAAAGTTTTCTGCGCAAAAATGGTCAACTCGTACCTGAACTTTAACCGCGATACATGTATCTGTTATTAAAACATGCATTTATTGCCTTTACACTACATCTACAACCACCCAAAATCCTACCTCTAATGAACTGAAGCAGTTTTTCATAAGTGACATAAGTAATATTTCACTGTGCCCAGCTTAATCAGGCTAAGTCAGGTTACTTTTGAAATTAATCTTACGGAAGCTCTGCTTTTACTGCAGTACATGAGAATAATGTTCCCAGCCATCATCAAACACATGCAGTAGTAAGCAGTATAGTATAAATTTTTAGTAAAGTTTATTAGGTCACTTGGTTTTCCAAATGTATCCAGAAATACAAAACATGACAGAAAATATAGCAGTCAGTTGATATACTCTCATAATTTTTAGTAACAAATATGAATTTACTTGTAAAATAATCTATGAGAACCCACAAGAAAGATTTGTTCTAATGTGATAGGAAGAGCCTATATTTCAGAGACAAAAAGGCTCTGACTTAATATAACGCATCTTAACCCCAACTGCTTCATATTTAGAGGTACCTATACTCTTATCAGTACCTTTTGCGGGAGAAAGATTCCGGGTAGACTTGAGTAATTAAAAAAAAAAAAAAAAGGCAACCAACAAATAAAAAGAACTACTTAGCATAGTCAGAAAAATGAAATCAGGATTTGAGGGTGGAGGTGACAATAGGGGCTATTAATATATCACTTTGAAGTTAGCCATAAAGTATAAGCTTCGAGAAAAAAATATGTATGGAAACATGGTACAGCCCAACATTTAACATTAATATATAATATGCCTGGGTTTAAGCATATTATTACTAAGTTAAAACATCCTTTTCTGTCAACTAAATATAAGAAGATAGCATTTTAGTAAGTTCGCAAATAAGATAGCGCTTTAAATGTAGAGAGCCCTGCCAAAATGATCATAAAGTGGTTTAGTCCTTTTCTATCGTCCATATTCATTTCCGAACCAATTTCACGAAAGAAATAAAATCGGTCTTAAAACAAGATGGCTGCTTCTAGGGGGGAAAAAAAACACGCTGATTTAACTGAAAGCCAAAAAACAAGCTTTTCTAAATCAGGAAATAAGCACTTAATCATATTTTTTCTAATCTCTAAGTAGGTATTCATGTGTTTCCAACATGGTAATCCATATATTATACTGCGTGGTTATTTTAAATCATTAATAGCAAAGCGATTTTTAAAACAGGTCTAATCAATGTGTACTAACAACATGATTGTCCAAGGCATATACATATTTGCTAACATATATGACTGTCCAGAGCATATGCCAAAACTCCCACTTTTAGTTCACACCAGAATCGTGATCATCAGTCATGAAAATCAGGTCACTTGATAAGCTATAATAGAAAGAATATTTATATCTTATATCTCCTAAGAATCCAATCATAAAACTTGCAGCAATATCCTATTACAATCAAATCAACTGTACTTGACTTTTTAAAAGTAAAAATCATAGGAACTTTACTGTTAGACGATCTCTCCTTGAGCTACACTTTGCTGACCCTCCCTAAAGCAACTGGAAGATCAATTCTGATATGCATATAAAAATTAAGAGCATTTTATCCATCTTGAAATAATTTTAAAATAGATTTTTAAAAATCATTCAAACGTATTTTTATTCCTCACTTGAGTGGAAAATAAGACCTGACAGTAACATTTTCTTCAACCTGTCAACTGTCAATTGTATGAAGGATGTTTCTAAAGATGACAAAGGTTTATTTTTCCTTATTGAAAATGATAGAATTCTACCTGAATGAAAGCTGAGCTAACCATCACTGTGGTACACTACTGTCTCTCAGCAACTAGCTAGCCTAAATAAGAGTTTTCAATATTTTAAAATAATGTTTTCATTGAACTATATGGTTTACTGTTTGAAAATTATATTCAGAAGCCTCAAAAACAAGAATTTGCATCCACTCAAATTTTTCAATTAGAAAATAGCACACGGATTTCAGTTTACAATAAATCCTTTAGAGAGTACAATAAAAAGTACTATCAAGAATATGAAGATATTAGGAATGATTTTACTCAAGATCATGCAAAATAGTTGTAGTCAGAAAAAACTTGATTAATTTTTAATTTTAAGCTAGATGGTCCTGTGTCATTGTGCTCCTTTATGACTGACTAAATTTTGAAAACATAAATGCAGACAAATTTAAGAGGAAATAAATCTCCTAGTAGTGAGTAATATCCTATTCAGAAGCACTGGAAGTTCACATTAATCACAAGAAACTTTTCTACAAAACAGCTCAGGACATAGGTTGAAAAGCAGACTAAAATATAAATTTGATAATATAAATCAGGCCCTTAAAAGAGACAGTAATTTATTGATGTTTGGCTGTCTAAGACCACCATCGTAAGACAAATTATTAAAAGTGAATATTAATACCTCATTTCTTATACTCCTCTTTGAGGATTTTATACCTGAAAATGAAGGTGTTATCCATCACAAATGATCAAAGGGCAATTTTTTTCCTCAGTTCAGAAAGCGGATCTGACTGAGTTGTCCTGGGTAAGAGGCAAGGACCTTCCTCACTGTGCTTAGGGAAATTGAGGCTTCCTTTGCAACATGGATATTCTAATCCGGAATGCTATTTTAACAGTTTGTATACTGCTTCTGAAAAGAAAATTGATAATATAGAATCGTCAACACAGAGTCGTTCATTATTTCAAACAAAATATCACAGCTTTTTAAGTCTTTATTGCTACCGAAGTTATTCAACACATGCACAAAAATGAGGAAGGTTGAGTGGTATCTTATAAAAAATTTTTAAATTTATATTGAAAACACAAACCAATAAGCCACTAGACCAAATGCTACCCAACATGTAAAATTCTATTCTTAACATATTCTCATATTTTGTTCATTTTTATTTTAATGCTTTCTCTCTCTCAAAGGTAAATTTTCTGGCATATACTTATCCCAAGCTAGCAAAGGCCAGAACTCCTGAAGGACTAATTGTATTCATTCATTTTCTTGGCCCAGCGTGAAGCTGGTAGCTTGCTTGGTTCATAGCAACAGGGGAGAAAAGGAGGCGCCCATCTTTATGTCCTTATCCAACAGGAAACCAGGCCAGTGGACAGAATGCAGTGAAATGCCTGTTCAGAAGGTATTCTGCAAGATTAAATGGCAAGAAATTCACAAGGTTAATTTGCACCCAAGTAACTAAGTGTTCCCTCCAAACCTGATCCTCAGCCTTCAAAGGTGGAAGCTTCTGAAGCTACTGTCAGCCACAACACACATGACAACAAGATATTAGTTCAGTGAGCTGATGGTTTAGTTATTACCACTAAAATCACCTAACAGAGAGTAATAAACTACTGAAGACTCTGATACTTTTAATCACTAGTAGTTTACTGACCTTGGTCTTACCCTGAAAATGCCAAATTAGACTGTATAGCCAAATCTGCCTCAAATAGCTCTAATGTTCCTATCATCTAAAAATCAGACAGTTGAGTATTTCTGATAGTTTATTGTGAATATATAAAATAATGAATCAAATAGGTAGAACATATCTTAGTAGCTAACTCTGCTTTTCAAAATTCTATGGAAAACTCACCAAAAAACAGGAATCATACTTCTCTTTTACAAATTTCTAGATTAAAAAGGGGGGAGGGTCAATTCACGTCTCTTATAAACATATAAGCATAAAAACATGGGTTATAAACCTCAATCATACTGCCTTATTTTTAGCCTGGTACTTGCATAAATTCTGATCTAAATTTCAGAGTAACAAAATTACTACCAATACATCTAATAATGTGATACGTTACACTGAGGCTTAAAGTTAATGCCTTTTACTTGAAAAACATTTATGTTTCTAACATACAAAATATTACTTAAAATATTTAAAATTTCAAAAGTAAGGACAATCTAAGTTTTGTGATGAAACTCATTCAAGACCAAGATAAACTTTCAATCTTTACTCACAACAAATTCTTAGATTTAAACCATGCTGATTTCATTTACTTGTCAGTGAAAAGGTCACAGTGCCGGCATACTGGTATACATATGTCAAAATGATGATGGCTCAGATTTTTTTTAAATGGAGCAACTAAATTTTGAAAGAAGAAAAATACTCAAGGGAATATGATTAGGAAAAAAAAAATGTTACTACTTCTCTCTTCTTAGCCACATACATTTGACCTGTACTGCCAGAGGACTTGGGAGTGTTGACCTAGAATTCACATTACTTTCACAACTCCAAGATTACGTGTTAACAAAACTAAAAGGTGTCAATTACCTGCTACTCTAATATGAAATGTTTAATATACAAGTCCCTACAAGAATTGAAAAAGTCCAAAGAAAACATGATTAGGTTAAAGTTTAGTAAATCCTTCATGACTTACACAGATATTTTCCTCTTAAGAGTATAACCTTTTAAATTGATGATACTCAAACCTTAACAGAAGCAAAGCACCAGGTTGAGGACGACTGGTATTCCTAAAAGTGTGTTGGTCATATTTGCTGCTGTATTATTTGACTATTGCATCAATAATGCCAACCAGTAGGAGATATGTTTAATTACCCTAATATCATTTCAGCAAATAGTCAAAATAATCCAAGAAGAACTTAGAATACGCACATGATGTTTAAAAGTATATTCTTATTAGAAGCACCAAACTGCTTATGGCATACTTCAGATGAAGAGGCATGTTCTTAGTATTATGACTCTCTTTATAAGCATAGCTACTAAAGGAGAATGTAAATAAACTTTTATTACTGGAAGTCTTTTTAACTTTATTTAAAAGCTTTTTACATTCTTAAAGAAATTAAGGACAAATAGTTATATTCTTCTTGATGTGGATTTTCATTACTCAAAGTTACTTGGTGACATTCCAGTTTAGAATTCAGAATAATATTAAAAGGATGATTTGATTATTTACACTTTTAGGTAAAACTTATACAAGTTTTCAAATTTTGGAAATATAGAAGATCTATTTAGGCAAATGTTATCATATATTTCTATTCAAACTGATAGTTCTGAGTGGCTATTTCACAAATTTGTGCCAATTCAACACATAAAAAAATCAGTTTGGTCCCCTATCCAATAAATACTACCAACTAAAAGTTATCAGCATTTGAAAACTCAGTATCCACTTCTCAGAAGTGAATACCTGGGTACATAGATTGTAACAGTAAAACTATTCTGACAGCAAATAAATTTAATATTTTTTCCCGTGAAACTACATCTATAGATGCTCATTTATCAATGGAGAGGCAGTAATGAAACTCCATGTAGAAGATAAACTCCTACCAGATACACAAGTGACACAAGTTACACAGTAAGATACTGTACTTAATCCCTGTGATCAAGATACATTTAATTCTGATTTTACCTAAACATAATTTCAAATTGAATCTGTTAGTATAAGCTAAAGTAGATTTACTTCGTTTAGACACAGTGTACATTATCATCAGTTTAACGTGCCCACTGAACATATTATATTCTGAGGGAAAAATAAAAAAAATTATTTAAGTTGCAATTAAAGTCCTCTATTCTTTTTTCAAAAGATTGAAGTCTTACTAGTTTAGCAAAATTTTAACAGATAGGTTCTATATAAAGACACAAAGCATGGCTAGCTTACTTTATGAAATAACATACAGGAAAAGGAATTGCACAACAGTGAATTTATAAAATTTACTAAACCCGTGGAAATTTTCTGAAATATTTTCTTACTATTGTTTGTGGAAAACTGTTAGTTTTTATTTTTAAAATACTTATTTGGCATGTGGCCTCTTATATCCAAGTTGACTTTTCTTAATGCATCAAAAGAGCAACATCTTATTCAACACTTCAGAGATAAAACTGCCTACTTTTAAAATATTGTTTTTAAAGTAAGTTTTTAACTGTGATAACATACCAAGATAAATGTGTCCATAAATTCCTAAGAATAATAAGTGTTAGGGCTGTATCTCTTGGGGTTAAGAGGGGTACATCATTCTTTCTTTTGGCCATTATCAAACTGATAATGATCAAATAGAAAGGTAATTCTACAAACCTGAAGTTAGAATACCGATTTAGAAATACTCTTGGTATTTTAAAATTCTGCAGATTAACTTTGTCTGGGCAGGTTCAAAGCCTCCATGGCATCCTGAGCAGAAGAGTTTTCTGCAGGCAGGGCAGATCTATTAAAAAACATGACCTGTGACAAAAATCAATGTGCTAATCTCAAACCAAACAACAGTATCAAAAGCACAAAACAGAGATAACCTAAGATAAAATGTCCTCAAACTAACTCAGACTAGCTTGACAGGTTAAGAAGGGGGGTTAAAGTAGGGGTGTTGCTGGTTCTTTCCGTTTTAACCCAGGAAGACTGGAACACCCAAGTATCCAAATAAATGAATGCCATGAGAAAAAGATCACAATGTGGAGCTTGGTGTGGGAAAGAAAAGACAACCGAGAGCAAGATATCCCAAATTCAAAGAAACTATTTCAGTGTTGCTTTATTTAATAAGGTGCTAAAGTTCAGAGATACAAATTTCTGCTTCGTATATGCTGCCTAATAAAGCACAAACGGGGAAAAAAAACTAACCAACATAATGAGACTGGCTTTTAACACCATCACAACTGGAAAGCTTGCTCTATTTGTCTTGTCAGCTTTAATAAAAGGCATCTCTCCTCTGGCAGGATGGCTTCTTTTTCTCTTTTCCTAATAGTGGTAAGTGGCATGTCAAAGAAGAAATCGCTTCCCATTCCACCACCCACCTCCAGGAGACTCTTGTTTTTTGAACCAAACTTTCAGGAATATCTCCACTCCTGTTCAGCGGTTCATTTAGGACTTGGGCGGCTACCTGAGTAAGACTATCTTGGACTAGCGGGATAGGGGGAACTCCCTCCTGGTTCTGTAACCGGCGGACTGCTTGTGGGGAAATCTTCCCATCTTCATCTGCGCTGACATTATTCAAGCAGGGAATCCCTCTCTTGCCTGCATGCTGAGGGGAGGCTGGAGGCAGGCGGAGAGGGCCCGCAGGAGATAGAAAAAACTGGAGGCGCCCACCGATACCCTCTCTCCTGGAGCCCGGGGCGCGCACCAACTCTTAGGCTAACCCCTCGGCCTCCCGCCTCTCTCTTCCCAACTTCCACTCCAGCCCAGTGAAAAACCTGTGACTTTAGATGCAATCGGTACTATTAATAAATAGCACCTAGGAGGGCACCGAGACCGGCACACAGCTGGAAGCTAGCCTCTGTCCCAGAGAAAGCAGTGCGGTATGGGCCTAGCGGGGCCGACTTCTGTGCACAGGCCGGGAAGCAATAAAGGTTCGGAACTGCTCCAGACCCGGAGGACCCCGCCGGGCACTCTGGATAACCTCCCCACTCCACTTCCAGGGTCCGAAAACACGGGACGTCTGCGACTGGCCGGTGTCCAGCACGCGCACTAGGACCGCCCCCGGCGCCCACCTCTAGTCTCCCGCATACCCGGCGGGCTTCGGGACGCCTACAAATCGGTTCCAGGTAATCGCGCGCGTTCCTCCGGCAGCACATCGCCAGGCCGCGGGCGAAGGGCTCCCACCTCCTGGCTCGGCCAACTCTGGCAGCTTGTTCTGCACACATGACGTAACCCGGCATTAGATCAAACTTTCTGGCACCTTGAACCCACTGGGGTGGGTGGAGGGATGGAGAAGATGGGAGAATCCTCTCCACTGCCAGGCGCGCCGGGCCCAGACTGACTCAGGGGCCGAATGATTTCCTCGCAGTTGAAGAGGAAAATAAAAACCTAAAGCTTCCGCTTCCCAGCCCCCCTCACTTCCCCCAGCCCGTGCGCTCTCTCTGCGCGCACCGGGAAAAGAGAAGGGAAAATTAAAATTAAAAAAAAAAAAAAAAAAAAAAAAACTTTGGGGGATGTTTGGCGGGTTCTCTCCGCAGTCCCTGCGGACCCACGCTCCAGGAAGGAGCTCCCGGCTGCGCACACTGGGGGCTCCCCGCGCCGGGAACCGGATGCCAGCCAGATGCCGGGGCTGGGAAGCAGAGAAGTCCCTACTCCCCGGCTCCCGCCCTTTTCCGAGTCTCCCGGCGCCCCGCAGAAGCAGTTGGTCTAGGCAGCCCCGGGGACTCCCAGGGGTACCTGGCCTTTCCGCGGCGGCTTAACAAAGAGGGGCGCGACGCGAGCGCTTCCCGCCGACGCCTCAAGCCATCAGCGCCCGGGCGACGCAGGCTCCGAGGGTGCGCGCCGCCAGCGGTTGGTGCGCGCCGATCCCCGCCGCCGCTCCTTCCGCAGGGCCCCGAGGCCCGGGTAGCCCTGGCTCTCCGCCTGTTATCGGCTTACCTGGGGTTGCTGCTGTTCCAGTAGACAGCGTAGCGGTCGGCGACGGCCTTGGAGCCCGGGTCCTGGCTGAACACACACATCCAGAGCACCAGAAACACCAGCGTCAACATCTCCACGTGCAACATCACGCCTGGCCAGCGGCGGAGCCCCCGACGCGCCACTCCGGGGAGAGAGCGGGGATCCGGAGGGAGGGAGGCAGGCAAAGGGACAGAGAGAGAGCGGGCGCCAAATAAATATGAATAAATAAAAATGAAAGTGGGCGAGAAAGGAAAGAGGCGCCCACCAAGCTGGGGAGGGGTAGGAGAGCGAGAAGAAAAGAAGGCGGTGGGATGGGGGGTGATAAAGACAAACTCGCACCCCCACTGGAGGGTTCAGGAGGAAAAAGGAATCACAAGATGGAGAGAAGCGTGCGTGTGTGTGGTGGCGGCGGCGAGGGCGGGGGAAGAGGTGCCAAGCTGTGTCTCGGGCGGCGGCGGCAGGCCGGTCACCCCGGGAGAGGGAGGTGCGCGCCGGGCCGGGCGGCTGCAGCGCGGGTCGGGGCAGGCGGCGGCGCGCGCTGCACAGTCACCGGGAGTTGCGCGCCGCAGCCGCGGGGAGACATACACCGGCCCGCCGGGCCCGGCTCAGCGTCGGCGCAGCAGGCTACGCACGGCTCCGCCACCGCCCGGGGCCCTCGCACTGCGCCACGCTTCGCTCCAAGTTACTTTGGCGGCCGGTGGGAAACTGCAGGAGAAGGGCGACGTGCTGATAGAGGGCTTCGCGCTTGTGGTCCCGGGAGTCTGAGAACCCCTTTCCTCAGCCTCCTCTGTGCCTTAGCGGGGCGACCCCCAGAAATCTCAGAGGAGTCGTAAGTGCTGCGGTACCGGGCGGTGCGCCGAGAAGGGTGGGGATCCGGAGCCGCAACCCAGCCTTGTCGGTGTCCTGGAACTGGTTAAGCGGCAGCTGCGCCGGCTTTCGAAGCGGTCTTGCCTCGAAAACCTCAAAGAAAAGTTTGGCTCTTCGCGTCTTCCGGCAGGTCCCCCAGCAGAGTCGGAACGCGGCGGTAGCGGAAGAGGGCACCCCGGGGGCTGGCCGAGCCTCGGGGATTTCTCGCGCGTGCTTTCCTTGGCTGGGTGTGGGTGCACCACAGTGAATGAAGAGCAGAGGTTAAGACCAGCCGGCCTGGCAGAGCTGGGATTCCTAAACCTGCAAGACGACGCCAACCCAACTGTTCGGCTGGAGAGCGGGAGGGGAAACAATCACTTTCAAATGGATCCCTCCAACTCCTGGATGGGCCGATGTCAGTCTCCGATCGCCTTCCGAGAGGGAGACTGAGCCCCCACACGCGGTGCCAAGAGCCCGGGGTGAGCTCTCAGAAGTGTCCCTGCGACTCCAGCGGGTCCAAGCCTAGCAACTTGTAGAGATGCATCAATCAGTTTGAAATGGGAAAAGAGGAAAAAAAAAAAGCGCACGAGCGAGTGGCACCTCCCCGATGACTACATCAGAAAACCTTCCCGATCCTCCCGCAGCTGCTCCTCTTTCCCTCCTTAGGCACAGCAGCAACAGAGGTGAAAACCACAAACCGAATCCTAAAACCCCTACCCAGGCGGGAAAATAAATAAACTTGAGTGCAGCAGCAGCAGCACGAGCAGCCCAGGAGGAATTGAAACGACTGGCAAGAAGTGGAAAGGGTTTTGTAAAAGTCAGTTTTGCAAAAGAGGGGGAAAAAAAGAGAGCGAGAGAAAAAATGCTTTATGGGAAAAAAAATCTCCTCGGGCACGCCCCCTCGTTAATGACTTGCGTGGAAAGCCGACAGCGGCGGCGACCCAGTGGCAGCAGCCTCAGCAGAGCGCGAGGCCGCACGCGTGAACGTGGACGTGGGCGGGGGGATGGGGCTCCGCCCGGGCGTGTTGCGCGGGACGCGGGACGGGCGGGCGGCGCGAGCGCGGGTGTGAGCTCCGGACGAAGCAGGGGGAGGTGCCGCCAGCCCGCGCCCAGCCAGCGCTGCTGCCGCTGCGGCCCGGGTCATGTGGACTGTCTTTTTTTTTTTTTTTTTTTTTTTCCTCCTTCCAAGCAGTTTACTTGGGAAGGGTGGGAGCGCGGTGGGGGGATAGCTGGAGCAACCAGTCAGGGAACGGCCTACTGTTTGCTTACAGATTGGGGGTTTTTCCTCTCTCTTTACTCCAACCGGATTGGTTTGCTCCACGAGAAAGAGGCGTTTTCCTAATCTCCCTTCCCCACGCCTCCTACCCCCTCCCCCGCCCCACCTTCTAGAAACCTGACTAATTGAATTACTGGGAGTGCCGAGGCGCCCTCTCCTGCGCCGGAGCCCGGCAGCCACGTGTAACCCTTTGGGTGCTGAATTCCGTCTGGGCTAAGGAATGATTTGACATCTTTTTACCTGGGAGTAGGGTCTTTCGATTTTAAAGGAACCTGTGCCCACCCTTTGGCTGGAGAGCCGGCATCTGTCTCTGGTGCCCCGCAGGTGACGGATGGGCTGGAACGGAGCCTCAGGGAGTGCGCGTTCCTGTCCATTCCACCCGCTCTCCACGCCGCACGCTGCCTGGCGCTGGGTTATCTGGAAGTCTGAGCACCCCTCCTGTGCCTTTCAGCCCTCCTCTTCCCACTTGGGATTTAAAGATTCTTGGGCAGGAAGCAAGTTTTCTTTAAAGTGATGCTCTGAAAACACGTTTTTAAAAATCAGGCAAATCACAGTTTAAAGTGATTACAATTCAGCGCGAACCTTCCACAGAGAGGAAATGAATGCGGCAGACGAGCCCTTCAGAAATAACCTCACACCTCTTCCATTTCAACCTTGAGGGTGATTTGCTGCCCACTCCCCAAAGAATAAACGCCTTTATCGAACCCGGTGCGGAAAGAAATGAGGGCCGGGGGCGGGGGCTGTGGGAAGAAAAGCAGTTCCTTTATTGTTGGAAAAGGCCCCTCGGTCCTGGACTTCAAGGGCAGGTTGCAAGCCTGGTCTTCAGCCGCCACTGAAGAGCGATCTCCTGGCAGCGAGACTGTCCCAGCGCCTCGGGACGCGTCCCCACTGTCGTCCAGCGCCCAGGAAGTGAGCCCGACGCCTGCTCTGCGGGGCCACAGGCCCCCGAGACCCGCCCTTAAGGGGTCCGCGGGCTCGGGAGCAGCGGTATTTTTTCTCATGTTCCCTAGGGAGTTTTCTGCCTTAGTGGGAAGGGCAGATCCCCAGGAGAAAAAAGGCAGTTTACTTTTGCTCCCACACCTGCCTGCACTCCTTTTTACTTATTAGCCCAATAAAATCAAATCTCACGTTCACCCTCCTGCGCTTTCCAGTCCTCAGACGGGATTTCCAGGCGCTTCAGAGCTGTTTAGAAGCGTCCAGACGCCCTCCAGTGGTGGGCCTGCAATCCGCACCCAGCAGGGGCATTGCCTGCCGCTCAGGCCGGGTTGAATTTGATGGGAAATCTAGGGCTATGACCAATAAAGACTCGAGAGGAAAAGAAACAGTTCATAGGGGCACGGAGGTACCTGGATGTTATGGGCTCTTGGCTAAAAGTTAAGTCGTTTTTCAATTACAGTAATATTTCCTATCTGAAAAGATCCTGAAATCGTCCTAGGAAAGTAACTTATATTTTGTGACTAGATACAAATTGCAATCTGTACAATAATGGACTTTACCACAAACCAACCATCTGCCTAATTATTAAAAATTGAAATTCAGAATGTCGACACAAATGCTCCTCCATCATCTGTATGTTTCACAAAGTTCCAGCAGTGAGAAAGAAGTGGGGAAAGAAGTGAGAGAACCAATGGATAAGCTTTTATTTTTCAAATCAAATTTTCAGTTAAAATGTTATTTGCTTTTTTCCCTGGTCTGTAATCTTGCTGATGTTCAAGTTCTTGGCCCATTTTAGGGTGTGTGTTTTTTCTGTTGCAGGAAAGATGGATTTGTTTCCTTAGCTTTTCTTATAGTGGCTCTAATAGGTGCTCATATGACAGAGACAGTTTTGCAGGAAATATTCTGGACCCTTTTAAGAGATATGTGTATCTTTAAAAAGAAAATTCACGACTCCTGTCTAGGGTAAAATGCTGATCCTCACTGAAGAGTCTTTTTAGTCAGGGAACTATCAGGTAACAGGGAGCTAGCAAGCTGGCTTCCTGTGGCATCAAAGCTGAAAAAAAGGTGAAGAAAAAGAAATGGTATCCACTCATTTCCCGTTTGAAACACATACAATAACCAAATGGGAAAATTCAATTATATCACAAAAATATGGATGTCCTTATATTTAAATATCTCTACTATTTAAAGTTTGAATAGTCCCATATTAAACAGAAAAAAAAGTATACATTGTCCTCTTCCATAAAGTGATTCATAAGATTGGAATAAGATGTTGAAATTCGCGGCTGTTCATAACATAACTCAAATGTCTATGTGAAACAATTCATAAACCTAAATCAAATGACTCTGGGATTATGTGCCTAAGTAATTATTGGTATGGAAGTTACTAGTCAGCAGGATGATAGATACAGTAAGTCCTTAATGTCAGGGATATGTTCTTGGAAATTGTGACTTTAAGCGAAGTGGCATATATAAGGAAAACAATTTCACCATAGGCTACTTGATACAAACAAGAGTTAAATTCCTATGCATATCTCCGGTCACAAAAACATCACCAAACTTCCAGATAAAGACCAAAACACTTCTAATGTTAAACATTGAAATAAATGTGAGCTAGACATACATTTGAGAAAGATTAATAAAAACAAGTAAGATCATGTAACCAATTTTTCCATTTCAGGATTGCAGGTGGCCGGAGTTCAGGGCTCAAGGAGGAAAGTAACCCTGGACAGGACACCCTTCTATCCTGGGGTGCACTCACACTCACACCCACACTCACGCATACTGAGAATATTTAGATATGTGCACAGCTTAGACACAACCTAGCGAGCACAGCTGTGGGTTGTAGGAGGAAACCAGAGTACCCGGAGAAAACCCACGCAGACATGAGGAGAATGTGCAAACTACTCACAGACAGTGGCCATGGCCTGGAATCGATTTTTTTTCTCATCACCATTATGACGAAGTGACGTTCAACCAAACAGCGTTGAGGACCTGCTGTACTTGAACAGAGTTTGAAGAGCTATATTATTAACTGTACACTTACCGTTAGATAATGTGACTTTGTCTCTTCAGGAAAGCATTCATGTGATTTAAATTTATACAAATCAACATTATATAAAATAATTTTATTATAATTCGCCCAGTGTCACAGAAGCAATGACTTTTAAACGACTTTAAATGCCCTTTAGAATGTAAGTATTTTGCCAGGTATAGGAGGAGGTGAACGTATAACAAAAAGAGAACAGCAAGAACCTAAAAACATGGGGACAAAAAAATGCAGACAGTGTTCAAACGCTTCGAGTTTGACAAGACAATGTTGTAGGGAGCTGAGACCTGAAAAAATAGGTTGGTAATGGACGATAAAAGGGCTTATCTGCAATTCTGTTTCCATTTAAAGCTATAGGCCACTGGGTGCGCTGGTGGGTTTAAAGCAAGTGCCATTGAAGCAATAATTTATATGCCCCAAATTAAAGCACAAATAGGAATTTATGCGTTTATTTAATTTTTGGGGCTTGAACTACCTTGATCAGTGTTCTAACCTTGGCTACAAATTAGAATCACCTAGGGAGCGTTAAAAAACAAACAAACAACAACAACAACAACAAAACCAATACCAGGGCTCCACTTCCTGTTTTAGTTGGTTAGGAGGGGGACTTGGGATCTACAATTCTTAAAAGCTCTCCAGGGAATACTAGTGAGCATAGAGGATTGAGAACCACTGATCTCAATAAATAACCACTGGTAAGTTATTTTTACCTTAACTAATATTTCAGGCAAAAGTAAGTTCTGCACTTACTTATCTGGAGAAGTAGCCCAATTCACCATTAAGGCCAGAATATTGATACCTTAGAGAATTTCATGATCTCTATTAATGTGAAGTGACACTGATACTTTTAAATAATTTTTACATGGCACAAAATTATCTGTGAGTGCCAACTCCAAGATGTGGTTGCAGGGCAAAGCTTAAATATGGATTAATCTTATTTTTTAGACTAGTTTTTAATTTGAATTAGCTGCCACCCAATAGAAGTAGAGTTCTATAGTCTCAGGGTGCCTAGACAAATAAATGAAATAAGCTGGCAAATCAAATTCCTCAGTCCTAAGCAACTTTTAATATAGCAGTTAAATTAGAACTAGTATCCAGAAGAGATCATAAAGAAAATAAACTCTAGAGCAAAAATTAAATAATAATTAAACACAAAACTTTCTAACAGATGACTAACATAATGGTATTTAAGCTAACTCTGCTATTTTTCTAGAACATTTAGAATAAATTCTGAAGCTCCAAGAAGCTAAGATCCTATCACCAAACTGTGACTCAGCTGTCCTGCCCACAGAATGTTTGAAGTTACCAATAAAGCACTCTCTCTTCCCCACCTGTTTTTATAACAAGTTCCTAAGAATCTTCAGAAATAACTCTTTGCTGACTTTTCTCTCCTCAGAGACTTTAAGAAAAGCTCCTTTTCTATCCCTGATCTAGTTATCTCTTCTGTGTACAATCTTAAAAAAAAAAAAAAAAAGACTATAAAGTATTACATCTCTCCTTTCATTCCTGTGACCTTCAACTTCCATCATGGATTTTCTCCCTTTTCCTCATTCTCCCCTTCCTTTTCTGGGGTTTGCTAGAATTTATTTCCTTAAATCTACAGAGAAACAGAAGCAGTCCTGCAAGTTGCTGCAATATTCTGAAAGAGGCATTTTAAAATTTTTTTATCTATGAACTTAGTCTATTTGTTGTTTTGCCCATTTCAAAGCATATTTTAAGTAAAACCAACATAGTAAACTTCTTAAACACACAGAACTTTCAGCAGTCATTTTGGTAAACAACATAAACCATATAATTAGGCACATTTGTAAATATGTGTTATGTTTCTATGTATCACAAATGCGTATGTGCTCCTATGAAATTTTTTTAAAAAGCAAGCAAGGACTGGTTAATGTAACCAATTTCCACATCACTTTTCATTATCTAGATTTCAGTACATATACCATACATACAGTTATGTGACCAGTTTTCAACCAAAAAACTTACATTTGTAAGTAATTTTATTCCCATAAGCCATTTTCAGGTTGTCTTTTGCTAACAAAATGTGCATATACATTCTACACCTCTGTATTTCCCTCATCAGATTTTTTAATTAAAATTACCAAGTAAAGTTTATCTGTACTTTACGAATCTAATAGATCAATCAGCATAAAGTATATTGTTCTGGCTGGTGTGGTAGCTCAAGCCTATAATCCCAGAGAATTTGGGAAGCCGAGGCAGGAGGATCACTTGAAGCCAGAAGTTTAAGACCAGCTGGGGCAACATAGCAAGACCCTGTCTCAGGAAATATTATTAAAATTAGCCAGTTGCGGTAGCACGTACTTGTAGTCCCTGCTACTCTGCGGAGGCGGGAGGATCTCTTGAGCCCAGGCGTTCAAGGCTGCAGTGAGTTATGATCACACCACTCTCCAGCCTGGATGACACAGCAAGACCCTGTCTCTAAAAAATAAAAATAAATTTAAAAAATATATATATACTCTCCTGAATTGTTCTTTGCAAATTCTTAAATAACACACTATATACCTTGCTTAAATGAATACATATTACCATGAATGTATATTATCAAAGAAAATAAAAGTTGGTATTTACGTTTTATTACAATGGTAATCATAGATATCTACAGCATACTTGCTTTTAAAAAAGGAATATAAATAGGATTTTCAGAAAAAAAGCTTAATTTGTACTTTTTTCTGCATTCAAACTAATAATTAGGATATGTTTCTCCCAACAGGTCGAAGAAAAGCATGTAAGTATGCATTTTTGTATTCTTTTACTTGCTTAGAGCCTTCCAAAAACCTGATTTTTAAAAAAAATATATGTTGATACACACACACACACACACACAGAACATCTGTAACAAGCATATAGACAGAGAGAGAAAGAGAAAGAACTTATTTTTCCATCAATTTTTGCCACATATTTTCATCAACTTCTGTGAGAATTCTACTTAAAGATCAATAGAGGATATAACCCTTAGTAAGCATGATTAAATAAAATAGAAAATGCTGTTTCTAAGCCCCTGTTTTAGCTTTGGCTTTACTTTTTTTCCCCCTCCAGATCTAAACTGGCTAAGCAAAGTAAGTGTAGAATTATCGCAAACTAAGATATTCTTTCCTCATATTATGTGTATTTTTTTTTTTAGGTAAAAGACTTCTTTAGGGGGATTTTGGTGTCAGTATTTTTCGAGTCTGGGAAAAATTGTTCTCCTACTGCAGATTTATAACTCTAGTCTGAGACTTCTAAATGCCTTATGCCAACATTGTAAATTTTATTGTGATGCTGTTAAGTTACAGTTTAAGGTATAATTTTTTTAAAAGCATTTCATCTTGTAGTTTGGGATAATAGTTATAAAGCTGGTCTCTATAGAAACCATTTTAACTTATGATCTTAGAACGCCAGGTAATAATGCAGAGGATTATTGGCCAAAACTTTTTTTTTAATGAGAAATATTTTACTGAATTGACTCTTTCTAAACTCAAGTCTGGGGAGGAGCGTGTGCTCTTAAGATGACTACCTTTTAATCAGAGATTATCACTCTCCATTTCCATTAGTCTCTCTTTTTTTGGCATGTGATGTATGCTAAATTAAATAGGATTTATTGGTTCAGCTAGATTCTGAATTACCCTCTTTTCCTGTGGATTAGGAGAGTGCATTTTTAGCCCTTTTCCTTGAAATCCATCAGGATCTTTTATGTGGACTATCTAGTATTCTGCACACTTCCAATGCTTAATAAATATTACATTACAATATTAGCATAATAATAAATCATCTTAAAGTACTACCTGGGCTATTGAGATCCCATTCAGTTTGAGCCAAGACATCAAAAAGTTTTATTTTCTCTATATGCATGCAAAATAATTTAAAACTCCCTTTCCATGAAATGTCCTTGCATCCATAAGTCTACATGTTACAAAGTGAAGTGGTGAAGTGTGTACCTTCCAGTTACACATTTCACTTGTTCAATATATTCTGGGGACTGAATTTGCCATTTTAATAAGAGAGAGTTTAAAATTGGGCAGACAAAAATGGAAATAGCACCATTTGTCAAGTAAATGTTCTTTTCCCAATGGCAATTCTGAAATTTTTATACAAGATTACCAGGCCAGCAGCTAGATAGTGTTTCTTGCCATTAAGAAGTTCTGCTTTGTCTATGATTGGTTATGTCACACAGACCTAGAGTAACAGCCACTGAAAACATGAGGATTTTCCTTACAGTTACAGAAACAAAAATGAAGTAGAAAATGATTCCGTTAACACAATACTATCCTCACTGGTTGCTTTAAGGACGGTCCTAGTTTGAAACTGCCATCAAGGAAAAGAATAAAAATATTTCCCTTCCAAAGATAGTGTTCAAATATTGTACATTTTATCCACCTATATATAAATCAAATGGTATAAAAATGATGCATCATCTGTGGTAGATAGCAAAATGGCCCAGATCACCTCCTTACAGTGTAATTTTGCAATTAGTCCTCCTCCCCATCAATAGATAAGAGTTTTGTTTTGTTTTGTTTTGTTTTTTACCCTTTACACCTGAACTGATGTTGTGACTTGCTTTGGCTAACAGAATGTGGCAAAAGCAATGCTGTACCAATTTTGAGCCCTACCTCATGCAGTCTTCAAGCATTCCTGTAAGAAGGCTGTCCAGTTGCCATGCAGACAAGCCTAAGCTAGCATTCTGGTTAATGAGAGGCATGTAGCCTAGTCACTCCCAGTGTCCAATCCAATCCCCAGAAACAGGGCTACCTTGATGACTGGCAGCTGCCTGCAGATGCCTATAGATGTATGAAGAAGCCCAGTTGAGACTAGAAGAACTGTGCACCAAAGCCCAGCCTAAACTGCCAATGGTTCTTGTAAGTCCCCACATTTTGAGGTGTTTGTTATACAGCAACAAATAACAGATACATCTTTTTCTTACATTATTGGAAATAAAAATTTGAATATTATTTAGCTCAAATGTTGTTATTTTTCACAACCTTTTCATTACTGAATTACTTTGTGTTAAATTTGTAATTGGTAATCACAACTTTCCAAATATCTCTAACAACAATGTTTGTTTCTGCTGCGTTATAAATTTCATAGGGAGACTTTGTCTTCAACACAAGCCTTACTTGGAACCCTAAATGAATACAATTAACATTCAGGCTTTTCTGATCCTCTTTGGATAATGTCATTTGGTTAGAAGAGCAAACCTGAGCAGACGATTTATCCAGAGGTGATTCTTCTTCTAAAGTGGTGTCCAGCAAGAAAAATGAAATGGTAAAATCAAAGGAAGCTATGTTTAGCTTCAACTCAAATCTCCGCATCACTCACTACTATTGATTTAACGTCATGGCACCTCCATATTTCAGCAGGAGGATCTGCCACAAGACAGAAACTATAGTGACCCTGTAAGGGTCATCTTGATGTCAACTTCAAATTACAACATCTCTGCTCTTGGCTGACAGCCATGGCAGGCCCAGGAAAGTACAGCTCTCTTTCTGTAGATGGAATAGATGTATTTCAAGGAAGTGAGATTATAAAGGGAAATATTATATGTCAAATCGCCTCTTCCTGTAAGGTTCTAAAATGAGAGGAAGGTTTTGTCAGGGTCGCTTATATGCAGTCCCCCAGGTCTGTTTACTAGCCCAAGTTTATTCATCCAAGTTTCTAATGTGTGCCATCTAGGGTGGAGTCTAATCCACAAACTCAAAGTCATCATTCCAGCTCTCACTGCATTTTCTTCCTCTGCAGCAACGGAACCATTGGCTACGCTTCCTTCTTATCCTTTGGAGTTTGTTATTTCACACTTGCAGAGTTGTTTTGTTTGTTCGTTTGTTTGTTTTTAATCTCCAACTTTTTTTTTTCCACCACTTCATCTCTCACTCACAGCCCAGGTCCAGGCACATAGTAAACAACTTAATAATTCTTTGTGAAATGAATAAATGCATAGTACCCACTCCTTAAATATAGGTGTTTTTCTTTAGACTCCTTCTTTACCAACATGATCTTCTTTAACAATTCCAACCACAGTTACAGCTCCAATTATAGTTTCTTTATGGCTGTCTCCCAACTTCAGCTCTCGGACTTATTGTCTGCCACTATCAGAACCACCTCCCCAGGCTTCTGGTTGACTTTTCAGCATAACTGTACTCCAATACCTCAAAGACAGCAAGTCCAAAAAATGCATCTATTCTTTCAACAGACAGAGCTGCCTTGCTCTGGGCATTCCTGCTCTCCAGCATGCCAAGATCAGAATAAAATCCCCCACCAGTTCCCAAATGAGAACTTCTAGCTGACAGGCCTGATAAAGCAGAAGACTCAGTATTCTGTCAAGGAATGTAAAAATTCATTTTTCAAATTTTCATTTCTATATCAAGTTGCCTCCTAACTGGTCTCAGCCATGTAATCTTACATCTGTCCAATGTCTATCCCATTCTGCAATCAGATTGATTTATTCCAAAGGGAAATCCTGATGTCATCTTCCACCATTTAAATGCCTTTCCATATCTTTCAAAATAAAGACAAAACCCTTAACATAGATACCAAGCCCTGGCCAAGCTGATCCCTGCCTTCCTCTCACCTCTTTTCATAGAATTGTTGCCACATCAATAACTGCAGCCACTCTGGCCTTCTGTCATGTCTTCAAAGAAGCCATGCATCTCTTTGTCTCCAGGTCTTTGCTTATGCTATCGCCTCTGTCCAAAACATTTAGGGTCCTACCTGGTTAACTTGTATTCATCCTTCAAACCTCAGCTCAGATGTCACTTCCTCAGTCAAATCTCTTCTGACCCCAGAGAATAGACCAAGACTACTCTAAATAACCATATGGCACTGAGGTCATTTTCTTTATACCACCTGTGCCCTGATTGAAATTCCGTACTTGTTTGGCTATTTCATCTGTTTCCTCTTCTAGTTCAATTGCTTTCCATTATCTCTCCAAAGCTTAGCATTGTGCACAGCATGTAGTAGGCACTCTATAAATATACACTGAATGAATGAATAAATGAATGAGAGTGCTAGTACCTTACACTGTGTGTTCTCTTGTGGTTGCTATTAGGAACGAGATCTCAGGGTTATACAAAAGGCAGTGGAGATAAGAGGGAGGGACAGTCAAGTGACTCTCAAAGATTTGGAAAAGGATTTCCCTCAGAAGGTTTAAGCAGAGAAGCTCCACACAATAGACCCCAGCAGAGAGATACAAAACCCACCTTAAAGAAATACTTGCAACCTAGATCCAGATCTAACTGAAGGTCTTTCTGTTTCTAAAAAACGAATGTGATAACCTCAAACGGAGCCAGTCAGAAATGGAGTGAAGAAAACAAAATTACCTGAGGCAAATTCAGTTTTCATTCCTGAGTACTCGAGGAAAGTGTTGTTTGGGCAGGTTGACAGCTAAATCCAAATTATAGACGGCTCCACCTAGCTGTCTCAACAAAATACCATTAAACATTTCTGTCACATAACATCCCCCTTATACTGACGCCACCAAACAACCTGTTAATAATTTGCCTTCAATGTAGTTTGCTATTCACTCATTTATTCATTCATTCATGTATTCAATCATAAATATATAAAATCATTTATTCATTAATAAATTTATTGAGAACAAGTATGTTCTAACGTGTGCCATGCTTTTAGGATATAATGGCAAGCAATACCAAGCTGTTCCCTAACTTCACAGAGCTTATATTACAGTCTAACAGGTAGCACAGACAATTAAAAAAGCAATTTATTATAAAAGTGTTGGATCCTATTGTGAACTAACGCTGCCTGCCTGCTTAACATCCTTCAGTTGGAGAACTTTTTCTCCTATCTTTCTGATCCTAGTGAAGTTATCCATTGCCATGGCCTAGCACCCTGCAACACCACCACAGCCCTATCACCACTACAGGGGAGAGTATGTTACTAAATTAGGCCTCTCAGGGTACTTGTTGAGATTTGTAAAAGGAGCTGGGATTGCAAGGGCCTGCCCTCTTTTGGAATTTTGAGTTATGTGGATATAGGTTTGAGAAATTTTACTACGCTGGAGAGTAGGGTTTCCAGAGTTGACAAATAAAAATAGAAGATGTCATCATTCATGCAACCAAAAAACACTTATTGGGCACCTACTATATGCCAGGCACTGTTCCAGGAGCTAGGAATTCATCAGTGAACCAGATTAAAATCTCTGCCCCATGAAGCTTACTTTCTAGTAGACAGAGAAATTAATAAGCAATATTAATCAGTAAAATCTATGATGCATTAAAGAGTGATACATACAAAGGAAACGAGCATGCAGGGAAAGGGAATAGGCAGTTTCTAATGGAGGAGAGGGTTGCAATCTTAGAGCAAGAAGACAGGGAAAGCCCTTGTGAGAAAATTACATTTGAATAAACACCTCAGAGGGGTAAGGGAGCAGCCACACCAATACGAGAGACAGCTGGTCCAGGCAAAGGGAACTGCAAGCACAGGGGCTCTGAAAGGGAAGAGTGCACAGAGTATTTGGGGAACAGCAAGAGGCCACAGTGGCTGGGAAGAGCCAGTGAAGAAACAAGCAGAAGGATAATATCTTAGGGGGAGCAGGGACCAGATCTTCTAGGCATCATAAGCCTTTGTCAAAACAGACTTTTAAAGTCCAGAACAGGCCGGGCGTGGTAACTTATGCCTGTAACCCCAGCACTTTGGGAGGCCGGATCAGATGGATCACCTGAGGTCAGGAGTTCAAAACCAGCCTGGCCAACGTGGTGAAACCCCGTCGCTACTGAAAATACAAAAAAAATTAGCTGGGCATGGTGGTGCATGCCTGTAATCCCATCTACTTGGGAGGCTGAGGCAGGAGAATTGCTTGAACCTGGGAAGCAGAGGTTGCAGTGAGCTGAGATCATGCCATTGCACTCCAGCCTGGGCAACAAGAGTGAAACTCCATCTCAAAAAAATAAATAAAGTCCAGAATGAGGGGAAAGAGTGAAGAGTTCAGAGCTGAGGATCAGACTTAGGTCTAATAGGATCATTCCAGATGCTCTTCTGAGATTCCAGGGCAAGGCAGAAGCATACAGCCCCTCAGGAGGCCTTATGTTAAAGATATAGGCTGTTCTCTAATAGTTGTTACTACCATTAATTACATTAATTATAGATAAGTTCTACATGTCAGGATTTCAAGATTACTATATACTTTTAATTCATTAATTCTTTTCTTTCCTTGGTATCACTGGACTTTGTTTTGTTTTATGTTTTTTGTTTTGAGACAGAATCTTGCTCTGTAGGCCAGGCTGGAGTGCAGTGGCTTGATCCTGGCTCACTGCAACCTGTGCCTCCCAGGTTCAAGCAAATATCCTGCCTCAGCCTCCCTAGTAGCTGGGATTACAGGCACCCACCACCACATCCGGCTAATTTTTGTATTTTTGGTAGAGATGGAGTTTCACCACATTGGCTAGGCTGATTTCGAACTCCTGACCTCAGGTGATGCGCTTGCCTTGGCCTGCCAAAATTCTGGGATTACAGATGTGAGCCGCCGCTCCCAGCCTGGTAGCACTTGACTTTGAAGCTCAACAATGTACAGTTTGGAGCTGAAGAAATGTCACTGGAGATACCTGGATATCAGTAAATGGACCTCTCCCCAGGATTTTAGCTTTAGGAGCATCCATAAATCAAGAGGGGAGATTTCAAACATCATCCTTGTCCCTTGATGTCCTAATTTAAAAAAGCAACTTTTCTGCAGCCACAAGGTAACTTAGCAGCTGGTTCCTATGCAGGTGAATTATGGCTTAAGAAATAATAAAAAGAAATTGTGAATTACTAAATGACTTACATTGAAAAAAAGCAAGAAGGGAGGAAAGATGCATGAGCATAGGGAGAGAATTTTATAATATACCTGAGTCTACTCAATGATAAATGTACATAATTAATCATACACACCATTTGGCAAATGATATTTTTAAATGATAGAGGCAATTATCTGTACAATTACATATGCACAGGAATGCATTATTTTCTGACTTTCAACAGGCAGCCTACCTTACAGAATAGGTAAAGAAGAGACTTACCTAATTTAGCATCCTACTTTGTAACCTCAATCTAATGAGGACATTTTTTAGTGATTAGAAGAGGTTGAGAAGAGGAATGTAATAATAGTAACTTCATGATTCTACTACTAATATCTTTGTGAAACTATTTAATCACTTATTGTTTCCATTTTGCACTGTAAAATATTGGTTACATATTCTCTTCCTCTCCCTCTAATGAAATATAATTTTCTAAATACCCTTTCAATGAATGTTTTAGAAACAAATTAAAAAACTTGTGGAAACAAAGAATTTTGCTACTCTCTATAAATAACATTAAAGTGAAAAATTTCAGTGACTGCAGGAAGCAATGATCTCTTTTCTAACTTGATAGAATGAATTCACACTCTGCTATTTCTTCAGCCTCGTGGTCTTATCATATAAGGCAGTGTGGTGTAGTAAAAAGAGTTCAGTTTGGAACCACACAAATGTAGTTTCAAATCTGGCTCTGCAACTAATGGTGATCCTAACCTTCAGCAACTTACTAAACATTGCTAAGCCTCAAATTCTTTCTAAAAGTGAGGCTAATCATATCAATCTTGTAAAATATGCAATGAGCAGTATATGATACAATAATTTTCAGGTATTTTGTCTAATGTTAGGGATGCAACACATATTCAATACTGTGTGTATTATTAGTGTTAAGTCCTCCTCCTCACTCAAGTTCTTTAATATCCTTCTAAAATAAATCTCAATGCCATTCTATCATTCACTCATTCTACCAATGTATATTGAGCACCATGCATACATACAAGATATCATTACATAAATAAATGAGTCATTTTGGATATAAGTAAGGAAAAGATGGATTATTCAGAAAATGGCTTGGAATGACTGGTTAGCAATTTTGATCTTTAAGTTTGATGGTCTAAAACTATGTTGTTCCATACAAAAGCTATTAGCCACATGTGACTACTGAGCATTTCAAATATGGCTATTTTAAATTGAGGTGTGCTGAAAATGTAAAATACACACAAGACTTTGAAAACCCAGTATGAAGAAAGGACTGCAAGATCTCTCATTAAAATATTTTTTGAATTGATCACATGTTGAAATGGTAATATTTTGTATATACAGTTGACTCCCAGTATCCATAGGGGATTGGCTCCAGGAACCCAGCAAATACCAAAATCTACAGATATTCAAGTCCCTTGTATAAAATAGTGTAGTGTTTGCATATAACCTAAGCACATCCTTCCATATGCATTAAATCATTTCTAGATTACTAATAATATCGAATACAATGTAAATACTATGTAAATAGTTGATATACTGAATTGTTTTTTATTTCTGTTATTTTTAATTGTTGTTTTGTTACTTTTATTTTTAAAATAAAAATAGTTTTAGTTTTAAAAACATATTTTTGATCCATGGCTGGTTGAATCCAAGGATGCTGAATCTCTGGACACAGTGGGCTAACTGTATTGGATTAAATAAAATATATTATTAAAATGAATTTTATCTCCTTTTTGCTTTTTTGATGTGATTACTAGAAAAATTAAATGCTTCTTGCCCAATTTGTGGCTTGCATCATGTTTCTATTAGGCAGTGATGGTTTCTTATAACAAGAAAGAAAGTAAGGAAAATAAAAAGAAAAGAAAAAATCTTTATTAACTAGAAGATGGAGAGAGGAGGTGGATCAAGTTGGCCAAATAAATACCTCCACTAGTTGATCACCCACACCTCCACCCCTAGGGACACCAAATTGAACAACTATCCACACAAAAAAGAACCTTCATAAGAATTAAAACTCAGGTGAGCAATCACAGTACCTGGTTTTAACATCATATTAAGGAAAGAGGCACTGAAGAGGGTAAGAAAGATAGTCTTGAATCACTTACACCACTCCTCCACCATCACCCAGCAGTGGCCATGTGGCACAGGGAATCTTGCAAGAGGGAGAGTGCAGTGACTGTATTAGAACTCAGTGCTGCCCTGGTCACAGCAGAAAGGAACATGGGCAGAGAATTTGGGCCAGCCCCAACCAGAGGCAAACTGCCCATCCCAGCAGTCAGAACCTGAGTTCTGGCTAGCCCCGCCACTACAGGCTAAAGTGCTCTGGGGTTCTAAACAAACTTGAAAGGCAATTGAGGCCACAAAGACCACAATTCCTGAGCAAGTCCTGGTGCTGTGTTGGGCTCAGAGCCAGTGGACTTGGGGGTCACACAATGTAGTGAGACACCAGCTGGGATGGCAAGGGAGTGCTTGTGTCATTCTTCCCCCAACCCCAGGCAGTGCAGCTTGCAGCTCTGGGAGAGACTTCCTCCTTCTGCTTGAGGCAACAAGAGGGGAGATTACTGAGGACTTGGTCTTGAAACTTGGATACCAGATCAGCTACAGTTGAATACGGTACGAGGCAGGGCCCTGAGGCCCTCATTCCAGGTCCTAGCTCCTGTGTGACAATTCTAGACACACCCTGGGCAGAAGGGAATCCACTGCCTTGAAAGGAAATACCCTGTCTAGGCAGGATTCATCACCTGCTGACTGAAGACTCCTTCAGCTCTGAATAATCAGCAGTGGTAGCCTGGCAGTATGCACTGCAGGCCTTGGGTGATTCTTAGAACCATGTGGTTTCAGGTGTGACCCAGCAAATTCCCAGCTGTGGTGGCTATGAAGAGAGACTCCTTCTCTTTGAGGAAATAAGAGGGAAGAGTAGAGGGGACTTTGTCTTGCAGCTTGGGTACCCGCTTAGTCACAAGTTTGTGGAATACAATAGGGTAGAACACCAAGCAGATTCCTGGGGTCCCTGATTCCAGACCCTTGCTCCTGGATGACATCTCTGCACCCACTCGCTGTCCTGAAGGGAAGAACACAAGCCTGGCTGGATTTGCCACCTGCTAATTAAAGAGCCCTTGGGCCTTGAGTGAACATAGGCAGTAGCAAGGCAGTTGACACTAAGGGTCTTGGTTGACACCCAGTTCTATGCTGGTTACAGCTCTGACCAGGCACGGTCCCAGTGGTGGTGAATATAAGAGTGCTGGGGACACCTCTCCCCCAGCTTCAAGCAGCTCGGTACAGAGAAAGACTGTTTGTTTGGGGGAAAGTAGGGGAAGAGAACAAGAATCTGCTTGATAATCCAGGGAATTCTGGATCTTCCCTAAGACCACCAAGGCAGTACCTCTATGAGTCTGCAAGAGTCACAGCATTACTGGGCTTGGGGTGGCCACTAATGCAGATATGGCTACAGTGACCAAAGACTTAGATCACAGCACCCAAGTTCTTTCAAATACTTGGAAAGCCTTCCAAAGAAGAATGAGTACAAACAACCACAAGGTGCAAAGACTATGATAAATACCTAATTCTTCAACACCCTGACACCAACGAACATCCACAAGCATGTTTACTGATGAACATCTAGGAAAACATGACCTCACCAAAGAAAATAAATAAGGCACCAGAGACCAAACCCAGAGAGACAGAGAGCTGACCTTTTAGAGAGAATTCAAAATAATTGTTTTGAGGAAGCTCAGTGAAATTCTAGGTACCACAGAGAAGGAATTCAGAATCCTATCAGATAAACTTAATAAAGAGGTTGAAATAATTTAAAAGAATCAAGCAGAAATGCTGGAGCTGAAAAATGCAGTTGACATACTGCAGAATGTATCAGAGCCTCTTAACAGCAAAGCAAAAGAAATAATTTGTGAGCTCAAAGACAGGCTATTTGAAAATACACGGTCAGAGGCAAAGATGACGAAAGAAAAAAGAATGAAGCACACCTACAGGATCTAGAAAATAGCCTCAAAAGGCAAATCTGAGTTATTGAACTTAACGAGGAGGAAGAGAAAGAGAGATCGGAGTAGAAAGTTTATTCAAAGGGATAACAACAGAGAATTTCCCAAACCTAGAGAAAGATATAAATATTTAAATACAAGAAGCTTATAGAACACCAAGCAGATTTAACCCAAGTAAGACTACCTCAAAGCATTTATTTATTAATCAAATTCCCAAAGGTCAAGGATAAAGAAAGGATCCTAAAAGCAGCAAGAAAACAAACAACAACAACAACAAAAATAACATACAAAGGAGCTCCAAAACATCTGGCAACAGACTTCTCAGGGGAAACCTTACAGGCCGAGAGAGAGTGGCAATGTGATAAGGGAAAAAAATATATATTCCAGAAAGTATTTCCAGCAAAAATATCCTTCAAACATGAAAGAAGGAGAAATAAAGACTTTTTCAGACAAATGAAAGTTGAGGGATTTCATCAACGCCAGACCTGTCCTGCAAGAAAAAATAGAGTTCTTCAATCTGAAATAAAAGTACATTAATGATCAATAAGAAATCATCTGAAGGTACAAAATTCACTGTTAATGTAAGTATGCAGAAAAATACAGACTATTTTAACTCTGTAATTGTGGTGTGTATACTTCATATCTTGAGTAGAAAGACTGAAAGATGAACCTATCAAAAATAATACCTACTACAACTTTTCAAGACATTGTATAATAAGATATAAATAGAAAAAACAAAAACTTAAAAAGCAGCGAGATAAAGTTAAAGCATATAGTTTTTACTAGCTTTCTCTTTGCTTGTTTATCAGTCTGTTTATACAATCAGTGTTAAGCTGTCCTCAGTTTAAAATAGTGGGTTATAAGATAGTCTTGGCAAGTCTCATGTTAACTTGAAATAAAAAAAAAGAAATAAAACAAATAAATAAAAAATAAAAAGCAAGAAAATCAAACATATTACCAGGAAAAAATTACCTTCACTAAAAGGAAGACAGGAAGGAAGGAAAGAAGAAAGAAGAGACCACAAAACAACCAGAAAACAAATAACAAAATGACAACAGTAAGTCCTTACTTATCAATAATAACATTGATGGTAAATAGACTAAACTCTCCAATCAAAATACATAGAGTGGTTGAATGGATAAGAAACCCACACCCAGTGATCTGTTGCCTACAAGAAACACACTTCATCTATAAAGATACACATAGACTGAAAATAAAAGGATGGAAAAAGATATTCCATGCCAATGGAAACCAAAAGAGAGCAGGAGTAGCTATACTTGTATCAGACAAAATATATTTAAAAACAAAAACCTTAAGAGACAAAGGAGGGCATTACATAATGATAAAGGAGTCAATTCAGCAAGAGGATATAACAATTATAAATATATATGCATTCAACACTGGAGCACCCAGATATAAAGCAAATATTATTAAAGTTAAACAGAGAGATAGACCTCAATACAATAATAGCTGGAGACTGTAACACCCTACTTTTAGCACTGGACAGATTGCCCAGACAGAAAATCATCAAAGAAACATTGAATTTAATCTGTACTACATATCAAATGGACCTAATAGATATTTACAGAATATTTCATCCAATGGCAACAGAAAACACATTCTTCTTTACAGTACATCGATTATTCTCAAGGAGATACCATATGTTAAAGCATATAACAAGTGTTAAAACATTTAAAAAATTAAAGTTATATCGAGTATCTTATCTGATCACAGTGGAATAAAACTAGAAATCAGTCACAAGTGATATTTTGGAAATGATACAAACACATGGAAATTAAACAATATGCTCCTGAATAACTAGTGGGCCATTTAAAAAATAAGAAAGACATTCAAGGCTGGGTGCGTGGCTCACACCTGTAATCCCAGCACTTTGGGAGGCCAAGGCAGGAGGATCACAAAGTCAGGAGATCGAGACCATCCTGGCTAACATGGTAAAACCTCGTCTCTACTAAACAAAAATAAAAAAAAATTAGATGGGCGTGGTGGTGGGCACCTGTAGTCCCAGCTACACAGGAGGCTGAGGCAGGAGAATGGTGTGAATCTGGGAGGCAGAGTTTGCAGTGAGCTGAGATCGCACCACTGCACTCCAGCCTGGGTGACAGAGTGAGACTCCATCTCAAAAAAATAAAAATAAAAATAAATAAATAAAAAATTTCTTGAAACAAATGAAAATGAAAACATACTAAAACCTATGAGATTCAGTGAAAGCAGTGTTAACAGGAAAGTTTATAGCAATAAGTGCCTACATCAACAAAGTAGAAAAACTATGAATAAACAACTTAACAATGCACCTTAAAGAATTAGAGAAGCAAGAGCAAACCAAACCCAAAATTAGTAGAAGAAAAGTAATAATAAAGATCAGAGTAGAAATACAGAAAAAAGAGAGAAGACCCAAATAAGTAGAATCAAAGATGAAAAAGGAAATGTTATAACTGTTATCACAGAAATTCAAAGGCTCATTAGATGCTTCTATGAACAATTATATGCTAATAAAATAGAAAACCTAGAAATGGATAAATTCCTAGACAAACACAACCTACCATGAATGAACCATGAAGAAATCCAAAACCTGAACAGACAAATAACAGGTAACAAGATCAAAGCTGTGATAAACCTTTTTCCAGCAAAGAAAAGCCAGGACCTGATGGCTTCACTGCTGAATTCTACCAAACATTTAAGGAAAAGCTAATACAAATCCTACTCAACTTATTCCAAAAAATAAAGGAGTAGGGAATACTTCTAAACTCATTCTATGAGGTTAGTATTACCCTGATACAAATACCAGACAAAGATTCATCAAAAATAGAAAACTATAGGTCAATATCCCTGATGACCATTGAGGCAAAAATCCTCAACAATATACTAGCAAACCAAATTCAACAACACATTAAAAAGTTCATTCATCATGACCAAGTGAGATTTATCCCAGGAATTCAAAGATGGTTCAACATATGTAAATCAATCAATGTGATACATCATATTAATAGAACGGAGGACAAAAACCATATGATAATTTCAATTGATGCTAAAAAAGCATTTGGTAAAATTCAGCATCCTTCATGATAAATACTCTTAAAAAATTGGGTATAGAAGAAATGCAACTGAACAAAATAGAAGGTATATTTAACAGACCCACAGCTAGTATCAAACTGAATGGGGTAAAACAGAAAGCTTTGTCTCTGAGATCTGGAAGAAGACAAGGATGTGTACTTTCACCACTGTTATTCAACATAGCGCTAAAAGTTCTAGCTAGAGCTTTCAGACAAGAGAAGGAAATAAAGAGACAAAGAGCATCCAAATTAGAAAGGAAGAAGTCAAATTATCCTTGTTTGAAGATGATAGAATCTTATATTTGGTAAAACCTAAAGACTCCAGCAAAAAAAAAAAAAAATCCTATCAGAACTGAAAAATTCAGTAAAGTTGTAGGATACAAAATTCATCATACAAAAATCAGTAGTATTTCTATTGCCAATAGCAAACAATCTGAAAAAGAAATCAAGAACATAATCCCATTTACAATAACTACAAAGAAAATAAAATGCTTGGGAATAAACTTAACCAAAGAAGTGAAAGATCTCTACAATGAAAACTAGAAAACATTGATGCAAAAAATTGAAGAGGACATAAAAATATAGAAAGATATTCCATGTTCATGGATTGGAAGAATCAATATTATTAAAAATGTCCGTACTTCCCAAAGCAACCTACAGATTCAATGCAATCCCTATCAAAATACCAATGACATTCTTCACAGAAATAGAAAAAAAAATCCTAAAATTTATATGGGATTGTAAAAGACCCAGAAAAGACAAAGCTATCCTGAGCAAAAAGAACAAAATGGGAGGAATCACATTACCTGACTTCAAATTATACTACAGAGTTTTAATAACCAACACAGCATGGTATTGGCATAAAAACAGATGCACAGGGACCAGGTGCCGTGGCTCACGCCTGTAATCCCAGCACTTTGGGAGGCTGAGATGGGTGGATCACAAGGTCAGGAGTTCGAGACCAGCCTGGCCAACATGGTGAAACCCTGTCTCCACTAAAAATACAAAAATTAGCTGGGAGTGGAGGCATGTGCCTGTAATCCCAGCTACTCGGGAGGCTGAGGCAGGAGAATCTTTTGAACCCAGGAGGTGGAGTTTGCAGTGAGCCGAGATTGCGCCATTGCACTCCAGCCTGGGTGACAGGGTGAGACTCCGTCTCAAAAAACAAACAAACAAACAAAACAGATGCACAGAACAATAACAGAATAAACAACACAGAAATAAATCCATATATCCACAGTGAACTCATTTTTAACAAAGAGGCCAAGAACACACATTGGGAAAACGACAGTCTCTTTAATAAATTGTGCTGGGAAAACCAGCTATCCATGTGCAGAAGAACGAAACTTAGAACCCTACCTGTAGCTAATATCCAAAAATAAAATAAAAGTCGATTAAAGACCTAAATCTAAGACCTCAAACTATAAAACTACTAAACAAAAACATTGGGGAAACTCTCTAGGGCTTTGGTCTGGGCAAAGATTTCTTGAGTAATATATCATAAGTACAGGCAACCAAAGCAAAAATGGACAAATGAGATCATATCAAGTGACCAAGATTCTGCACAGCAACAGAAACAATAGAAAAGGAGAAGAGGCAACCCACAGAATGGGAGAAAATATTTGGAAACTACCCATTTGACACAGGATTAATAACCAAAATATATAAAGAGCTCAAATAATTCAACAGAAAAAATCTAACAGTCTAATTTAAAAATGGGCAAAATATCATTTCTCAAAAAAAAAGAGACAAACAAATGGCAAACAGGCAAATAAAAAGATGTTCAAGATAATTGATCATCAGAGAAATGCAAATTAAAATCACAATTAGATATCATCTCACCCCATATAAAATGACTTTTATCCAAAAGACAGGCAAGAGCAAATGCTGGAGAGGATATACAGGAAAGGAAATCCCTGTCAACTGTTGGTAGGAATGTAAATTAGTACAACCACTATGGAAAACAGTTTGAAGCTTCCTCAAAACACCAGAAATAGAACTACCATATGATCCAGAAATCCCACTGCTTAGTATAAACCCAAAAGAAAGAAAATAAGTATATCAAAGAGATATTTGCACATTTATTCCAGTATTATTCACAATAGCAAAGATTTGGAAGCAACTTAAGCATCCATCAACAGACAAATGGATAAAGAAAATGTGTTACCATATTAGTCCGTTCTCATGCTGCTAATAAAGACATACCTGAGACTGGGTAATTTATAAAGGAAAGAGATTTAATTGACTCACAGTTCTGCATGGCTGGGAAGGCCTCAGGAACTTGCAATCATGGTGGAAGGCACCTCTTCACAGGGTGGCAGGAGAGAGAATGAGTGCAAGCAGGGGAAATGCCAGATGTTTATAAAACCATCACATTTCATGAGACTCACTCATTATCACGAGAACAGCATGGGGAAACCACCCCCAGGATTCAATAACCTCCACCTGGTCCTGCCCTTGTCATGTGGGGATTATAGGGACTACAATTTAAGGTGAGATTTGAGTGGAGCCACAGAGCCAAACCATATCAGTTACCTATACACAATGGAATACTATTCAGCCATAAAAAGAATGAGATCCTGTCATTCGCAACAACATGAATGGAACTGGAGGTCATCACGTTAAGTGAAATAAGCCGGGCACAGAAAGACAAACTTTTCATGTTCTCATTTATTTGTGGGAAATAAAAATTAAAACAATTGAACTCATAGAGACAGAGAGTAGAATGATGGTTACCAGAGGCTGGGAAGAGTAGTAGAGTTGTGTGGGAGAAGTGGGATGGTTAATGGGTACAAAAATACAGTTAGAATGAATCACATCTAGTATTTGATGGCATAACAGGGTGACTGCAGTCAACAATAATTTATTGTATATTTCAAAATAACTAAAGAGTAATTGGTTTGTTTGTAAAACAAAGAAAGGATAAATGCTTGAGGTTATAATTATTAAGCATTGTATGCCTGTATCAAAATATCTTAAGTAACCCCTGTATATCGATACCTACTATGTACTCACAATTTTTTTTTCAAAAAAGTAAGACAAAACAAAAAACTAGAAGATGTAAGCCTTAAAAGATCTTATGGTGGCATAATCCTTACTACAGACAATATAAATGGCAAAAAATGTCAGGTACTTATCAAATGCTCAGTTAATACCAGCTTGTATTATCTATTTGTTAATGATGATCTCTCACATTTTAGGCACTATACTGGGTGCTCCAGTTGCAATTATTAACAAATAATCCATTCTATTCAGAAGTTCCCAGTCTAATGAGGAATACAAACAAGAAAAAATATTGCAAACTTTTATATATCCTATATTATATTGTTCTTATGGACCTAAAATATATTGTTTTTATTTTCTTTTAAAAAGTGTGGCATACCTCTCCACATCTGACACTTATTAGAACAATAAACAATAGTTTCCATTTTGTTATTGTGAAAAATGAACAGCAGTGGGATATTGAAAGGCAGTTTAATTCCTTCGGTTAAAAAAAAATGTTATTTACTAATATGCTGCAAAGGTGTTCAGTAATAAAAGTTAATTTAAAGGCACTCATCTGGCATTTATTTCTACATCATACTATCATTCTCACACAAAATCATCCCTGAATCCTTCCACAATACTTCATGATACTATGGTCCTTTATGTAGTTATGTTTGTATATATGCATGAGTGAGAGAGCAAATACGTTAATTTTTGAGCAGTCATAACATTTTTCCTTCCCCTTCCACCAGGCTTCTAAGAAGCAGCCTTGCTGCTTGGGCAGCTCCAAGCCTGGCCTTTTGTCCTGGTGATGAGAATAAGAGCAGAGCTGCACAATTTACATTTTAAAGGAAATGGAGCCCTGGCCCTGACCAATCCCAGAGGGAGGAGGAAGACAGAAGAAAAGGTTTACAGAAGCCAGAGTTAGGAATTAGAGTTTGGGGGAGTGAAGAGAGAAAAAGGAAACAGTGAACTGTTACCATGGCGAGCTGTGCAAGATGCTGAGATCTGAGACGAAATTGAAATACTGAGATATTGATAAGGGCTGAGGCGATACTGAGATCTGGAGAGAGAAGAGGGAAGAAGGCAGTGTGGGTGGAGGCAGGAAGACTCCTAGAAACCTTGCTGAGGGTTGTATAAGCTCTAGGTGATTTTCAGAGACACTGCAACAAGGATTTAAAATGCTTTTGTTAATTTATCCTGTGAGACTGGTGCTGCTACTGGCTATGTAGCCATGTGACACTGTGGGTGAGAGCAGCTCCACGCAGCCCAGGTTTCTCTGGTTCTGTGTTACTTCCCTACTGGACTCAGTCTTGAAAGTGAAGACTCTGCTAAACTTCTCTGCAGTGCAGCAGCCACTACGGTGGACCCTAGCACCCGAACCCTAGGGGATGCTCCATAAATACAGGTTGAATTAAATCATCAGGGTCTGGAAGTGGATTCATTGTAGGCATCTCTGAAAACGAAATAGGCACAGCAACCGATTGCATAAATGTGTCTGTGTGGCTCTATGTCGTGATAAAGTACCAAGCCAAGCAAGCATAACTTCCTACATTTTTGTGCTTGTGATGCCGACAGCTGTTGCAGACCTGGTTTACAGGTTTTACTCAGGTTTCTTGTTTGTTTTAAATGTTCAGTTGTCCTTCACAATAAATACATATTCTCAGCTCAAATGCACAAGCTTACTTTGCTGCAGCCGCCACCTCCTCTTGCCCCAGAATTGTGGGGGGCCGGGTAAACAGGGAGGAAATTCCCTAGTAGCGGGATTTGCCCACCACTTTGCCAGCACAGGCCAATTAAGGAAAGGGCAAAAGAAGGTATAGTCTCCTGGAAGCCTGGGAGAAGCTGCAGAGTTCTGGGTAGGCTGCACATTGGAATCACTGGCAGCTTAAAAAAATGAAAACACTTGTTTAGGCCCAATCCAGAAAATTCAAGTTGAATTCCTGGGCATCTGAAATTTTTTAAAGTCCCAGGGACTTCAGAGACAGAAACACTCTCCTCATCCTCCTAACCAAGTTGGAGTCTTCACTTTCCACATGATGCAATTGGTTATGCCTGCAGGCCTCTAGGCCTCTACAATTTAGTTAGTAGCCTGGGGCTGTGAATCTAAAGGAAGCTTTGCTACTGTTACTTTGACCCTAACTAGGGAGATCTGATGCCCTGGTTTGCCATGGCCAATCCCAAGTCATGCTGTTATCTTGGAAAAATTATTAATAGCTCCCACTTTTACTCTTAGAAGAGTCCAGGTTTGGATGGTAAATTATATGGTCACTCTATACATAACATTTAAGGAAAGCCAAGCCTAGGATAATGTTTACCTAGGATGTCTTCCAGCAACAATTTCAAAATTCTTTCACTCTTTTTCTTCCTCAATTGTCTTTCTTTCCAGTCTTTCTCCTTTCTCTTTCGTCAGATAAGGCTTAAATATCCTCCAAACAGCTCATTTCCTCACCTCACTCCTCATCCCAATCCCCTAGAAATTTTTCTTCTCATCTCCATGTTTCTGGAGTCCATGTTGAGACTACAGCTTGAAGATTTTTTATCTTGTTTGCCTTGTTTGGGGGCAAGGAGAGAAGGAAGTGTCCTGAAGCTCTGTGTGGCCAGACTACCCTGGACTCTTCCCCAGACCCTGGAAGACTAGAGAAATGGTCTATCAAGCATGATGTGTACAGGAAATGTGCTATGGCTGACGAGCGAATCAGGCACTGTCAAATGAAGACTGAGCCAAGTGTGAGGCTCAGACCACTACCAGCAGAGGAACAAGTTGACCCATGGGTCTTCTAGATTAAGCGAAATCACAGACTTCTCACAAAGGAATGCAAGGGCCAGAAACGGCCATCTTATTGGTCCCACCTGTCCTGTAAGGTTTTGAGCTCAACGTTTCTCCTTGAGTTGGACTCTATACTTTCAATCCAAAAGCCTGTGTCTGATATTTCTTGCCCTTTGATTCTGGGTTTGCATTTTCTCTACCTTTGCTTCATGTCCTAACTCCCACACATTGTATTAATAATACCACCAGCTTGGACTGATGCTTACCTCATGGAGCTCTTCCTGGATTCCATTTATATTTGTGGTGATTTCTCAATAACATAGGCCAGGACTAAGAACTCACCACTTGGGGCAAAGATGATGCACAGTCTAATTCAATGGCAAAGAGCCTTTGACATGGTTATAAATGTAGTCGAGTTTCCTTCATTTTTACTACCTGGTCTGTCCTCTACTCACCAAAGTTCAGATTTCTCTGCAGGGGTGATACTAGGAAGCAGACCGGAGCCTCTGAATCTGCTTTTACTTTATAGTGTGGCTCTTCCCTTGACTCCTTCCCTTCCATTTAGTCACAGCTCAATCTCTACTCTCAGCGCATTTTCTCCCACCCTCCAAAATGGCCTCAGCTCCTTCTCATATGAATTGCTCTATTAGTTTATGCAGCAAGGATTGGGTTACGTTTACCAACAAGCACTTGCAGTTGCAGAACTCAATTGCAATGGAGCAGGGGTCTATCCCCTTAAATGACTGTAGTGGGCAGACCCACAGGTGTCCAATAGGCTGGGTGCACACTAGAGCAAGCTGGCAGGTGCCAGACCTGTCTAAAGCATACATTCTCCTGTAGTAGACTGTTGCCATGGAGGAATGCTGGCCAAAAAAGCCATATCTTTTCATTTTTCAGAAAAGAAAAATAATTTAGATTCTTATGAGCAATCTACTAATTTTTAAGAATATTGGCAACTCATTTAAAAAGATTTGAATTCCATCTAATCAGTGAGTAGAATCTTGTTCTCTGGCTGCCAGTTTCCAGTGGTCTTTGTAGTGTATTGAAAGATATGCTTTTATGTGATGTGACTTTAAGATTGAAAAATCATCTGAGGCAACCCAACATGAAGTCAAGTGGTGTGAAATTCTAAAGAACACCCCGGAAACCTACAGATGCTGGTATTTATGCATGAAAACAACAGTAGCAACAACGGGGATTCCTATTAAGTGACAAACAGCCACTTAAGAAAATCTTTTAATGAAAGGATATTTTAAACATCCCATAAAAGGTCCACTGTGCATTCTTTTGTGTGTGAACACTTCATTTTTCATAAACATAAAGCCTCTAATTGTCTTCCATTTTAAAACATCTTCGTCAGCAAGGATATCAAGCAGACAGTTACAGGGAAAAATAATGACACTGTAAAGGTTGACAGTGAAATCAGTTAATCTCTTATCCCTTATGACAGTTTACATTTTGAGTGACAACTAAGGTTATCTATTTTGCAAATATTACAGCTTTATTCTTGAGCAAAGTGATAGGAAAACACATCATTTTCCACTGTACACTGGACATTATCTTGAAAAAATAAACCAGATGTAATGTTTTAAATACAAATATTTCAACATGGGATGGGAAAAATGGCCAACTGATTAAAACTCCAGACCAGGGTTTTTCAACCTCAGTACCATTGACGTTTTGGGTCTTTGATGGGGTTCGGGGTGTCCTGCAGGCTGTTCAGCATTATCCCTGGCCTCTACCAACTAGATGCTAGCAGGACTCTCTCCCCAACCTGTTTGTAACAATCAAAAAAACATTGTCAGACATTGCCATATGTCTCCTGGGGCCCAAATTTGCCCCCAGTTGAGAACCATTTCTCCAGAGGAATTGTTGGACTTCGCAACTTGGATTATGATTCTCCAAGAGAGTCTTAAAGTGGCAGTTCACACAGTTCACACAAGAGGAGAGAAACTGGAGAAAGCATTAGCACTGGCTTCTTCTGAGTCCTCAGCGGCATCTGGGGGTTGAGAAGGACAGTCTTTGAAGCATGAACAGTGAATATATACTGACAAGAAAGTTATTGTGGAGGACAGGAGGGGTAGGCCCCAGATGGAAAATCCACTCTTCTCCTTGAAAATAATGCCTGAACAGGCAGGAACCAATAGAGATTAGGCCAGCCAGTGACATCTCCTGGTAGATTCCAAACTACAGATGAGGAACTCCAACTTTCCTCCAGCCAAGTCTGAGGTGAATTTAACATATTGAAAGATGTGATGATACAGAAAAGTTAGACATTTAATAAGGAGTTCCTTTTCTTTTCATTTTGGAAAGAAAACATTTTTCCAGAAAAACTTGAAAGGTTATAATAGTGGTTTGAAATCAGTAACTCTCAATTTTTTCTTTGTGGTTATGGAAGAAATCATCAATTCCATCTCTCAGTAGAACCTCATAAACACAATAGGTCAAATGCCAGAACAGAAATTAAATGGCTGTGTGATCCTCAAGGGAAGACATACTTTAACTATGAAGTATTCACACCAAACCATGAGAGCAGCACAGGAAAGAGAATGAACTAGAGTATGTGGTGTTCATATTTTCTGTTTTGACAGCACTGTTTATCAAAATAACTACAATTTTCAAAGAAAAGACTATTTAATTTTTACTATATTGCTTTTCTGTCTGAAAGGAACTATAAAGAATAAGTTCACTAAGTTTTGGGTTGAGTTTTAGTTGATTTAACATGTTTCAGCACAGTTAAATGTTTCAACATGCTATCTTTTAGTATTCTTTTTGTGAAATTTTGTTAGCTTACTATCTGTTTTGATGATACTGTAATGGTAGGTACCTTTCATTATACATTTCTCAAAACCCATCAAATGTACAACACAAGAGTCAACCCTAATGTAAACTGTAGACTTTAGTTAATAATGTATCAATATTGGTTTATCGGTTATAATAAATGTACTGCACTAATGCAAGATGTTAAAAATAGGGGAAACTGTAAGGTGAGGTAGGAGAGGGTGTGGGTGGAATTTTCCATACTTTCCACTTACATTTTCTATAGACCTAAAACTGCTCTAAAAATGAAAGTCTATTAATTTTTTTAAAAAATCAATTAATTTTTAAAAACAGTCTATTAGTTTAAAAATCTGTTTTGTAAATTTTACAATAAAAAACCCCAACAGTATTAAAATTGTCCTTTAAATCAGGCTTTTGGGAACTGAGCCTCATTGCTCATTGCCCTTCCTTGCTGCAAGATGACTGCCCAAGATGAAGTGGAATGAGGACAGAACTTCCTTCCTTGTCCAAGCCTGGCCACTGAGCACTCTCATCCAAGCTCCTGGAAAATAGAATTGGAGTACTGCAAATAGTGGACCTCACACTGCATTATATTTTGTGTTTTCTTCATTTCAGCAATTTTATATGCTTTTATGTTTTACTCTCACAGAATTACTTTTGAAGAAATATTTCCTCATAATTTTTGTAATACATTTTACACGATAGGTAGAATTTGGGTTTCTAATTAATGGTATATAATACTAGCTAGAGAAACAGTAACTTATGTTGAGAGAGAGAGCTTTTTCTTGGTCTTTATGCAACAGCAAAGAAGTTATTATGCTGAAATACAGTAAGTGTGTTTTCTCAGTGGCATTCTATTCACCTTGTTGTAAAAATATATATATAAGTCTCAGTTTTAGTCTCTGGCACAATGGGAGATTTTTCAACATAGAAGCTTCTTGGCTGGTTGTCACAGAGGAATCTCTAGGCTAATTAAACCCTCATCAGTCAGAGGAGGGCTCAGAGCAGGGCTTCATAGTAGCTGCCCTGAGGGGAGCTAGACAATCTAAAGAAAGTTTTCAATGATCCTGTATTCAGAGGATAGACTGTCTAGCTGCAAGGCTAGAGCCTACATTTATGACAAAGGTTCAGCACATACCCAAAGCAGCTAATAGTAAAGGCAACTGAATTCAAGAGCAATCTGGAGTTGAAGAGTGCCAAATACTTACAGAGTTAGGAGGCACAGAAAAGTGGTGAACTCATGAGCTCTGGAGTCCATAGAAACTCGGGTTCTACTCCAAGCTGTGTAAACTTGGGCAGGTTACTTCACTTCTTTGGGTCTCAAATCCCACATCTGTGGAATGAGAAAAGTTGAGGTCATGTCTCTCAAGAGCCAGGTAAAGTATAGTAAGTGAGGGTCATATTGCAGTTGTTAAGAGTAGTAGTAGCAGTAGCATCAGTAGTTACATCCTGAAAAAGGTGCACATTTCCAAGAAGTTGAGACGTAACTCAGTGGAAAGTAAGGAGGCTGGCTTACAAGATGGAAGCTTGTATTTCCAAGGCAGTAGGAAGGAACAAGTCAATGTTTTGAGGTAAGACTAAGAAAGGGAATTTCATTTGAGGAATTTATATGAAGTACAGTTGATCCAGTGTTATAATGTAGGGAATGCTATCCGAAGCTTTGGTAGAGCAGTGCAAAAGGCAAAAAGAGAATTCGTTCAAGAATCAGAAGACCTGAAGTCTAGACTAGGCTTTACCTTCCGGGTCCTAATTCCTCTCCTGGCTAGCTGTGTGACACTCTGGGCAGGGCAAATCCTCTCTGGGACTCAAGTCATTCATCCATGAGATAGGATGTGTGGTCTCTGAGAGTCACTCAAGCCTTGTGGCAAATATGAATCTACATGCTTGGGCAGAAAAGTGGCATGATTAAAACAGTAAAGCAATTGCTTTACCAGTTCTGTGCAGAATTGATTGAAGTGAAAAATAATAGAGGATTGAAAAGAAGTTACATTTACAAAGTAATCTCCCGGTGGCACAACAGAAAGGACTGGATCTCTAAACTTGGTGCAGAATGGATATTAGAGGCCCATGAATTGAGAGAGTGGCAATCACATGAAAATTGCTGAAACAGAAAGTAATTATTTGTAGAGGAAAGGGAATATGATAAGCTTATTTTTCAAAGATGTTAAGTGTCAGGACATGGCAGGATATCTTTAATATTGATGAATGACCAATAAATTAGATTTAGTGGTTTGATATAAGTAGGATAGATGTTACACATTTTTATTACCAATTTATTGTATTGAAGATTTTTTTTAAAAACTGATAAAATTCATATAAGAGCACAAAGGTCCAAGGACAGCCAAGACAAATTTGAAGAAGAGAAACAAAAAGGACGGATTCACTCCATTAGATATCATGAGTTCGTGTACTACTTTATCAACTAAAATAATGTGGTGTTAGGAGAGGGTCAACACATCCATGAATGGATTCACAGAACCTGCTCTTACATCAGACCTCACTATATACAGATGAGACCTTAAAAGACAGTGGGCGTTGTAAGTAACTTTGCTATCCATATGAAAATAATGTAATTAGAACCCTACCTCATGTCGTATTCCAAAATAAATCCCAAATGAATTAAAGACACAAATGTGAACACACAACAAATATATTTTTATAATTCGGGGATGGAAGGATTTCTTAAACTAAACACAGAAAGCATAAATCTTAAAGGGAAAGGTTTATCAATTTGACTACATCATTGCTGGTGAGAGCAATACATTTAGAGAGCATTTGGTAGTATACAGTGAAGGTGAAGATGCATATATTCTAGATCCAGAAAATCTAATTCTTGTTATAGACTTTAAAGAAATTTGAACATTTATGCATAAGGAGACATGCTGCACAGTACAGCTGTGAAAAATTGGATGCAACCTAAATGCATATTATTAAAATAATGGATAAGTAAATAATAATGGAATAGGATAAGTCAATAGTAATGGAATGTTCCATATCTATTAAATTTTTTAAAATCTTAATCCACATGTATTGATATGGGTAGATCTTAAAAATAAAATATTGAATGAAAATAAGATGTAGAAAATAAAATTCTCACGAAAAAATACTATATACCAATTAGGGATTCATATAAGTATAGTAAAAATATAGACAATAAATGGTCAGAATATACTTCTACTTCAGGACAGAAGTTATTTTAGAGAGGGAGAAGGAAAAATAATACCAGGGAAGAGATTAAACATTCTTCAACTCTAAGCACAAGGTTTTATTTTTTTAATTAATAAAGAAAATCTGTTCATATATTAAAATTCTTAATGGTATGTAATACACATTTGTTATATTACTGTTGATGTTTTTCTATATGTTTGAAATATTTCAAGATAAAAAATTAGCATTAGTAGCATGCTTTTTTCACTCCAGGAATTTAAATATTATCTGTGTATAATTGTTTGAATTTTAAGGTATTATTATTACTGTTTTGGAAGTGTTTGGAAATTCTACCTCAAATTTTCAGAATTTTTTTGTTTTAGTTCTTCATTTCCTCAAATTGTTTAATAAAAATTATATATGAAAGAAAACACTGATGTTACAAAGCATTCTTGGCTTATAAAGAAATTCACTGCATGGCTCCACTTCAATTTTGATCATTAATTACTAGATAGACAAGGAAAAATGAAAGCTAGAGTCCAGGGACCATTACCAATGGGAAGTATAGTATGTTAGTGGGTTAATAAAATTCGATTCACTAAAATTTACTCCCTAATACCTTTCAAACATGGAAGTGCTCTGTAAAATGAGATATACCAGTAAATTCCATAGTGTAATTCAGGCTCTTGGGACTTTAGACCCCTTTGATCTTGTCACAAATTGGCTCCTGGAAACCAGAAGGCCTCCAGGACTCAAGTCTCCAGGGACCTTACCCCTGAAGCATCTCAAAACAAATAAAGTGGCTGAGACAGACGCTGGACCCAGACAGAATGGCAACCATTTCACGAAATTAACCCCAAACGATATGAACAGACAATTCTCCACATGTAATTATGGTTTTTGTTATTTTTCCCCCATGAAAGCATTCTGTTACTTTGGCTTAAATGCAACAGATAGAGGTATTCAGCCTGGGCTAGCCATATTTCCGATCCATATTTCAATAGATTATCCTGAATTGGCCTCCTGGAAGCATTTATGCTGACCAGTTTTGAAAACCTCTTTGTCAGCCCTCACCCTTACCTGCTAACACCCGCCGTAATGGATGAAAGCAGGGGGTGACGATAATCACTGTCTGCTGCCCAGCCCCGAGTGAGCTGCCTGAGTCTGCACAACAGTCCGTCTGGAGAAAAAAAAAAAAAGAAAAAGGAAATAAGGGGCGTAATTCAATGAATACTTGGAAACCAAGCTCGAGGGTTTCTTTTTCCTTTTAAAGGAGTAGTGATATCAGAAGCAGGATTATGAAAAAGAAAGAGTTAGTAAAAATAGGATCTTTGTGAATTAGAATAGTGAGGCCATTTCAAATTGAATTACACAGGATCATGGCAATTAGAATTGGAAAAGATCTTTCAGTCTTTCTCTGTCAAAGCATGATTACTCCCAATGGGATATTCTTCCAGGCTTAGTCCAGTCCAATTTTGAATGATTCAAGTGATCGAGCCTTCTCAGCTTCTCTTGGGATATCATTTCTGAGTCTGAAATAGCTAATTGCTAGGAGATCCCCCCTCCTATTTTTCTTTGCCTTATTTCCATTATTCTGTTTTGTATTTCCCCGACTCACCTTAAAACTATTTGAATTTAATTTTAAGTGCATATGAGCAACACAAAATGACTAAACCCAGCTGAGGCTGGGTCATTATGACTCAGTTTATGTCTCTCACTCTCTTTCACACACACACACGAATATTTGCATATGCATACAACAAACATACATACATTCACACACGTATTCACATGCATACGCACACAATTAGAAAATGTTATGCAGCCACAATGTGATTTTTTTAAGAAAAGTTTTATGAGAAAAATTAATAAAGGCCCCTAACTTTTAGATCATTCATTGATTTTTTAAAAATCACAAAAACATCAATAACCTACTGCTTTAAAACTGATAGAGGCAACAAAGAGAAAACCTAAATGTTATTTTGCTTGTGAATATTTTTTAACATGAATAAAATAATATGATCTTTTAATATAGTATTATATTAACTATAATCTATTTAGCATAATTAGCATAAATAATATAGATATAAAATATGGTACTAATACCATAATTATATTTATAAAAAATATTTTATTCAAACTTTTTAAATCCATTGAAACAACACTGACTCACATATATATATAATTTTATGGATGGACTTGTTCTTACACTAAATATGGTTTGAGCTTTGAGTAAGTTTGAGAGCCTGTGGGAACAGCTTGAGGTATTCAAGGTTAATGGAGGTTGCTTAAGGGTATTTAAATTTGATCAAAGAATTTATATAGCTTTCCATGTCTTTTCCAAAGAGCTGCCCCAAAGTATTTTTCACACCTGTCAATCAACCAGCCAATATCCAATCAGGTAGGAATCTGAGTACTCGGAAAACAGAGAAAAATGTAAACAAATGATTTTAGCTTTCTTCAAAGTATGAAATTCATTGTTTTCATGGGCATGATTTTTTATATCATTCATTCATAAAATTTAATCTGGAACAAACCTTAGAGATCATGTAGCTCCGTGACTTTACAGTCATGGTCTGGAATAATTATAAAAAGAGTCTTTGCAGCAATTTAAACTTTTGAATTTGTCAGTTGAATAAGTTTTCATTAAATATGTGTATTGAACATGTTTTTACTTTAAATTTCTTTATAAATCTTCTAAAAATTATAGGAAAGGAATTTAAAAAAACAAAAGAAATGTGAGAGGAGATACTAAAGACACACACATTTTTTGGAAGATAAAAGCAAATGGAATAGTAAATAAATAAGCTGAATGAAAGAGCTGATAATACTTAACAATTTTGGAACATTCATTATGTGCTAAGCATTATTACAAAGCTTCACATAATTTATTTTAGTTAATATTATGATAATGCTGTGAGGTAAGTAACATTATCTCCATTTAATAGGTGATGAAGCTGAGGCAGAGCGAGTTCACAAGAAAGCTGTTAAGTGGTAGAACTGGTACATAAATCCAGAGAATCTAACTCTCACGGCTATACAAAGGGGAGTATCAATGACAAACAAGCTAAATTGCCCCTCCAAACCTTGAAAAGGCTCTGTAATTGGGGGCACTTTCACTGGAAGGTAGAAGGAGTGATTGACAGGACTAAAACAGAGTGATTAGGTGAAAGACTAGAAAGAAAACACAGGCTACTAGCTCCCTTTTACCCCTTCAAGTGGGGCAGAGGATTGGAAGATTCTTTATGGCAGAAACTGAATCTCCTTAAAACAATACTTGCACTAACTGACATCATGGGTTCCTATATAAAAGCCAGCTGAATACCTGAAGCCCACAAAGTGCCTAACTGTCTACACATCCTATCCATGTACAGAGAACTTCCAATTAGATTTTACGGCATCACTCTTGATGTCTATTTCTGTGGACCGCTTTATCTCTTGATAGTAGGTTGCTTTTCCCTTGCTTTTTTGTGTCTTATTATCTTTGATTGAATGCTAGGTAGTGTGTGCAGAAGACCAATGGAGACTGAGGAAAACATCATTTGAATATGTATGTGAAAAAAGTAAACCTTTACCTCTATCTCATAAGATACACAAAATTAGTTAAAGATGGATCATACACCTAATTATAAAAAAATGAAGTGTTTAGAAGAATTTATAGGAGAACATATCCATGATCCTATAGTAGAAAAAATTTCCTAAAGGGCACGAAAAGCACTAACCAAAAAAAAAAGTAAATTGATATGTTGGACTTCATTAAAATTAAGGAACTTGGTTCATCACAAGATATTATTAACAATAAAAACTAAAGACACAAATAGGATGGATATATTTGTAATAAATATCTGATGTCTGACAAAACGCTAATGAGATCATACAAAGAACTCCTTCAGATAAGTAAAAGACAACCTAATTTGTAAAAATGACTGAGAGACTTGAAAACAAATACAACAAAAGAGTATACGGAAATGTCTAAAAACATAGGAAAATGCACTTAACATTGGTCATCAGGGATACGACTAAAATGACAATGGGAAGTCACCATAAAACCACCATAATGGCTTAAATTGAAAAAACTGACAACATCAAGTGTTGGGGAAGATCTGGAGTAATTTGAACTCTTACACATTGTTACCTGGTGTGAGCATAAATTGATGCAACTATTTTGGAAAACTGTTCATCAGTGTCACCAAATCTAAACACATACCTACCACACAACTCAGGAATTCTCCTCCTAGGTATTTACCCAAGAGAATTTGGTACATACGTCTACCAAAACTTGGTAAAAGAATGTTCATAGTATTTTTTTTCATAATAGCCTCAAATTGAAAATTATCAAAATATCAATGGGAAAATGGATAAAATATTTATAACATGTATACACAGTGGAATATTTATACAATAGTTATTAAATTAACAGCACTTAGAATAATAATAGTAATTGTAATCACAATTACAATTTTTAAAAAAAGAATCAGCTATTACTACATGTAACAACATGGATAAATCTCATAGGCAACATTTTTAGTAAAAAACTACTTAGAAAAACATATATATTTTATGTTTTGTTTATATGAAGTTTAAGTAAAGCCCAAAATATCTATGGTATTATTAGTTAGGATAGTGATTACCTCTGGAGGTTATTATCTGGGTGGAAATATTCTATATTTTGATTGGATATTGTTATATAAGTTTATACATATGCAAAAATTTATCAAACTGTTCATTTAAGATCATCGTGCATTAATGAATATACATTACTTACTCCTTAATGAAAAATGTTAGAAGTTCTTTAAAAAAAAAATGGTCAGCTAAGGTCATCACACATTTGAGGAAAACCTCTAAAACAGAACACAGATAAAACAATAATTATTTTTCTCACAGAGTCAAGAGGCTACATATATGACATCTATGAAATAGTGAAATTTTTTTTAAAAAGATGGAGAACAAGAGATAGTTATTTAAAAAAGGATAAATAAAATGTAAACATTTCATATAAAATAAAGTTAAAGTTATCTAGAAAGCAGAAAAAATATTGTGAGATAGTCAATAAAAAATTAGATTTTTTAAAAATTTAGTTTCTCCAGGCAAACATGCTTATCACATGTCACAGTAGTCCTTGCCACTGATGATTTCACTCTTCTAACCCTGCAAAGGACTTGCGCATACTATCCCAAAACAAGGCTGCTGAGTGCTACAATACTATCGATGTGTTTTTTGGTCCATTTTTGTCAACTCATCCTCGTGTATGTTTCTTTTTCTCTCTTTCTCTCTTTTTTTAAGATATGGTCTTGCTCTGTCACCCAGGCTGGAGTGCAGTGACATGCTCATGGCTCGCTACAGCCTTGACCTCCCAGGCTCAAGAGATCGTCCCATGTCAGCCTCCCAAGTAGGTGGGCCCACAGGCATGCGCCCCTATGCCTGGCTAATTTCTTTTATTTTTTGTAGAGACTGGGACTTGGGCTCAAGCAGTCCTCCTGCCTCAGCCTCTCAAAGTGCTGGGATTACAGGCATGAGCCACCACACCTGGCTGGTGTACATTTCTCTAGAGTAAAAGAACCACAAACACACACACATACACGTATATGTGTGTGTACGTGTATACATGCTATACATATATACGTATATATGTGTGTATACATATATACGTATATATGTGTGTGTATACATATATACGTATATATGTGTGTGTATACATATATACGTATATATGTGTGTGTATACATATATACGTATATATGTGTGTGTATACATATATACGTATATATGTGTGTGTATACATATATACGTATATATGTGTGTGTATACATATATACGTATATATGTGTGTGTATACATATATACGTATATATGTGTGTGTATACATATATACGTATATATGTGTGTGTATACATATATACGTATATATGTGTGTGTATACATATATACGTATATATGTGTGTGTATACATATATACGTATAGTATGTGTGTGTATACATATATACGTATAGTATGTGTGTGTATACATATATACGTATAGTATGTGTGTGTATACATATATACATATATGTGTTTGTACATGTTTATACATATATACATACATACATGTTTAGATATACGTTTATATGTATATATGTATACACATACATTATATATAGTTATATACACATACATATGTGTGTATGTGTGTGTGTGTGTGTATATATATATATATAGAGAGAGAGAGAGAGAGAGAGATTATTACAAGGAACTGGCTTACATGATTATGGAGGCTGAGAAGTCCAGACCCAGGAGAACCTATAGTGTAGTTCCATCTGAGTCTGAAGGTCTGAGAAGCAGGCGAGCTGATGGTGTTAGTTCGAATCCATGTGGAAAGACAGAAGAAAAACTATGTCCCAGCTGGAAAACTGTCAGAGAGAAAGAACTTTTTCTTACTCAGTCTTGTATTCTTTTCAAACCTTCAATTGATTGAATGAGGCCCACCCACACTGGGAGAGACGGGCAAATCTGCCTGCCTGGGTCTACTGATTCAATTATTAATCTCAGCCAGAAGCACCCTCATAGATACATCCAGAATAATGTTAGACTATATATCTGGGCACCTTATGGCCCAGTCAAGATGCCACATATACTCATTCATCACACTTCATAACAACTATTTCTTCACCTATAATTGGCCACTATAATTTTTTGAACAAAATTGAGAAAACATATTCATTAACTTTTACATACTTTTATTTGGTAGATGAAGTTTCAAAAGATGGTCTATTTGAGAAAGAACATAAAAAATATGGTCCTTGGTGGTTAACAAAAATAAAATGGTAAGAGAAGTGGGAATAGTTTGACCCAGACCTTTTGATATGTCACAGTACTTATTATCATTTAACCCTCTGTATTGATCCATTTTAAAATATTGCATGTTATCATTTCAAAATCAATTCTGCTCATCTTAAATAAATCATTGTACATTATAAAAATTTGGATAATATGGTAAGACACAGAGAAAAAAATCAACCATGATTCTTCAGCACAGAGATGATTACTATCGATAGTTAAGAATTCTATGTTCTTTTTTCTCTGTCACCATATACACGTTTTGGAGGGCAAAACTGATATCATACAGAAAAATTAAGTAAATGTTTTTCCTTTAATAGTGGAAAATATTGTGGATCTCTTCTTATGTAGCTAGTGTAGATTTATAAAATCACTTTTTTTTTTTTGTTTGAGATGGAGTCTCACATTCTTGCCCAGGCTGGAGTGCAGTGGCATGATCTCAGCTCCCTACAACTTCTGCCTCCTGGGTTCAAGCAATTCTCCTGCCTCAGCCTCCTGAGTAGCTGGGATTACAGGTGCATGCCACCATGCCCAGCTACTTTTGTATTTTTTAGTAGAGATAGGTTTTGCTATGTTGGCCAGGTTGGTCTTGAACTCTTGACCTCAGGTGATCCACCTGCCTCTGCCTCCCAAAGTGCTGGGATTACCGGAGTGAGCCCCCATGCCTGGCCATAATATCACCCTTAATGCATAATATTTCATCATATAGATCCTCCATGATTTACTTGCCATTCTATTATTGTTAATCCCTAAATTTGTTTCAATTTAAAAATTATGATAAATGATATAAAATATAACAACAATGTGAAATATTTGCACATTTTTAAAGTATTTGGCTCTTATTGCCAAATTGCCTTTAGAAATGTTGTCACAAATACACTAGGTGCTGCATAAAGTAGCTGTTTTACTGATCTGTAGCCAAGCAAGGAAATTATCATTTTTATAAAATCCTCAACAATCAAAAGGAAAAAAATTGTAACTTGTTGGTTTTTAATTTTGAATTTCTATGTTTCTGATATTGTTGAACATTTCTTCATATATTTATTGGCCATGTTATGTCCTCCTCTTATGAATTGCCCATTCATGATGTTTTCCCAAGTTTCAATTGTGGCTTTTTTTTCTCTTTTTCTTATTAATGTGTAAAAACTTAATAAATTAAGCATATCAGGACAAACAATTTTCAAACGCTTTTCCTCTTTTGTTGTTACTTTTGTTTGTTTAACAAATTATACATGTCAACATGAAGGAACATTTGTGAATGGAAAGATAAGTGAAAACACCAGGGTCAAAAGGCTTAACAGGAAGCATATACTACTTTAAACATGGCTGTGTTTGAAAAACATAGCCGAAGAGTTCATCACTAAATCAAAAAGCAGAAGTCTGGAAGAATTGTTCTTACAGTTAAAATGTATTTTTGGGAGTCTCTCCTATGTTTGTATTACATAAGCAAGGCATTAACAGGATAAAGTCTCTCCCAAAAACCTACTAAGAAGTCAATTCTTTGAACGACAATGGAAATTGTTCTTTTCAGGAATGAATATGTCTTTTGGCTAAACATGGATAAAAGCTTTTGCTCAATATGGCATAATAACTCCAGCAGGCTCACAGCAGCAAAACTAAGTCTGTCTCAAAGTGTCTTATTACAATGAAATCAAATGTAACCTCTTAAACCCAAGACGTAAATCACTCACTTTTCTCTTCTTTCAAACAGTTTTTGAGTATATTACCATAAATACTACCTGTCACAAGACTGATAGCTGTCAGTAGCTCAAAAATATGAATAAAATTGAAAATGCATTTGAATATGGGAATCATAATAGCATTTTGTAGAGAGGTGACAGTAATAATAGGCTATGGCAGACAAGAAAAAAAAACCCCTCAGTAATAGTAAAATCTAGAAAACTTTCTTCAAATTAAATAAAATCCCAAATCAGTCTTACCAGAGTTATATTTCCACCAAATATAACAGTCAATAAAATACTACTGGCCCTCAGTAGTCTGTAGCACTGGCAAATTGAGTTCACTTTGTGAATTTTTATATTGAAAGTATATATCAAGTTGCAGGGCATAATTTCAAAACTGCACAATCTGAGTTTATGTTTCATTCCAAATGATACCTGAAACTCTCATTAATAGTTCTCCAACAAGGTAAAAATTAACCTCTCCTGAATTTTAAATTACATTTTTAAATCATTAGCTGAAATGAATAAATCCCAGTTATTTAAATAAATACAGACTTTTAAATGACCCAAGTCAATGTATTTTAGATAAAAGAAGTTTTTTCCAAATGTTCAAACTCAATTTGTATCTCTTTTGCATTTTCTGATTTTAAAAACATAGTATTACACGCAGCAACTTAGGTGAAGCTCAAGGACATTATGCTAAATACAAAAAGCCAACCCAACGTTTATATACTTTATGATTCCATTTGTACAACCTCCTTGAAATGACAAAGAGATGGAGAAAAGATTAGTGGTTGTCGGGGTTAGGGGTGGAGGTAGGTGTGACTAATAAAGGGATAGCATGACAGACTTTCTTTGTGTTGCTTGAATACTTCTGTATCTTGATTGTGGTAGTAGTTATAGAAATCTATACATGAAATAAAATCGCATAGAACAACACACACACATGCACACAAACACACGAGTGCATTTAAAAACTGGTGAAAATTGAACAAAGTCTGTTGTCTATTGAATGTTTTGTACCCATGTCAGTTTCCTGGTTTTGATATTGTGCTACAGCTATATAAGATGTCACCACCGGAAGAAACTGCTTGAAGGGCTCATGAGGCTCTATGTATTAATTTTGCAACTTTCTGTGTATCTATGATTATTTCAAAATAAAATGTTTTTTAAAGCACAATATCCATTCAGTCAAACTTTCAAAGTCATATAGACAATTGTTAGAAAGAAAGCAAATTAGAGCTCTTAGCAGCCAAATTATATGTCAAGAATTCACGCACTAACAAATTCATTTTATTTATTGGAGAATTCCTCAGGTTCTCATGAAATGCCTATTTGCTCTTCGAATGCATTTTTTTTGTACTTGATAATCTGGTTTCCACAACTATAACAGACACATTCACTCAATGCTGTACCTCAGGCTAAATAAATCAGCAGCTCTGAGGTTAGAGACAAACACCTTGATTTAAAACAAACAAACAAACAAACAACAACAACAACAACAAAAAAAACTACTGTCCCCAGGTGATCCTGATATGCAGCCAGGATTGAAAACCATGGCTATAAATGGTAATCGAACCTACCAGAGTGGATGAGATCATCCAAAGAGATTGTATGGCAGTGGTTCTAAACCTTGGCTGCATAAAGGAATCACCTGGAAACTCTAAAATATACTGATGTCTGGTTCCTCTCCCCAGAGAATCTGATTTACTCGATCTGGGGTATAGCCTGGGAATCAGGATTTGGAAAAGCTCCCCAGTGCTTGTAATAATCAATCAAGGTTGTCAACCACTGTTACACATATACAGAAATAAGAAAGGTCAAAGTCAGAACCCTGAGGAATATTGACTTTAAATCATGAAAAGAGAAACTCATAAAGATAATCATAGAAATGTAGAAATAAGGGCAAAAAAGGACTAGAAAATGGCATTATAGAAGCCAGAAGAAGCAAGTATTTTAAGAAGTAGAAAATAGACAACAATATCCAATGCAACTAAGAAGTACAGTAAGGTGACAACAGTAATCATAGCCATTAATTATAGTACTTGCTACATTCAGGGAGTAGGTAGACACTTGACAAGAATTACCACATTACATTTTTACAACAAACTCATGAATTTCATGAGTAAATAATAAATAACAAAATGATTACTGTTTTCATTGGAAATTGGAGGTGAAAGAGGGCACGGAACTTCCTGTGATGGCACATCTGGTTAAGGACAAAATCAGATCTACAGCCTACAGTCTGGAAAGTGTTGAATTTAGCTCCACAGAGCTCTCAGCTTTAGATTTTTATTTTGCTTGTGTGGTATATTTTGGGATGCGCTTCCAGGGCAACACTCCTCCCTTATTATCGGAAACTTTTCTCTTTATTTGTCCCTAATATTTATGTTCTAGTCAATTTGATTTTGATTCCTCCTAGTGTATCCTGAAAACTCATGAAGGAAGATTTGTCAGGTATCCCTGAAATTCTGGAAGATGTAACCTGACACAGCATGGTGGAATCTTCCCAGGGTTGTGCAGTTTTTTGCATTTACTTACAATCTGAATCCTGTGAGGACTTTCCTCACTTTTGCTGGTTGTTGTCAGACCCTTCCCCCAGGTAGCATAGTGTCCCCTCTTTTGGGAGGTATGTGTTGATGATTTTTTTTTATTTCCCTGGCTTGTACGATACGTTGGTAGACATCTTTTTTATTTCCCTACCAGCCCTACCACACAATTATTTATCTTGGTGCTTTGTGCATGCTCCCTTCTATTCTGGAAAATGTAGGGATTCTTTTTCCCAGTTTTTTGAATACATCATCCATAATTTTCCCCCTACAATCCTAATTAGTCTGCTTTGTTTTCAGGGGGAGTTTCTGGGAGACTAAAAGACTCCACTGTCATATCTACTAAAGCTAAACAGTGGATAAGGCCTACACTATGACCCAGCCCTCTCATTCCTAGGTATATTCCCAATAAAAGTGCATACATATGTTTTCAAAATGTATGTAAATGAATATCCACAGCAACACTATTTGTGATAGCCCCAAACTTGAAACAACCCAAATGTCATTTGTATAATGGACACATAAACTTTGGTATATTTATACAATGAAATTCTATATAGCAATGAAAATGAACAAACTACAACTATCTTTAACAGCAAAAATGTATCTCATAAATGTAACACTGAGAAAAAGAAGCCTGACAAAAGAGTAAATATTGTATGCTTCCATAATAACAAGTCCAAAGCTATTTGGAGACAAAATAGTAGTTACTTTTGTAAATGGAAGGAAAGAGTAGCACAGGAAGGATCAAGAAAGCCCAGGAAGGCTTTTGTGTTTCTGAGAATGTTTTTTTTCTTGATGTGGGGGCTGGTTAAATTGGTTTGTTTGCTCTGCAAAAATTTATTCAGCTGTATGTTTATGATCTGTACATTCTTTTCCATGTATGTCAAATTATGATTAAAATTTTACATAAAATATGTACATACTAGCAAAATGCACTGAAATGCTATATAATTTGCATGTTAATGAAATGAATCCAACTGTACATCAGCTGGAAAGAAAAAAGATACATTTATAAAATCCTCCTGTCACAGTGATAAGTCCCTATAAGCATATTACATCTGCAATCAAAAGAAAGAGTTAGGCCTCTGTGTTATTAGCCATCATAGTCACCAGGATGTAAAAATACACATGAAATTTAGCAGCTTTGCAAGTACATGTTTTAGGACTACAAGACTGATAAATGTTCTTCACTTACCTTTAATAAATAAAAACATGACCTTCTTCCCTTAAACGTTATCTAGAGACAATTCTAGATTTCCCCATGAAAGTAGGACCAAAACTGGAAGTTTCTCATCACTTATGTAAGATTCTTAGCAGTTGCCAGTCTGTCCAAACAAGTAAAAAGCTGAACAAACTGAAAAATCAATAATTCTTAGATTAATCAGGGAAATGAGGTCACAGGGCAAACTGCTACCCCCAGAACTGGAGAGACAGAAAGGTAGACACAGAGAATCACAACTTACCTGAGACAGAGCCTCTGTAGGAAGCAGTGCTGGGGTAGGAAAACCTAAAGTGTAACCGATGAAATGCTGGAGGCTTGGTGTAGACAAGCCTCAGAGTTAAAAACTCCAGGAGGACCCAATCACAGAGAAGCCCCACACTTTTGTGAGTCCTACCACCTGGAGCTCTATTAGGTTCTCATGGTAAATATGTAAGAAAAATCCCCTGGTGCTTCTGGAGGGAAGGAGAAAAAAACATATACAAAACATACCAAAGCATTCTGCTCTTCTTAACACAGCCTGCCCTCAGGGGAAAGTATTTTACTACAGCCCAAACTTCTGGGGTATTCTCAGGGCCTAACTGACCTGGGGGAAGGGAGATACCCAGCTCCAGCTCCCTCTGGCCTTCTATGTGGGAGAAGGGAAATATCCAACTCCAGCCCCTTCTAGCCATCCTGTCCCACCTAAGGGGTGAAAAACTGAGAAGCACCCATGAAGTTCACAGCCCAAAGGCACAGACTTACCAAAAGATTGAAACCTAATCATAGGACTATAGAACACTTCCTCTCCCCCAACACCTTATTACTACATCACTGAAGTTTAGCTATCAATAAAAAATCATAAGACATATTAAAGAGGCAACAACAGCTTGAAGATAATGAACAAACATCAGAACCGGAGTCAGATATGGCAGGAATGTTGGAATTATCAGACCAGAAATTAAAAAACAACTATAATTAATATGCTTTAATTAAAATGGATTTAATGGATTTAAGTACACAACATGCAAGAACAGATAGATAACGTATGCAGAGAGATTTAAAAAATCAAGGAGAAATGCTAGATGTAAAAAGAAAATATCAAAAAGAAATGCTAAAGATTAAAAACGTTGTAAAATAAATGAGTAACTTTGATGGGCTCATTAGTAGACTGGACATGGCTGAGGAAAGAATCTCTTAACAACAATAGAAACTTCTAAAACTGAAAAGCAAAGAGAAAAAAGACTGAATAAAGCCAGTACAGAATTCTAAGAATAGGCAGGTCACAGTGGCTCACATCTGTAATCCCAGCACTTTGGGAGGCCGAGGCAGGTGGATCAGGAGGTCAGGAATTCGAGACCAGACTGACCAGTATGGTGAAACCCCGTCTCTACTAAAAATATAAAAATTAGCCAGGCGTGGTGGTGCACACCAGTAATCCCAACTACTCAGGAGGCTGAGGCAGGAGAATTGCTTGAACCTGGGAGGCAGAGGTTTCAGTGAGCCTAGATCGTGCCACTACACTCTAGCCTGGGTGACAGAGCAAGACTCTGTCTTAAAAAAAAAAAAAAAAAGAATTCCAAGAATAATGGGACAGCTAAAACAGTCTAACACACATGTAGTGAGAATACCAGAAGGAGAAGAAACAGAGGAAGGAAGAGAAACAATATTTGAAGCAGTAATGACTGAGGATTTCCCTCACATTAATGTCAGACATCAAGCCACAGATCCAGAAGCTCAGAGAACACCAAGAAGAATAAATGCTCCAAACTTCTACACCTAGTTATATCATATTCAAACTTCAGGAAATCAAAAAAAAATTTTTTTTAATTTTGAAAGAAACCAGAAGTAAAAGACACTTTACCTATAGAGAAGAAAGATCAAAATTCTGTCTGACTTCTCGAAAACTATGCAAGCAAGAAGAGAATGGAGTGAAATATTTAAAGTGTTGAGAGAAAAAAATCACCAACTTAGACTACTCTGAAATACTTTTTCACAAGGGAAGGAGAAATAAAGATTTTCTCAAACAAAAGTGGAAGAATGTGTTGCCAGTAGACCTGCCTTGTGAGAAATGTTAAAAGAAGTTCTTCAGAGAGAAGGGCAATGATATAGATCAGAAACTTGGATCTATGTTTAAAAAAAGAACAGTGTCAAAGAAAGAATAAGTGAAGGTAAAATAAAAACCTTATTTTTCTTATTCTTAATTGATCTAACAGATAAAAGTTTGTTCAAAATAATATAAACAATGTATTTGATTACATATGCCTATATAAAATATATATGTTATATATATATATTTGCTTGTGCATACATGAAATGAATGACAGCAGTGATTCAAGGGATAGGAGGGAATATTTTGTTACTACAAGGTACCTGTACTAGCCATGAAGTAGCACATTGTTATTTGTTAATGAACTTGAATTAGTTGTAAATGTATAGTGCAAATTCTAGGGCAACCACTAAAACAAGTTTTAAAAATGTGTAATTTATATGGTAAGAAAAGACAGAAAATGAAATAATATACAGTGCTTAATTAAAACCACAAAAGGCAAGGAAATTATGGAACGCAAAAATAAAAACAAAAAATAAGGGCAAAATAACTTGGAGAGGGGCCAAGATGGCCAACTAGAAATAGCTGTGGGAGGCTCCCACAGAGAAGAAGGTAAATGGCAAGTGAATTGTGCACCAGCAACTGAGGTATCCAGGTTCTCTCACTGGGACTGACTAGGCAGTTGGTGTGACCCATGGAGAGTAAGGAAAAGCAGGATGGAGTAACAGCCTACCAGGGAACTGCACAGGGCTCACCCCTAGCCAGAGGAGGTGGTGAGTGATTTTGCTACCCCACCCAGGAAACCACACTCTGTACACGGATCTGTGCATCCTGAGTATCACGAGATCCCCCTCATGAGCCACACCACCAGAGCCTTGGGTCCCAAGCACAGAGCTGTGCAGATTCTTGGCAGCCACTCAGCTGGAGACTGCCTAAGATGACCGAGTTCGGGTGGTGGGGGGCGGCCACTTTCCCTGCAGCTGCCTGCTGCCTAAGATGACTATGCTCCCAGAGGGAGGGGTGGCAGCCATCACAGCAGCTGCTGGCTGCCTAACATAACCAAGTTCCCAGGTGGAGGGGCAACCATTATCACTGCAGCTGCCTGCTGCCTAAGAAGACTGAGCACCTGGCGAGGGGGGCATCAGCTATCACTGCAGCTCCAGTCTGTCAGTTTTCCCTTGCCAGTGCCAGGGAGACTGGGCACTTTGGACCCAGGAGGAATTCCCCACAGCGCAGCACAGTGGCTGTGACAGATTATGGCCAGACAGCCTCTTTAGGCTAGACCCTGACCCATCCCTTCTCACCACGCAGGGCCTCCCTTTGGGAATTTCAGCAACCCCAGCCAGGGCTGCAGTGGCTGCAGATCAGTGGACTTAAGCTTTCCCCTTGCTGGCTCTGAAGAATCCAGGCATTTCAGACGAGTGAGCTCCCCACCGCCCAGTGCAATGCACCCCCTCCACCAACCCGCAGCCAGAGTGCTTCATTAAGCAGGTCCCTGATCCCATGCCTCCTCACTGGGTGACACTCTCCCAACAAGGGTCACCAGACACATACAGGAACATTTCCACTGGCATCAGGCCAGTGCCCCTCTAGGACAGAGCTCCCAGAGGAAGGAGCAGGCAGCCATATTTGCTGTTCTGCAGCCTCCACTGGTGACAGGAGGGACCCAGATGAATAGGGTCTGGAGTGCACCCCCAGCAAACTGCAGCAGCCCTACAGAAGAGGGGCCTGACTGTTAAAAGAAAAACAAACAAACAGAAAGCAACAACAACAACATCAACAGAAAAGTCCCCACCAAGACCCCATCCAAAGATCAGCTACCCCAAAGATCAAAGCTAGATAAACTCACAAAGATGAGAAAGAATCAATGATAAAACACTGAAAACTCAAAAAGCCAGAATGCCTCTTCTCCTCCAAATGATTGCAATACCTCTCCAGCAAGGGCACAGAACTGGGCAGAGGATGAGATGGATGAATTGATAGAAGTAGGCTTCAGAAGGTGAGTAATAACCAGTTTTGCTGAGCTAAAGAAGCATGTTCCAACCCAATGTAAAGAAGCTAAGAACCATGATAAAACATTACTGGAGCTGCTAACCAGAATAACCAGTTCAGAGAGGAGCATAAATGATCTGATGGAGCTGAAAAATACAACACAAGAACTTAACAATGCAACCACAAGTATCAATAACTGAATAGACCAAGTGGAGGAAAGAATTTCAGAGCTTTAAGACTCTCTTGCTGAAATAAGACAGACAAGATTAGATTAAAAAAAATAAAAAGGAAAGAATAATACCTCCAAGAACTATGGGATTATGTAACAAGACTGAACCTATGGATGATTGGGGTATCTGAAAGAGATGGAGAGAACAGAACCAAGTTGGAAAACATACTTCAGGATATTATCCAGGAGAAATGCCCCAACCTAGCAAGACAGGCCAACATTCCAATTCAGGAAATCCAGAGAACCCCAGTAAGATACTTGATGGGAAGATCAACCCCAAGACACATAATCATCAGATTTTTTAAGGTTGAAATGAAGGAAAAAAATGTTAAGGCAGCCAGAGAGAAAGGCCAGGTACCTACAAAAGGAAGCCCATCAGACTAACAGCAGACCTCTCAGCAGAAACCCTACATGCCAGAAGAGATTGGGGGCTAATATTCAACATTCTTAAAGAATTTCCAGCCAAAAATTTCATATCTGGCCAAACTAAGCTTCATAAGTGAAAGAGAAATAAAATCCTTTCCAGACAAGCAAATGCTGAGGGAATTTGTCACCACCAAGCTGCCCTGCAAAAACTCCTGAAGGAAGCACTAAATATGTAAAGGAAATTCTGGTACCAGCCACTACAAAAACACACTGAAGTACAAAGACCAATGACACCATGAAGCAACTACACTAACAAGTCTGCAAAATAACCAGCTAGCATCATGATGACAGGATCAAATTCACACATAAAAATATTAACCTCAAATGTAAATGGACTAAATGCCCCAATTAAAAGACACAGAATGGGAAGCTGAATAAAGAGTCAAGACCCATTGGTGTGCTGTTTTCAAGAGACCCCTCTCACATGCAAAGACACATATAGGCTCAAAATAAAGAAATGGAGGAAAATTTACCAAGCAAATGGAAAGCAGAAAAAAGCAGGGGTTGCAATCCTAGTTTCTGACAAAGGAGACTTTAATAAGCCAACAAACATCAAAAAAGGCAAAGAAGAGCATTACATAATGGCAAAGGGTTCAATTGAACAAGAAGAGCTAACTATCCTAAACATATATGCTCCCAATACAGGAGAACCCAGATTCATAAAACAAGTTCTTAGAGACCTACAATGAGACTTAGACTACCACACAATAATAGTGGGAGAATTTAACACCCCACTGTCAATATTAGACAGATCATCAAGACAAAAAATTAACAAGGATATTCAGGACTTGAACTCAGCTCTGGATCAAGTGGACCTGATAGATATCTACAGAACTCTTCACTCAAAAACAACAGAACATACTTTCTTCTCAGCACCACCTGGCACTTACTCTAAAATCAATCACACAATTGGAAATAAAATACTCCTCAGCAAATGCAAAAGAACTGAAATCATAACAAACAGTCTCTCAGACCACAGTGCAATCAAAGTAGAACTCAAGATTAAGAAACTCACTCAAAACCACACAATTACATGGAAATTGAATAACCTTCTCCTGAATGACTCCTGGGTAAATAATGAAATTAAGGCAGAAATCAAGAGGTTCTTTGAAACCAGTGAGAACAAAGAGACAACATACCAGAATCTCTGGGATGCACTATTTTAGCTGCACTAAAGCATTGTTAAGAGGGACATTTATAGCACTAAATGCCCACACCAAAAATGTAGAAAGATCTCAAATCATCACCCTAACACCACAACTAAAAGAACAAGAGAACCAAGAGCAAACAAATCCCAAAGCTAGCAGAAGACAATAAATAACCAAGATCAGAGTGGAACTAAAGGTGATAGAGACATGAAAAACCCTTCAAAAAATCAACAAATCCAGGAGCTATTTTTTTGAAAAATTAATAAAATAGATAGACTGCTAGCTAGAATAATAAAGAAAAGAGAGAAGAATCAAATAGGCACAATAAGAAATGATAAAGGGAGTATCACCACTGACTCTACAGAAAGGCAAACAACCATCAGAGAATACTATAAACACCTCTATGCAAGTAAACTAGGAGATCTAAAAGAAATGGATAAATTCCTGCACACATACACCCTCCCAAGACTAAACCAGGAAGAATTATTGTGTGGGAGTCTGAATAGACCAATAACAAGTTCTGAAATTGAGGCAGTAATAAATAGCCTACCAACCAAAAGAAAGCCGAGGACCAGATGGATTTACAAATGAATTCTACCAGAGGTACAGAGAGGAGCTGGTACCATTTCTTCTTAACCTATTCCAAACAATTGAGAAGGAGGGACTCCTCCCTAACTCATTTTATAAGGGCGGCATCATCCTGATACCAAAACCTGGCAGAGATACGACAAAATAGAAACTTCAGGCCAATATCCCTGATGAACATTGATGCAAAAATCCTCAATAAAATACTGACAAACTGAATCCAGCAGCACATCAAAAAGCTCAACACATGGACACAGGGAGAGAAACAACACACACTGGGACCTGTCAGGGGATCAGAGGGAGTGAGACCATCAGGATAAATAGCTAATGCATGCGGGGCTAAACACCTAAGTGTTGGGTTGATGGGTGTGGCAAACCACCATGGCACACATTTATCTATGTAACAAACCTGCACATCCTGTGAACTTCAAATTAAGTTAAATTAAAAAGAAACAAATGAGGACAACAAACAGAAAGTATATCAAATATGATAGACATTAATTTAATATATCAATAATCATTTCAAACATCAATGGTCCAAATACAGCAATTAAAAGAGAGAGATTGTCAGAACGGATTAAAAATCATGACCCAACTATATGTTGTTCATAAGAAACCCACTTTAAATATAAAGATAAATACGGATTAAAAATAAATGATGCAGGAGAATATATCAGGCTAACAATGATCAAAAGAAAGCAGCAGTAATTATATTAGTTTCAGACAGAGCAGACTTCACAACAAACAATGGTATCAAGAATAGAGGCATTAAAAAAGATAAACAGGTACAGATTTCAAGATGACATAACAATCCTTAATGTATATGGACCTAAAAAGAGTATCAAGCTATGTGAGGCAAAAACTAGTAGAACTGTGAAGAGAAATAGATGAATCCACTATTATAATTGGAGACTTCAACACCACCTTACCAGAAATAAACAAATTCAGCAGGCAAAAAAATCATTGAGGACATGCAGTTGAACTCAATACCGCCATCAATCAACGGGATATAATTGACATCTATCAACCACGTCAACAACAGAATACACATTTATTCCAAGAGCACATGGAACATTCACCAAGATAGACCACATTCTGTGACATAAATACAACTTAAAAAAAAAAATGGGCTGGGTGCGGTGGCTCACGCCTGTAATCCCAGCACTTTGGGAGGCCAAGACTGGTGGATCACGAGGTCAGGAGATCGAGACCATCCTGGCTAACACGGCGAAACCCTGTCTCTACTAAAGATACAAAAAAAATTAGCTGGGTGTGGTGGAGGGCACCTGTAGTCCCAGCTACTCGGGAGGCTAAGGCAGGAGATAGGCGTGAACCCAGGAGGCAGAACTTGCAGTGAGCCCAGATCGAGCCACTACGGCACTCCAGCCTGGGCAACAGAGCGAGACACCGTCTCAGAAAAAAAAAAAAAAAAAAAGTGGAAATCATACAATGTCTGCTCTCAGACCATAAGGAAACTTAGTTAGAAATTAATAACCGAAAGATAACTGAAAAATCTGAAAATACATGAAGATTAAATCACATATTTCCACATAACACATGGGTCAAGAAGAAATCTCAAGAGAAATTTAAAAATATATTAAATTAAATGAAAACAAAAGCACAACTTATCAAAATTTGTGGAATGTGGTGGAAGTCGTGTGTAGAGGGAAATTTATAGCATTAAAGGTAGATATTAGAAAAGATGAAAGATTCAAAATGAATAATCTAAGTTTCTACCTTGGAAAATTAGCAAAAGAAGAGCAAATAAAATCCAAAGTAAGCAGAAGAGAAAAACTAGTAAGAATTAGAGTCAAAATCAATGAAATTGAAAACAGAAAATCAACAGAGAAAACCAACAAAACCGAAAGTTGGTTCTTTGAAAAGATCAATAAAATTGCTGCCGATGACGCGCGGGAGGAGGAGGAGGAGGCCGCCCCGCCACCGCTGCCGCCTCCCGCCCACCTGCCCGCAGCCCCGGCCCCCGGCGGCGGCGGCCAGCATGAACCAGCAGCAGCAGCAGCAGCAGAAAGTGGGCAAGCAGCAGCTGAGCGAGCCCGAGGACGTGGAGATGGAAGCTGGAGATACAGATGACCCATGAAGAATTACTCAGAACGCTGTGATCAATGGGAACGTGGCCCTGCGTGATGGACACAACAACAAGGAGGAGGGCATGGAGGACGAAACCAGTTAGCGCTCCGAGGCGACCTTTCAGTTCACTGTGGAGCTCTTCAGCAGACTGAGTGAGTCGGTCATTAGTCCTCCGTGTTTTGTGCGAAATCTGCCATGGAAGATTATGGTGTGCCACGCTTTTATCCAGAGAGACCACACCAAAAAAGTGTAGGATTCTTTCTCCAGAGCAATGCTGAATCTGACTCCACGTCACGGACTTGTCATGCACAAGCGATGCTGAAGATAATAAATTATGGAGATGACGGAAAATCGTTCAGTCGTCGTATTAGTCATTTGTTCTTCCATAAAGAAAACGATTGGGGATTTTCCAATTTTATGGCCTGGAGTGAAGTGACTGATCCTGAGAAAGGATTTATAGAAGATGACAAAGTTTAGCCATTGAAGTCTTTGTACAGGCGGATGCTCCCGATGAAGTTGCGTGGGATTCAAAGAAGCACACAGGCTGTGTTGGCTTGAAGAATCAGAGAGCGATTTGTTACATAAACAGCCTGCTACAGACGTTCTTTTTCACAAATCAGCTACGAAAGTCTGTGTACATGATGCAAACCGAGGGGGATGATTCGTCTAAAAGCGTCCCTTAAGCATTACAAAGAGTGTTCTATGAACTACAGCGCAGTGATAAACCCGTAGGAAAAAAAAGCTAACAAAGTCATTTGGGTGGGAAATTTTAGACAGCTTCATGCAACACGATGTTCAGCAGCTTTGTGGAGTGTTGCTTGATAATGTGGAAAAGAAGGTGAAAGGCACCTGTGTAGAGGGCACCATACCCAGATGATTCTGAGGCAAAATGGTGTCCTATATCCAGCGTAAAGAAGTAGACTATCGGTCTGATAGAAGAGAAGATTATTATGATATCCAGCTAAGTATCGAAGGAAATAAAAATATATTTGAATCATTTGTGAATTATATGGCAGAAGAACAGCTCAGTGGGGACAATAAATAGGAAGCTGGGGAACATGGCTCACAGGAAGCAGAGAAAGGTGAAATTTCTAACATCACCACCAGTGTTACATCTACAACTGATGAGATTTATGTATGACCCTCAGACGAACCAAAATATCAAGATCAATGATAAGTGTGAATTCCCAAAGCAGTTACCATTTGATGAATTTTTGAAAAAAAACAGATCCTAAGGACCCTGCAAATTATATTCTTCATGCAGTCCTGGTTCATAGTAGAGATAATCATGGTAGACATTATGTGGTTTATCTAAACCCCAAAGGGGATGGCAAATGGTGTAAATTTGATGATGATGTGGTGTCAAGGTGTACTAGAAAGGAAGTAATTGAGCACAATTATGGGGGTCACGATGACAACCTGTCTGTCCGACGCTGCACTAATGCTTACGTGTTAGCCTATATCAGGGAATCAAAACTGAGTGGAAGTTTTACAGGTAGTCACCAACCATGATATTCCAGTTGGTGGAACGACTCTAAGAAGAGAAAAGGATCAACGCTCAGAAGGTGGACAGAATGGCAGGAAGTCCATCTCTATATGCAAGCGCAGGTAGCCTCAGAGGACCAGTTTTGTGGCCACCAGGGAAATGACATGTACGATGAAGAAAAAGTGAAATATACTGTGTTCAAAGTATTGAAGAACTCCTCACTTGCTGAGTTTGTTCAGAACCTCTCTCAGATCATGGAATTTCCACAAGATCAAATTCAATTGTGGCCCATGCAAGCAAGGAGTAATGGAACAAAACGGCCAGCAATGTTAGATAATGAAGCTGATGGCAATAAAGCAATGATTGAGGTCAGTGATAATGAAAACTCTTGGACAATATTCCTGGAAACAGTCGATCTCGAGCTGGCTGCTAGTGGAGTGACCTTACCCAAGTTTGATAAAGCTCATGATGTAATGTTTTTTTTGAAGATGTATGATCCCAAAATGCGGAGCTTGAATTACTGTGGGCATATCTACACACCAATATCCTGTGAAATACGTGACTTGCTCCCAGTTATGTGTAACAGAGCAGGATTTATTCAAGATACTAGCCTTATCCTCTATGAGGAAGTTAAACTGAATTTAACAGAGAGAATTCAGGACTAAGACGTGTCTCTTGAAAAAGCCCTTGATGAACTAATGGATGGTGACATCATAGTATTTCAGAAAGATGACCCTGAAAATGATAACAATAAAAAGATCAGGTTGCCACAGGTTGGACAGGAGGGAGAAATGAAAAGGTAAAGAACAGAGAATTGTTAAGGCCGTGAAGCTATTCTTTATGATACTATAATGATGGGCATATGTCGTTATACATTTGTGAAAACCCATAGAATGTACAACACCGAGAGTTAACCTTAATGTAAACTATGGATTTGGGGTGGCAGTGATGTGTCAGTGTAGGTTCATTAGTTGTAACAAATGTATCACTCTGATTTGGTTTCATAGTAGGGGAGGTTGTGCGTGTGTAGGGAGAGGGGCTATATGGGAACTCGCTGTACTTTGCATCCATTTTTCTGTGAACCTAAAACCACTCTAAAAATAATGTTTATTTTTTTAAAGTAGGGTCAGAAAACATAAGCCAATTTTCACACTCACATTTAGAACTTCCTTAGACATTAAACTATGAAAACTAGAGAAAAATTGTTTTATTCAGTTGCTTTTAGAATCATTAACACCACTTGGGTCTCATTTTATGAACCTTGGTCAATGCTTTTCTTCGTGGCAGAAATACAGAAAAACCCTCTTTCTCTCATGGTAGTTGAGAGTTAATACACACCATTTTCCATTGTAACAGAAGATTTCAATTTCATAGTTTTATATAATCCTCTCTGATGTTTAGATTTCTAGAGAGAAAAATATTTTTTTACCTGTGTTAAAATATAGCTTTTGGGTATTTCCATTGAGGCTTTAAAAAGAATATGTCCTAATAGTTATTTCATTAATCTCTTTTATTTAGGCTAGCATGAAAATAAAAGTATATGTAATTTCCCGTTAATGCTAATACATAATACATTGTGTTTAGATTGGTTATATAAACCAAAACAAATTTTTTTTCATTACAGAAGAAATAATGTGAGTACCAGAAGAGAAATAGAGCATAATGGATGTAATTGGCTATATTTTTCTGATTATCTGCAGGTGCTAATATTTATGAAGTAGGCATTTTTTTCTTTTTAATGTTGATCCCTGAGCAGATCTTCTGCTGTTACACTAATCTGTGCCCCCTTCTAACTGCACCTGCTCTATTCAGAGATCATGTTCCAAATAATGATATAATTATCTACTTTGGATGATTATTGCTATGTTATGAGTGAAAGATAATGGATCAGTCACTTTGCATGATTGCAATTTTTTGAAATGTTACCAATAAGATTTGAACAACAAACTCCATAAGAAATCGATTCTCAAGACTTGGGAAGTCCTGGGAACCAGTGAGGGAGCATCGTTAAAAGGACTTGCCAGGGTCTGCAAGGCCGAAAGAGTCTAACAACTCACTGAGATATTTTTCACATGTAAGTTAAAAAAGTAACTCCCAACATATTTCTAGAAATGACCATCCAATCTTTCAAGACTTCATTCTCCACTAGAGAGAGAGCACTTCCTTCATACCAAACTTGTCGACCTTACCTCCAATTATTTCCAACCCCATTCTTCTCTGATTTTACTTAATTGTCTACTCTCCAAAGAATTCCCACAAATGGTCCTAATAACTCTCTTTTACCTATCTTCCATGATTGCCAACTATTTTTCTATGCCTCACTCTCTCTTCTGACTCTGTAGGGATAATGAGCTCCCTACTTTGACTCACCTGCTCAGGCCCCTTGAGGGATGTCTGAATGTCACCATAGTGATAGGGTACCACAGCAGGGCCCTACTGGGAATGGGTAGTGCTCAAGGGGTGAGGCATACCTCTGGCAGAATGAGTTTAAGTCCTCTTAGTTGCAAAAGAATAGGAGATAAAGGTACACAAAGCTATATTCTGATGCTGACAGACCTTGGAAGCCAAATTTAACTCACTATTTCAAAGAAATAAATCCTGGTTTTGCAGCTTATATCTCTATTCTGATAAAAAGATAGTCAAAATTCAGGCCCCAGAAATATTGCTGTGTCATCTGTGTTAATGAACCTGAAGACATATATGTGTGTGTAATATAATAATGCTCTCAAATAAATTAAGCTTAACATTGGTTTGAGTCATCTATTTGTAGGGGTAGTTTCAGAGTAATTAGTGCTGGGGGGAATAATTATTAGCAATTTAGTTATATCAAAGTGCCTTAGCATAGGACAAATAATCCAGCCATTCCTTCACAGCCTAATTTTAGATCAATATTGTTAAGGGATAACCCCATAGATGCTGAAAATCTAGGAAACCCCGTTTCATTAAGAGTCCATAGCTAATGATGCAGTAACTACCTCATAACTGTAAGCTAGCATATAAAAAATCATCTCAAAATCTTCAGAATATATTTAAATTTAGTCTTTTCACTACAAACTTTTAGAAGACAAACTTCTAAACAATATATTCTCTAAAATGTGATAGATATTCCAATAACATTTTCAAATGGCTGCAGAAAGGGAAAAGAAGAATCATTTATTGATCAAAAACCAAGAAAAAAACAAAATCATTGGCTCAACAGGATAAGGTTAAGGAAGGATTTGAGATTACAAAATGCATTTGGAGTTTGAAAATGCAGGAAGTAAAGAAATAACAGACCACATAGGTAGTATTTTGTAATTATAATTTCAAGGATTTTGAGTGAGAGCTAAAATCAACAGTCTTATGTATAGAAGAAATGTATATAACCCAGCATCTTACATATTTTTCTCTCACTAATTTGTTCCACTTGGGTGGATCTCCAGCTGGCTCCTCAGTCTCTATTGCCTAGCATAGTGCTAAGTATGAAATTCTTTCTAGGTATGGGACAGACCCTGCACACATTCTTAGGGATTAGGGAAATTTAAGAATAACCACTGGGTTGGAAGGTAATTTTCCTATGTGCTAAAGTGGTGGTTCTCAAACTGGTGTACATCAGACCCACCTGGAGGGCTTGTTAAGATGGATTGCTGGGCCCTACTGATTCAGCAGGTCTGAGGTAGGGCTGAGAACATGCATGTCTAACAATTCCTAGGTAATGCTGATGCTGCTCATCAGGGGGCACCCATTGAGGACCACCATTCTGGACCAATGGTCTCTACCTTGGCTGCACATTACAGTTGCCTGGGAGGTTTTAAAACACCTGATGTCCAAATCATAACCCAGACCAATAACATTAGAATCTATGGTGCTCATGACTAAACTTCAATATTTTTTAAAGTTCCTTTATAGTTTCTAATGTGCAGGCCTGATTGGGATACTGCCTAGTGTCATAGTGGTTCTTAGCCCAAGCTTTACATTAGAGTTACCCGGAAAAGTGTTTTTTTTTTTTTAATTGAGATGTAATTGACATACCATAACACTTACCCTGTTAACATGCATACTTTTTTAAAGTCAGTGGTTCTTTTTATTCACAAAATTATGCAACCATCACCACTGTATAATTCCAGAACATTTTCATCACCATCTAGGAAGTTTTTAAACAAAATTCTTGTATGTGAGTTCTACTCTCCGGGTTTCTGACTTAATTGGCTCAGACATCATTGTTTAAGTTCCTCAGGTGCTTCTTAAGTCCAACCAGGATTGAGAACCACAGTTCCTGAGTTTGATTACAGATGTTCCAAGAGAGTTTGAAAAGTTAAGAACTAGTCAGAGGATTTTGTTTATCCTGGGAGGGATGTTGTCTGTACAGAGGAACTAGGACATATTCTCCTTACATCATGCCTGTCTATCAAATGTGGTCAATCATAATACAGGGGAACCATTACCCTGATCTCTAGCTTTTAATACATGGACATGAAGATGGCATGCTGTTGAGTCTGGCTCCACTGCTGGCAGCATTTCCCTGCAAATCAAAGCTGAGTTTTGGAGACTGCAGGAGCCTCTGCAGAGCTCAACAGGAAAAAATAGTCCTCAGAGCAGAACTGCTACTGAATTTTCCAGCATTGGCTTACTATTTTTAAGAATCCTACAGGCTCACGCCCTCAATCCCAGCACTTTGGAAGGCTGAGGTGGGCAGATCACCTGAGGCCAGGAGTTCAAGACCAGCCTGGCCAACCCAGTGAAACCCCATCTCTAATAAAAGTACAAAAATTAGCCGGGTGTGGCAGCACGTGCCTGTAATCCCAGCTACTCAGGAGGGTGAGGCAGGAGAATTGCTTGAACCTGGGAGGCGGAGGTTGCAGTGACCCAAGATCACACCACTGCACTCCAGCCTGGGTGACGGAATTTGACTCCATCTCAAAAAAGAAAAAAAAAAATTCCACTTCTTAGAAAGTGTTGGATAGATGTTGTTTCAGTGTTGGCCTTTTGTTGATTAAGGCACAGAAGCAGGGTGCACTTGTTATTTGCCCATTTTTTAAAATTTATTGTCTATTTATTTTATCTTCTTTACAGACAGAGTCTCACTGTGTTGCCCAGGCTGGAGCAGTGGTGCAATCATAGTTCACTGTAACCTCAAACTCCTGGACTCAGCCTCAGCCTCCTGAGTAGCGAGGACTACTCTTGTGTGCCACCATGCCTGGCTAAGTTTTATGATGTTTCTGTTGAAACAGGGTCTCACTATGTTGCCCAGGCTGGTCTCAAACTCCTGGCCTAAACTGATCCTCCCACTTCAGCCTCCTAAACTGCTAGGGTTACAGGTATGATTTACCTGATTTTGAGTAAAATTTTCTGAGCTACAGTTTCTTCATTTTGCAATGGTCCCTTCCTTCCAGAGATGCTCTAATTATTAAGGAAAATAGTGTATTGGACACACTCACCTATGTACAGTGGATATAGTAGAAAGTTCGTGTAATTTTGTGTAAAATGATCAGATTCAGTCCCTGGCTCTGGCCCTTCCTGCCAATAAGATTTTGGTAAATCAGTAAGCATTTATAAACTGTTATCCCTTCATTTGTAAAGGGAAACTAATACCTAAGTCATCTACTTTATAAATTTTTGTGAAGATCAAATGTTACAGTTCACATGAAAATGGTTTATATACCATGACACCATGTAAACAGTTAGGCATTAGGTTATAACTAGATAGATAAAAATATGAAAGGACAGAAAGGATGCATATTTTATAAATTAAGTTGATTTCTTTTGATGTATAGACAGTTCGAAACTTAGGACCTCAGAGCAAAATGATATTTCCTCTTATGGATCATTTAAAAATAGCTTTTGCCTAAAATCTAAATAATAAAGCCTCATTCAAATTTTTTAGGGAAAAAGACATCCTGGTTTGATATCCTTCAAGAAGTCACTTTTTTTAACCTTCCCTGCCCCTCTTCATTTTTTATTTTTTTGGTCCTTGCCTATATAGCAGTGAGTGAATCATGCTCTTTGGTTCATAGCACTTCATTAGTCTGTGCATGGCCACTCCTGTTAGTTTACTTTCCTCTTTCATCCAAATCTCTGATCCTATTCCCCATTTTCTCACAAGTCTTCATTCTTATGTTTGCAATGTCAGCTCTTCCAAACTACCTTCTGTAAATTTGTTAAGATGTATCTATGTGTATTTGTAAAAATATTCTTTGGTATATGTGAATGAGGGGAGGAATTTTCACAATTATTGTGTGCTATAAGTTTCATTTGTTTTATTTCACTCAGCAGTATGTTTTTGAGATCTAGCCATGTTACTATATGGCAATCTAATTAATTTCTTTTGACTACTGCATATTATTCCATCCTAGGCAAGTACTCTATTATACTTTCCTATTCCCCTACTGAAAGACACACATACTGCCTCCAACTCACCGTACCAAAAACAATGCTGCAATGCACCTCCTTGTGTGTCTCTCTGTACATAGTTGTGCCAGGAGCAGAGTCTCTGAATCACTGGATACACGAATACTTAGTACCATTACATTCTGCAAAATTGGCTGGGCACAGTGGCTCACGCCTGTAATCCCAGCACTCTGGGAGGCTGAGGTGGGCAGATCACATGAGGTCAGGAGTTCCAGACCATCCTGGCCGACGTGGTGAAACCCCATCTCTATGAAAAACACAAAAAATCAGCCAGGTATGGTGGTGCGCACCTGTAGTTCCGGCTATTTGGGAGGCTGAGGCAGGAGAATCGCTTGAACCTGGGAGGCAGAGGTTGCAGTGAGCTGAGAAAGCACCATTGCACCCCAGCCTGGGCAACAAGAGCGAAACTCTGTCTCAAAAAAAAAAAAAATTCTGCAAAATTGCAATCCAAAATGGATTATGTACCAGATTATGCTCCCACCTGGTTTGCATGAGGGTTCCTATAGCTCTATATTCTTGCCAGCTGATGATATCTTTAATGCTTGAATTTTGCCAATATGAATAGTATCAAGTGATATATCCTGATAGTCTTAATTGGTATTTATCTGATTATTAGTGAGACTAAGCATCTCTTCAAACAGTTTTTCACCATTAGAGTTTCATGAATTGCCTATTCATACCTTTTTCTGTTCATTTTCTGCTGGGTTTCTGTCCTTTCCTTGAAGATTTTTGAGAGTTTCTTAGATATTCTAGAAACTAATGTTCTGTCGGTTATTTATGTGAAGATCTCCCAGTCTACGAGTCATTTATTAATGTTGTGTGTAGTATTCCTTGTGGAATAGGAAACTTGAATTATTTTGATGTAGTCAAACTCAGTCCTTATCTCTTTATGGATTATGCCTTGGGGGTTCTACTTAAAGACATACTTTTCTGCCCTGAGGCTTCAAAGGTTGCCCTGAAACTCTGTATAACCCTACGAAACTGTTTTGTAACTCTGTTATTTTGTATTTGTCATTTGTTCTTTCACCAGTAGTATATTGTTTTAACTAGTATAATTTGTCATAATATCTGTAGTATTTCTTAGTGTCTGCTAGGGCAGTTTTCTTATTTGCCTTCTTTTTCAAAATTGCCTTAGTTGTTCTATATTAATTAATTAATTTATAGTTCCATATTAATTAGAATCAGTTTATCCAGTTCCCTGCAAATATTCTGCTGGAATTTTTATTGAAGTGCATTGAATTTGTAGATCAATTTGCAGAAGTCTACATCTTTACATTGTAAAACAATCACATCCATTTATATGGTGTAACTTTCCATTTATTCAAATCTATCTTTTTTCAGTTGAATCTTAAAACTTCCCCTGTAAAGATTTTCATTAGGTTATTTCCTAGGAAGTTCATAGCTTTGTGTTATTGTAAATAGTGCTTTATTTTCTATTGTATTTTCTAAGTGGTTAGTGCTAGTGTAAAAAATGTTATTTCTCTTTGGTTGATGATATTTTATTTCTCTACCTTGCTGACTTGAACTCTCATATTACTTTTAATAGTTTGTTGATTTGCTTCTGTTTTTAAGTAAATTATTATGTAACCTACAAACAATGGCAAATTTTCTCTTCCAAATTTTATTTACTTCAATGTGATTGCATTGACCAAACCTCCAGTACTATGTTCACCCAATAGAATTCAGATTCAAACATATCATGGTATGAAACCACATATCCTCTTGGTTAGGAATGTGGTAGTTTTTCCCATAAGACTTCCATCAGCCTGTGGTGGGAAAATGGGTGGGATCAGAATGTGGCAGGAAATGAAATGCAGGTAAATGAAAAGTCTTTGATAACACAAATCCATGGATTCCTTGTACTAAAGCCAGGTAATTATGTGAAAAATGCATTTTGGGTTTACTCTTGAGTGATTACTATAATCCAAATTAAATTTCCTCCCTTTCTTTTCTCCCCCATTCTTTCCTATTCTAAAACATACCCTGGAGCTCTTCTTTTTTTAAAAAAAAAAAAAGACACCGGGTATGCTGTGTGCTCAAGTTGGGATGCAGTGGCTACTTACAGGCACCATCCCACTATTAACCAGCACTGGAGCTTTGACCTGCTCCATTTCTGACCTGGACTGGTTCACTCCTCCTTAGGCAACCTGGTGATCCTCCACCCACATGAGGTCACCATATTGACGCCAAACTGAGTGCAGACACCCAATTGGCATAGCACACAAAAGCTCAGAACTCCTGGGCTCAAGCAATCATCCTACCTCAGCCTGAGCAGCTGGTACTACAGGCGTGTGCCACCGCACCAGACCCTTCTGTCTTTAAACACACCCAGCTCTTTCTTCACATGTGCTCACTGGCTTTTCTGTGTCTTCCTCTACCCCATCCTTCTTTCCCACACTATCCTTTATTATGTAGCATAACGTAGCTTGTTTCTCAGAGAAAACCCTCTCTGGGAAGGGGGATGTAGAATATACAAATAGCAGGTGGGAGCAGAGAGAGGGCTGTGAATATTTCCATTGGTAATTTTTGTCCTTTTTGCAATGTGATTTGGCACAATGGGGGAAGATCATTACATATTCAGGTAGAAATATTTGAAAACTTTACTTTCTTTGGCTCTCTGTCTTTCTACCCTGCAAGCCTAACCTTATGATATGTGCAACATGACATCTGCCTCCATCACTACTGTATCCTATTTGTGCAGTCCAATGTAACTCTATTTATTTATTTTGGCAGCCATATCATGTTGTTCAACATTTCAAAATTACATTTGACTAAATTTCCAGTGTTACCCAGTTATTTGTATAATTAGTTTTTGGATCTAATTCAAAGATTTTACATTCGTTCTTCTTAAAATTCCATTTTTATACTCTAGCTTATGAATAGTTTTAGAAACGATTCTCTGTTATCCAACATACTACCTAGTCCTCCAATCATCTTGTCATCTGTAGCATTTGATAGGAATGCCATCAGTGTGCTCATCCAAACCTTTGATAAATATGTCAAAAAAGACGGGCCCAGGAAAGAACCCTGAGGCACACAGCTATAGAATTCCCTTCAGGTTGACATGGAATTAGCATTCTTGGAAATGATCCTTCAATTATCGATGAAGTCACCTGATTGTACTTGCATCCACTCCAAATTTCTGCATGTTATCCACAAGGATTTCATGAGAAACACTGTCAGATGCTTTGCTAAAAGGCTAACACACTGTGTTTGCAGCATTTCCTTGACCTACCTGAGTAGTAAACCCATGTATAGTTCAGTTCAACTTCAATTTTAAATGAATTTCAAGTTAAACTAAATTAAGCAAAAGAGATGAATTTATAGGTTCACCTAACCGTACATTCTATCCTCCAGAGCACTGGCTGTCTCTGCCTCTAGGCTCTACCACCCTGTGCATGAGTCCCATTCTTATGCAGCCTCTTCACTCTTAGAGCCAAGATGGCTACACCAGCTACAGAGCTTCTTTCCCCAACAGCTCCTCTAACCTCTTAGAACTGAGTTGCATTGTCCCTGACTAGATCATGAGCCATCTCTAAACCAAACCCAGGGATAATCTGAGTGGCTAGCCCTGGGTCACATGCCTGCCCTTGATGACGGAGCTGCACTCTGTTCTACCCAAATTATACAAACTCACAGATTATTTTAAAAGCCTCACAGATACCAAAAGAAAAAGAATGAACAGATATTTTCCATATTCAAGAAAAATATTTTACTTCTCAATGTAGGTTCCACAGTATCTTCTGAACATATTGTTTTTCTCAAGGATTATTCACATTATATATTTATACAACCAATTACCTTCTATGTATTTATATACATATATCAACCATATATATGTATAGATACAGAATAATGTCTATACCTGCACATATATAAAATCTCTAGTTATAAAGCAGTTGAAAGCATGCTATGCTTGGATAAACAAGGTATCACCAGATGTTTATTTCTATAGGGCTGAGTAATGAGTATTCTCCATTCTGCAGCTGGCCAACAGACTTCAAACTCACTCACCACAGAAATCTGGGCAAGAAAACCTGTCCACAGATGAGAGGTGGGGTATCATGTATGCATTCTGTGGTGAACTGTTCTACTATGAAGTGATAATTTCCTGGTCCTGATTCATTTGGATGGCAATGGTAATCACAATCCAAAATATAGCGGTCTTAAAGCAACAGGAAATACCAGAGTTGAGAGATATAAGAACAAGAGTTATACTTTGGCTTCAATATAACTATCAGAATCTGGGGAATCTGGGGCTGCAAATTGCTTTTTCAGAGATGGATTCTCCAAATGCACTTAATAATGGTCAAATTCGTTCATCACCAAGGCATTCTCCCAGGCCCTAATCTGTCCCAATCACATTCAAGTCCATGGAGAAAGAAGTTTCACTTTTTACCATGCAAAAATCTGGTAATGGGAAAATGCAGGGATGAAAGAGCTCTTAGGGAACACTTTGAGAGGACGCTTTGGAGGAGAAAATCTTGGGAACCTTTATCTCATGGGATTGATCAAGAATCATTTGTAGCCAAACTCAATGGCAAAGTGAGGACACTTCAGGTATGACTGCCTGACGAGGTCACCATATTGATTCCCACTCTATCCTTAGATTTCTCATCTCTGTACTGTCAGGTGTCCCAGAAGGAAAGCCAACAGCAACAAAGACAGGACCCCACGCTCCCCTGTGACCACCCCCACCAACAATACAATATGACCTTGGCCTGAGTTATATACCTCTGTTGGTAGGTAATACCTCATAGTGGTTTGTGTCTGCCTCTTTCCTGTTCTTATTTTACATGGTGTCCTGTCTTTTGTGTTAGGTGAACTTGATGCTGCATCAGAGTCAACATCTACCTGGGCAGCGACAGAATCACCATATCTGACACTGAAAGGTAGATAGGTAGGCAGCAGAGAAAAAAATAAGAGGATTGCCAATGTCACAAATAAATCAAGCTTGGCCTGAATGTACTAGATGTAAAAATGAACACAAAAATCTGTTGGGATTTTTGTTAATATGCAATACTTATTAGCACGTGAGGTATTACTCTCAGAGAAAGTAGAGAAAAAAGCGGGTATTTCAGGAAACTAAGAAAGAAGGCCAATAAGCCACCTTTTCTTGACAAAGTAGAGCCAAGCCACATAGCCATGGGAGTGTTAGAGCATTTTGGTACTTTCCACATTGATCAATAACATTAAATGCTGCACTTAAGTCTAACAAAATGAAATTAGCAAGAACATATCAATGAACACAAAGAACCTGATCATTATCACTCCTAGAATGTATAGAACAACAACTAAAATGTAATTTATCTAAGGGTCTCACCATTAGAAAATAGAGCAGTGTCTCAATTTTCTTTCCCATTTTCACAGTAAGAAAGTCAATCCAGTGCTCCAGGCACTATTACATTAAATATTGATATAGAGTCACCATATAGTAGGTTTTCCTTCTAAGAAATTGATAAATTCTTAATGAAGAGTAGGGAGACAGAGCCCAACATGAATGGGTAATTCATTCAAATACAGTTGACTTTTGTCTTTAGAGTTGTTCTTTTTCCATATTACACAAGGAATGATTTTCCTCTGGATTTAATTTTTCTGACACAAAAACATATATACCTAATAAATATTTCTAGATTATAAATGAACATTCTTGGAAAGCTTTCATTAGGCATAAATAAAAATGAACAAAATCGAGTAGGCAGCTAGCTGACTAAAACCTGTATTTTATGAGAGGCCAAACAATCAATAGCACCTACTTAGGAAAAGAAAAAATAAAACCCGGTTGGATATGTGGCTTCTTCTCCTGCCGCTTTCTGAACCTTTGAGGCTGCACAATTCTCTATGCTGTAGATATGCAGAAGACATGGAGACTATAGTGCTCTGAAGCTAAAAGGGCTTTGAGATGTACATCTGCATTGGGGCTGCACAGAACCATCTAGATATATAGTTGTCAGTTCGAGAGTTCAGCTCCATTCACTTCAACTCAACAAGTTTCCATTAAGCACTTAGGTAGAGAGGTATAATAAGAAAGCTAGAAATAGAAAAGGCACAGAAGACATGATTCCAGTCCTCAAGATGTGTATCACCTGGAAGATATTCAAAGCACACATACATGAACTAAATAGCCAAGATTAATGTGTGATGACAATATTTATCAAGCTATATGCAGAGATGCTGAGTGGAGGAAGCTAATTAAGGAAGACTTTTTGGAGTTTTGAGTTGAAATTTAAAGAAAATGACAAGGCTATCTTTTGGCCTCAACTTGCATGCACCCACATGTGATATGAACAGAAAGAGTGCCTCAGTTCAAATATGCAGTAGGAGCGCTCTTTGGATTTAAAAGATCACTAGGGAATGCTCTTTGTAACTTAGAAAAGATGTATTTCATGGAACTGGGTATGTATTTTTCTAAAGATCCCACCAGAGCTCTGCTCAGGGAATGGCCAGTGAGATGTCCCGTACAATTTCCAATTGACCTCTAACCAGGCAATTGGCACCTGGAGGGCAGCCCAGCCTGTCCAACAGAAACATCAGTAGAATAAGATAACTCCCTTATATAAAAAAGATCACAGGGAATTAAATATATTAGTGCATTAGACAATCCAATAAAAATGGAAACATATACCGTATTTAAAAGAAGGAAAGTGAATGTCTTGAGAAATTCCAAAGAGTATTCCACAACCACAGTGTTGAGGTTTGAATTAAACTAATCAAAATCAGTCAAGACAAGTAGCTAGATAAAATTACATTTACTAAGTTTTACAAGCATTCCTATTGATTAGTACCAGGCCTTCTGGATGTATCTGAATGAGAGATTCTGTCCATGTTGTGAAAAAAATGAATGAAGAGTCTTTAATTTGCTTTTAAGACCATGGTTTTGGTATAATGAATACCTTTGTTTTTGAGCATTTCTTTTCTCCTATGTTCTCTTTTGCCTGATGGAAACAATAACACTATATTTTAGTTGTATTTACCCATGTAATTTCCTAATTATTTATTGTTGCACATGTGTAGACTCAGTACTTAAACCTCCCATTGGTTGACTTCCCAATCTCTTATCAACACAAGGCTGTAGGGTGTGGCAGTTGAGAGTATGACTAAACAGTCAGGCTGCTGTCTCCAAATCGCCGCCTTGTCATGCACTATTTGTGTTACCTTAGACAACTTACATAAAGTCTCTATGTCTGTGGTTCCTTATCTACAAAATGGAAGAAATAATAGACCGCACATCATGCATAGTCCATTATTTGTAAACATTTACAGTGATAATGTAAGAAAAGCTAGGTACAATGTCCATAGTTGGCTCTCAAAAGTATTTGTTAATTATTATCATTGAAATAAAAATAATCCTATTAACTTTGATTAATGTGGTTACAAAATGAACATTATTGTGCCACAGCTTGCAATTTCTTAGTATTATCATTGAATACTTCCCTGCCTAATTGCCTTAGTTATGGTCAATTAACTCCACGTGGGCTTCCAAATTGTTCCAGATTCTTTCTGAGTCCTTTAGATGAGGGGTGATTTGATCCTCACCTGATTTATAAGGACCTACTCCAGGTTGACCTTCATTTTTGACATGACAATAACTAGACCAGATCTGGAGGCAAGAAGTTAACTTTCACCAAACATTCATCCTGTGCTCTTCTTTTCTCCTACAGAATTTCCCATCTTCTAATTTTCATACTTTTATTATTTATGGCTTACTATATGTTTTTCCCACTAAACTATAAGCCCCAGGGAAAGAATGATCTTTGTTTTATTCTTGGAAGTATGCCAGTTGCCTAGGAGAGTTCCTGACACATAGTAGGAACTCAAGAAACATTTGTTGAAATGAATCAACTTGTTGAAATGAATTGAGTGCAATGAGCCTCACAAAGATGTCCTGCTTTGGACCATATTCATTCAACAAATATCAATTAATTAGGGCTACCATGCATATTTAACCATCAGAGAAGTCTCTTGCAGAGAATGCAATCCCCAAAGCATATGCAAAGTGGTCTCTAGTGGAGTACACACTAAGTGTACCTTATTTGGGGCTATTATAAAATACAGTACTGACAACTGAGATGCTTGCTAACCAACTGGAGAGACAGGACAATTACAGAGAAAAGTATAACTGAAATGTCAGACTCTATATATCCTGTGCCTCGAGAATGATAGTGAGAGTGGGGGCTGGCATTCAGTTGAAGGAGAATGGTAGAAGAAAGGTTTAAAGGCAAAAAAAATGCAATGACGTGTTCACAGGAGACCTGTGAGACTATGGCAGAGGTTGTGAAGTACAGTGGAGAAGGTATTAATGTTGGAAAAAGAAGTGTTCACTGCAGGCATTGTCCCTTACAAACATTGACTGCACAAAAACTGACATGGCCCCTGTACTCATGGAATTTAGTCTATTGGGGGGTGACAGAAATTAATAAAATAACCACTCAAATAAATGTAAAATTACCTCTTCTTGGGAGCATTTAACACAGGAACACATACTATTAAAAACGCACATAGGGTATATCACCAAGATCAGGGAAGGCTAGGGAAGGTTTCCCTGAAGAAGAGAAAGGAGAGAATTTGCCTGTTTCTCACTATTATAACTTGAGGTCAGAAAGTGTCCTATTTTACCTTTGTCTTTCCAGGCAGCATAATACATATACAGTATCTTAATCCACTTGTGCTACTATAATAAAATATCACAGACTGTGTAATTTATAAAGAGTGTATTTCTCACAGTTCTGGAGGCTGGGAAGTCCAAGATCAAGGCACTGCATTTGCTGTCTTGGGAGGGACTTCTTGCAACATCCTCACATGCCAGAAAACAGAAGGGCAAGCTAGTTGAAGGCTGTATGAAGACTCTTTCATAAGGGTCTTAATCTCTTTCATGAGGGAGGAGCACTCAAGAACGAATCAGCTCTTAAAAGCCTTACCTCTTAATACTATCACACTGGCAATATATGAATTTTGGAGGGCACACCTTCAAATCATAACACACAGTGTAGTTTTGATGAGTGACTAAATGAAGGGGTGCAGACTTTGGAGGGCATTGGATTTTGAGTAAAGGATATGAATTTTATTCCAAATTAGATCCCACTCTGAGCATACTTCTACTAAGCGTGGTGGGAAAGTCCATTTTAGTTATTATTTTGCTGTCTGTCATTCCAAAATACACTAGAATCTGGAAAACTTGTCTGAATCTCAGAAAAAAAAGGATCAGATCTCTATTGCCTATTCCAATGTGAAGATGCTGACCATTCTTATTTACTGTGCTCATTGAAGTCCTTTACAGCCCCTTGAAGTCCTGTGACTCTCTTGCTGTTTTTTTTTTTTTTTTTTTTTGAACAGTGGCATCTGGGAATCTTTGCTAAGAATGTGAATATGGTCCCATCTCTTGGGTAGACCCTAAAGCCGTTGCTTCTGAAGTCTTAACTGCTTTGGGGGGCATTGCCGTGGAAGACACACTGTATTCCCTATCTTTTTTCTGAATCTGTAGCAATCACCCTTTCTCACCTCTAGCTACCTTCAAAGACATTAACGCTATCTTCAAAAAACTAGGTTACCTTTGAGAAATGGGATAGGAGATATTAATAATAGAGGGGTAGGGGTAGCATTTGGGTATCCCCTATTAATTAATATCTCAAGACTCTTCCTGCCACACCTAGATGAGAAGCTTAGAGTTCTTATTTTTGACAATGATGTTTTCAAATGTATAAATGATTCTCTAACTTAAGGGGACAAGATGGATTGTAGGGGGGCAGGTGGGGAAGGCATTATTGGGAAACCAATGAGAAGCTTATGGCCACAATCTACATGTGATGTAAAAAGATTCTGGACCTTATTGGTGGCAGTGGATGTGGGAAGCAGAGCAGACATTAGAGGCATATAGAAAAGACTTTAGTAGCTATGGGATACAGATCGTGTGAGAAGGAAGATTTAAAGTCTCAGTGAGTGGAAAAAGTTGACTTGGAGGGAAACAGGGACCATGACATGAACATGTTAGCAAGACAGTCATTGATGTAGAGATGTTTAACTAGATGATGAAGCTGTGAGGTTGATCCTCTGGGAGAAAGTTAAGTGCAAGAGAACATTTTGGGAATCACTGGTAACAGGTGGTGATTGAAAATGTGAAGATGAATGAGAACCCTGAAGGAGAAAGTTAGAGAGAAAAATCAAGACAAGGTTGGACCTTGGAGTTTGGTGGAGTTTAGACACAGGCAGCTAAAATCCAGAGGCCTTTCTCATGAAAAAGAAAATCTCCCTAGACCACTGACACTGAAACCTGGAGTCAAGCCAGGCTGACCTCTGTGAAACTAAAAGCCGTAGAGAGGACAGAAAGAATGAGAATGGCCAACTTCCTAAAATTAATTTAGGAAACAAATATTAAAAAGCTATTACAGTAGGCTACTAGAAACTTTGTCGGTTCTAGTTTGGTGGGAAGAAAAATCAGGAGTTCAGGAAAAAAATAGGTGGTGAGGAAAAAGAGGAAGGGCTTGAAGACCCATTCTTTTAGCAATCTGGAAGGGAAAGGATGATGAGAAATATGAAAATAACTAGAGGGTGTTATAGAATAAAATAAGAAATTGTTTTCTCTTTCCGAGTACCTCAAGAAAATGTCTTTTCCAAGGAGGCAGAAGTATCAGATTTACACTCTTAAAGGAAATAACCAGATTTCTATAACATTTTGCCATTTGTAGGTAGTCATACCGGAAGTTGTTCACCTAAATTACTTGGCCCAGGGTCTGCCGCGACTCAGTAAATGATTAAATGTCCATTTTTGTGGCCTTATGAAAGAGACACTCACCATCACAGCACAGTCAGCAATGATAATGGATTCTTTATTTCTCTGTTGCCATCATGGTTACTAAAGCTGACCACTCCTGCCCAGTGGCTGTCAGTTCTGCTGCAGAGGATACAAGGAAGAGAGAGAGAAGTTGGAAAAGAAATATATACTCCAGTCCCACACAGAGATCTAAAGGGTTGGATTTAGATGTGTGCTCTTTTCAGAATTTGGATTAGGAATAAGCAGAATGGAGCCTTGAGAACAGTGCCTCTGGCACCATGACTCACTACTGAGGATTTCATTAGGAGGAGAAGTACATATCCTTCAGTCAGTCATCAGGAAATTATGACTGCCTGCTTATTCCACCAAATCCTGCAGAAGTTAGCTGGAGAGGGTAAGAGTCTGGGGGTGGAAACTTTGCACTGCAATGCTTTCCTTGCCTAAATCCAATCTTTTCTATTTCAAGTCATGAAAATACATATTTTTTAGATGTATTGAGAGACACACGTACAGATATATATATATATATATACAGATATACATATACAGATATACAGATATATGTATCTGTATATATATTCATAAACATTTACCTGTCAATGTAACTTAGGGTGCCTTTAAATAAAAATCTCAACTGAATTAACCTAAAATGAAATGTTCTGTATACAAGTCCCCAAAAGAAGATGAACCCTAAGAAGGACTACTTAAATTCATCCCAGAGAAAATAGGGAATAAATGAGCATACCAGGTAGAGTTAGAAAGTTATTTTGGTGAACTGATTTCTATATAATATGAAGGAAGATTACAGCTCACAGGGTTTTATATTTTAAAATAAATCATTGCATAGAAGCATAGGAAATAGAACTAAGAATTTTGTTCTCATGTCAAGTTAACACTTTCCTCCCTTTACAGAATTCAAAATTGCAGTAGGAAAACACAATTTAGGCAGTCCGTCACTCATTCAACCAGAAGGCATTGGGGGGCCTCCCATGAGCCAGGCACAGTGTTAGGCTCTAGGACAAGATGGTGAACAGAAAGGTCTTTCTCACTTGCATGGAGCTGAGAGGTTAGTGGGGGTAGGGGAAAAGAAGTAAACAAATAATGGCACTGATGATTGTATAATTACAAACTGAGATAAGTGCTTTAATGGAAAAGAATGGAGACTTCTAAGAAGCAACAACAAAGGACTCCGAGTGGGGGGCATAGACCTGGGAAGGCTTCCTGGAGAATGGGCTATTTGAGCTTAGATCTAAAGAACAAGGCTGAGTAAAAGCTAACCAAGAAGCAGGTGGGTGGCGGGGGGAGCATCCCAGATCCTGAGAAGAGCTTGCACAAGGGTGAACCCCACCCCCACTCCCAACCTCCACAGGGGCCAAGCAGGGCAGCTCCTTGTTAAATATTTGGTCTTTATTCCAACATCAGTGGGAGGCCATTCAAGGATTTTAAGCAGGTTGGTGACATGATCAGATTTGTGTTTTGAAAAGAGCACCCTGGCTGCAATGTTGAAAACAAATTGGAAAGACATTGTTTAAAAGCCAATTGTTGCACTAAGTAAATGCGAAGGCCTGCAGCTGTCACAATCACTATCGTGTGGTCACCTGACCCCAGTAATATTTTTCTCTGCCCCTGAGGACATTTGGAAGCTATTTGCAGTGAAGAATTAAGAATTTCTTGATTCCAGATTATTATATGTCAACCTTTGAGCTAGAGACACAATGTTTTTCTGTCTGCTCAAAATTTTGATTGGTACAACTAATCACTGTTCCTGTTGGTGACAGTCCAAACAAGGCCTAACAAGCACATGTTTGCATTTCAGAGTCAGGGAGAGCAGCAGATTCCTCCTCTTCTCCTTCCTTCTTTGTATTGTACTTACTCATCACCCTTCTACCTTCCCTATCTGCACTTTTACTCTCCATGCTTTTTACCCATCTCTAACTTCCCTGGTTCCCCATCATACCTAGACTCCCAGTCAGTTATTTCAACAGAGCTGTTGCTGTAGTGCCAGACTGAGGAGGACAGGGAGAGGAACTGGCAGGAGCCAGGCAGGAGCCAGCCATCTCTGACTAGCTTGTAACCTTGTCTTGGAAAGGACAGATTGCAAAGGCCTATTTATCAAACCTCAACTAACCAGGACTAAAACCATGTGTATTGCCCTCATCAGAACCCCGAGTCCCCATTGTCATGTTAGTAGTCCTGGAGCCCAAGCAGGGCTGAGATGGAGTAGAGAGCTGGACATCTTAGCTGGGGTACGTGGTAGAATATGGGGACAGGGAGCTAGTTAGGTTCTGATGACTCCAGCCTGGGAAACCCACCTCTCAATATATGTATACCTGCCTCCAAGTTGCAAAACATTGCTGTAGAAACTAATGTGCTCTTAGATGGCATCCAAAATGTACCCTCTGCCACGTTGAAAGCTCTCTTCACCATCGCAGGCAAGTGGCCATGACCAGGTGTTAATAATATGCCTTTAGCTGTTGTCTTCTTATGTTGACTCCAAGCAGACCCCTCCCTTAATTTCCACTAACTTAAGCTAATTGCAGCCTCTGCAGCCATGCAGGCTAATCCTTTGTTGACAATAAAACCCTTTAGTACTTTCAGTGTGTCATTATGTCCCCTAGATTTTCTGCAGGCTGGAGCTCCTTATTTCTTGGCATGGGTGCTTCTCTGCTGAGGTTTCCAGTGTGTTATCATACTGGCTGCACTTCTGTGGACCTGCCAAGAGTCTACCATTATTAAGACATTTGCGATTGGTTGATTCAATAAGCTGATTAATCAACATTATTAGTTTATCCATTGTTTTCAAACCAGTTCTGTTTCTACCTTTGTCCAAAATTTGAAAGAGACCCCATAGCTTTTCTATTGTGGGAAATAAGAGTAGTCCTTTTAGACATTTAAAAACTAATAACTCTGTAACTCCAGTTCGGTCCATCCCAATTTGCTCAACATTCCAAATATATGTCCAGTTTAGGGCTTATCCCCTCCTGCCAAGATCTGACCCAGTCTCAGAAGCCTGGAGTTGGGGGACAGAGTATGACTGTATATTTATTGTTTCATAGCTGTTTCTCCTTTTCTCACTGGCTGCTGTTTCCCATGACTTAGTGCTGGGCTGAGGAAGAAGAGACTATGGGAACGTGGCTGACACAGTTAAAAGTGCTGATGCCTTCGAAGTATAATGGATATACAAAGCTGATTCTCTCCTTTACATGACACCATTATATGTTCTTTGAGGTGCTTTGCTGATGACATCTAAACCAGTTCTTCTCAAAGTATAGTCCGTAAATTACACAATTATTATCACCTAGGAGCTTGTTAGAAATACACATTTTTGAGTCTCACCTCAGTCCTAAGGAATCAGAATTTCTAGGAGGTGTGGCTGAGGAAATTTGTTTTAACAGGTTCCCAGGGTAATTCTAATGCAGGCTAAAGTTTGAGAAGCATTGATCTAGATAGTGGTTTATCCTCTGGCTGGTCACTTACAAGGCCTGGGTTTGGGGGCACATTGCACCTCTAGGCCTGTGTTTTCCTGTGAGCTGAGCCCACAGGTGAACTGCAGGACACGACAGCTTTTTCCCAGTTTCCTCCCAACATTATCCTTTCCTCTCTGCTGTACTTCTCAGAGGTCCCTGAACCCAGTTGTCCATCTTACACTTCTGGGATGAGGCAGGTGTTAAGCGTCTCTGCTCCAAACTCCAGGAGATAAGAACAAAGCTCTCAGGGAGTTCTAAGCGTCCCTCTCTTGATTTAAGGAGTGGAGAATGTTCCTCTTTTTTCTCTCCCATTGAAGTGAGTGATAGGCCCATGCAAACAAAACCAGATTTACTGTCCATTAGCTGTTCCACAAAAGTGATCTAGCATTTCCATTTGGGATGTAGAAGGACTTGATACCTCTTGTATTATTCATGGCGTTTGGGGTCTGTTGCAAAAATCTGAGAAGCACAGAAGTCACATTTAACATCTTCTTGGACATGGCAACCAAAACTCAATCCAATAAGATGGCTCTTCTTTGTCGTACACACTCCTTTTAGGTATGCAGTCAAAGTTCACATTGACCACATCATATCACTGATATAAGAGATATACTGTCAATTTCCTTAAATTATTTTCCCTTATGCTCCTGTTGTCATGTCTGCCCAAATTTATTCTTAGCTGGGTCTTTGTGTTACTTTTTAAATACATTTTTGCTTCTCTTTCATATTTACCATGGTTATGGCCCCTTCTTGCCTTCTTGTGTGCATACGTTGTGGAGCTCATAGAACTTTCCAGCACTGACTTTTCTAATATCCAGATTATCTGTGTTACACACATTCAGGTAAAATGATCACAGTTCCCATTATTGGCAATATTTTCCCCTTCTTGTTGATCAGAATTAAGAAGAGATTACTAATCCCCTGATCCATTCCTCTACATCTGAAAAACGAAATTATCATCAAGGCAAATGAAGAATTTATCAGAAGTTTTGCTGTCATTACATCAAACATCCTGCAGATGCTTATTACACATCTGTGCTATCTACCCTTCCTGGTTGGACATTCACTGCTGCTCAGCAATTTATTTCTTAACCCTTTATTCCTCTCTCCATGAAGATTATGCCAAATCTTCTTCATTCCTATAAGTTCAGGCACCATTTGTTCCCCTCACTCCCCATAAATGATTCCACATCCAGTGGACTAAAAGAATTGTCAGACAATATGAGATCCCTGAACTTTCCTCCTCTCTACCTCAAAAATCTCTCTGTAATTTGACTTTGTTACTCTTTCCTCTAAGACCATGTCTCCATCTTTGTCATTTTTTCCCACCCCACTTGGGGATCCCATTTATTTTTCTCTTTAATCTGTCTCTCTGCATTAGCTATATAAGTCTCATATCCCAAAAACCAACCAACAAGAAAACATGCTGTGACCATCATGTCCTTTTCCCATGTCCCACTTCTGTTGATCCACCTCTGCTCACTTTCCTCCATTCTTCTAATAAAGTTTCTTCAAAGCCAGTCGATGATCTAATCACAGATTCCAAGATCTTTTCTTATTTTTTCATCCTTATGGAACCATGTCCTTTTTATGTTAAAATGTATACTCCTGACTCTCCCCTGGGCATGCAAAAAGTACTCAATGTATTTCAATCCCAGTGATTACAATTTCATCAATTTTAAAACTGACCTCCCTACTGCTAGTTTCTTTGTTTATTTTAAACTCTGTTGCTGGAATTACTTTCCTAAAAGAAATTCAACCTTTGCTGAAAAATCTTAAATAATCTAACTCCAATATTTATTTCCAGCCTTATTACCTACTGTCTAATTTTTTTTTTTGACACACCAACTAGTGAATGACACAACAAGGAACCATTTCCTCTTCTCCAAGGTGTTTTCATTTCTTCAAGCATTGGATTATGCTACTTTTTCATTTAGAATTTCCTTCCTTCCAAGTTGTTTATGTCACAATACTACTTATTCTTTTATATCCCTCACAAATGTTACCTTTCTTCAAAGCTTTACCACGTTCCTTTAAATGAGGGCAACTTCTTTCTTCTGAATTCCTATAGTCCATTGACATGGCCTTATGTTATACATTCAAATACACAAGTGTGAATAATTACTAAATTTAGAGAGTGTAATATTTTTTCCAAAATAACTACATCTTTCCAATACAAGATAAACAATATAAACTACTCCACTTTTTGTCTTGCATTAGATTAGACAAAATACCATCTGAGAATTGGGAAAACTATAATTTTCTTTAGGTTTTTGCCTGTAATTTGTAAAACAACAGAAAACATTCCTGTGGACCTGTTTAAAATTTTTCCCAGATGCCGTAATTTCAGTACTCTATGATGATGCCTTCATGACACCCACTGAATATTCAGATGTTGAAAAATCTGGAGGATGGGAATTAGAATGATTAGCACTTTTGGAAGTAGGCCCTTTGTGGAAGTAATTTATATATTAAGAGGGAGGAGGAAGAAGAAGAGGGAGGAGGAAGAGGAGCTGGAACTGGAATTATTTGATGTAGAAAAGAAAATGCAGGGGCAGAAAATATTAGCAATTAGTTTCTGAGTATCTTAAAAAAAACTATTATATGAGTGAGTGACAGTGAGAAGCTGTTTCATGTTCCTACTTAAGAGTAGGACAAATGCTTTTGGGCTACTGCAACAAAAAATCCAAAAAGGCATTAGGAGAAGTCTTCAGACTCTAAAGTTGGTAAAATTGTGGTGTATGATAACAGGTTGTCAATGCAGGGAAAAAGACATCTTTCTGCACTGGGGGTCAGGGTGGTATCCTGTATGGAAGAAAAGATGCTGTAGATGAGGCTTATTCAAGCTTTTTATCTATTCCAATGAGATCCTACATGTAGGGAAAGAAGTGATTCATTCTATCACACAGTATTGAGACAGCTTTTTCAGAAAATGTAAGTTAATTATCTGATCTGCACCTAAAGAAGAAAGGAAGGTTCTGAGAACATGGCATTGTGAGTGGATAGATGCACAGTCTGAAACCAGACAGTTTGGTTGCTTCTCCAGGATCATCACATCCTAGCTTTGTGACCCTGGAAAGATTTTAAACTGCTCTAAGAATCAGTTTCCTCCTCTGCAAACTGGTGATAATAGAGATGTGAGTAGTCACGGAGATGATACTCGATAAATGTCAACTTTTATTATTTTATTAGACATATAGCACCTTCTAGGCACTATGTTAGGCATTTTCCCAATCATTATTTCCTTCACAGAGCAGTCATCCAAGGCTTCTATAAAATAGGATGATATGATGACTTTTCACCAGAGTTATGTTCTTTAATTAAAAATGAAAGCCCTAGGTATCAAAGACCAGCCTGCTGAGTTCCCTGACCTTTCCCAACCATGAGACATTTCCCTGATATCTGCAGCACGTCTTTGACATCTGGGACAGAAGACCAATTTGCCTCCACCCCCACGTGGCTCCACCTGTCACCATTATTATGTGATCTTTATCAAATTAAACTGAGAATGTACTAATCTTTTTTCATTATGCTTCCAACCAAAGCCACCAAGCTCACAAATATGGTGTCTGTTTAATAAAATGAATTGATACAGGAAAGAAAATTCTGGTATTTAATTTCATATCTTCAAGACAATATTTATATCAACTAATATATTCATGTTCTATTTGAGCTATAATATATTTCTCATCACCTGATGAACTTGTGACAGAGGGTCTGTTTGTAGCCAGTGGTTAATACAGAGTGTATTTTCCTCTGGGTCATTGCCCCTTCCTTTCTTCTTCTACAATTTACCTTCAGAAAAAAAGCCATTTTCACAAAAGCCATTTTGAGAGTCAGTTAAATGTGCAGGATGCTAAAATTACATATGTACTTGTATCAGAGTTTACATGTGTGTGTGCACGCGCACGTGTGCACGCATTTGTGTATCCTTTTTAAAGAAAAGTTTGTATTCCCAGGAGCAAGGATAATGAGGCATATGCTCTATTCCTAGCAAAACAACAAGCTCAGTACCAAGTGTTAGATATAGCTTAATGTAAAATATATTAATAACTCTCTCTATGCTAATAGTGAGATTTAAAAATCCAAACCATAGGGTTGAATTTATATGGCTAAATCAGAAAAAGCCATCATAATTGGAATTTCAGCAACATGTTTGGATGATAGAAATCAGTGGGGCATGACAATCTTTACTTTGAGTTATACATAAAGGTATCTTAGGACTTGAATAAGACATGCATAGTGTATAAAGAAATCCTGAGACACTGTGAAAATAGTTTACCACTGTGAAGAGAAAAAGGGAAGGTTAAATTACTTTGGCTATAAAACCACATGTAATGCAAAAACCCACTGAACCAACTTTGTTTTCCAGATGTCTTCAGAACTGCATAATTGCAGAATTTTGAGAAGTATATGAAGATGGTTTCAGGATGTGCCTGATACTTTGCGTCAGAAAGAGCAACAATAATGATAAATTTTTAAATGATCCTAGAATGGACAAAGGAAGTACTATTGCATTAGATTCAGTAAAGCATTCTTTTATAGAAGATGTTTAAAACATCAACATTTGGCAGAAGAAGAAAAACTTGGGTTTGAGCCCCAGCACCACCACTTTCTCGCTATTGGACTGTGGGAAAGTCCTTCAATTCACTAAGCTTAATTTCTTCATCTGCAAAGTGAGGACAATAACAAGGCCAATCACATGGGGATGTGAGGATTTCAGTGACATAAAATAAAGCCCTTAGCATAGGATCAGGGGAATAGAATAAGTGCTCAATAAATGTCAGCTACGGTGTTGACAATGCTGAGGGTGGAGGTGATGCAGAGGAGGAGGAAGGGAATAAAGAAGAAAAACATCAGGTAGACTCTGCATCTATATTATTTGTAAAAAGCACTCAATAGAGGAAACAATTGTCTGATGATAAAATGAGAAAAATCTTCTCACTCCTTCCGAGGACAAAATATTCTATAGTGAAGCATTTAGGTGCGTTTTTTACTTGTCTTTGCAGAAAATTATTCATTGCAAAATTAAAAGGTTGTATACCTTTTGTCAGAGTAAAAAAATGATCCTTTTAGCCAAGAATTAAGAACACATTTCAAATCTGCCATTTAAAAATAAATTCTGCCCTTGGCTAAAACCCTATATGGCTAAGAGTTTATTAAAAAGAGCAGTTTCTTCACTGTCTCTATTTTGCAGAGACAATGGAGATAGAATGTGACACACCAAAAATTGAGGCTGGATGAGGAGGCTTTTTGTTTGAAATTGGTGAGCTGACTCTCACATTTATACAAAAGGGCAAAAGACCTTGAACATTCAAACAATCTTGTAAAAGAAAAAAAAGGTAGAAGACTTACACTACCTGATTTCAATATTCTATGATGTTATAGTAATCAAGACAGTGTGGCACTGGCATAAAGATGACAGAACAATGGAACAGAACTAAGAGCACCAGAATAGACCCACACTTATGTGATCATTTGACTTTTGACAAAGGTGCCAAAGCAATCCAATAGGAAAAGAAAATTCTTATTGCATACAATAAACTAAATAAATATTAATAAATTGAATATCCACATAAAAAAGTGACCTGTGACCCCTACTGATGTGGTTTGACTGTGTCCCCACTCAAATATCATCTTGAATTGTAGTTCCCATAATTCCCACATGTAATGGGAGGGACCTGGTGGGAGGTAATTGAATCATAAGGGTTGTTACCCCCATACTGCTGTCCTTGTGATAGTGAGTGAGTTCTCATGAGATCTGATGGTTTTATAAAGAACTTTCCCCCTTTTTGCTCAGCACTTCTCCTTCCTGACATCTCCTTCCTGCCATCATGTGAAAAAGGACATGTTTGTTTCCCCTTCCACCATTATTGTAAGTTTCTTGAGGCCTCCCCAGCCACGTGGAACTTGAGTCAATTAAACCTCTTTCCTTTATAAATTACCAATCTCAGGCAGTCCTTTATAGTAGTGTGAGAATTAACTAATACAGTAAATTGGTACCGAGGGTAGGGTAATGCTATAAAGATACCCAAAAAGGTAACAGGCAGAGGTTGGAACAGTTTGGAGGGATCAGAAGAAGACAGAAAAAGTGGTCAAGTTTGGAACTTCCTAGAGACTTGGAGGGCTCAGAGGACAGGAAGAGGTGGGAAAATTTGGAATTTCCTAGAGACTTCCTGAATGGCTTTGACCAAAATGCTGATAGTGATGGCTGATGTGGTCTCAGATAGAGATGAAGAACCTGTTGGGAACTGGAATAAGGTGACTCTTGCTATGTTTCAGCAAAGAGACTGGCAGCATTTTGCCCCTGCTCTAGAGTTCTGTGGAACTTTGAACTTGAGAGAGATGATTTAGGGTATCTGGTAGAAGAAATTGCTAAGCAGCAAAGCATTCAAGAGGAAGCAGAGCAAAAAAGTTTGGAAAATTTGCAGCCCGACAATGAAACAGAAAAGAAAAATTCATTTTCCGAGGAGAAATTCAAGCCTGCTGCAGAAATTTGCATAAGTAAATTGAGGAGTTGAATGTTAATCACCAAGATAATGGGGAAAATGTTTCCAGAGCATGTCAGAGAACTTCACAGCAGCCCCTCCCATCACAGGCCTGGAGGCCTAGGAGAAAAAAAGTGGTTTCCTGGGCTGGGCCCAGAGCCCTGCTACTGTGTGCAGCCTAGGGATTAGGTGCCCCGCATGCTAGCCACTCCAGCCATGGCTAAAATTGGCCAAGATACAGCTCAGGCTGTGGCTTCAGAGGGTGCAAGCCCCAAGTCTTGGCAGCTTCCATGTGGCGTTGAGTCTGTGGGTGCACAGAAGTCAAGAATTGAGGTTTGGGAACCTCCACCTAGATTCCAGAGGTTGTATGGAAATGCCTGGATGTCTAGGGAGAAGTTTGCTGCAGAGGCAGAGCCCTCATGGAGAACCTCTGCTAGGGCAGTGCAGAAGGGAAATGTGGGATTGGAGCTCCCACACAGAGTCCCCACAGGGGTACTGCCTGGTGGAACTGTGAGAAGACAGCCACTGTTCTCCAGACCTCAGAATGGTAAATCCACTGACAGCTTGCACCGTGCACCTGGAAAAGTCTCAGACACTCAACACCAGCCTGTGAAGGAAGCTGGGAGGGGGGTTGTACCATGCAAAACTAGGGGTAGAGCTGCCCAAGGCCATGGGAGCCCACCTCTTGCATCAGTGTGACCTGAATGTGAGAAATGCAGTCAAAGGAGATCATTTCAGAACTTTAAGGTTTGACTGCCCTGCTGGATGTCAGAGTTGCATGGGGCCTGTAGCCCCTTTCTTTTGGCCAATTTCTACCATTTGAAACAGGTCTATTTACCCAATGTCTGTGGCCCCATTGTCTCTAGGAAGTAACTAACTTGCTTTTGATTTTACAGACTCATAGAAGAAACTTGCCTTGTCTCAGATGAAACTTTTGATTTGGACTTTTGAGTTAAAGCTGGAATGAGTTAAGACTTTGGGGGATTGTTGGAAGGGCATGCTTGTGTTTTAAAATGTGAGGACATGATATTTGGGAGGAGCCAGGAGCAGAAAGGTATGGTTAGGCTTTGTTCCCCACCGAAATCTCATCTTGAATTGTAGTTCCCATAATCCCCACATGTCGTAGAAGGGACCTAGTGGGAGGTAATTGAATCATGGGGGCGGTACCACCATGCTGCTGTTCTCATGACAGTGAGTAAGCGAGTTTTCATGAGATCTGATGGTTTCATAAGGGGATTTTCACCTTTTGCTCAGCGCTTCTCCTTCCTCCCATCTCCTTCCTGTTATCATGTGAAGAAGGGTGCATTTGTTTCCCCTTCTGCCATGACTGTAAGTTTCCTGAGGCCTCCTCAGCCATGTGGAACTGTGAGTCAAACTAAACCTCTTTCCTTTATAAATTACCCCATCTTGGGCAGTCCTTTATAGCAGCGTGAGAGCAGACTAATACACCTACCATACATTATACACATAAATTAATTTGGTATGAATAATAGACCAAAACAAAAAAGCTAAAACTGTAGGCTTTCAGAAAAAAACACAAGAGAATATCTTTATGATTTGGGGATAAGTTAAGTTTCTTTAGGTACAACAAAGAAGCACTAACCATCAAAGAAAAACATTGATAAATTAGACTTCATAAAATGAATGCTTCTCTCATCAAAAGACAGTGCTGACAAGATAAATAAGCAAACTGCAGACTGGGAGAAACTATTTGCAGAGCATACACCTGAAAAAAGACTCGTATCCAGAATATAAAGAACTTCCACAACTCAGTAATATAAAGTCAAATCATCCATCAATAAAGGAGGCAAAAATTTAAACAGACACTTTACAAAAGTAGATGCATGTGTGGCCAATAACTACATGAAAAGATGCTTAACATCATTAGTCATTGGGGAAATAAAAATTAAAACCATAAAGAAATAGCAACATGTATCCATAGGAAGGCTAAAATGAAAAAGACTCGGCAGCACCCAAAATTGGCAAGAATATGGAGTGATTAGAAATCTCCAACACTATTGGTAGAGGTAAAAAAAATGGTACAACCTGGAGGATGTGCAAGCTATTTTATGACCCGAAAACGCTACTTCTAGGTATTTACCCAAAAGAAATTGCAATATGTGTTCACAAAACCTTGTACAATCATGTTCATAACAGCTTTATTCATAATACCTAAAAACCAGAAAGAGTCTATTAATAACATAAAAATAAACTGTGCTGTATTCATATAATGGAATATTACTCAGCAATACAAGGGAAAAAACTTGCCAATTACAGGAGCACTGATGAAACACAAAAACTAAATATTGAGTGAAAGAATCCTTACACAAAGATTCCAGATAGAGTGGTTCTAAAACAGGCCAAACTAATTTATGGTGAAAATGTCAGAATAGTGACTGGCTAAGGGGGACAGCAGTTGATTGGAAAGGGGTATGAGGAAACTTCTTTGGAGTGTTAGTGATGATCTGTATCTGGATAGGGGTTTGAGTTACACAAGTGTATATATTTGGCAAAGCTCAGCCAATGTTTACTTAAGATTTCTGCATTTCATTATAAGTAACTTTTACCTCATGTAAAAGCAACCCTGTAAACAAATATTGAACCCTGGTAAATAATATGCATGCTGAAATATTTGGGGAGAAGTGTACTGATGTTTAAAAGTGGTTTTGAAATATATCAAAAGATAAACTAGATTGATGGGTGCATGAAGGGATGGATAGGTGGATTGTTGCATGATAAAGCACATATAGGAAATTTTTAATTGCATTATCTAAATAAAGCGTCTGTAGGTGTTCACTGTAAAATTGTTTCAACTTTTCTGTGTGTTTGAGCATTTTATAACAAATTGCTGGAAAAAGAAGTTAAGGCTAAATGGGTAGCCAAAACCCTGATGAGAGTTTGGTCCTACCGTTGAGTATAGAATGGGGAGCTATGAAGGTTTTCAGAAGGGCATGCTATCATCAGATTTACACTCTAGAATGTCTCTTTGCCTGAAGTATACAGGGTGAATAGTAGGCATGGGTATAGGAACTAACTTCAGTCTTGAAAACCAGTAAGAAAAGATTTCAGTCGTCCGCGTGAGAGACTTAACAGGTTAAGATCTATAGAATCGCCATTGGTTGGTGATGGTTAGATATTGGGGAAGGGTGAGGAAGGAGTCCAGGATGGCTTCCAGGTTTCCAGCCATGTTCCCTGGGTAAATGGCAGTGACCACTTTTGAGAGGAAATAGAGGAGATGAAGCAAATGAGAGACTGGGAGAGGAAAGGGTGAGATAAGATGTTTCATTCTATATTAGACATGTTGAATATGAGGGTCATTGTAATTCCCTGAGGTGAAGATGTACAGATGGCATTAGCAATATGGGTCTAGAACTCGGAGAGGAGGTCTAGGTTGGTGGCATAGTCCATTTTGTGCTGCTATAACAGACTACCTAAGACTAGGTAATTTATAAAGAAGAAAATGTATTCTCTCACAGTTCTGGAGGCTGAAAAGTCCAAGATCAAGGTGCTGGCAGGATAGGGCCCAGTTTCTCTGCTTTCAGAATGGTGCCTTGAGTGCTATGTCCTCCAGAAGACAGAAATGCCATATCCTCACATATCAGAAGAGCAGAAGAGAGACAAATAACTCCTGCAAGCTCTTTTATAGAATTATTATAGGGAATTAGCAGAGTTCTCATGACCTAAACACCTCCCAAAAGGTCCTGCCTCCCAACACTGTTGCATTGGGGATTCAGTTTCAACACATGAATTTTGAAGGGGGCAAATACATTCAAACAATAGCAGTTAGATATATGGATTTTAGCAGTATCAGCTAAAAGATGGTAGTTGAAACCATGCTAATGGATGAGATCATCCAAGAAGAGAACACAAGTGAGACAGCCCTGAGGTTACCAACAAATTAGGGGTTGACTGAGGAAGAAAAGAAACCCAAAGAGGCCTTTGATGAACAACTTAGAGCAATGTCTATAGTTCTGAAAAAGACAAAGAATAAAATTTGTACAGAGGAGGGTGTAAATAACTTTGTCAGGGATATTGGTGTGAGGAGGAAGAGGTCAGGAAAGTTTTCACAAGGAAAATGATACTTGAACAGGACTATATAGGGCAAGTAGGAATTGTCCAGGCAAACAAGGGAGACAAAAGAAAGACAGAAAGAACAACATAAGAGGCTAGAAATTCTAGGAGTGTTCAGGAAACTTCAGGCTATGCCTTTTTGACACTAGGTTGGGGAATGTTGTGTAGCATTTTCACTCAATATGAAACCGTTGAAATATAGTCATGGGGTTGTGGAAGGGCAGCCTCTGTAATTCTCCCTGATGTAAACTACTAGTTCTGCACCAGAATCACCTGCAAGGCTTGTTAAACTACAGATTGCTGGGTCCTACCTCCAGAGTTTCTGGCATAATAGGTGGACAGATGAGAGACTGAACTGGGTAAATCTGGGTGGGGCCTGATAATTAGAATTTCTAATGAGATCCCAGATGATGCCAGTGCTGTGGGTCTGGGGCCCACACTTGGAGAACCACTGAGGATGCTGGGAGGAAGGGGTGCTGTACAATGCCCAGAATCAGCTTCTCAGGGAAGGCCTTTCTTACCGGAAGGTGCTAGTTATACTGTGGATAAGGCACAGTTCCCACCATATAGTTTACATCCTCTCACTTCCTTGGTAAACAGAACCTTCTTAATTAAACTTCAACTTACAGAAATGTTGGAGAATTTTTGAGGCTGAGGTCTCTTCAATAAAATAGGCTCATACTCATGTTGCATCTCAAGGACTCCTCTGTTCACACACCCTGGTGACATACAGGAAACAACTGCTGTGCAATTCTCTGCATCCTTGGCTGCCTCATGGGGACTGATAGCTGGATGAGATGTACCTAATATAGTAGTTGTTGAACGTTTTGTACATTTTAAAGTACATTTACATCAATTCAGCATTTTAATTTCCTTATAAGCCAGCACTACTATTACTGATCAATAAAATAAGCAATAGGAGAGGATGACATGTCATTTTCCACACAGGTCCTGGTCTGTGGTGACCCCAGTGACACCCTGACATCTCCTAGAAAATGAGTAACAGGTTTCTATCACTTTATAAGAAGGAGCTGTTTTTTATTCTCCTCTTTTTCCCCCAATCTTGGGATTGTGGGGGTCTTGTGGATGTTTTTCATACCACCATGGCATGGGAATAGTATAATTAACATGTCTGCAAGGTGAATGCCAACTGAGTGCCCTGAGTCTCTCTGAGATTGGTGCAGGGGAGTAGCTGGGCTTTCCCTGAGTGCACAAGAGGAACACAGAAGGGATGAGTGAGGATCAAACTAGTCCACAGCGAGGAGGACATAGTATGAACTGTGGGGCCTCACGACAAAGGCCATGAAAGGAGGTTATTTAGTTTGCGGAAGGCAGATCATAATGCAGAGAGGTGTTTACACCAGCTAAGAAAGTTTGAATAGGGAGACTTAAAAGCAATGGTAGAGACAGGTTTAGACAAACTAAAATTTACTTGCAAGATACCTCAGAGCTGTGGAAGGCATTCATTCAATTCAAACCCAGCCAACAGAGAGATGAAGTTATCTAGTTTCAGGATATACAAAGAGAAACATAATCACTAAAATATGAGACTCCTATAGTCCATCCCATTCGTCTGTCAAACTAGGTTCCATTTATGATAAAGACATTTACAAAGTGGGGTAGAGTAACTCAGAGGATGAAAAGGCCCAATCTCATGCCATCTGTGATCTGATAGGAAAAAAGTGATGATACTGAACCATGGGAAGAGGCAATTCAGGGAGAAGTGATATTCATCATTGAATATTTAAGAGTCTATCATGTGAAAAAGAATTACACTTCTGTGGATATACAGTAGGCACTGTGGGTGAATGTTAGAAGAAGTAGATTTCAGAGCAAGCAATATAAGAAGGAATTTTCCAGAAAGTAAAACAGCATGAGGAATAAGAGCATAGTGTTTAAAATAAGGCTGCTTGGGTTCGAATCCCAGTCCTGTTTGATGTTAGACAAATTATTTACCTTCTTGGTGCCTCAGTTTTCTAATCAGAAAAATGGCATTAACAGTAGTATCTTCTAATTGTATCATAAGATTAAATGAACTAGACATTTTGAAATGGTTAGAACATCGTCTGGCATGTGCTAAGCATGCAATAAATCCCAGCAGCTGTAGTTGTTGTTATTATTGTTATTGATAGAGCTGGCGATGGAGGGACAGCCTTGATTGATGGTCTGTACCCTCTGAGGAGCTGTCCCAGCAGATGCCTGGATACACCAGGCGGAAGTTCTGGTGAGAGGAAGAAGGTCTAGCTCGCTGATGGCACCAGAGTGATGGTTTTCAGCTGATAGGCTGCATGCCACCCATGGGCTGGAGCAGTAGTACACGTAGACACAGGATGTCAGAACAATTATATATTTATTCTCTGCCATCTGTATTTCTAATGGCAACAGTATCATGACTACTTTTATGTTCTAGAGATATTTTTGTTTTAGCAAAAACATCAAAACTCACTCCCAAAAGTACTTCCGCCGTTTTAATATCTTTAGACCTGTCCATAGATGATACATATTTTATGTAGACTAATAAAAGTCAGAGTCAGCCTTGAGAAAAAGTAAGCATTTTAAATCATGGTGAGGTTCAGGGATGCTCAATCTTCTTTGATCCAATACTTACAGAGTACTTCACATATGTTAGACACTGTGCTAGACACTGGGGATGTTTAGATTAATATTAATAAGCCATAGCCCCTGCCTTCAATAAGTTTACAATTTAGTCACATTGGTTGGACATAAAATACAAAAGGTTAAGCACTACTAAGTTAGATGAATCTTAGCAAAGCCGTTCAACAGTGAGTGAGAGTCTACAATTTTATCATTCTCGACAAGTGAGCAGCAGCAGCAACCCAGTGGACAAATTTCATACAGAGGAGAGACAAACAAACAAACACGAAAAGCGCCCCAGCAGCCTAGAATCAGCCTTGAGGTTGTATAAGCCTGTGAGTTAAAGGCACTGAAGGTCACTACACTTTTGAAAAGTAAAGTACAAGGGCAAGAAAGAGCAATCCCTGTGTGATGAAGCAGAGAAATTACTTCTTCAGAGAGAAAACAGAAATTCTTTAAAATAAAATATCCTGTAGCAAAGGAAAATCTACCTGGACATAATTATAGCCACTGAACTACCAAATGTGTATATTAAATTCAGATGGGATGGGGTAGATAAACAGAGGGTACACAAAATAAATTGTTGAAAACCTTTATGAAAACTACATATGGTAGTTCAGAAGCTGGATGAAAAACTCTGTTGCCAAAGATAGATTTCACAAAGAATTTGACACCAAGCCGAGAATTTAAGAGATGCAGTTTCAACAAAAGAAGTTTAAAGTAAAACAAAAATTTCTCCTGCAATCATTTTTAGTACAACGTTGATGGAGAATAAAGTCTTCCAGGAAGTCGTTACATAGCACTGAAGACATGTAAGTGTTTCAAATCTCCAAAGCCAGATGGTATGCATTGTAAGATCCCAGAAGGACTCACATGTGAATGGCCATCGGACTGGTCAGGACATGAAATACACTCTCACTGCCACATTCTTAAGATCCGGCTCCACTGGGAATTTTTCCTCACATAAAGGTTGGAGAATTGGGTCCCATCATCTATTAGTTCAGACAAATTATTTTGGGAAATTAGAAAGGTGTTCTGTCCTCAGGAGATACAAGAAATTAAAAACCTCTGTGCCTCTTAAATTCTAAAAACACTTGCTTCAAAGACCAATTGAATCAATATGCAGTTATAATCTTGATATATTCTCAATTGAGAAATAAAATCAATATTCAATTTAAATTGTTTTGGGGGAAGGACAATAAAATGGGGAGAAAATAACTAACATTACTTTCTGAAATTAATTTATAGTTTTCTGGGTTTTTTTCTAAATTTCCTATCATGCGTATGTATTATGTCTATAGTCAGGAAAGTTGGTTGAAATAAATAACTGCAAGATACCAATATTAAAATGTGTCCTGAAATATTTACCTAAAAGAGTATAATTAATTGTGGTGACTTTACTCAAAAAGATCTAGGACAACTCTGCATAGTAAGAGTTAAGACAACCACTCTTGGCTGGGACTCCAAACAGACACCGTAAGATGGAACGTCCAGGCTGGGCACAGTGGCTCATGCCTGTAATCCCAGCACTTTGGGAGGCCGAGGCAGGCGGACCACAAGGTCAGGAGTTCGAGACTAGCTTGGCCAATATGGTGAAACCCCGTCTCTACTAAAAATACAAAAATTAGCTGGGCATGGTGGCAGGCACCTGTAGTCCCAGCTACTCAGGAGACCGAGGAAGGAGAATCACTTGAACCCAGGAGGCAGAGGTGGCAGTGAGCCAAGATCATGCTGCTGCACTCCAGCCTGGGTGATAGAGTAAGACTCTGTCTCAAAAAAAAAAAAAAAAAAAAAAAATACATGGCATGAAATTGAACAGTCTTGCATTATGTTATTCTGAAATAGAGAAAAATTATTAGAGCCTTTATTGAGCTATTCAAACCCTCAGTGAAATCTGAGTAACTAGACATTTTTACCTAATTGTCCTAAGGAGTAAAAAGGGACACTGTATGGAATTAATTAGGAAAATTAGCAAAAGATATGAATTAATATTTTTATCCTGTATAGAGCTAATGTATGGAATAGAGGGTCAAATATTATAGTAGAAAAATAACAGAAGTATACATTTTATGATTATTAATTATATTTTTCCCATAAGCATAAAAAATTATTCTATAAATCTCTCTTATAGGTAATCTGAAGCTATCAAAAGCAATAGCATATTAATTATCTACAATAGAGAATTTCCCTTACTCAATAATGTCACCTTGGAATGCATACCCATTGGTTATTGCATTATATGGAGCCCATGGCCAATTTATTTTGGAATTATCAGCTACTGGCAACTAATTAAACAAGACACCTGGTGAGGGAGACCAAAGATTTGGCCATTCATGGGAGATCTTTGTCTTGTAATATTTTTCTTTAAGAGACACTTCTAACCCTCAGTCGGGAAGACCAGTATACTTCCCAGGGAACTGAAAGCTGTGTGTAAAATAACCTCTACTCAGCACGAGATAACATCTGTCTCCAGGTCAAAGAGAGGATATACTGTGTTGCAGGACACTAGTTCCTTTTTGTTCCCATTGGATTAAGATAAGGTCAGACACTTGGCTTCAAGCAACTGCTGCACAAGTCACATACCCCAAAGTTTGTACATGGCCTAGTGTCAATCAGCAGTCTGGAGGGCAAAAACTCTTTCCACGTAACAATGATGCTTCATTTTTAACTCATAGCTGACGTCCTCCTTAAAGGCTATTATCACATCAAAAACTCTCAATATTTAACCATAGGGGATGGAGTAAACATAATCAGCATCTTTACCAAGGGCAAGGACTACTAGGACTACCGTTTTATTGTGCTCATAACCTTAGTATGTTGATTTTCTATTAATTTGCTGATCATGTAGGGACTTTAGGTTCAGTGTATATATTTAAAATTTGTAGAAATTGATTCTATAAAGACACAATGTCCTGTGACTGCTTTAATAGAATTAAAAGGCCTAAGCAGCCCTCCCCATACAATCTTTCTTTGTGTATCTGACTTCTGAAAAACATACTTTCTCTTTGTAGTGTTCAAGCAGTATCCTTGAGCTGGAAGCAAGAGTGAAGGTTAAATAAGAGAGGAAATCTTAAATAAATCAGATACATTTCATTTTGCACCAAGAATTTTTCTGTCATACTTACCTCTATCAAAAATCTGCCTATCTTTATAGTTTACTTTTTACTTGGAGTAAAAATTAGAGTTTGCAAATTGTAAATAGAGGGGGCCAAGATAATTTAGCACATTGTTTTATCACTGTCAACCCAGTGGTTTTCAAAACCGAATTCCACATATTTCGAGAAAGTCATTATTGCCTGGCAGTGTTTATAGAGCAGAGTGGAGCAAGCCTGCCTCCACCAGAGGTCAGAGAAAGAAACAGAATGACCCAGGGAAGGACTCTCACAAACAGAGAGTGACCTGTTTGTGATTAAACCCCAAAAAAGATAATTGAGTTAGGATAGTGGCCAGAGTGGAGGAAATAAGGTGCACACTTAGAGTTCAGTCATATTTCCTGAACCTTTTAATCCCCCCACCTACCCAGAGGACGCCACAATTAATAGCTGCTCTTTTACATCAAGGCATAAATGCTCTTTCTTCAATGCAGTCATTAAAGATGGAAGAAGGTGAGGATCCTGTTTAGTGATGCCAGGATGTACTTCTGTTTATTTCTTTGTACTTGGGGACAAAAAAAGGCAAGGGGAGTTTACTCTGGATTTCAACATATGTCAAAATCGAGGCAAAAATTTTCAGCAGCTGAAGTCAATCAGTTTCTGGAAAGTGCTAAGCAACCATACCAAGGGCTCCCAACTAACATTACCTCTGAATGTGCATGACCAGGCATATTTCAATATGCTCTGCCAGGTGGTGTTAGGAATGCGAGCAATATGCAGCTCACTTTACTTGCTGACTGGCTTAAAAAGAGAAAATTAAATACATTTCTCATAAGGATATTTTGCGGAATTTTTCCACATCATTAAATAAAATGTAGCCCTGGTTTAAAGGCATTTCCTGAGAGAAAACATTTCTTAATCTAAACTAACTGAACTATGTGAAACCGTCTGCCTGTATACACCATAATATTTTTTCCTGATTACATGGAATGGGTCTCCTATCATCCTGCAAGCTTACCCATATCACTGAATTGTTTCACAGCCATCCGAAAAAATTGACTGCAAACTTTTTAAAGCGGTTCTTGGGAAATGGGTGGTTATTCAATTTTCTCCTCACAGTTACAAAAGACTGGATGGTATCGAAGGTGACATTTCTGAAATAATTAAGAAAAATAATGACATGCTTTCTTCAGCTAGGTACATACTTCCTTCACAACTTCAACATAACAAGCTATAACACTGCTTCCTTATTGCTAGAGAAAGGAAGATAAACTCAAATATGACAGACAGAAAGTAGCAAATGCTATAAAGAAGTACAGAATCAAATTTAAAGCTTTCTTGTTTGCCGTTGCAATGCATATTTTCACCTTCTTCCCAAGGAAGGGATGGCACATCCCCAGCGACAGCTTAAATCCATTCAGAGTTAGGCTTTCCAATGCCCATTTAACTATTTTAGAATTCCAGTGAGGTGAATTACCATTCCTGACTTCATGAGTTCATGGTTCCTGCCTAGGGACTGAGGTGCTGTACAAGGCTTATGTTTCTTTTTGGTTTTCCATTGGAATAGCCACATGAGGTGTTCTGATTTTTCAACACACTCTCTTGGCCTCTTTGTCTCAGTCAGAAATTTTCTATTAAAAAGAAAGGGGAAAAAAAATGCTCCTTACAAGAAGATACCAAATATCTTCTGTTCAATCCCAGGAGCCCTCTAGCCAATTTGAAAGTCAACATCAGACAGAGAGGTAATGCTTTTTTGTTTTGTTTCAATCTGAACTCTCACAGTTGTTCAAATTGAATCAAGAAGCGAGAGTTTCAAACTAAGTAGTGAACTAAAATAAAACTGGGAGACATCCGTTTTACAAGGTTGTATGGGAGAACTGCTGAGTACACCCTGAGAGAAAAATAAAGGAGGGGTAACCTTTCTACAAGAGGTTATGGCTTCACAACGATCCACAAAGCAATGTGTAGGAAGAGAATGTACACACCTCCTACACAGCATAATCCACGTTGTTGTAATATGGCTTGGTGAAATATTTTAGCGCTGGGGTTTTTGAAAGAACTCTGTGAGTGAGATGCCCTCTGAAATAAAAACAAAGTCAGGTTCCAAGAATCTTAGTGATTCTTGTTCCCATCTGGCAACACTGACACATGTGCATGAGTGCGCACGTGCACACACATACACAGCAGATGAGCCATAGAAACACAGGTGCTGTATCTAACAAGAAACATAGGACAATTTTCTCTTTGGGATGCTGGATCAAATTCCAGTTCTCCTAACTAGGTTAGGACTTTGTCCCTGCTCTGGGCATTGCCTTGTGGCAGAGAATAACCTCCTGTTCCATTCCTATTCCCTGAAAAAATAAAACTTTCAAGAAGAAAGAATGTCCTATTGTTGGAGCAGAATTATTCCCCCAGCTTCTCAAAGAGGAGGTATTTTTTTGCATCTGGGAAGAGGTTGTGTCCAGAGGGGCTTCTTAGTTTTACAGCTGGGTCCACTCAAACCAGTCCGACAAGCCAGCATTACATAGAGGAGCCCAGCCAAACACAGGCACTTCAATCACGCTCAATTCACTTGGGTTCTGGTAAGTGAAATGAAACCCCAAAGCTTGGCTTTTTATTTTTCTTAGGGCAAAGTCCATTTAGAATTGATATAATCACTTGCTATGGTTACATATGCCACATTTATTTTTAAATAGCTCTACATCCCAAGGGCTCCTGATTTCCATCCACACGACAGGTAGGAAGACGGCAGAAAAATAATTTTCAACACAGTTTACATTTTACTAGGCTCAAAAAAAGCACATCTGGAGATGCATACCTTCGTTGGGAAGGAGCTGGGAAGCTTGCTAAGTATGCCCAGCATTTTGTATCTTGCAAAAGGGGGCCCAGCTGAGGGCATAACTGGGGGATGAAATCCATGCCAATCTTCTGGCCAAGCGATGCATCCTGTCGTGGGGTTTGCAAGTGCCTAGAGAAAGAGGTCTTTTTCCCTATTCTGTGTGAATATGTCATCCACTTGCAACCCTTGTGCGTGTGGGGCTGCATCCACAAGTCTCCTGATGTAACGGTGACTCTGATTAAGAAGTCTTCCATCTGCTCTTGAATCCCAGGTGGAGGTGGATCTGTTGAAGAATGCTTATCTGTTGAGACACAGCTCAGGTGCCAGACTTTCCTAAAGCCTAGCTAAGTTGCCGAGAAATGTTAAGATACGAGCTCTCGAGTCTGTTTGTTCTTCTTCCTAGCTAAATAGTATTTTTTGCTTCTCCAAAGGCAGTTTACTTTTTTTTTTTTTTTTTTTGCCTAATGTTACCTAACTTTGGTGCTTTCCTTTTCTCCCTTATCAGTCCCTTGCAGCCAGGGACTGGGTCCCACTCATCTTTGAATGCTAAACCTCATCCAGCTGAGTCTTGCTAGTTAATGTTTTATCTAATTCAGAGATTGCAAACTGTGGCCTACAGACTGATCTGGCTGGTCGCGTATCATTGTCCCAAAGACAGTTTAACAAATTGTGAATTGGGTTTTTTGTTTTGCATACATACTCATGTTTACAAATGAAGAGATTCCACGTGAAAAATCTGCATTTCTACTTTCTTTGGAAAAATTGGAAGTGCTGGCAATACTAGGCTTGCTTTCTCTCATGATAGCAATCAATCAGAGGAGGGTATCTGCTGCCTCTTTTTACCTGGTGTGTTCTTCGGGTCACAGAATCAACATCGTGCCCTATTCCTTCTTGTGATCATCTACCTTGCTCCTCTAGGTATTTGGCTTAATTGAATAGGAGTCCATTAGCGTATATGATCCAATAATTTCCCTAACATTCAATTACTAGATCCCTTGCTGTAGCACAGAGTTTGTCAACATTTTTTCTGTCTTATCATCCATGGTAGATGGCTTTCACATATGCAACCACTCCCAAGGGTTCTGTCAGGGTTATTCTAGCTGTAACCAGACAGTGAGATGGTTGCTATAGCCAACAAAACTCTCTCTTAGAAAAAGGAAAGCAAATACTTTGCAGGCTTCAGAGAAACTATTACTGGTAACAAATTTCTTGTGACATCTCACAACTGATCATGACACATATGCGGAGTGAGTGCAGTTGAGAACGGTTCTTGTAGCTGAAAAAGGAAAAGCATAAATAAGTTTAGAGAATTGTGTTTCTAAAGCATGACAGGAAAGAAGCATCAATAGGACCTCCAAGTGAATAATTTTAGGTCAGGGTAAATACTAGGTTTACTAACTTCAATTCGATTTTCTACGCACATACAGGTATACCTCAGAGATATCGTGAGTTCAGTTCCAGACCACCAAAATAAAATGAATATCGCAATAAAGTGAGTCACACAAATTTTTTGGTTTCTCAGTGCATGTGAAAGTTACATTTACACTGTACTGTAGTCTATTAAGTGTGCAATAGCATTATGTCTTTTAAAAATGTACATACCTTAATTTTAAAAATACCGCTAAAATTGCTAGCAATTATCTGAGCCTTTGGCAATATGTAATCTTTTTGTTACTGGAGGATCTTGCCTCAATATTGATGGCTGCTGATAGATCAGGGAGGTGGTTCCTGAAGGTTGGGGGTGGCTGTGGCAATTTCTTAAAATAAGACAGCGATGAAGTTTACCACATTGACTCTTCTGTTCATGAAAGATTTCTCTGCAGCATGTGATGCCAATTGATAGCATTTTACCCACAGTAAAACTTCTTTCAAAATTGGAGTCAGTTCTGTCAAACACTACCACTGCTTTATCAACTGTTTGTGTAATATTCTAAGTCCTTAGCTGTCCTTTCAACAATGTTTACAGCATCTTCACCAGGAGTAGATTCCATCTCAAGAAACCACTTTCTTTACTCATCTGTAAGAAGCAACTCCTCATGTGTTGACATTTTATAATGAAATTGCAGCAATTCAGTCCCATCTTCAGGCTCCACTTCTAATTGTAGTTCTCTTGCTATTTCCACCATATCTGCAGTTACTTCCTCCACCAAAGTATTGAACCCCTCGAAGTTATTCATGAGGGTTGGAATCAACTTCTAAATATTAATGTTAATATTTAGACTTTTCCCCTTGAATCACAAATATGCTTAATGGCATCTAGAACAGTTAATCCTTTCCAGAGGTTTTCAATTTACTTTGCCCGGATCAAAGAAATCACCATCTATGGCAGCTATAGCCTTACCAAATGTATTTTTTAAACAATAAGACTCGAAAGTTGAAACTACTCCTTGATCCATGGGTACAGAATGAATGTTGTGTTAGCAGGCATGAAAATAACAACCTCTTTATATAACTTCATCAAAGCTCTTGGGCAACTAGGTACATTTTCGATGAGCTGTAATATTTTGAAAGGAATCTTTTTTCCAAGCAGTAGGTCTTACCAGTGGGCTTAAAATATTCAGTAAATTGCTATAAACAGGTATGCTGTCATCCAGGCTTTGTTATTCCATTTATAGAAAACAGGCAGAGTAGATTTAGCATTATTCTTAAGGGCCCCAGGATTTTTATCTCTAAGAGAGTTTTAAAAACCAATAGATTCTCTCAGACATTCTTCTTGAATTTGCACTAGGATTAGCATCTTAGATTAATAATCTGTACCAAGAACCTCACCTGGAGATTCTCAGGACTCTTGGGCATGTTTCAAGAGAGGTGGGGGAAGCCGAGAGTTCAGCAGCAATAGAGAGGCAGAAGCAGTAGGTCTGGAGCAGGGGTTATAAAACCAGATGAAGAATTGCCAGGGAGCCTGGGGGTGCTGGGTCCTGGGTGCTTGGTGCTGTCTTAGGGAAAAAGACCCAGGAGATGAGCTTTTGAAAAAGGAAAATAGAGTAGGGGTGAAATCTACAGGGGTTTATTACTTCATAGGTTCTCCCCAAAGTTGTCTTTGTTATTGATTTTGAAATTCACCAGTGTTATAACAGTTCACTTAAAGCATAGTTGACAGATTGCATGAGAAGCCAGCCTTCACCTGTGGGGCAAGTGCAACGTCAGATGCTAGCCATTGTTTTGGTCTTGATCACCAATCTGTTTTTCAGGATTTTAAATACAATGACTGGCATTTTGCTTGAGAGGAATAGAGTCATCTTAGGGAAAATATTGAACATCTAATGTTTTTAAGAATTACATTTTTAACAGGCAAAGTAAATGGATCAAGTGGTTCATCTTTTTTGTAGGCTGGATTATTTACAGGTTATGCTGAGAAAATTAAGGTATCAAGAATTAAGAATTTATTACTCTGGTTTCTTCAGAGTCAAAGTAAATTTTGAAAGAAAAAAGGGATTTCAGGGGCTTCTAAAAAATGTGGTATAGGCTAATGGTTTTAGTCATAGCTCTTTAAAATGTCTTTACCACCTCTCAGAGGGACTTAAATTTCAGCTGTCTGAGCTTGACTAATTATTGAGGTAGAGTTAAAAGTTGTTCGGTGCTCAGAGAGGACAGGGGAAATAAAAGCAGCGAACCACAAAACTATGTCAGGAAAGTTTACTTTTCATGGTCATTGAATTAACGAAGGAACAAGCCAGCTCCGGCCCATCTCTGTCTGTCTTCACGTCACCCTGGGCCTCCCTGCCACAAAGGGAGACATATTTGTCAGACCCAGACACTTTTGAACAACAGAATGCTCCTTTATTAGAATAAAAGGTTGGAAATTTCTAATTCTCACTTTCTATCCACTTGCTTGAAATGTGTCAATTATGTTTCTGGGGTGTCCTTCAATAGATATAAGGATGAGAAGGCATGGGGCAGAGAACACAATGCCTCCCTTTTTTCCCTGTGTGGAAATGGAGGGTGAGCAGAGTGACTTGCAGGTGGCCCTCTCTGCAGCTGAAAGGAATGCAAGAATTTTGAAAAAAGAGTACTATTTTTTTTTAATTGCAAAAAAGAATGAGACAAAAATGCTAATAGTTGCAGCTAGAAAATATGCCTGGGAGAATGGCCTTTATCATCTGCGTTTGAAGTAGGGGTTGAGAAAAAATGAAGTCCGGGAGAAAACCGAAAGGCCGATCAGGCTCTATGGGCACCAAGATACGAGAGACGCCTGAGGGAAAAACTTTTCTATAAAGCCATTTCAAACTTGCTTAGTTATTTGGTAAGAGTAATTTACATGGTATTCTAAATGGTATATCCCTGTTTCATCTCCAGACAAGAATTCAAGCGATGTTTATAAAGATCCCAGCCTCTGTTTAGGGATGTCTAAATACATTCTGGTAATTAGCTTAACTTTGATCCAATGCAGTTCTTTCTCTTAGTAACATAAATAAATCAGTGAAAAGTTCTGGAACACTCTCCCTTTTGAGATCTCTGCCTATTAATATAAAACTCAGTTATTTCTATGAATATGGTTAGTTTGATGTTCACTTTTTAAAAAATCTGATGTCTGGTTGTCCTGTTAATAAATACTATTTAACATCTATTTATAAGAGTTCCAAGTGAAAAACTGTGTAATTAATGCAATGCCTATTGTTTCCTCATAAAACAAAACATGAAAAATGTTCCATATGAGAATATCCACACTTGGACAATGTTCTCATCATAATCTGCATCCCAGATTCTCACTTTCTTGTCAGAAATACTTGATCACATGGCAAAAGCAATAGAAGGGACAGTGTTCACCTTCCATACCAGTGAATGACTTATGTTCAACATTTTGTGTGTGTCATTTTTATGCATTCCTCTACCATAGAATCCAGAAAGAAAAGAATGAGGTAGAATTACCATTTAGCTGAAAAGTATCCCAGGCTAGTAAATATCAGACATACTGTCTACCTGCTCTGGTCCCCGTTTCCTGGCATCTCCTCAGTTGTGTTGTCTGAGAAATTGGCTGGCCTCAGATCAGACTCGGAGATATAAAAATAAGTATGATTCCTTTTATTATAAAGAGAGAAATAAATGGACATTTAATTATTTGATCTGAACATATATTATTAATGTACAACATAGTCTCATAACAACAACTGATATCTTTTTGTAAAAAGATTTTGATATGCTATTTTAATCTGTATAATTATGAGTAAGAAGTTCCAGAACAGCATTCTCCCATAAAATAGCACTGACCCAAAGATAATAAACATAATGTACTTTAAGGGGGCTGGACATTATAGAGCAGTCAAGGAAAGGAAGGCTCAAACAAGCCAATCTATTCTCATTCTGAAATTAGACATTTTAACATAATTTTAAAATATAACTGTTTCTGAATTTAATAACCCATAAATATATAAAGAAAAAAATTTGCTTGTATCTCCCCACTTAGAGATCATCACAAACATTGTGAATGATTCCTTTTCAGACTTTTAATATGCACATAAAATACCACTTTTTGCAAAACTGAGATCCTGCTGTATACATAATATTGTACCCTGACTTTTTATTTAAAGTTAAGTTTATTCTCCCATGTCATCTTATGTTATTTAAAAATAAACATTAGCTTCTTGTAAATGAAAATTACATGTTGATGTGTTGAAAAAAAAATCAATACACTGTGAAATGTGATGTGATGGAAAGGAATTCTCTCTTCTCTTATTGCAGACCTCAGTTTTATTTCCTGGGATTGAATAACCATGGCCAACAGTTTCTTATAGACAACAGTTTTCATTGAAGTCATATCATACTATTGCAGTGAGCGAAACATCCCACAGAATTTTTGTGAATGAAAAAGGAAAAGTTCCCATGCTGTTCGTTTAAGAAAATGTGAAAGTTCACTGTTAATGTGAACAGTATTGTTTATGTGATTGTGCAGGTGAACAACCAAGGATCTGTACAGGTAAATGCAAACAGCTCTTCACAGTGTCACTAAAGTCAAAGGAGTTAGAATAGCCAGTGACACTGGCCTCTAACAAAGACTGTAGCATCCATGAGAAAGGCAAGGTATTGTCATGCTTAATAGAGGATATTGCACTCCACAATTTTCCCCAGGTATGCTCTTGCATCTTGAAGGTTGCAAATTCAGGTGCCTACCTGGCTAGGAGAAGCAAGTGACTGAAGTGGGAAGGTGTGAGAAATGAATAGGGGATGGTAGGAACCATGGTGAACAGGAAAGAATGTGTAATAGGGCAAGGGGGAAGTTGCTACTCAGACTGGTACATTATGGAAATGCAGTCCAGTATTATCCTTCTGATTTGTTAAAAAGAAAGAAAAGACCTAAATTTTTCTATGAATTTTGCCAATTTTTAGAGATCCGCTATTTATTTAAAAATTTAACAACGCTGAACTGAAAAAACTTGTCTAGAGGCTGCCTTAGAGCATGACCTTATTTTCCTACCAAAAGGCCCCCTTATCAAGGGCAACCATTTCCTTAACTTTTCCTGCAAGCCCTGGCCTCACTGAGCTCTGCAACATACCTCCCTCTACTTATCTCCTTCCCCGTAGGAAGCCTGTGTGACAGAGCTGGCTGGCACAGATGCTGACATTACATCACATCACAAGTTTCAGCATATCCAGAGCAAAGATGAGCAGGTGCTTGGAGCAGGGGTAGAACGGGGACAATCCTGCTCTTGCCGTAGACAGAAAGTGGTGCTTTGACCTCCTCGTCCTGTTGCTGTGATAACGTCGTGGGTCTCCCAGGACTGCAGGGATGAACAGGACCCATTGCTGCAGCCCCTACCCAGGAGCTTTTCAGTGCAATGCTTGTGTCTATAACAGGAGAGCACTTAGGGTAGAAGTTACAGGTAAGAGATCTGAATATGGTACCATTGTCCGTTCTTAAAAATACACTTAATGCGATCTAAAACATTTTTCCCCACTCTAAGATATTCTTTCTGTAATCCAGTCCAACTCCCTTTATTTGTGTTAGCAGATCTGCCTTTGAGTGTCCCTGGGTGAGTTTACTTAGTTTCTTAAGAGGCAGAAAGAAAGCAGATTTAATTTTACATAAGTAGTGAAAGGCAAATACCATCAAGAAGCTCCAGGGGGGCAATTGTAGATGTTTTTCACAAGGGGAATTTGAGACTGTGCTATGTAAAAATGACAAAAGGTTGCTAGAAAGAGTCAACAAACCAGCTTAGAAGCTGGTGTACCACAAAAATGATGGCCACTTGGCATGGTATGGGTGGGACTAAAGGGCGCTGGACCCCAGCGAGGACTGCAGGTCCTGTCTTTATGATGGAGCAGACATCAGTTTACCCAAAAGGCTTACAACTCATGTCTTTGCTATCCTCCTACATAAAGGGGTGCCCTATTATTTGAATAGTAAAATATGGACTCAAAGCTGTAGATCTATTTTTCCTAGATATTTGCATTTCAAATTAATGGGATCTTTTTAAATATTAATATTCTTCGACTTGGTAACACCACTTACAGGAATTTATTCCAAGGAAAAAATTCTAAACAATAGCAAAAAATGGAAAACAAGTTAAATATCCAATAATGGTGAAATGCTTAAGTAAAGCACAGTTTATGATCTCAGTGAAATGTTATAGAACCATTGCAATGATTATAAAGATTGTGCAATAACAGAGAAAATACTTATGCTAAAATGTCAGAAAAGCAAGACACAAATTTCCAAATAAGCATGATTATATATTATGCAAGCCAGCCAGCCAGCAAGTAAAAAATCTTTTGTATAGGAAATATAAGATTAGGGGAAAATTCACTGAAAAGTTAATGGTAGCTCTGTCTGGATGCTACCAGCTTTTTCCTTTTTTCCTTAATTTTCTGCATTTTCTTAAATGAGCATGTTTTACTTTTATAATGAAAAAAGTATAAATTCTTAAAATGAAACTTAAATATGTTTTAGAAAATGACAGCTAACACCAAAATGAAGCAGCCTCTTCAACAAAGTGCATTTCAGGTTGTCATGAACAAGCTTTTCTAAAGCAAAAAGGTTCATTTAGCTCCATAATGATCCAAAAACTCAGCTTCTAAGGAAGAAAAATAAATCCAACTCTTCCCTTGAATAGCTTTGCCCACACTCTGCACAGAATCAAGTTAATCATTCCAGGGATGGTTTACAACCCAAAGATGAGATTTTATTATTTTTATCATAATCTCAGCTAAACCTTGTAAAAGTGGTACAATCAGTCAGAAAATTAACTTTATTAAAATCTGATACATTATTAAATCAGGGATTTCCATGGAAGCAGATTCAGAAGGTTGAATGAATGTAATGCAAAGTGGAATTTCCTTTCATTTTGTACCCCCTCCCCTCATAAATCTTTGTCCTTCAATTTCATCAAGCAATTCTTTGTTCTGACATTCTGGGCAGGAAGTATGGTGACAACTGATCAACTTTCCTAACACCTCTCATGACTTTTGAATATGCACATGTTTGAATACATCAAACACATCTGCTTCAAGATAGTCCATGCTAAATATTCTCAACATGTGTAATTCATATACAACACGAGTTCCCTTCCTCTCTTCTCCCCTTTAGGTAATAGCAGCTCACGATATACACACACTGTAGCTTTCCCAGACTGATTTTTTAAATGAAGGAAAACAAATTTGCAACAAGAATGTGCAAAGTGGTATGCTGCTATGTCCAAATAACCATCAAAAGTGAATTAAACTGAGGGAAGAGGAAAGAAATTTAAGCCTGAGACTTCATTGTGTGATTTTCAAAGGATTTTTCTGAGCGTTCTTTTCTCTATTATCACCTTACAAATAGCCTAACATATGCCCATTGAGAAGAAATGGATACAAATATTTGTTTTTATGGCTTTACTACCTTCTTCTGGACTTAATGGAGGAAGTTTTTAAAGAAGATATTTTATTATTCTCAAACAGCTTTTGCTTATGTTTCTTCATAGTAGCAAAAAGGCATGAAGTGAACACACAAAAATAACCATTACTATTGATGTCACATTGAGTTACTTTTTCACATTGTTTTCTTGGTGTCTGTGGCTCATGTTGCTAGAAAAAGGTACTGATTGGTTAACAACTATTTTGAAGACCCTTCCACAGGGATGTGTATGAATTAAGTTTGTGTGTATATGTAACAAGTTTGAAGAAGGCAAACTTCATATTGCCTTTCCCCAGTCATTAGCATCTTTCCTTTCATTTGTCTAAATTAAATACTACATGCCTTTTGTCTGCCCTCTTTCCCAATTTGCTTGGTTGCGTCTAAAATGTCTTCAAATTTGCCATTGCTTATCCTTGAAGGAAGAGAATTACTGGCATTGAACATCCATAACCAGGCTTCAAATTTGGTTCAGAAAGAAATCTGGTAGACACTATTATCTGTATTTGGGCTTCAGGTTACTTATTTGAGGATGTTCAAAAAATAAGGATACTCACATAGAGTTTAATGGAATAGATTTCCTAGGAAGTTAAACGTAATTTATGGAAAAGCATATTCAGTTCCTACTCCCATAAGCAGCACTCAACAAGGGTGGGGGTTGATGTGCTGCTACTAAACGCTGCCTCGCAAGCCCACAAGTCCTTTCCTTTCCTAGCTGGTTTTCAATTCATGAAGAGATCTGATCTTTACCGTATGGTTACTTATTTCCTTTAAAAGTCAGGAAAAATGAGAGACTTTATTAAAATGTCTTAGAAAAGATGGCATATTCCTCAAAAGCTGGCTCCTGCCTCCCAGCTTCTCTCTTCCCCCATTTTCACTGGGATTTTAAACATGACTCTGGTTACCCAAGTCTTGGTAGAATTTTCTCTTCATTTCTCACATATTCCTCTGACCAGATCAAAATTTTATTTTATCTTATTTTTGAGACAGGGTCTCTATCTGTCACCCAGGCTGGAGTGCAGTGGCTAGATCATGGCTCACTGCGGCCTCGACCTCCCTGGGTTCAGGTGATCCTCCCACCTCAGCCTCCTGACTAGCTGGGACCACAGGTGTGTGCCACCACACCCAACTAATTTTTTGTATTTTTTGTAGAAACAGGGTTTTGCCATGTTGCCCAGGCTGGTGTTGAATATCTGGGCTCAAGTGATCCTACCACCCTGGCCTCCCAAAGTGCTGGGATTACAGGTGTGAACCACTGCACCCGGCGTCCAGAAATTGTAAAATAGCAAGAGCTTGCAAATTGGAATAAACAATTCCACAGGCATTCCAAGTACCCATTAAGACTTGCGGTTATTAGGAGAGATGTATGTGGAAATGGCCTACGAAGGCTAGTAGACTGGTATACGGGTCTTAAAATTCACCCAATGTAAGTATTTTTCAATGAGTTATTTCTCAATTTAAAAAAATTAAAATAGGGTCCCATAGTTATATATGTTGTATTAAGAACATCGCACATTACTTATTCCTACCTGAAAGATTTCCCAGCCACTGTGAACCCTTAGTTTTCCTCCCAGGCCTCTGCTCTACAAGAGGGATCTTGCTATGTGTGGCCCTAGCAGCTACCCTCAAACTTGGTCTTAGCTCTTCAAAAACCATGAGAGTTCTTTTTATAGTGACACTGAACAGACCATCTCTTTGTGACTGTCTTAATGAAAATGGACCTCAGCTAGAACATACAAATGCACATACCCTTTCTCCACGCCCCCACACACAAATTCCCTTGCTTCCAAACCAAAATGCCTTTACTTTCCTTTGATTTTCCACGTGCCTTTTTGAAAGTAAAGAGCTACATTGTTTTAGGCCAGTTTCAGTGAATGGGTCATTTCTCCGCCTTACTTCTGCATTATAAACACACTAGTGATAACAATTAATGAGAGGAAGGGTTTTTATGATAGTGCCCAGCATCCTGTTTTCAGCTCTTAAATTCTCCCTATATATGCACGGATCCTATTACCCCTGGGCGAGCTCTTATTAATCTCAGTGTCGGAGCTGTTTCAACAAATCTACTGTAATAATGAAAAGTCATCTTATCACACTTTGCTCTCAGTAAATTTACCATTCTTTGATAAGGTTGAAAACAACTGGGAAGTAATTGATCTGTAATTAGTGTGGCAACTGCTGAAGAGAGGCTGTGCTGGGGTTTCATCATTTATCTGCCCAGCACAGTGCATCCTGCTCGTGCACACTAAATTATTTAGCATTCCTTTCAAATACAAATGGTCTCAATGGGTCCTCCATTATTTTAAGAACTTTCTGAAGAGGAGGCTAACACTTAAATTTCTGATTATCTGTCACCAGTGCAGTGCTTAAAGGAGCTGGGAGTGGAAGGGGATCATTTTTCACACACGACTTGCCTGCTGAAGCCGGCCTGTGCTATGAATGGAGAAGGGCAGGGGCTCTTTGATCTGAACCAAACTTGCACAATTTATCTTTTAAATGCACTAAGCCTTTTGATAAATGTCAATTTGACAATTAAATTCTTCAAGGGCCACAATATATCACCATCACAGTGTCTATTTTTGAGGGTCGGTCAGCCATAACATCTTTCAGCAGACTGCAGCAAGCAGAAGTCAGAGGGGAAATGACAGCTCTCAGGCCTAGCTCTTCTACACATGGTAGTTTTATCTCTTGGTAAGTAAAATAGCTGTGATCTTTCCCTTCAAGACTTTCACAACTCCAGTGGCAGAGTGCATGGTTGGCCTGACAACCTAAAGGCATTGTGTTCAAGATCTGTTCTCTTATCATTTCTCTGATAGTTCAGGGGAGAAAGGAACAAACCCCTTTCTGTTACATGGCCTTTTGAAACTATTTCTCTCTCTCTCTCTATTTATATATATATACCACACACATATATGCATACACACACACACACACACACATATATATATATATATATATTTTTTTTCCCTCTTCTCAAAGATATTTTCCTTTGTATTTTGCAAGAGATGAGCTAAGGCAAGTCTTCCATTCACAGAGGTATCAGAGTCAGGAAGAGGAATGGAAGTAGAACCACTGAGTTGTGACTTTGGTTTTATGGAAGACCCAATTTATCCTTTGATTATAAAGGTCACTGATTAAGTTGGAGACTGTGGATGCAGTTGCAGGTTGAAGGGAATGGGGAAAATAAATAGCAGGCATGATGATTTGGGGTAAAATTTCATCTTTGAGGACATTCCAATTTTTTAGGCTATGGGAACTTCGAAGTTATGTCTTGCCTAAACTCAGATCTTTCTATGCATCTTTGAGATGAAAATAGCTATCAGATTATGAAGAAGGATTGCTCCCTGCCTTCTCAGGGTTTACATTCAAAAGCACTTCTTCTCTTTGCTCTTTTTGCACCATGAAAACTCAATGCTAGCTGGAAGAATAACAATTGTAATGTGACATTTTGAAGTGTTTCACATGAAAGATTATTTTGAACTCCATGGTTACGAAGGAGTTTCTGAAGAGCTGACAAGGGAGGACCCTTTGGACATAACAACAATGCCTCTGTGATCACCTTTCAAGCTCTTCCATCATCATAGATAGTGTTGCCATGGCCCAATGCGGCCCCACCACTCAGATATTTGGCATTGATGTGATACTATCTTCTGACAAACTGACATTTCAGTATGATTGTGAAGAAGACTAAAGCTCCCAGATTAGATGGCTGACCTGCTGAAAATACACACGTTAAGATGCTGTGCAGATGTCTGCTTGTTACCTTTCCTCAAGGATAGAAGAATCACTATAATCCTTACTATCTCTAAGAAAAAGTGAAAAAGACCCAACTGACTGTCTTTAGGGTGCTTCAATGCTTTCAACACGGATTAATTTTTTGGTTGGGCTATCATGCAGCATTGTCAATCAAACCCTCCTAGAATTGTCGTGTGACATCAGCTCTCAGAACAGCTGCAGTCATGAGTGCTGAAGGTTAGCTACAAAAGAAATGCAGATCACTTTCCTGACCTTCATAATGTCTGAAGCCTTTAACTTTCTGTGAAGGACTGAGAATAAAAATTATTTTGCAGATGGGGCTACCAGAGGATATTTGTCATGGGCTTAAGATTATTTCATGAAGGTAAGACCGGGTATAATGACTACACAAGAAAAAATATTATTTTGGCCAAGGCCATTTCTAGATGGAGTTCTACATAACACCAACCCCTCTAGATGAAATTTGCTCAGTGATCATTTAGCTTTTCACTGGCAGCTGTATAGTGTGTAGGTCTTTGTTGTGCCATATATATTAATTTAAGGGACATACTTGCCTTGTAAATAAACTCCTATTTGGTGTTTTCCTCATATTTTTCTCCAACTATATCTTATTGGATATATCTAAGAGGTCAGTGGGTAGGTAAACCTTTACAAACCTTCGATGGATAAAAAATCATCTATTTTAAGTACTGATATTCAGATCAATGCTTTTCATAATATATGTTAATGTATATTTTTAAGAGATTGGCAAAGTCCTTTGGAATGATATTGCTAATGTAATAAACTTCTAAAGTCTCCTTTTCTCTGTAAACTGTCTTTTTAAATATCACTAAATGAATCATACAGATTAAACATATGGAAATCAGATTGAACACTTAATTCCTAATTGAGAATTTCATCATTTACCCTGAAATAGCACTTAGTAAGTATCTCCTGTTATTTAACATTCTCCATGCATTACTGGATGAACAGCTGCAAGAACTATCCAGAGCTTTATCTTTTTCACTGTCTTTTGCTGCATCACACACTGCAGACCAGGCCTATCCTTAACACTGGCGGGGCTTGAAGCAGGAGTACAGATGTAGGTTAGTATATCATATGTCGTAATATGTAAAAGGTAGACATTATATCTACAAATATAAAAGTTATACATTGAAGCTAGCTGCCAATAAAATATACTTTCTTCATCTACCTTGATAAATATAGGTTCATAACAACAAAATGGAGTAATATGTATAAAGAATACATATAAAGAATAATATGTATATTATAAAATAATATGTTTTTATATGACTGAATGTCAGCAAAATACAAAAGATGACAAAATTTAATTATTTTTTGATTTTTGTTGATGTGCTGCTGATGTTTGGATAAATAACAAAAAAAGACACATATAATTCATAAATTATTATATATTTATCCCTCAAAATTGTGTCTTGCCTTCCTTTCCTTTGCCCCTTAAAATTTTGTCTTGCCTTGCCTTTTTATTTAGGTGAAATTCACATAACATAAAATTGATCATTTTAAAATGAACAATTCAGCATCATTTGGGATATTCACAGTGTTGTGCAATTACTATCCCTATCTACTTACAAAACATTTTCATACCCCAACCTGTTAAGCACTTACTTTCCATTTCTCCCTCTCCCCAAGCCCTCATAGTCACGTGCAAAATTCTATTGTAATAATTAAGAGTTTCACATAACTTTTGTTCTATTTCCAAGAATAAAGTGTTAAACGTAAAGGGTAACAGAAAAGTATATGACATTTGAATATAATTTTAAGTCAAAATTTAAATCCAACAAAAAATTAATATTAGTTTTTGTATATTTTTCAAAAGTTATTTTTATTCTAAAATGTCAAAAGTTATATATTAAAATGAAAAGGCAAATTATAATAAGTGACAATTACCAGAATATCAAAATTCCAAGAAAACTTTAAAAGATAAAGTCAACTGTAAAATTTACTTTAAAAAAATAAAAAGCTCAATTACTTTTATAAAAATAAAAATAGACACAGTATTAATATTCTGTGTCTGAATAGGAAATAAAAAGCAAGTTAGAGGGAACTCCTGCCTGACTACCTTTAAGTTGGAACATTGTTTTTTTTCCTGCCTTCAGATTCACACTGAAACACAGCTCTTCCTGGGTCATGAGCCTGCTGGTCTTCAGATTGGAACTACACTATCAGCTTTCCTGTGTCTCCAGCTTGCTGACTGTGAATCTTTGGACTTGGGACTTGTCAGCCTCCATAATTTATTGAGCCAATTTGGTATAATAAATCTCTCTCTCCCTCTCTCTCTGTAGGTATATATTATTTGTTCTGTTTCTCTGTAGAACTCTAGTATATCCCTTTCCCAGGGTTTGTTGTTGTGGCTATTTGTTTGTTTAATGACTTTCTTGAAGTAATTCATACAGTTGTACTCTTTGTTGTGTGCTGCCCATGTAGTCTCTACTTGGTTAGTTTAGTGGTCAGCTAATGATTGAACAGACATTTGCTTAAATTCCAGGACCAATAAATCTCCCTCCCACACTTTGCTGAGAGGCTGTGTGTGTGTGTGTGTGTGTGTGTGTGTGTGTGTGTATGTGTTGGGACACACCTTCAATTCTAGGGAAGTTCACAACTCTGCCTTAGTCTTCACTTCTTGCTTGTACAGAACTAACTCTCAGCTAGAGTTGAGAGATTAGGGCCTCTTCAGGTCTTTCCTGATCATACACACAGTCCTGCAAATGCACATGGCTATCTAGATTCCCAGGAGTATGTCAAAACTTTTCAAAATCTCCTACAGACCTCTAATGACCCACACTTACCATTTAATTATTTTGGTTAGCCTCTTGTTTGCCCCAGCTTGGAGTACTGCTTCATGCAGCTGCAATAATAAACAATTGCCACTGACTGTTTTCAACAAATGGTTTGGGTATTGAGCTTTTCTCATGGAGTGAACTCTGAGTCAGGTCAAATAAAGAAAATCTTTCTAATTTTTTTTAAGGGAGCTGACAGATCAAACAGTGGTAATTCTCTCCGTGTAAGGCTTTTGGAGGAGATCCAAACCCAGCCCTGTTCAGTGGCTGCCAGGATTTTGGTTTTCACAGCCACCATGACTGTGAGGCTCCCAGATTTCAAAGCTACCACATAGTTGGAGAGAGGAAAACAGGAATGGAGCAAGTTAAAACACCACAAAATGTACTATTCTTATCAAAGTTTAGCCCTTTTTTTTGAATAAATGCTTCTCTAATTGTTGCAAGTCTTTGGTTAATTTCCAAAGTTCTGAAAAGGTTAATTTTGGCCATTTGGGGCCAGTTTTTAAATTGCTTTTATATACAACAGATTTTGTCAGGTTCTTACTCTGCCAGTTTAGAAGTGCTTCCTCTATTCTGCAAGTTTTACACGTTCAAAACTTTTGTCTGTCATCTTTACACTTGCTGGAAATAAAAGTTTGGCTGAATATAAAATGATTGGCTTACACTATTCTTTCCTTAAGCATGTTAAATTGTTGAGGTGCTGAAAACTTCTTTGGAGAGATTTGAAGCCAGCCTAATTTTTGCCTTTCTAGGAGACTTGACCCGTTAGCCTTGCTGTGCTCCCCAGGTTGACAAGACTTCATGTCTATTGTCACACATTGACATTGAGAAGGTAATGTGTCCTGAGCGCAATGGAAGCTTCATGTTGGGAACTCGACCAGATTCTGCCCTGAGTGTCTCTTTTGCTGGCTGTTTTTTTGTATTCTTTCTCTATAATTAACCATATTATGAGAATAATAGTTTTAAGTGAGTTCTGGGAGAACTTCCAATCAATTATCAAGACTGATGGTGATTTTGGGCTTCCTTAAACTTGAAGTTGGTATCAGAAGTGAAGGTGGTTATGTGGAAGACTATGCCCTCAGACCTTGCAATTTGGCTAACTCTGGGAATGCCCATTTTAAAAGAGATTTTTTTCTTTTTAAAATTAAATAATTGATTTTTTTACATATTCTGAATATAGGCACTTTGCCAGATATATATAAGACAAACATTTTCTCCCTGTGCGGTTTGCCTATTTATTTTTTAAGCGTCTTCTGATAAGCAGAAGTTTCAACTCTGAGGACATCTAATTCATTATTTTTTTCTTTTGTGGATAGTGCTTTCTGTGTCCTGCCTAAAAAATCTTTTCTTGCTCTGGTGTCATAAAAATATTTTGACATGTTTTCCCTAGAAGCTTTATGGCCTTTGTATGTACTTTAGAATTCGTTGATTATATCTGTCTCCTATCTTCTCACTGAAAATAATGTTTACAGAAGTTTTCTTTATTTACTTTGTGCTTTTACATAGAGGAAAGGAGAGAAAATGCTGACATATGATATCCTGTTCTTACAGGAATCTACGGCAATATAATTTTAATTTAGAAAACCAATCCCAATATCCCATCAACTTCATATATTTGGAATCTGTTCTATTACTAAGAAGCATTAGTTTTTTTCTCCTTTATAGCTCACTTGAAAGTAAACTTTACTCAAGGAGATTGTAGTATCAGCCCCAGATAAGATGAGTGTATAATATTGAAAGAAACACCTCACTTCTTCTTCTGACGAGGAGAATAATGACATGTGCATTTGACAAAGGAAATGTGGAAATAGAGACCCAATGGCCCACGCTCAAATATTGACAGATGGCATTTGGGTAAGGAGGAACAAGGGAAGAAACAGGACAAAAAAGGCCATAATAAGATTTTCAATCTAGGTGTTTCCTTTTTTTCTTAAAAATAATTAGAAAACTTGTAGTTTCCATGTCTATAATAATCTCGGAACTTCCTATCATGGACCTGGTGACTTACAAATACTGGTCTGGTCCATTTGGAGGAAGGAGAACTGAATGCATTTTGTATAGAAAAGAGACATTTGGTAAAAATGATCTAGAAAAAGATAGGTAAATTGAAGTCTTAAATATAATTATGTTGCAGCCTAGCCCAACTTACCACTAATAGAAACGTGAGTGGGTTCAGAATTTGTCTTGAAAGAGATTAAGCAGTAAGTTAGTAAGAATGGCAGAAGGAATGTGTGTTACAGTGGATTTAACTATTACTGAGTCTTCCAGACAGAGTTGAGATCATGACTAAGCATTTACTGCTGTGAGAAGGAATAGGAAAGTATTACTGGGAAAAATCTTTTGCACAGACCCTTTTGCTGAGGTATCAACCAAACCAGTGCATATATGCATGTTTATAAATATGAATGTGTTATTTGTAAAACATGCATATAGTTTTCCTGTTCATTATTTCCTGTCTAACAATCTAAGGCAAGTACACTATACGAGTTAAGACTAAGCAATTCTTTCATTTTTTTAATGATAAGGATGACTAGTTTTGAAATTAGAAATATTTTATGAGTTTTTGATCCCACTTATAAGGCTGATGATATTTAATTCAGACTGTATAAAGCCTCCCTCATTCTCTTAGTATGACAGTCTGGAAGTTGTTTAAATAGGATATAGTCTGGAGTTAAGGTGTTTTATATGGCCTTCATGTATTTAGGCATGAAAACTTAATTTTTGTCCTTGGCTACAAAATTGTTATTTCCTTTCACAGACAGCTACTGACATCACTGTACCCAACAAAATAATATTCAACTGATTTTTGCTAATGTAAGTTCATGGGAAAAAAAAGAAGCAGAACTCTTTGGAAAATAGAAAATGTTCATTTCCTTTTCTCTGTTTCCACAAAATGACAAGAGTATCAATGAACTGACAAATGCACAGAGTGCCAATTTCATCTGAGGATTCCACTATTTCAGAAACGCGGGTGCAGATTAATATATCTTTAGATTTATATTTCAAGATGAAATTTTAACACTGCAATGCTCTTGACATATAATAAAACATAAATAATATTCAGCAGTTATATTCCATTCTGAAATTATCCTACCTATTCTCATCATTTATCATTCCTTTCTAACTATAGAAATCTATAACTCTTAACCCAACGAGTTCTAACTCTTTCATCTTCTTTGAGACTGCAATTGTAGCAGGATTAATAAATTAGTTTCTTGCCTCAGTTCAGTGGTCATCTACAATCTTTATTTGACATATTCTTGATCCGCTCCCTAATTACAATAAAAAGATTCTTCAGAAATAATAAAAACAACTAGGTTTTTATAAATATTATAAATATTATATTTACAGTCATTGATTGTATTACTGAAGGATTACCCATTATAGCCACCAAGTTACTTGTACTTCTAACAAAGCTATATTCTCCTGACACTGCTTTGCTTCTAAGATTCAAATTGCAATGGGAAAACCCAATAGCAGCCTTTTTCCAGCTGGGTTCCTTGAAGTATTAGAATGCTGCAGACAGAATATAATAGGTCTTTAGCCAAAATAAAAAGAAGAGGTAGAATTTCATGAGAAAATGTATTTGGAAAATGTTCTGTTAAAACAAGGCCTTTATTCTTTACCACAGAATTCTCATGACTTTTGATATGCTAATATGTTTTGTGACTTTCTGAAAACAGATCTTAACAGGTTAATCTTCAAGTTCCCTTTCTATCTAGGTATTGGAATCAATCTTAAACACATCAGTGAGGGACTAATTAAATAAATTGCACAATAGCTATACAGTAGAATATTGTACAGCCATCAAACATAGTTTTTACAATAATTTTGAATGGTATAGGGACCTGCTAATGATCTAATGATATTGAGTAAAAATAATACATAACTATAGAGAATTTGTCATCATGTACATAGAAAATAACTGAAAGGAATATACACAGAAGAAAAAGTGGCCATGATTTTTTCTAGGTTGAGGAGTTATGGTCAATTTTTTTCTTCCTTGCATTTCTTCCTACAAATGTCACTTCTTAACAAATAACATATATTACTTTTATGATATGAAGAAAGTTAAAAGTTTCTCTTTTTTCATTTTCTGTTACAATCAGCCTATCATTATTTCTCATCTCAACTACTTATTTGCCTCTTTACTTTCCCTTTATCTCGAATCAATCCTTTCCATAAGTGGTCGGCAAACTGTAGCCACAGGCCCTATTGGCACACTGTCTGTCTTCATAAATAACGTTTTGTTGAAATACAAACATGTCCACTTATTTACGTATTTTCTAATACTGCTTCTGCTTCACAATGACAGAGTTGAGTAGTTCGATTATAACAGAGATCAAATAGTCCACAAAGCCTGAAATGCTTTGTGAGGCTCCCAGGGTGCAAAATTTAAAGAGGAATTCCCTTTCAGGGTAATTGTGTTCAAACATGTGAAGCACTGAACTGTGCAGGAGATGCTGGTGTCCGTTTGGGCCTCTGAGGAGCAGACACAATGAAAAAATTAGTTGTGCTAGAGACGTATTGGAGGAAATGCCTATGAAGATAAGGCAGAGAAGGAGCAGGAGGAGTTGTGTATGGGGGGTGCCAAGGGGCATCAGACCAATAGACAGGTTCAACCCTTGTGAATAGAGTGAGTGACAAAGTTTGGTTAGGAGCAGCTTCAGAGCACGGTGCTTTCTGGGAAAGTCTCAGCCAAGCCAATGGGAAGCCCAAGAACAAGACTGGAAGGAGAGGAATCCTGCAGTAAGCAGGAATGGCCTGGATCTAATAACCCTGCCTTGAACACCACGGTGGGTCCACGGATGTCACTGCTGGAGGCTGTCAGCTGAATATGCACACAACAGAAAGCTCTTTTAAAGAGACATCCACACAGTACACCTCCATGGCCACCACAGTGCTTATTAACATTTGCCCATGTGATTTAAGGTGTATAGTGGACATTGTGTTTATTTCCTCCCAAACCACCTGCAATGGATTGAATGTTTGCATGTTTGCATCTCTCCAAAATGTATATATTGAAATCCAAAACCCTGAAGTGATTATAAGGAAATGGAGCCTTTGGGAGGTGATTGGGTCATAAGGGTGAAGCCCTCATCATTGAGATTAGTGCCCTTATAAAAGGACCCAGGGAGCTCTCTTGCCCTCTTTCTGCCATGTAAGCATATAATAAGAAGAAGGCAGTCTGCAACCGAAAGTGAGCCCTCATCAGGACCCAACCATAGTGGCAACTGATCTCTGACTTCCAGCCTCCAGAATGGTGAGAAATTAATTTCTGTTGTTTATGTGCTGCCCAGTCTATGGTGCTTTGTAACACCAGCCCAAAATGACTAAGGCACCATCCTACATTCCCTTTCTAGTTTGAAAGAGATAGGCCCTGTTTTGGACTTAGGCAATCAGAGTTAGGTCATCCCTAGTGCCATAGTGATTGTTGCAGCGATGGTTGAAGAAGAGTGAAGTTTAGGACATTTAGTCAGTGGTTACTGTTAATGGTAGCTTCTCTCTCCTTGAGTGTGAATGAGGAAGCATGTAACCCTGTCTACTGCTAGTATTCTGTATTAGTCAAGAATGCTTTTAGCCAAAAGAAACAAAAAGACCCCTCCTTAATGTGATTTGTTATTGTGAAAGAACAAGAGGGTGGAGAATGAGAGTTTACTGACATTGATTCAGTGGTTTTGAGGCAATGTCTCCATGATTTGCTTGGTCTTTTTGTTGCAGCAGCTCCATCCTCACACATGTGTATTCAGTGGCAATAGGCAGAGATGACAAAAGGCACAAGGCACCATTTTTCCTCACATATATTCCTCCCATTAACAATGGAAACGTGTCATTCATAGACACTCCTAAAGCTATTTGCTTGTCCAGAACTGATTTGCATACTCACCTTTAAACCAGACCGAGAGCCCACCTTCTCTGAGATGGGGGCATCTCTGTTAAACACTACTATGAATTGAATATCTGTGTCTGCATTCCTCCAGATTCCTATGTTGAAACCCTAACCTGCTAGATGATTGTATTAGAAGGTGGGGTCTTTGGGAGGTGGTTATGTCATAAGCGTGGAGCCCTCATGAATTGAATTAATGCCTTTATAAAAAATGCCTCAGAGAGGCCCCTTGCCCCTTTCGCCATGTGAGGATGCAACAAGAAGACAGCGTCTATGAATCAGGAAGTGAGCCCTCACCAGACACCAAATTTGCTACTGCCTTGATCTTAGACTTTTCAGCCTCTAGAACTGAGAGAAATAAATTTCTGTTGTTTATAAGCTACCTTGCCTGTGGTACTTTGTTGAAGCAGCCCAAATAAACTAAGACAGAAAACTGGTCTGACAAGGGGGTGCTCCTGTGATAAATACCTAAAAATGTGGAAGTGGTTTTGGAACTGGGTAATGGATACAGGCTGAAAGAATTTTGAGGTGCATACTAGGAAAGTCCCCATTGTTATGAACTGATCTTTAAGGGTAATTATGGTGAGGGCCCAGAAAGAAAAGAGCACTAAGAAGCCTCAATCTTCCTAGAGAATACCTAAGGAATCTTGAACAGAATGTCGGTAGGAATCTGGATGGTAAAGGCCATTCTGATGAGGTCTCAGGCAGAAATGAGGAACACGTTACTGAAAACTGAAGAAAAGGTGATCCTTGTTATAAAGAAGTGAAGCACTTGGCTGAATTTTGCTCATGTTCTAGGCTTTTGTGGAAAGTAGAACTTGTGAGTGGCAAAATTGACTGAGGCAATTTCTAAGCAAAGGGTTGAAGGTGCCCCTTGGCTTCTTTGACTGCTTGTAATAAAATGAAAGAAGAGAAAGATGACTTAAAGATGGAGTTTTTCATCAAAAGAAAGGTGGACTTTATCAATTTGGAAAATTCTCAGCCTATCCATATTGAAAAGAAAGACTGTTTAGGTGAGTATTCTAAGGATGTGGTATAAAATAAAATAAAATAAAATAAAAAATAAAAAAAAACTACTGATAAGATTAGTCAACCATCTCAAAAAAAAGGCAGAAGCTATTGTCTAAGAGGGGCCACCTGCAAAGGAGAGGCCCCCTGAACCCACAGGACCTCTATGAGTGCTGTCCATGCTGTCTCACATCACAGGCTCTGTTCCCTACACTCCAGCACCATGCTCCTTGGCTGCCCCAGGTGCAGAACCAGTGGCCTCAGCGCAGCATGGTCAGCACCCAGCATAGCTTTGGGGACAGGGCTGCCTGGAGCTGCGAGGGCCCAATTCTTGCCCAGCAAAGTTTTAGGGGGCAGAACTATCATCCCAGTGGGTTCAAAAGGCGGGACCTCTGCCACTGTGGGCCTGGAGGGCACAGCATTGAGCCAAAGAGGATTATTCTTGAGCTTTAAGATCTAAAGGATTTGCCCTTTTGGGTTTCAGCCTTGCTCAAGACCTTATTTCTCCCTTTTGTAATAGGAATGTTAATCCTATACCTGTCTCACCATCGTATTTTGGAAGCATATTACATGTTTGATGTCACAGGTTCACAGCTGGAGAACAATTGGCCTCAGAATGAATCAAATCTTAAGTCTCACTCTTATCTGATTTAGATGGTATTTAGATGAGACTTTGGACTTTAGACTTTGAGTTGATACTGGAATGAGTTAAGACTTTTGGGGCTATTCGGATGGAATGAATGTGTTTTGCATTTCAGAATGACAGACGTTTTAGGGGCCAAGGGCAGAATGCTATGGACTGAACATTTGTGTCCACCCCCTCTAAATTCATATGTTGAAATCCTAACACCCAAGGTGATATTAGGAGGTGGGATCTTTGGGAGCTGATTATGTCATAAGAGTAGAGTCCTTATGAATGGGATTAGTACTTTTATGAAAGAGTTGCTAGAGACCTCCCTTGTCCCTTCCACCATGTGAGGATGCAGCAAGAAAGAGGTTGCTGTCTATGAGCAGGCAGCAGGCCCCCCACTAGACATTAATCTGCCAGTGCCTTGATCTTGAACTTCCCGGCCTCGAGAACTGTGAGAAATACATTTCTGTTGTTTACAAGCCACCCCATCTATGGTATTTTGTTATAGTAGCCCAAACAGACTAAGACACACACTAAACAAAAGTAGGCCTCCACCTAGCATGGAGGTACCAGGAGGTAGGAAATCATTTTTGGAAGGGGAACAGACAGAATATGCCTCTTAGTTGTCTTACAAGGACAGCCTAAGGATGAAGCTGGCACAGACAGAAAGATAGAGCTCTAAAAACATAGAGACATGGAACTAGAGCCCCAATCAAAGCACACCTGAAGCTCACCTGAAGGTCCCGAATTTCTTATTATGTGAATAAATATAACCCCTTTTCTGACCAAGTCAGTTTGAGTTGGTTTTCTCTTTCCTGTAACTGAAGGACTTCAACTGATAGAAGGGAAGAAGAGTTTCCTTGCCTTTAGACTTTCCAAGACAGGGTAGCAAAGTGAAAAATCAACCAAGTATCAGTGTGTATCAGTTAAAATACATTTGGTTGTTACAAAAAGTTACAAAACATACCCTAACTCAAAGTGACTTAAACAGTAATCAAACATATTATCTCTTATAACCAGAAGTGCCAAAGAAAAGCAAACTCCAAGACTTGAGCAGCTGAAGAATATCATCAAGCACTGAAGTTCTTTCTTTCTCTCTACTCTATCATCAGCATCAGGATAACCTAAAGCAAAGATGGATGCCATTGACAATGGAGCTACATCCAACGGAAGAGAGAAGGAACACAGAATCCAGGCCTTTGTCTTCAGTATAATATGGTCCGTCTGAGCCAACAGCACATGAAGTAAATGGCTGTGTGAACGGGAAGCAGGGATGAGATTTGAGAATCGCTGATATGTATATGTATGTGTATGTGTGCATGCATACACATACACACACAGTAATATAGCTAGCCTTCTGTTTCTTCAAGTTTAGAATAAATCTGGTCTTAAGTACTGCTTTCATCACTGTAATTACACAAACTAATAATTGCTACGTGCTTACCGTATGCCAGACATTCTTCTACGTATCTTTACATGCACTATCTCATTAAATCCTCATAACTACAATAGCCCTTTGAGGCTGTTTTTATCATCTCTGCTTTACACAGAAAGCAACCATTTTATCATCCCTGCTTTACAGAGGAAGCAACTAAAGACACAGAAATGTTAAATAATTTGGACAAGGTCACACAGCTAGTAAGTGAAAGAGCTGATAGTTGATTTCAGAAAATCTGAGTACAAGTTTTAGTATCCAGCAGTCCTAGTTTGGATGCTTGGCTCTGTTGTTTTCCAGCTCTGCAATCTTGGGCAAGTCACTTCACCTCTCTGAGCTTCATGTTCCATGCAATAGGATCATCTGATAGGGTCTGATTTACATCACAGATATACTCATCACTGTGCTGGAGTTCCCTAAGACTACCCTCAGGTTCAATGATTCACTAAAAGGACTCGGTACTCAGAAAAACTGTGTTCCTTGTGGTTTGATTTAATACCATGAATGGACACACATTAAAATCAGTGAAGGGAAAAGGAGCATAGAGCGAAGTCCAGGGAAGACCAGGCACAAGCTTCTGGTTATCCTGTCGCAGTGGAGTTTATGAACAATGCTTCATTTTCCCAGCAACAACATGTGACGATATGTATAGAATATTGCCAACTGGGGAAGCTCACCTGAGCCTTGGTGACCCCTCACCTCTTGGTGGTAAGGGGTTTTACTGGGGATTCTTATTGGGGGTTTTTCATGTAGACATAGAGTACCCACATGGCTGACTGTAGTTATTTGGTCTTTAATCCCTCCCAGGATCAAACTAATACAGCCAGGCCCTAGATCCCAGGTATACAAAGATACTCTTATCAGGCAGGATCTTTCAAGAACTTAGATGTCATCTTCTGGGAGACAGTCAAGGACCAATCCTTTCTTTGGAATATAAATGGTTTGAATGACCCAGGCATGCTGGTTAACCCTTTACTGTACAATCAGATTTGATGAAATTGGTACCATCACTTGAATCTAAACATTGGGCCTATCTCATCTAGGCACTTACTTTTCTCTTCTTCACCCCTACCCTCATAGACACAAAGCTACACTTAGCAATCAAGGACTTGAGAGAATCCCTCCAGCTTCAACTCATTGAGTACCTTTACCTAGCATCTAATTCTCACTATCCCTGGTCCCACAATTAGTAAATACCAATAAACTGCTCGTTTTTATTTTGGAATCTCAGAACCAAACACTTTTAAAAGGGAAGATTCCTCAAAAGTCATAGAATTTATCCATAGCAAAAAAATGTCAGTGGTTTGGGGTTATACTCTTTATGATAAATGTATCAAACTGTTTCCTCTAAAAATCAGATGATCACTTTTCATTTTATTCATGCATATGTAGACAGATCAAGATGTTTACTTTCTGTTTGGAAGTCTATTCCAATAATCTCAAAGCTTTTTAAATTGCCTACTCCATCTCTGAAATAATTTTGACTTAGCCTCTCCAATATAGTCATGCGTCATTTAAAACATTTCTGAGAAATGCATCATTAAGCAATTTCATCGTCATGTGAACATCATAGAGTGTACTTACACAGACCTAGATGATATAGCCTACTATACAGCGAGGTTACATGGTAAAACCTGTTACTCCTAGGCTACAAACCTGTACAGCATGTTACTGTACTGAATACTGCAGGTAATCATAACACAATGGTATTTGTGCATCTAAACATAGAAAAGGTACAGTAAAAATACAACATGAAAGATAAAAAACAGTACACCTATATAGTGCACTTACCATGAATGGAGCTTGCGGGACTAGAAGTTGCTCTGGATGAATCAGGGAGTGAGTGGTGAGTAAATGTAAAAACCTAGGACATTACTGTGCACTACTGTAGAGTGTATAAACACTGTACACTTAGGCTAAATTTATAAAAAATAAAGTAATTGCACTATGATGTTATAATGGCTATGACATCACTAGGTGATAGGAATTTCCCAGCTCCATTATAATCTTATGGGGATGCTGTCATATATGTTGTCTGTTGTTGAACAAAACATCGTTATGCAATGCATGACTGTATGTACATATACGTATATATAAATTTATAAAATGTGCACATGTATACTGCTGTACTAATATAATGTATATATAACAAATCACATTCTCAATAGAAATCTTCAGAGGGTAAAATTTAAAAGTAAATCTAAATGGGAATTCTAACACTATCTTCTCTTAATTGAGGGGATCATCTTGTAAACCCCTTGGGGTACACACCTCCAGTGTGGATATGATTGTTCTTCACATTGAAACCACATCCCAGTCCCTTAATGTCATACTATCCTGCTGACCTAGAATTCATGCCATCTACCCTGAGGCCCTCACTGTTATAACCTTATTGTAACAGCATTGTGGTCCAGAGGATATGATTTGATAAAGCAGTAGGATAAAAGAATCAATATGTCTGAAATAACGCAAAGCAATGGAATGTGAACTGTGTGGTAAGGGAACTGGGGATTCAAGGCACTCTCCAGATGCTGGATTTACTGGATGAGGGTCATTAGGAAGGGCCCATAAAAGAGGGAGCTATATGGTTGGCCTTTAAGATGGATGGGATTGGGTTGGAAGGTAAAAGTATAAGGTGAGCCAAGGCCTGAAGGAAGGATTAAATGTGACCCAAACTGGGGCAAGTGTAGACCAGCCCAACTAAAAAGCCCAACCCAGTCCAACCTCAAAGCTCTTGACTTCTTCTCCCAGTGGGCTACTAAAGTAATTCAATCTGGTTCCTTTCCTAACTCTCAGGAGCTCCAGAGGCTGACAGCTGTCCTCTCAGGCCTCATCTGTCAAGGTAACTAAGGAATGTCCATAGTTCTCACAGGATAGCTCTCTGCAAACTCCTTCCCCTGGATTTTTAGCCTCTGGCTGGCTTTCAGGCCCTTCCCCAGGTAGTCATAATAACTAAGCTTCCTCTAAGCGGGACAGGGTTGGGCAGATGATGGGTGGGGAGTTTTAGTCAGGGTTAGAGCCTTTTTGCTACGGTAAGTAATTCATGCACCCAACCTCAAAGTTTTGCCCATATAGTGATGTACTAGGTTCAGCTTTCCTTTAAATAGTGTGCAATGCAGAAAAAGATAGTTTTGTTGAACTGTCAACAGAGTAAACAGACAACCTAAGGAATGGGAGAAAATTTTTGCAAACTATGGGTCTGACAAAGGTGTAATATCCAGCATCTATAAGGAACTTAAACAAATTTACAAAGAAAAAATGAACAACCCCATTAAAAAGTGGGTAAAGGGCATGAACAGATACTTTTCAAAGAAAATACACATGTGGCTGACAAGCATATGAAAAAAAGCTCAACATCACTAATCATTAAAGAAATGCAAATCAAAACCACAATGTGATATCATCTCATACCAATAACAGGTGCTGGTGAAGTTGTGGAGAAAAAGGAACAGTTATACACTGTTGGTGGGAATGTAAATTAGTTCAGCCATTGTGGAAAGTAGCTTGGTGATTCTTCAAAGACCTAAAAACAGAACTACCATTCGATTCAGCAATCCCATTACCGGGTATATACCTGTAGGAATATAAATTGTTCTATCATAAAGACACATGTATACATGTGTTCATTTTGGCACTATGTACAATAGCAAAGAAATGGAATAAACCTAAATGCCCACCAATGGTAGACTGGATAAAGAAAATGTGGTACATATATACCACGGAATACTATGCAGCCATAAAGAAGAATAAAATCATGTCCTTTGCAAAACATGGATGGAACTGGAGGCCATCATCCTTAGCAAACTAATGCAGGAAGAGAAAACCAAATACCACATGTTCTCACTTAAAAGTGGGAGCTAAATGTTGAGAACACATGGACACAAAGGGGAACAACAGACACAGAACTATCAGAGGATGGAGCATAGGAGGAGAGAGAGGATTAGAAAAAATAACTAATGGGTACTAGGCTTAATACCTGGGTGATAAAAATAATCTGTACAACAAACCCCCATGAAACAAGTTCACCTATGTAACAAACCTGCACATGTACTCATGAATTTAAAATAAAAGTTAAAAAAAAAAAAAAACTTGAACTTCAGTTTCCGTTTTCCAGTAATGGTAGGCTAGGTTACCTTACCCAACCCTCCTGCTGAAAATACGTAATGTTGTGGAATAAAATACTTAAAAATATATTTGTAAAGCATTGAAGAGAAAAAAAGTGTGCAATGGGCCAAGGTTGAAATAATATCGCACTGATACATCAACTCCCTCATTAAAGTTCACTTAGGATCACGCCCCTGGGAATGTCTCCTCTGCTGAGAGTGGGCCTGCAGAAAGCTCTCTGAGAAGGGGTGAGGATAGTGGGTGCTGTGGTAGGAAATCTGCATTAATGGAATTGAAAATTAATTGGCGTGTGTGTGGTAACAGGAAAAATGAAGGAACAGATGTTGAGCCAAGGCCAATTGCCAGCACACAGAGATGGATTGCCTGTCTTTCTGCCAGGGCTCACTCGAGCTCCTAGGAGAAACTGTTTTGCTACCTCAAGGTCTTAATGGAACATTAGTCAGGGCTATGGGGACTAAGCTTTTGCCAAAGAGATGTCATTCTAGACCAGATTTCGAAAAGGCAGTGGGAGCCAGGGGCTCTGCTCTTTGTGTGCTCTGTCAGACCCACCCCTTCCAGGCTCATGAGCTCCTGTAGCAGCTTCAGAGGCAAAACCGAAGGAGCCCATTGTTTTCTATCGCACACACTGTGTGCAGTGCCTGAGACATTAAGTTGCCACTCCATCTCCAGACTCAATCCAGCCACACCACAGGCCACAAGCGGCAGGCCTTGTCCTCCGCAGCATTAAGAACTGTTAGGGCATGGGGCTTCTGCAGAGATGGGTTTCCATGCATAATGCCATTCATTCATTCATTCACTGCAAAGACATGGTGAGCACTCCCATTGTGCTTTGTGCGAGCACTAGCATAAGCATTGAGATAGGTCGGTAAACGAGACAGACAAATGTTCTCATCCTCACAGAGCATACATTCCAATGGGAGGAGAAATCCATAAACAATAACTATAATGAGTACGTTACATTTTTTGTTGAAGGGGATATGTTGTACTATGGATGACAGGAAAAAGTAAAGCAAGGTAAAGGGGATAGGATAGTGCCAGGGGCAAACACCAATGACAACGTTGAATAGAATGCTAGGTGTATTAGGCCATTCTTGCATTGCTATAAAGAAATACCTGAGACTGGGTAATTTATAAAGAAAAGAGGTTTAATTGGCTCATGGTTCTGCAGGCTGTGCAAACATGGCGCCAGCATCTATTAGGCTTCTGGGGAGGCCTCAGGGAGCTTTCACTCATGTCAGAAGGCAGAGCAGAAGCAGGCACTTCACACGGTGAATGCAGGAGTAAGAGAGAGAGAGTGGGGTGGAGGGAGGTGCTATACATTTTTAAATGACCAGGTCTCGTGAACTCACAGTGAGAGCTTACCACCAAGGAGATGACCCAAGCCATTCATGAGGGATCTGCCCCATGATTCAAACATCTCCCACCAGGCTCCACCTCCAATGGTGGGGATTACATCTCAACATGAGATTTGGAGAGGACATCCAAACTATATCGCTAGAGTGGCTATTTCATTCAAGCGAGTCAAGCACACATTGATATCTGGGGGAAGAGTAGTCCAGGCCATGGGAGCAGCCAGTGCAGAAGCCCAAAGCTGGGAGGGCATGAGCAGAGTGAGCAGGGGAGAAACGAGTAGGAAATGAGGTCAAAGGGGAACAGGGCCACAGTACGGAGGGCCTTAAAGGCCATTGTAAGGCCCTGGCCTTTGGCTCTGAGTGAAATGGGAGCCATTGCAGGATTTTGAGCAGAGGAGAGCCACGATGTGACATGTTTCAAAAGGATCCCTCCAGCTGCAATGTTGAGAATAAACTGTAGGGGACAATTATAGACACGGGAAGATGAGTTAGGAGTACATTGCAGTAATCCAAGCAAGAGATGATGGTGGCTTAGATCAGGGCATAAGCAATGAAAGTCGAAGAAGCAATTGAAGTCTGGATATATTCTTTCGAGACTCTTCTTTATTTATATTTGAGTTTCCCAGAGTATAAGTTACTGCATTCCCTTTGCTGTGTATTAGTTTCTCTCTCTATCTTGAATTTCCCAACCATATGTTTTCATGTAACACTCATGAAAATAAACCTTGGAGGCCAGGCACTGTGGCTCACATCTGTAATCTCAGCACTTTGGGAGGCCAAGGCAGGTGGATCACCTGAGGTCAGGAGTTTAAGACCAGCCTGGCCAACATGGTGAAACCCTGTCTCTACTAAAAATACAAAAATTAGCTGGGCATGGTGGCACATGCCTGTAATCCCAACTACATGGGAGGCTGAGGCAGGAGAATCGCTTGAACCCGGGAAGCAGAGGTTGCACCACTGCACTCCAGCCTCAGTGACAGAGTAAGACTCTGTCTCAAAAAAATAAATAAATAAAATAAAAAATAAACCTTGGAAAACGTTTCAATGTCTAAGCCTTAAGGCAAAAACTGGTAACTGGCCATCTACTGGCTATATCTGGTATAAAGTGGGGTTTTGTTTTGTTTTGTTTTAACTGAGCCAGCATTCTAAGAACAAGTGATTCACATAAACTCTGAATTCCTAGCTTCACTTGAAAAAAAAAAAAGGAATATCTGATAATGCATTTTCTCATGGCAGTCATCAGCTGTATTTCAGTAGCTATCCCCATTGTCCCTATTTGGCCCCCTTCACACATTGAGGTTACTGCCCTGGATCACATAGGCATTAGGGTTTATAAACTGCCCAAGTCCAGGAGGAGCTTCGAGGAGGAAGAAGACAAGTAGCGATGTTGATTGAGACCACAGGTACTGATAGTCCCTTAGGTCCCAAGTACCACTGGGACATAAGCAGACAACAAAGTTCAAAGCTCATCTGTCTACACAAATAGTCTCTTTGGATTTTCTCTGTAGGCACCTGTCTCTCTCCCTCAGTCCCTCTTGTCCCCTCTCACAAAACTGGTATGATGAGAGTAGCCAGACCTCTTCCAATGTGTGAAGACAATTGCTTCTCTCTCATTCTCCCTGTAGAGAGCCCAGTGGGTCCAACACGGGGTCCAGGTATCAGGACATAGGGAGTGGGTGGCAGACCCCACATGCTCTAGACTTTAGGGAGAATTTCACTCTCTCTTGCTCTTGTGTTTATTATTTTCTGCCCTTTATTGCCTTCTGACTGGTACAGCTTGTGGGGCCAACACTAGTATGAGCTTGTGTGTAACAGACTTAAGCCATAGACCTTGAGCCTAAGGGACAAAAGCCACTTGAGATCCAGTCCAGCTCTCCGAAGCCAGGGACCTTAAGGAGGTCTCTGGGCCCAAATTTCTCAAGTCAGGAAATGTCCGTTTGTTTAGAATTTCTTTTGTGAACCTGTAGTATCTATAAAGAAAGAGTCAAAGAGTTGGTGACCAAGGGTCATCTCTCTACATAAGAGCCTCATGGACCTCAACTAAGAGTGCTTAGTAAATGAGACATATTTTGAAAGTCATAATTCCTGAACTCCTTAGGAAAAGACAAGGGAAGACTCACCGTGCTCTTCTCCTCTCTTGCTATGAATCTTGAGGATGCAACAACAGGGTCTACCTCACTCAAGTGTACAGTTCAACCTCAACTGTATGCTCTTTTCCTTGGCCCTTACCAAAATCATCCCACACGTGATGAGATTTGAAATTCCAACTCTTCCATTCCAAAATGAGAAAGAAGACTTCAAATGCCAACTGTAGAAAACAAGCCCTTTGGCAGCACTGGTCCTATGAATGTCCCAGGATAGCAGAGAAGGCAGAGATCATGAGACAAAGTATCCAGGTGAGTTTCTGACCATCTTTCCTCACACAATGAGAAGCAAGCAATATCATTGTCAGGCCGGATTCATAGGAGAAAATGTTCACAAAAGTTTTATAACATATCCTCATCTCTTCCTACTTCCCATCCTTCTATCACCATGGCAACCCACATTTTATAAAGGCAGGAGACAAGATTTGTGAATCTTAGCTCCTTGACTTTCAGACCTCTTTAACATTAAGTTTTTCTCAGTACTTTTCAAGAACATAAGTTACCTAACTTGTATATTGCAGGGGAGAGGATTCCTAGGGAGGAATGTGGGAAATACCAGAGAACTTCTAAAAGGTTATCCAGATGTAGCAGGAGAGTAATCATGCTAATGGCTGATCATTTAAATCTATTTCACCAAGGGAAGAAGATGTCAGGCTCCCAACTAAGACAGCATGGGGAAATGTTTACCACACATCTGAGGTCACTCCCAACCTGTTTGAATGTTAGAACTTCTTATCATTAAAATTTTTCCTGGAGTGCTTATTGTTATAGATAAATAGATTCATCTGGGAGAAATGACATACATACTCCAATTCTCACTAAGGTAGAAATGACTGACTCCAGATCACTCCTGAGGACAGTTTTAAATAAAGGAAGGGGGGGACAACAGATAAACACTATGGAGAAAAGAAAATCAACCGACTAGAAAAGTTAGTAAGCAATAGGTACAGAAAACGCCACAGAATGGATTTAAATAGTTTGCTTTTGGACGTATGAATTAAACTTGAAATGGAGATTTTAAAGATGGTCTTTGCCCTCACAAAGGAGCTTACACAGTGAGTTGATAGAGATTTATTTATTTATTTTAGATTTTATTTATTTATTTTAGCTTTTATTCATTTGTTTATTTATTTTAGAGACAGGGTCTTTCTGTGTTGCCCAGGCTGGTCTTGAACTTCTGGCCTTAAGTGATTCTCCCATCTTGGCCTCCCAAAGAGCTAGGATTACAGGCTTGACCCACCACGCTAGCCTATGAGTTTTAAAATCTAATGCATATCCTGATTCTGGGTGAAATAACGAGCTCAAATGGCTCTCAGGATTAAATCATCTCTGGTGTGAGGTGAGTCCAGTCAATATGGTTCCCAGATGCCCCTCAACAAGCTCTAATTTGAGCCAGGTGCCTGGGCGTGATCAACTCACTGTCCTTGACTTAGTCTGAGCTGTTGCCCCAGTGACACGTCCACTGTTCTAAGCGCAAAGAGGAAGCAGTCAATGCATTACTGTCAATGATAATAGCAGCCCTGCAGAGGTCTGGCCGTGAATGGCTCTAGTGCTAGCTCATCGCTCTTGCATGGAGCCACATTTGTGGCAGCCCACAGCCAAAAAAACCTGATCTTTTCCTTGACTTTTTGGAAATCTGAGGAGCGTTAAAAACCTCAGGGTGCAAATGATAAAATGCACTCTTTACCCATGTAAATGTTTTGAGGCTCCAACTTCTGAGAGATCTAATTCATTGACACAAAGCACAATATCTCAACAAGGAGGGATATTTTGCTTCTATCAGAGAGCGATTTCTTTGGATCTCCTACCGTTCTCAGACAATAACAGCCAAAACAGAGAAACAGGAAGACAAGATCAGTCACTTTAGAAATCAAAAAGTTATTGAGTGGAGGGTGAGGAGGGGTAAGACAGCAAACATATGGAAGAGCTTTCGGTTATGGAGGAAGGAAGCCAAACTCAGGGGCCATTATTTCAATTTTCTTTAGTTTTCAGCCTTAAGAAATGCCCAGGAAATACTTTATGCTAATTCTCATTTTTTAAAAGCTGGAAAATCTTTCAAAACTAGAGGAAAGTAAATGTGGCTTAGAACTATGTTTTTCCCCTGTTCTTCGAAGTAAGCTGCATGTTTATTCTATACAGAATTTAACTAGTTCAAATCAGTTACATGAGTAACAATTTCACTAAAATAATGAGAATATATTTGCTGTGTAGAAATCTTCATGAAGTGAAATAGTGAATGACAGCATTTTATAGAACACTAGGTACATTAATTTGAGAACATTCTGGAAACACAGAAGATAATGTCTATTAACAAGAACATTCTGGGCTTTTGTTAATTTTCATGGTGCTTCTTGGCCTATTTTCACCCCTTTTTTCAGTAGCATTCTCTGTAGAGAAGCAACTTCTCTGACAAAAATAAACAGACCAGAATTTAAAGCAACTCTTATTTTCATAAGCCTCACATAGTTTTTGACTGATATTTCAATAAACATAATCTAAAATTGTATAGGGATAAACATCCTCATGTAACATTGTTTAAATAAAAATTTTTGTACTCCTTTGCAAAGATATTAATTCATATTCACAGCTACCAATGTGAAAATTGCACTATTTCTGTTATGAGATAATTTTAATCACTTAAGATACATGAGGTATTGAGTGCTTTCTTTGATCTCAAGGAAAGCCAATCAGAGTAGCACAGAGCAGAAAATAATCTCAGGCAAACAGAACCCACGATCTCTTCATGCACAAGTGCAAGTTTATGAGTGTATGTATATTTGTGCACAGATATCTGGTGAGAGCAGGGTACATTTCAGAGCAAGTTTTAATTGTCTCATAATGTCACTTTGAAAACAAAATGTGATTAAAGGTGAAAATTTGAGTAATTTTATCTTAGTAATATCTCTACCTTTAAGTTCAGTAATAGCACTACCTTTTCATACAGTGTTTCTTGCTACAACATGATTCTAACATAGCTTTCTTCTTAAAATGTATGTTATCAAAATTAAGTTACCTATTACTTACACATTTATCAGGTATGCACAAAAAATCATATAATTAGTCACAATCAAGAAAAAAATATATCATTATCATCAGTGGTAAGGAGAATTAGACCACTCATAGTCTCTTGGCTCTAAAATCTGTTGTACTTTCCCAAATCCTTGTGGTATCAGAGTAAGCCCTCTCGAGGCTCAGTAAATAACCACATCAATTCCTAGAAAGAGCCTCAGTGGAGTGGGTGCTGGAGCAATGGGAGCCTGAGTGCTGGTAGTGAAGGATCCCATTAAGCACTGGCCTGAAAAGACCAATGGGAAGTTAAGAGACAGCTCATCAACGGAGCCCATATTTGGGATCTGGATTATTTAAAAAGATGAATAAGGGATCAGCATTTAAAAATCAGTAGATATTTACCTAAAAATCAGAAGTTCTGGCTCCTCTTACAAAATTGGACAACCTGATCACACAGGGCATGCATTCTTGCCCAGAAATGCTAGGCTGCAACAGAGGAGCCCTGCCCCTTTAGAGAGGAGCAGTCTTCAGTCTATAGTGTACGTCCCTCACATCTTTCCTGTCTCACTCACTTGTGTTACCTTCCTGACAATGGTAGACATTTGAATTGTCTCCATCCTCAGAAAGTGCACAGCCCAAACCACTAATTTGGGCATGAATATATGAAATAGCCTAACGAACTACCTGATGATAGAAACTAGGATGTACCTCAATGTCCTTCAGCTGGAAAAACTCTACCCAGCCTTAGGTGTCCTCATCTCCCAGAAGGCTTCCCTGCCCCTCTGAAGACAAGTCTGGTGTCCTCATACCCCTAGGGCCCTATATGATTCTTTATCATTGTGCTTGTCATGTCACAATACAATAATCTCTGAATGTGCTTGCCACCCACAGGTTCGTATATATCTCTTACCCTGTGCCAGGTCCTACAAGGATGCTAGGATACATATAATATATTTCCAAAAGACATTAAAATATAATAGATGAAAAATGAAAAGAGCCATTTTCAAGTTTAATTAAGAAGATTAAGAAGGACTTATTGGAGAAATCGACATCTGAAATATTTTGTGAAGGTTTTTACAGGAAAGATGAGCCTGGGATTTGTTCCAGGAGGAAGAGACAAACACTGGAAGAGCATGTAGGGATCAATGAGTTTATAGGGTGTGTCTAAAGCACAGGGGAAGACCATCAATACAAGGCTGAGGAGTGGACACTTGGTTGAATAAATGGCAGGAGCCCTGTGGAGGTCTTTGAACTGCAGAGTGACTTGATCAGTGCTGGCTATGGTGGCACATGTGGCAGGAGGAATTGGAGAGGTGAGACATAATGTGAAAAGGAACCAGCATTTCCTGGTGTGTCAGGCCTTTGGTATGGCTTTTAATCTATGATTTCATCTTATCTTCACAGCTCTATGAACAGGTTGCTAGGATTCTCATTTAAGTTACAGAGGAGAAAGATCAGACACAGTTGGTTACGTAAATTGCTATGCTTTCTATATCTGTATCTGTCACATTTTGCCTAATAAGGGTTTGTTGTAGGGTATAGACAAAGATGAACAAATAGATGAATGAATGAATGGATTGGTGGATGGATGGATGGAAGCAGTGTTGAATCAGCTCTGCCTGATGCTAAACTCATGTTCTTAGCCTTCTGCTGATTGGAAGATGTTTCAATAGGCCAGAACAGGCTCAGTAAAGGCCTAAACTGGGGCTGTGGTACTGAGAGTGGACAGAGGGGCCAGCAAGAAAGATGCTAGAGAGAGAGAGAGACCATAGACTAAAGATCTTGCACTGCTCATCTCTAAAGGAGGAAGGGCTCTTTTGTTCCACCCTAGCGTTTCCATATGGGAATGTGTGCCCTGTGTGACCAGAATGCCCAATTTTGTAAGAGGAGCCAGGAATTCTGATTTTTAGGTAAAATCTACTGATTTTTAAATGCTTATCCCTTAATTACCTTTTTAAAAATTGCAGATTGCAAATATGGGCTCAGCTGGACCCATGGGCATCGGTTGATGTGCTCTCTCTTAATGAATGAAATCCTGTCTCGAGTGATCAACTATCTAAATTTGCCTCAGACTAAGGAGTTTCTGGGATCACAGCCTCTTAGTGGTAATACTGAGATTGTTTGTCCCCTTAACTAGGAGCCCAGAGGAAAGTGTCACACATCCCAAGGTAGGGAAGGAGAAATGCTGGAAAACCCTTCAGGAAAGGAATAATGCTGTAACTGGGTGGCAGTGGTCCTAAAACTATAGCAGCCACCAGAATCCCCTGGAGAGCTTATTGAAACAGAGTGCTGGGACCACAGCCCGAGTTTCTGACTCAGTAGGTACGGGGTGGGAGCCAATAATTTTCATTTCTAACAGGTGCTACTGGCACTGCCAAGTCCAGAATCAAACTTTGAGAGCCACTGCTTTCCAGTTTGCAAAGAACTTCTGCAGGCCTCAACCCATTTGCAGCTTACGGGGTGGGCTGGGACTGGGAAGGTCTGAGAGCGACTGCTGGCCCATGGAGCTGTATGGTCTCAGACCAGGGAAGAAGTAGAAATGGGTGTCAGACAAGATGCTGCTTTGGGATCCATTCTCTGGGAATTTATCTGTACTTCTTTGTCAATACCACCCCAAGGCTCTAATTCTCCACCTATCCTTGTACCCACAGAGAGTTTTATGCAGAGTGAACCCTACCCTGATGCTCCAACATCTGAAATCAATCCCTTCTATCTAGACAGAATCATGAAAGAATTATGAAAGACCTGTCATTTCCTGCCACCTTGCTTATCCTATGATCCTAAGCAAAGGTTTCTATTTCCTAGAATTGGTTTTCTAGAAGTTGCTCTGTTCTGGTGTTTATAGAGATGCCTGTCTATACAAGAAGAGTTGTCTGTTTGTAATTAGCAATTTCCCAAAAGCACCCCTGGTTTTTATCTGGCAGTCTCTGGATTAAGCCAGAGGTTGCTTGCATCAGCTTTTATGCTTAAGAATTGAGGATGCCAGTTGGATATAGACTATCAACTTTTACAAAAGAGATTAGGGAAGAAAAGCTTATTTTAATGTATTCTTTATACTCTACAAAGTACTTTCATAGGTCATGTCTCACTTAATCCTTATAAAAATCCTCTGAGTCCTTTCTACATTTTACCAATGAAGAAGTTACAGTGATGTGTCCTAGGGTTGCCATCTGAGAAGCAATTGAGTTAGGACACATCCTCACTTCTGCACTGCTGTCTGTCTTTACCAATCACAAAGGCACAAAGTCTGGCTGCATCCTTTCATACATACATGATGAAACATACATGATTATTTCATATGAGTGCCAAACCCAATCCTAGCCATCCCTTCCAACTCACAGCCCCACAGTGAATGCCCCCTTCTTAAACTACTTTGTGTCATGGATTTCATATGTACGTGTCTATTTTCTCCAATTAGATGGTAAGTCCTCACAGACAGTTTTACATTCCTTCCACTCTCCCCAAAACCTTAGAACAACACTTTATAAATACCAGGAACACAGTGAGCATGCGCTCAACATTAAAAGACTATTAAATAAGAACTTTGCCTTCTTGGAGATCTATACATACCAAATAGAGTGAGATAAATTTTAGTTTCCTATTGCTGTAACAAGTGACCACAAAATTACTGGCTTAAAACAACACAAATTTATTCTACAGTTCTGGAGGTCAGAGTCTGAAAGGGTTTCATGGGACTAAAATCAAGACATTGGCAGGATTACATTCCTTATGGAGGCTCTAGGGAATAATACCTTTCTTTTCCTTTTCTAGCTTCTAGAGGCTGCCCACATCCTCTGCTTTGTAGCCTCCTTCCTCCATCTTCAAAGCCAGCAACAGAGGGTGAGACTTGACATTGCATCACTCTGACCTTCTCTTCTGCCTTTTTCTTTTGCTTTTAATGACCCTGTGATTACATTGGGCCTACCTGGATAATCCACGATAAATTCAGCTGATTAGCAATCTTTTTTTTTTTTTTTTTTTGAGATGGGGTCTCGCTCTGTCTCCAAGGCTGGAGTGCAGTGGCGCAATCTCAGCTCACTGCAACCTCTGCCTTGAGCAATCTTAATTACATCTGCAACCTTCACTCCTCTTTACTATGTAACATAACAGATCTCCAGGTGTCTTCGTCCACTTGCATTGCTAGAAAGGAATGCCTGAGACTAGGTCATTTATAAAGAAAAGAGGTTCATTTGGCTCACAGTTCTGTGGGCTGTACAAGAAGCATAGTGTCAACATCTGCTTCTGGCAGGACCTTAGGAAGCTTACAATTACGCAGAATAGGAAGGAGGAGTTGGCATATCACATGGCAAGAGCGGGAGCAAGAGAAAGGGGGAGGTGCCTGGCTCTTTTTAACAATCAGCCATTGTGTGAACTAATAGAGCAAGAACTCACTGATTACCTCGGGGAGGGCAGCACGCCATTCATGAGGTATCCTTCCCCACGACACAAATGCATCCCACTAGGCCCACCTCCAACATTGGGGGTCACATTTCAACATGAGAATTGAAGGGAACAAATATCCAAATTATATGAACAGGTTTCAGGGATTAGTAAGAGGACACCTTGGGGGGAGGGGCTTATTTTGTCTTCCACAGTGAAACAGAGAGTAAAAGTGAAAAAAGGGACACAGAAATTTGTAAAATTCACATTAACATTATTCACCAAAAGCACCTGCCACCACTACCTACTATTTGAGCACTATGAGAGATCTGAGTCTGTGTTCAGGGCCTTATATAGCTTTTGGGTATATAATCCACACATCAATCTAGTAGCATTAGTATTAGCCCCATTTTCAGATTAGCAGAGGCAAAGAGAAATTATGTAACTTGCTTACGATTCATAGAAGTGCTAAGTAACAGATCCAGGACGGTGCAGTCCTCTTCATACTGCCTGGCCCCGCCTCCTGGAGCCCATCTGAACTCCACTCTGCTGGCTGCCATGGTGTTGCATTTTCATAGGTCCTCTTTTCTGTAACTCTCAGTCCAGATCCTGCTTAACTAGATAAAGAGAGTTAGGGTAAAATGAGACCTGGCAAAACCCTCCAGCAGGTAATTCTTAGGGGATTTGTTTTTCCTCTTATTCTTGTTGTTCAAGGAGACAGATGATAATTAAAATGTCAGAGCCCTTCATGCTTCCCTGATCAAGATAACTACTTTGCCACAGGTGATAGAAAGAAAAGGAGGAAAATGTGTGCTCTCGGGGGTGGGGGGTAGGTAATGATTCTGATAAGGGGCAAAGCTGGGGAAACTGAGCCCCCTCAGCTCAAGAGAGAGCTCATTGCAGCTCCAGCTGCACCAGGGCGAATGCTCACCCACAGGCTCTTCAGGGAGCTTCCCACCTCATCCCTCCTCCCCAAACCTCCATCCCTACCAGCTCTCTGGGAACCTATTCCCAGAGGATCCATCCAACAGCTTGCTAATTCTATCCAATCTCTCCAATTCAGTTAATTCCCAGTTTCAGTAACAGAAGCAGCAGCTGTCACGATCAGCAGCTGTGTTCTTTGTCTCTATAGTTCTACCTCTCCCCCCTTCCCTCACCAAGTTAACAGAGTGGATCGCACACAACTTTCTAGGGGAGAAAGACAATAAACGTCCTCGATAGATTGAGAGAAGAAAGGAGGAATGAATTTGTATGAGCATGAAAGTGTCAGGTGGACTGGAGACAATGGAGAAAATTCTTCCCCAATCTCCAAGTCCCAATTTAACATTAAACAACCTCCTCAACAGCCATGTGCTCTCTAGAAGTTAATTCTTCTCAGACTCATGATGGCAGAGAACTAGTTTTTTAAATTCCAATCTGTTGTGGACTTAGTTTACAGTTCTACTCTGGATGACTAGTGTGTAAACTCACACCACATATGACTCACCCTCAAGTGCAACAATACCTGGATTGGCCTACCCCTTGCTCCAGAGCCACATGCGTGGATGTCAGGGGAATGTCAAGTTACTGGAAAAGTTTTACACATTTTTATTTTTGTATTTATCTCAATTGACTAAGTAGCACTGTCCCAGAGGCTCATTGAGAAAGTGTGATTAGCACAAAGATTTAAGGTATGTGAACCTTGTGAATTTTTGGAGGAAAAGTATTTTAGGCAGAGGAAACAGCTAGAACAAGGGCAAGAGCCAGGGTGGCTGGATCTCAGGGAGTGAGGGGATAATTAAAGATAAAATCTCACCCGTAAGAGAGGGCAGTAAGTCATGTTGGGCCCTGTAAGACTGTTAAAGATTTTGCCGTTTTTTCCCTCTGAGTAAAATGGGGTGCATTGTAGGGTTTTGAGCAGAGTGGCAGGATCTAGTTACAGCATTAGGGGGCCAAGGATAGAGGCAGGGAGACCCATCAGCTGCTGCAGTCATTTGGGCAAGAGATAAGAGAGGTTCAGGCCAGGATATCAATGCTGGAGGATGTACAAGAGGTCCCAAACCGGGTCTATTTTGAAGATAGAGGATGGATAGGGTTTAAGAGAAAGAGAGCAGTCAGGGATAGTGCCATGGTTTTGGCCTGAGCAACAAAAAGGGTGGAGTTGTCAGTGCTGAGCTGGGGAATGCAGCACGTGAGGGAATATGAGGAGTTTAATTTTTGACACAGTGAGATTGAAATATCCAATAGACCTCCAAACAGAGATGATAGATGCAGAGCGGCAGTTGGATATACAAGTCTGGAGTGTGGGAGAGACGTCTGGGCTGGAAATATAAATGAGACTGTTGTCAGTATTTAAAGCCATAGGATTCAGTGAGATCACCAAGGGAGTAAATTTAGAGAAGAGGGCACGCTAAAATGAAGAGATCAGGGAGAAAAGGAAGAACCAGCGAGGGGAAGGTAGGATGGAAACCAAGGAAGTGTGGTGCCCTGATAGCCAAGAGAAGAATGTGTGTGAAGCAGGGATTCAGGTGAATTCCCTAGCTTCACTTTCTGCATCAGCTAAATGGGAATATTAATTCTTCATGTGAGGTTGCTGTGAGGATTATAAATGAGTTAACCCATTTAATAAATACATACTAAGTGTAGTGATTGTACTAGGTACTTGAATTTGAGTAGCATACAATTCTCTACCTTAAATAGGAGGTTACAAATTTGCAAAACATCTAAGCCCAGTGCCTGACCCCAGAAGGGGCTCAATAGATACTTTTTTGCTAGAATAAATAATTGCCTCTGTGTGGCCTGTATAGATCCACACTCTCCTCTGCTTCTTGAGACCAATTAAAATATTTAGTGCTCATTAGTTGGAATGGATAAGCAAGGGAATCTTTCCTTTCCCCACCACTCCAACCATTTCATGCTAATGCTCTGTTGCTCCATAGAATGTGTGGATTTCTTCCTTGGTTAGGGAATATGAAGGGTCCACTTGGGAACTTAGTAACGAGGCTTACCTGGTCTAATCTGAGAGCCTTCAGGGCCTGAGGCCACCCTGGGGAAGCCAGCAGCCCAATCACACCACATACACAACTGTCCCAACTCTCCCAGCGTTGAGGTGAAATAAGGCAAAGAGCAGTTTCCAGAAGGGGAAAGAAATCAAGGAAGGGCAGCCTCAAGTGTGCAGCCTGGAGGCCAGGCCCACTGCTTTCCCTGTGGCCCATGGACAGGATTTAGTGTTCATTGCATGTGTGCTCCCAGAGTGTGCACATGGGTTTATGTAAGTAGGTAAGACTTACTGTTTTATTTTCCCACAAGCCAACCAGACACCTCCTTCACCTGGTTCACTTTGAGTCTTCCAGCAGCCCAGGGCTTGGAACAGTGCCGCCTCCTCCTCCCTTCCCCACTTTTTCTCCAATCCTCCTGTCTACAGGCTAGGTCTGACACCAGAGCTACAGAGCCGGGTAACCAAGGTAACCAAAAGCCCTGGAGTCCAGGGGGCCTCCCTAAGGACCGCCCAAATGCCACAGGCTCCATGCAGTCAGGTGGAGCAGCTCTCCCTGCTGTGTCCTCTCTCCCCCGACATTGCCCCGCCCATCTGGGCTGCTGCTGAGGGAGGCTCCTCGGGGCCTGCTGTTTTCTTCATGACTATGGGTGACACGGCACAGGTGGTCCAGTTTCTCTCACAGTGCCTTTGCTTTGATCTACAAAAATCTGCTGAGTTTCTTTTGGGCCTTGTCATGTTAACAAAAACAAATGTAATAATATGCACTTGAAAAGGCTCGCATGTCTTGATATTTTAATAAGCTTTTGATTCTACAGGGACCTCTGAGGCTTTAAAAGTTTAAAGTTAATAAAGAGAGTAAAAGAAAAAAATATGAATTGTTTTTAATTATTATTATGCAGGATTAACCAAGCCAGTTGTGTATAATTAGACAGTAGCTACCTTGCAACGTAGAGGCAGTAAATAGGCCCACAGGGGGGCTGCCAGAAGGCTGAGGTGTTTACAAGGCACTGGAGATGTTTTCACCAAGCACATAATCCCTGTTGCAGTTACTATTGCTTTTATAATGGATGTGTTCATTACAACCAGAGACTAATATGTGTATCCATCATCTTTCTAGCACAGATGACTCCAAAGTGGGGGATGGCAGTGAAGATTGTACGATATACTTTGGTGGTAAAATCATTAAGAGAGCCCATTTGTATGCAGCTTTTTTTGTGTGTGGTTTTATTTTTGTTGCCATTGCTGGGAGGAATTTTAAGAAGTTAAATAAACAATTGCCAAAGGAGTGATGATTAAGATATTGCTAAGAAAGTTTTGTTTCTTTTAATACCTCCAGCAGTGAAAGCAATGAGCCAGGAGTTCCAGGGCTTTGTTATGAACCAGCGTGTGATCTTAGGGAATTCATTCACTAATTCAACATTTATTGAGTGCTACCATATGCCAGGCATTGTCCTAGGTGCTGGGGATAAAATGATGTGCAAGGAGCACTGGGCCCTTCTTCCCATATGTTCTCAAACCAGGACATTCCTCATGATCACCTGGGAAGCTTTTCAAAATGCTCTCACTGAGACCCCAGCCAGGCCTTAGTAGAGCTGCATAGCATCTTCAGGGCACCACTCGAGCATGTGAATTTTGAGAAAGTGTTTCAGTGATTCTGGCGGTTTCTCATTGTAGTGGGAGGGAGTTATAAATAAACAATAAAATACGGTAAGTGCTATTAAAGGGAAGATGTGACTGCTCTGAGCTTCCATTTCTCTATTTTTGTAAAGGAGGCAATAATTCCTGTCCTGTATATCTATCTTAGGTCACAGATTCTGAAAAGGAGAGTATAGGAAATTTGCTAGGGAGTGCTCTCAGATAAACCATTGTTGGGGTGAAATGGGCCAGTCATTGGCTGCCCCCAGGAGAAGATGTGTCTTGGGGCAAGTAGTAGTGACCAACCTTAGGCCAATTCCTGGAGAGTGGGTCAGCTGATAGCTGCCAGTCACCACCTTCACCCAACTCCCAGAAGCTGAGGAATGAGGATGGGAATGAGAACGTCTGTCCTGAAGGAGGAGGGTGCAGGTGGCATGTCACAGCACCACCAGAGCATCCTGCAGAAATAGACATAAGAATTCACATCGGGAAGTACTGAAAAAGATAAGAAGTCACTTGTTTTCTATTATTAACCCATAAATAAATTTGCTCATGACAATGGTTTTCTTTATTCATATTTGATGTAAGAATAATCTGGCTGCAACGTCTGTCACTCCATGCTTACCAGCATTGATTGAGCTCAGCTTGCTGGCTGGGCTAGAACCCTATTTTTGCCCCAAAGCTACTTGTATGTCACCTCCCAAGCCTGCACACTTGAGCCGAGAGGGCACATTGCCAGGGAGAGGATATCTGATTTTTGATAAGAGACGTAAGTGAGGCTAGCTCTCCTACTACACATTTTAAACAAGTTGGCAGGTTCCACTTGTCATCGAACTGCAACTACTAAGAATGTGGTAGTTCTTTTATTTACATTTGTTCAGTATTTTTTTGACTGTCCTACTCAAGGGTGAGTTGCTGGAGCTATGTTATCTCTTCCTCATCCAAACTCATTGGAGTAGGGAATAAATAGGTGGTTTTTAAACAACAGCAAAAGGAGTGCAAGTGAGAAGATACTACCATGGGGAAGAAAAACGTTATTGAAAATTGGGTAAAATATTGGGGTCCTCCTCCATTGTCTTGGCTGTATACAAATTACACTTCATCCTTAAATCATGTTCATCCATGTTCCTGATTTTGTTAAACAATCGGGATGAGAAGCGCCAATTAAGTTTTTCATTTTACATTTATGTAAAGAGCCATCTCTCATCAAGCTGCTCCATCTCTCGGCATGTTCAAGAATATTTTAAACAACAAGAAATGCTCCATACAGCTTCACTGGAGCCTGTAACTCCCTGTTCTGGAAATTGAAAGCAGCAAAACAGTTTGCTGGGGGATAGTAGGGCTGAAACACAAATAGTTAGAGCTAGGGGTCAATACTTGGAACTCAAGAATGCTGGTAATGAGCCTGATGGCAAGTTGGAAATGGGTTTTCAATACGATCACTTGACAAACATGATTTTTACGACTTTGAGCTTCAACCACAGGCCATGTTATTGGACAGACATGTGAATAGGTAAATGTCTAACTACTATTTCTGTATTTCTATAATATTCTTCCCTTTGGGGCCATCAGGACAATCTACCAGGTCTAGGAATCAGACTACTTTCTGAATCTGAAAGGGGGCTGATGGCAGCTACCAGGATTTGGGAACTAGGAAGAACGAATAATGACAAAACAGTTTAAGAAAAGATGAAAGAACTACTTTGGAGCAGAATTGGCTAGAAGAAATGTTAATGGCCTGCCTTCATGGTGTTGTACAGAAAATGAAATACTGAGAAGCCACAAAGAGAGCCCATCCCTGTGGTATAACTGTGAGGCATAATAGGAGGAATTTAAAAAGAAAAACTTGAGACAGGCATTAGGAAACAGACAGAACTTCCATATTCCCAGAAAGAAGGTGAGCACATTGAAGGCATTTAAAAACTGAGGTTGAATTAAACTCTAGGAAATATTTTCTCTTGTCGGCAACAATTCTCTGCTGGCCCAGTGGGACAGAGTACATCATCTAACGAGACATTTTTATTTCTAATTTCTTTAACTCCATGGAAAATCCTTCCTGAATTCTCCGCAACTCTCTGTGGTGTTTACTAAGTGAAATAACTTAGTGCCCTCCACAGCCTTCACTAACTTAGTATCCATTCGCTCTTCCAAATCAATAATAAACACATTAAATAACATTGGTCCCCATACAGACCCCAAATGCACCACACTATTAACCTCTCTCCACTCCAGGAAACCAGCAGTCACTCTGTCTCCCACGGCTTAGCTGGTTTTGTAGAAATCTCCAGCCTTTGACTGCTCCTGCCCAGCTGAAAGAAGGGTCTAACTCCACTTCTGCTCTTTCCTGGTTAACACTGCAGGGCTCTCTGGTGGAAGCCTGCACCCCTGGGGCAGTGGCTGCAGGTAACACTAGTCTATTTGATGGGAGGCCTAAGAGTTTCAGCAAGGAAGGAAAGCAAGATGGAAAAAAGTTTATTGTTCTTACTGAAAACCCAATTGCACTGCCATTTTTCAATTCCATTGAGAAATGTCAATGTTCTTTCCCACCGTCTGGCGGAGGCAGATTTGACCAGGTGTCTCCACACAGAGTGGGTTCTCACAGTTGGGCTGCGTGTGTGTCATAAAGCTAAATAAGGAGCCAGTTCAGTCCGCCACCCCCCTTCGCTTCTGCCGGCCAGACACACTTCCCCATATGACAGTCTTATAAATAGCTGCTAAGCAGCTGGTCCTCCTCTCACCTCCTGACTCTGTCAGAATCCCCCACTAGAAGCCCCTGACAGTCATGCAGCTGGGAGCTCCCCTTTTCTCTTCTTCTCTCCTCTCCACTCCCTACCTCTGACATATGGCCGCCACCTCAACAATGCCCACTGAAACCAGCCAGGGACTGACTTCCATGGGAGAAGGGATCAAGCAGGCTGAGGGCTGGATCTGACCACTGAAGCAAACTGTCACCCAAGTAAACAGGGGAATGGAAGGTTGGGAGACACCACAGTGAGACACCAGGCAGCCCACAGTACAGCGGCCAGATGGCTGACCCAGCAAAAATCCCAGGAATCTTTCTGGAGTGAGTCAAACATTATAAATATCTGTGGGACTCCGTGATGCTTCTAACTATATATGTACATATTCGAAAATAGTTTTGGACAAATAAATATAGGATGAAATGTATTATTATTAACTTTTACAAAGTTCCAACAATGTGTTCAGAGTTCAAATGAGGGTAGGATTTAGGATAAAGAAAATACAGGAAACAATTAAAGATTTGGAAGCCAATACATGATAAGAAGATAACAAAACAGAAATGGTGCTTTGTTTCTAAATATTGTTGGTTTTCATGAAAGAAGAAGCTCTAGCTGATAGGGTATTATAGCTGCAGGTATGGGCAGAGAGAGTCAAGTCAATTTCACAGGAACTTATTGAGTGCCCACTATGTGCTAGGCACAGGGAATGCAGAGTTATCCCCAGCCTTGATCAGCCCAGACAAGTAGAAGGCCAGTAGATGTTATAGAAGGTGGAAAGGTCAATTTTGCTTTTGGGGTAGAGAGTCGTGGAAGTCTACAGAGAGGACACAGGACAATCTAGGCTGTAGGAATAGCAGGAGTTCAGGCAAGAAGATGCCCACGTTCCCACAGGTCTAAGAAACAGTGGACAGGTCCCCCTGGCATAGCAGGTATAGTGTGGGAGGCGGGGACCTGCTCAAGCATGCTGGAGTGGGCATGCGGCTTGGGGAAGAGGACTTAGACATGAGAAAATGAAACCATTGAACAAAGTGTGCAGTAACCACAAGCTAATGCTGAAATTTCAGATCTCAGTTGTCACCTAAAGAACTCACCCCTTCTTGGTTCTCCTCACATAGGCTATTCTGAAAGTTTATTTTTATTTATTTATTGAGACAGAGTCTCACTCCATCACCAGGCTGGAGTGCAGTGCACTATGTTGGCTCACTGCAACCTCTGCCTCCCAGGTTCAAGCGATTCTTGTGCCTCAGCCTCCCATGTAGTTGGGACAATAGGCACCTGCCGTCAAGCCTGGCTAATTTTTGTATTTTTAGTAGAGAAGGGGTTTCTCCATGTTGACCAGGCTGGTCTCGAACTCCTGGTCTCAAGTGATCCACCCACCTCAGCCTCCCAAAGTGTTGGAATTAGGCATGACCCACCACACGCGGCCTAATCCGAATGTTCAAATAGATCATAGTTTAAATCTCCTATCAAAGAGTCATCCTTGAACCATGGACCCCTCAAGCATTTCCCAACATGCCCGCACATTTCACAGGAAGTGCATAGTTGTAGCTGCCACTGAGGGACCCTGCACAAAGTGTTCCAAAGTTCTGCCCTGGCAGTGCTGGACCTGGACCCCCTCCAGGGTTAACACCACCATCTGGATATTTCACCGGCAGTGCTGAAGCCAGAGGGCATGGAGGACACAGACCACCAGAGATAGTTAGTGGTTTCCTTTGGGAAAGATCAGGGCTTGAGTCCTGAGGCTGGGGAGGGGCAGCCTCAGTCTTTGAGGATTTAGTGGGGCCCAGCAGGGATTTGGCAGACAGGGCTGGACAGAAGCTGAGTATGCTTTCTTCTGAGGTCAGCCAAATCATCACACTCTCAGGGACACCTTCCCCAGCCCTTTATTACATATTCTGATGGAACTGTGAACCTTTTCTGCATACTACCATTGTCACTGTATGGTTGTTAATTGACATCTGTTCTCTTCTCCTAGAGCACAATCCGCAGATTGGCTTTGCTCTCTGTTGAATCCCCTGTTTCCAGCACCCTGCTGGGCACGCACTAGACACTCAGGAAGTAACTGTTTCTTGAAGGATTATCAGAGCTAATGTTTATTGAGAATTTTGTATTCTACCATTTAATCCTCAACAACCACTTGTGAAATAAGTAATATTAATTAATCCCATTTTACAGATGAGTAAACGGAGACTCAAAGGATTAAGTGACTTGCCAAATGCTAATGAGTGGTGGAGTGGGGCTTGAACTCTGGTAGTCTGACTGTTGAGTCTGGGAGAGGCCATGTGGCAGGTCTGGTGGCAGAAGAGGAACCAGAGTGGCCCAGAATAAGGAAGGCAGAGAAAGTGGTGGCTCTGGGGGCAGGGATGTGGGGAGATCCTTTCTCCCATTTAAGCTTACGGGACCCAGATTTCTGGCATCACTGCTAGATCGCCTCTGCTTCAGCTGTTCAGGGAGTATTTTAGCGAGTGAATGAGTCTGGACATCCTTAACAGATGCTGCCCGCCCACGTGGACTGGTCTTCCAGCCGCTCACTGCTGAGCTGAAGCTGTTGAACGTTTCCTCAGGCATCCCCTCCACAGCAGGGCCTTCCAGCAAACCCGCAGGCTTCCTGGGTGCTGCCTTGACCTAGGTCCTGTTCTCAGGAGCTTCTCCACGACAGGCGAGAGGCCAGGTGCTGGGCTAGTTCCTAGGACATTGAGGTGATGACATTAACTAAGGCTGTCTCCACAAGCTTAAGTCAGAAGTGTCCCAAAACCTGGGGGCCTGGGAATTCAAATGGTCCCCAGCAAGTCTGATTCTTTCTCCATCTCAAAGCTATTCTGTTACCCTTAAGTCTTACTTTGACACCACATGGACAGTAATTTGTGATGTTCTGAAAGTCGGAATGGCTTCCTCGGTGTAGCTTTCTAAAATGAACTGAACTTCAACCTGTGCTAAGCACTCTACATGCATTCATTTCATCCTCACGGTTTTACAGACAAATCAACCAAGCCTCAGAGGGGCGAAGGCGCTTACTCAATGTCACTCAGGGAGTGAATGGTGAAGCTGGAGTGAGAGTCTAGATCTTTCTTAATGTAGAGTCAAAGATCCTGGCAACCAGCGTATCCTGGGGTAATAGCCCATTATGGCTGCCAGGATACTATATGTATAATTTTTTATATTTTTGGCATTGAGAATAAGATTTTTGAACAGTCAAATCTATCACCTGAAATGTCGTGAGGAGTTAATGTGAAGATTTCTTTCTTAATCAACAATTTGATTGTTTAATGGCCTTATTATTTTTTTAGAAAATAAGACTCAGACTACATATCTCATCTTGGTCTGCAATACTAATTCTAGGATGCCTCAACTTTAGTTCTTAGAGCAAAATGCAAGGGCAAAAATGGGAAGTAACACTGTCTGAATGGTATCATTTGGGGATTTTTTTTCTTTGTGATGCTCATAATCGAACAACAGCTTTTGTCTAAAAAATTAAATGTGACAAGAAATTAATCCACATTGTGATCTAATTATTTTTAGAATTATGAGAAAAATGTAAGGTGTCTCAACTATTTAATTTTGAAAAGTGTCTATGGAAATTAACTTTCACTGCCTTTCATAAGGATTTTAGTTTTCTTGCCATCCTTAAATGGCATTTTCAACAATCACTAATATGGCTATTGCTGTCACGTAAGGTCACTGGCATGTGAGGTAGGGTTTCTTGCAAAGCCTGACTTTAAAGAACATGTGACGTATCATGCTCTAGACTACTTTAAAGTGTAATTTATCAAATTAATGAATTAGAATTCAGGGGCTAATCAAAGAACCAACCAGTTTCTTAATTTTCTTTACATCTCTGAAGAATCAACCGTTAAGCAGGAATGAACACCAAACACAGGGAGATTTCTGGTGGTACGTTAAAAGCAAACATCACTCTGACCCTTGAAAATGAGATTAGAATAAGACCAAAAATAATGGAAAAGTGGTTACTGAATGAAAAATATTTGGGGAAAAATGAGTTCACAATTGTGACATTTTAATAAAAAGGTTTTGGCGATGCTAAGGTCCACCCACCAGTCCCATATGTTCAGGCTATTGTGACCTGAATTCTGATTACTGAAGTTGATCTTCTGGGAAAAGGTGTTGGATCCAGAAGGCACTGATCAAACTCAAGAATATAATCTGGAAAGGAACCTGCTTAAGTGGTCTACTCTTAGGAAAGGGATATTTACTATAGAGAGAGCAAGTTGTAGGTGAACTCCAAACTTGGCACCAAAAGTAGTAGAAATTCTGCTGTGGGGTAAGAATGAGGGGAAAGTAAAGGGAAAGGAAGAAGGCACGTGGCCTTAATAAGAGGCGTGCCACAGTGAGCTGTCAATGGAAAGTTTTGGATTCCCAGTGCTGTGAAAGGAAAGGAAGGAGCTCCAGAGATGGAGGTGGGGAAGCCCAGGAGATGCTCTGTTTTATTTACCTGGCAATTCTGTGGACCCCTCGATCACTCTAGATCCTAAGTTCAATGGGAGCACATGGCTATCTGTAATTCTAAACATCCATTCTCCTGAACAACGCCCTTAAACCCCAGGGAAACACTTGTTCACATCTCTTGCCCTAGGTCCTCAAAACAAATGGTGACTACATCCAAATGCCATGAAGCTATATGGGGTGTCATCTGCTAAGGTGGGAGATGGAGGGGATGGACTCCGCCTCAGAATACAGGGAGGATTTCATCAGCAGAAGTGCTTAGGTAAGAACAAGGACAAATTAATTAACTTGTCATATTCTTCCTCTCACAAAGCATGAATGCTGTGGATTCTTGCATAACAAAGCACCGTTTCCCTGTGGTGCCAAATGTCCATTTGCTTGCTTCTCTTCTTTCTCCAATTGGGGGTCCCAAAGGTACACAACATATTAACATGACAGTCCCAACAGTTACACATAGCTGCTAATGGAAATCACTCTGAAGTGTGTATCTATACATAGGTCTGTATGCAACGTGAGTGAAGCATGATACTGATTCTTTACAGACAGCTAGATAGACATTCAATGCTAGAGCTGCAGGGCTTTTTAAAATAAAAATGTACATGTTTACAAAACTAAATATCTGGACTTTATTAGAATATTCTTTATTTTAAAAATTGACATTTATTAATTATAATTTATATTTTGCCTTTTAATTTTAAGAGATCATTTTGAATATTTCAAAAGAAAATTTTTCATATTGTGGTAAAAAACACATAGCATAAAATTTACCATCTTAATCATTTTTAAGCATATAGTACTTTTTAAGGTATAGTGGTAACTATATGCACCTTGCTATACAACAGATCTCTAGAACTTTTTCATCTCACAAAACTGAAACTCTATACCCCTCGAACAACAACTCCTCTCCCTCCCCCACGCTCCTGGCAACCACATTCTACTTTCTGTTAAAGAAAATTGGTTTAGAAAACATATGACACTTTTAATTTATTTTTAAGCATTAATTTACATTTTGATGAAAATAAATTCAAATTTTGTATATATGTATTTGAATATAATTGTATCTTAATATTTTAACTCTTTAGACATTAGTCTCAATAGAGCACAAATTGTATGAAAAATGTTGAATATAATATCTTAAGTAGTGATTTCATTGAAATGAAGGAAAAAATAAATTTTATGGAATGAATCTATAATAGTTCATGAATTATGTATGTCTATTTTGTTACTCATTTAAACATCTCCAGCTTTTCAACAAAATACCCACACATATGCAATAACAATTAGTCATTTTTGACATTTTGCTAACTTTAACTCATAGAAAGGCCATACTTTCACTCATACTTTTCAATTTGTCTCAATGAAATATAATTGTCAAGGAAGGAAAATAGAACATATTTTTTTAACAGTTTATTAGCTTTAAACATTTAGGCATATGCTATGTGGGCTATTTGTACTCTTGTCCTGGCCCCCAAAATATAAGTATGGCTGACTGCAATTGCGTGTTAATTGTCTGTCTTTACCGTGTTACTTACCATAAATTTTGAAGGGACAATGTTTGTTTTGTCTATCATTGTATCTCTAGTGTTTGGTATAATTAATCCTCAAAGAAATGTCTGAATGTCATTGAAGTCACCTTCATTGATGACAACTAACTGAGCTGTGAAGTGTTGGCCACTATTCTATCTATGCTCTGAAGAAGCAAAGGTGAATAAGACAGGGTTCCCACTCACAAAAAGCTTGTCATTTAATTGAGAAAGCAGACCAGGCCTATAGAAGGGGCTTTAAAGTAGGAATTTTATTCATATAGATACAAACTAAGTGCGACAGGCAGTAAGTCTTGCTAAATTCCAGACCCCATTTGTAATATGGTGATAATAGTAGGACCTACCTCGCAGGGTTGTTTTGAAGATTATAAAAGATAATTCATGTGAAGCACTTAGCACTAGGCTGGCACTAGTATTATTCACTCAATAGTGATAGATGGTGGTGATAATACAAGTAGTAGTAATTGTAACAATAGTAGTGGTCGTGGAAGTGGTATTAGTGGTAGTCATAATAGTAGTGATGGTAACTGGTGTAAAGTTTAATAGTAAACAGTGTTTATGGGTTCAGATGGTCAGGGAAGACATCATGAAGGAAAATATAGAGGTATTAGAGAGTTGAAGGTACTTCAATGAATGTATTTTTGAAAAGATGTTTCAAGGAGTCTATACTGGATACAAAAACAATGGAAGAAGGTAGAGCAGAGGAACCCATAGGTCAGTGGATGGATCAGTTGGAAATGGGGCAGGGTCATATAGCCAAATGATCTAGTTCATGATGGAACTGACTCAGAGAGAAAGGAGGTGGGGCTGTTATGGTCAAGTAGAAGCAGAAGCAAAGAAGACCTGACATCTCCTGCTACCCATGAAGCATATTGGATGGGATAGAGTAAGGGTCAGACACACAAGGGCTGCAGCCTTGGGGAAGACCCAGGTGTCAATTCAAAAAAAGAGCTAACAAGAGCACCCCGAGAAAAGAGTATAGATCTGGTTTGCTGGGACATGGCAAGTCCAAGCAGCCAGGTAAAAGCATTGATGGTGCTGGGTTGAGATCAGGAACCTGGATCAGGAGCAAGGAAGAAAACAACCTCACCAGGGGTGGTAGAGCAGTTAAGGAGGATGTGAAGGTCTAAGTTTGTGGAGAATCCATGCACAATGGGGCTTATGCTTGCTGCACCAACTGATGAAAACAGGGAGGAGAGGTATTAAGATTTTATTTTCACCAGTTTCCTTGGAAAGGATAATATATCATCCCAATCCTGTCACCAAACATGTGTGGACTTAGATAAGTGACTCAACTTTCTGTATTTGTTTCTTCATTGAAAATATAAACTCAAAAGTACTTGCTTTGTGTGTCTGTAAAAATAAAATTATAAAGATTTGGAGGCTTGGAAAGGTACAAAACGCTTTGCAAATATAAGGGATGATTATGATATTCATATTTCAAGTCAGGGTGGGTTCCTAGTTCAAATATTCCAAATATACTAGTGTGGTAAATATGTAGAGGTGCATAGGGCAGCTTTAACTGCTTGCTGGGTTTTTGTGAGACACAAAGCATTGGTCCTAACAATAACCTCAACCATGGGCATGTTGCAAATCAAGCTGGAGAAGGATGGACATGAAGAAAGAAGAGAATGGAAGAGGAGAAAGAAGCAAGGCCAGACATTTGGAAGGTTCTGTGAAGTCAAAGAGCCAGTGTGGTGACAGGTGCTCCATAGAGAGGGGACTCTCCCTTCCCTAGTGGAGTCACGGCTCCATTACATGCCACACGACTCAGCAGTCTTGAGTAGAGAAACAAAGAATAACTCAACAGGATAGAAATTAAATTAGCAGCATGGAATAACTTGAGTCATATTTGAGTAGAACAGTGATATTATTTCCTGGGCTCTGGTGATATTTTTTCCCCAATCTTGGCTGTGGACAGCTTTAGTCATATATCTTTCCCGAAAGTTGTAGTTCACTGTAGTTTCTCACGTGTTCATGTATCACATTGAGTGTTGACAGGCTGGGCATTTAATTATCTGAGAACTGCTGTACTTTCTTTGCTTCTTGAATAATGAACTGGATTCTGTACCAAAGTGTGAGGTACTTACAGCTTCTTTTAGACACCTGGGACTCTGCCTTGGGTTGCACAGGGATTCAGTTATTCACATATACCCCAAGAGGGCAAGGGAAGCAATTATCTGGAGATTTCAAGAAAACCACTGACTCATCTTAATTACCTGGAGGTACGTAAAATCCCATTTCAACAAACTTTAACATGCTATCCTAATTACTTTGAATATTGAATATTGTTTGTAAGAAGTGAGTCATCATTTGGGTATCAGATCTCTATAGGCTGTTATTGTAATGGTGTCTGTTATAATCAGATTTAACCTGCTTAAATTACCTTAAAAAATGGTCTGAAATGATTACTTCATTTTTTTTAAGTATATAATCCACCTTGAGTAGAGATAAGCAGAAAATGCCCCTATCAATAATGTATTTGAGTTTGCAGAACATGAACTCTGCCACAGTCAAATTATGGTTCTAGCAAAACAATTTTTTTTCCAGATTTGCCTGAATGAAGGCAGCAGTGGGCTTGGGCTCCTGTGCCAGTCAGTTTTGCATTCTGGGTGGCTTGTTTAGATCAGCTTGCACACAGTGTAGTTCAACCGTATCTGAGCACTGCCTTTCCTTAGCCTGCCCTTTCACGTGGGATGATTATCTAGAGCTGCTTCATTTGCCAAGGTCATCACTCCAAGGGCCTAGCCCTTCCTCTGGTCATGTTAGGCACTACTACAAGGATATGAGGGCTTGTGACTTTACATTTTCACACGATCATAATGGCTTTAATTACTACAAGGCCACAAGAGGTAGAGCTTCCATTAAGAAACAGAAGAGCAACATCCAAAGTACTACTTGAAGGCCTAACATCGTGTCTCATGCACAGAGGGTGCTTGGATATTTACTAAGTAAAAGAGAATGTATCTAGGGCATGCCCCATTCTCAAACACAGCTGCTATAGAGCTCTCTGGAAAAAAAAAAAATTGCTTTACACAGAATTGTTGTTTGGCCCAACTTTCCTTTTCACTTCAAATCTTTGTTTTAAATGACCCAATTGCCATCATCATCTTGAGGCCTCATAGGCAGCTCAAACAACATTGCAAAAGGCCAGTGTGTTAGGTGTTCCCTACAATGGTTGCCAATGACCCTGCCTTCTGGTATTCATGCCCCTGAGAAGGCTGAACCTAGAGACTTTCTCCTAACAAATGGAGTATGACAAAAACTTATGGGATATGAATTCTGAGGCTAGATGCCCAAAGACTCTAGCATTTTTCTTGCTTGTCCTCTCTTGCTCTTTAACCCTCTCTGTCTCTCCCTAGTTTTCTTTTTCCTTCATTCTCTCTCTTTTTTTCTATTAGAGCCCTTGCTCCAGGGGAAGCCAGCTGCCGTGTTGTGAGTAGTTCTATGGAGAGGCCCATGTGACAAGGAACTCGTGTCTTGCCCAACATCCAATGAGAACCTGAGGCCTACCAGGAGCCATGCAATTGAGCTTGGAGGTGGGTCTTCTGAGGGCTCCCAACAGCCATGTGAGTCAGCTTAGGAGTGAACCCTCCCCCAGTCAAGCCTTCAGATGACTGCAGCCCTGATTGATACCTTGATTACAGACTTGTGAGAGACTCTGAGTCAGATATACCCAGCTAGGCCATGCCTGGACTCCCAATACACAAAAAGGAAGATAAGAAATGTTTGTTGTTTTAAGTTACTAAGTTCAGGGGTGATTTGTTACACAGCATAGATAGCTAATACAGCAGTCCTATGTTTTCTAGAGTATTATAACAATCTGATGAATGGTATCCTTGTTTCCTTTAACTTGCTTGCTACTTTTCCTTGCCAAAAATTCAATCGCTCTCACCTCACTGAAAAATATTTTATGATCCCTTATTACTCCAAAAGATAAATTCTGAAATGGAGCACAGAACATTCTAGGTCTTTGGTCATCTGGTACTTACCTAGAGCTTTTCAACCTATTTTCTATCTGTGTTCCCACTTCTTTTTTTTTTTCTTTAATAGGGTCTCAGTCTGTCACCTAAGCTACAGCACAGTGCCACCATCATGGCCTACTGTAGCCTCAACCTTCTGGGTTCAAGCAATCCTCCCACCTCAGCCTCCCTGGTAGCTGGATTACAGGCATGCACAAATATGTCCGGCTAATTCTTTTTTTTAATTTTTTGTGGAGACAGGGTTTTGCCATGTTGCCCAGGCTGGTCTCAAACTCCTGGACTTAAGCCATCTGTCTGCCTCAGTCTCCCAAAGTGCTAGGATTACAGGCGAGAGCCACCACAACTGGTGAGTGCTCAGACTTCTAAATGTCTTTATTCCAGCCACACCAAAGTACTTGCAATTGCCCAGCACACCACAATTTTTGTGTTCCTCTTTCTTGTCCTGGCTGTTTCCTCTCCCTGGAATGCCATTTCCACCTCACCTATGCTGGTGACATCCTGCAAAACTCTACCCATCCTTCTAGATTTAGGCTCCAACTTCCTTTCTGTAAAGCCTTCTCTGCTATAGATAAAGTGGGACACTCCCTCCTCTGTATTCCCATGGTTTTCTGATCCCACTCTACCATTCTCTCCTTGACTAGACCATGGATTTCTCACAGGTAGAAAAATATAATTCCTAGAGCATGATTATTAAAAGCAAAGGGTTAGGAGCCAACCCGACTAGGTTCAAAATCCTTTCCCTATCTCTTTACTTAGCTACGAGCCTTAGACAAGTTATTTAACCACTGATATGGTTTAGCTCTGTGTCTCCACCCAAATCTCATCTGGAATTGTAATCTCCACAAGTCAAGGGAGGGCTCTAGTGGGAGGTGATTGGACGATGGGGGCGGTTTTTCCCCTTCTGTTCTAATGATAGTGAGGGAGTTCTCACAAGAGCTGATGGTTTTAAAGTGTGGCACTTCCTTGTTCTCTCTCTCCTGCTGCCACGTAAGACATGCTTTGCTTCCCCTTCTCCTTCTGCTGTGATTGTAAGTTTCCTGAGGCCTCCCCAGCCATATGGAGCTGTGAGTCAATTAAAACTCGTTTCTTTATAAATTACCCAGTCTCAGGTAGCATCTTTGTAGCAGTGTGAGAACAGACTAACACAACAACTGAAGACTTAATTTTCTAATCTGTCAAATGAGAAGAATAATAGGACCCACGTACAGGGTCGTTTTGTAGTTAAATGAGATAATATGTGAAAAGTGCTCAGCACAGCCTGGCAATAAGAGTTAAATATATATTAACTATTATTATTTATAATTATAATCACAGAGATAAGCACATAGTAAAATTTCAATCACTGTTTCATGATTCTCTGAGAATTATTTGCATTTTCACTGGGGACAAAGGCATGTAAAGAAAAAGGTGTGACAATGGTAGAATTTCAGACATCACGGACACCTGTTTTGCCTTCTTCCAAGCTTGGCCCTGGGTATTAATATTAAAACAGATAATAAATTAACAGGTAGGAAAGAGAGCAGTGTTCATTTATTCACTGGACTCTTTGTCAAGAGTCTGGAAATGAGAAATTTTCCCCAAATGAAAGATTAATATTAATGTGATGAAGTGATTGTAATCTTGAGGATGAGAAACTGATTTCCATTTTTTTTTGAAAGGAAAAATTGCCAGAGAATCTATTCAAGGGGTTCACAGTCTTTGACAAGCCCTTTCAAGCAGCAGGATGCAGTGGAAGGGGCAGAGACTGAAGAGTCCAATGACCTGGGTTCTAGATCCAACACTGCCTCTACTAGTGTGTGCCTTAAGGCAGGACACACTCATGCCATCTGTAAATGGGGGATGGCAATATCCATTCTCCCTAATTCACAGCACCATAGGGAGGAGAAACTGAGATCACGAATGTGAAGACAATGTTTGAAAGTTTAAGAAAACAGAAATGCACGATGTATATATTTTCATGGTTTCCTATTTAAATAAGAAATAGCCAAGCATGTGTAAGGACAGCAATGGAAGATATAATTGATTCTGCTTATGTAAATGTGGTGTTTTTCTTATAAGCTTTCCAAAAAACTCAAAAGGAAGTCATAAGACTAAAAGTCATTTTAAGGAACTTTTTTTTTTTTTGGAGTAAAAGCAATTTTTCTTTTTTGGAACTAACAGAACACAATTAAAAGAAAAACTACCTGAGGGATCCAATATTTAACATGAAGAAACTAAGGATTACAAGCCAGGAGTTGGCTTCTTTACGTAGTGTTTGAGTCCTTGCAGATGTCCTTGGGCCAGGTGGACCAACTCCTAAACATTAGCAAGTATGTGTATTTCCCAGGAGCCTATTTAGAATCTGCTCATAGTTAGACTTAACTTGTCTTGGAAAGAACAACCCATCTGATCTTCAGAAACCTCTGCTATAAGCAGATATTTTTTAAAAAATCAAATGCAGAAGAGAACTCTAGGTAAACTAGGTAAACATGATTGTCCTTAAAGGGTATTTCATTTCAAAAGAGAAGAATAATGAAAGAAAATGGTAGATGACCAACATAGTCTACATATTAAACAAGGTCTCCCAATTCCAGCGGTTTCTTCTTTGGTAATCTCTCAGAGATAAAAATCACTCTTCACAATTTGAAACAAAGTAAATGGATGTTTGCAATGCTAAGAACCCCTGTGGAAATGAGGCGAAATAAGACAAGGCCTTCAGACCTGTGAGAAAAATCAATCTGATGGAAAATTGACAAACTTGTTTAACGTGGGGCACAAGAGCCAAGGGCTGACCCCAGAGGCCTCCTCTGAGACACCCAGTGAAGTTCCCGTCAGTTCCCTTAATCCATTCAATTACACAATAGCATCGCTAAGGGAACCTTTTTTTTTCTAGCCAAACATCACTTTAAATTAACTTTTTTGCCATTGTGTTTTAAATTCCAATTTCTTTCTCTTCATTCTTTCTCTACACTAAATTATTAAAATCACCAACTGCTCTACAATCAAAAATATTTCAGAAAGCAGTGATGCCAAATTTGGATTGACTAAAGTGAAATCAGACAGAAGGAAAGATATTTTGAACATTTCTACACTTGGTGCATTGTTTAAAGATATGGCAACAAGTAATTAAAATGGACTACTTGGCTTTTCCCCACAAAACCAACCTGGTGTTTGGCCCCATTACAGCCTAATTCAGACCAGAGATACAGCTGAGTGAAGTGAAACACACCAATATATTTACAAATAGACTGATTTTTTTTCTTCATCTATACCATGTTCCTTTTTTATGTAAAAAAAGTTAAGCTACACTAAAATGAAAAAATAAGTAAAATAAGCCTTTTATTTGGAAAGTCAGAATGAAAAGGCAAAGTGGACTAACTTTTAGAACTAGAGAAAGGAAGGACTTGATTTATTTTTAAAGAGCAGATTTTACTCAAAATGTCGCATCAACGGACTTGCACATGGAAGTGGCCATCTAAATTCTGACAATTTTCTTTTCATTTACCATCATCTACACATGACACAAATAAAAGTGTATGCACAGCCTCACAGAGGAAACTGAATTACACTCCACCTTTACACACAAACACACCTCAGCCATGGGCCTTGTTTTCTGATGGGTGATATGCCCTTGAGCAGACTATCTCCAGGCCAGCGTTAATACTCAACACCTGTCAGCTCATGGCTTCTCCTTATTACACTGCATTCATTTCAACGGCTGAATTCAAACAATTGTCACAGCGCCTGGTGCTAAAGATGCAAAGATAGTCCCTGCTCTTTAAAAGCTGGTGGAATAGTGAGTCCCTTAACATTCCTTCACAGCAGGACCCTGAATTCCAGGCAGCACTAAGCAGAATATTTGTTAAATAGGTGCATCCTCAACCAACAAATTGGCTTTATTTTAAAAAGAAATAAAGAGGTGGGTCAGGTGCTAATTATTTGATTGGAAATCAATTCACTCTTTTCCCTGTGAAAGAAAATGTGCCAGGCATGGTGGCTCATGCCTGTAATTCCAACACTTCGAGAGGCAGACAGGAGGATTGCTTGAAGCCAGGAGTTTGAGACCAGACTGGGCAACAGAGCAAGGCCCCATCTCTACAAAAAATAATAAAAATTAATCAGGCATGGTAGCACGCACTTGTAGTCCCAGCTACTTGTGAGGCTGAGACAGGAGGATTGCTTGAGCCCAGGAGGTCAAAGCTGCAGTGAGCCATAATTACGCCACTGCATTCCAGCCTGAGTGACAGAGCAAGACACTGTCTAAAAAAGAGAAAGAAGATGAAAGAAAGAAAGAAAGAAAGAAAGAAAGAAAGAAAGAAAGAAAGAAAGAAAGAAAAGGAAGGAAGGAAGGAAAGAAAGAAAGAAAGAAGAAAGAAAAGAAAGGAAGGAAAGAAAGAAAGAAAAGAAAGAAAGAAAGAAAGAAAGAAAGAAAGAAAGAAAGAAAGAAAGAAAAGAAAGAAAGAAAAGAAAGAAAGAAAGAAAGAAAGAAAGAAAGAAAGAAAAGAAAGAAAGAAAAGAAAAGAAAGAAAAGAAAGAAAAGAAAAGAAAGGAAAAGAAAGGAAGGAAGGAAAGAAAGAAAAAGAAAGCAGAAAGGAAGGAAGGAAGGAAAGAAGGAAGGAAGGAAGGAAAGAAAGAAAGAAGAAAGAAAAGAAAGGAAGGAAAGAAAGAAAGAAAAGAAAGAAAGAAAGAAAGAAAGAAAGAAAGAAAAGAAAGAAAGAAAAGAAAGAAAAGAAAGAAAAGAAAGGAAAAGAAAGGAAGGAAGGAAAGAAAGAAAAAGAAAGCAGAAAGGAAGGAAGGAAGGAAAGAAGGAAGGAAGGAAGGAAAGGGAAGGGAAGGAAGGGAAGGAAGGAAGATGAGTAAAGGAAAAAAAGAAAAGTTTCCCATGGTGGTGGTAGTTACAAGCCTGGACATATGAAAGCCTGTTTAACTCCTAACGTGGTCGCAATTCCCTACAATGGTAAAGAAAAGTTCAAAGGTAATTGCATTGTTGTAAATATGTACCATTTCAGATATGAGTTTCATGTTTTAAAAAATCTGTACTAACTTTCAGAGTATAAAAAACACTTTCAAATATTACCTTGTTTCATCTCGTGAGAAAATGGACTTATTGATCTTGGTTTTTATAAGTTAGGAAACCAGGCTTGGTGGGGATTGTGGGGGTGTGGGGGGGGTTGCAAGCAACTCCCTAGGGATCAGCTGGTTAAGAAGTAGTGGTTCAGGGACAGGAACTCGGGCTTCTGGCACAGGAGCCCATGTTATTCCTTCTACCTGAGACTGTCTCAGAATATCTCTGGGGTAATTCAAGTGACGTGCCAAAGCATTGAATTTTATTTAAAATTAGAAAAAAAAAGGTCACCTTGAATTTTCCTATGTTTCTGGGATATTTGGTTTCTTCCTTGGGACTTTGAGAGTAAATCTACCTCAGAGAAGAATAAATTTATCCTGAAGCAGTTTTTCTGGCAGTGGATGAGAAGCTCATTAACCATATATTATTACTAAGTTTATTAGTTCTTGGTTCTATTTATTTGTAATAACCATTTAAAAAAAAGTTTCCCCTTTAAGTGGCCAGTTTGGAAACCAACATAATAATTAATCAGAAAAGAGAGAAGGGAACTGCTGCTAAAATACAAAGATAAGCTTGTAAAGATTGGTCCTGCTTAGTTTGGACATAAGTCATCTAAGGGGTTTTTTTGTTTGGTTGGCTGGCTGGTTTAAATGAAAGAGTAAAAACATCTCAAGGCACTTATTAAGGCATTAGTTATACAAAATTTACATATTTTACCAAGAATTTTATTTAAAAGATTAGATCTTCAAGAAAATTAGACTGAAGTCAATTGTATTTTTTTCCCAAGGGACCAAGGAGTCTAAAGGGACCAAAAGCATCACCAAAAACATGGCACTTGCAAGAACCGATTTTAAAGTTAAAACACCTGAATTTTAGTCCCATGCTGAAGGGAAACAAACAAAGGCATTTATACTCCAAGTTGTTAGACTGAGTGTTAGAAGTGAATGTGTTTGTGTCTGGTTGCATAAATGCATTATCTCCAGCTATTTCTAAGTTCACAATATGTCCTCTGTATGAAGATTTACCCTTGCCCCCTCTGCCCGACTCCGCATCACTTATAATATATACATAGTTTATTATTGTACCATGCAATGATGACATATTACTTTTACTTTGTGAGTTGAATATTGCACTTTGCCACATGTTACCAAGCTGTAAGCTTTTGTTAGCTCTCGTGGGAAATTTGTGATGGTGTGAAGTGAACTCCTGTCACCATTCCATGGATTGCAAAAATGGTATAGCTCTTGCCAAAGACCTGGATCATATCTTGAAAGATTGCCTGATCAAATCAATATCTTCAACAAGGTTGGTTGTAGCCAACCATTTTTCAATGTGTGAAATCGATATAGTTTGTTTAAGAATGGATGGTTGGCCATCTTCTTCCATTGTATTCCTTCTAACTAATCTTATGGCATGGATTTTTGTAAATATAAAGAACACAAGGTAAGTATACCCAAACACCTTTCTTGGCACCCTGTGGATAATGAACTGACCACAATTAAGTATTATTGCAAAAAGAGGATGTTTTGGTGTCCTGCTGACCTAAATTCAAGTCCAGGTCTGTTGCTAAGTAGACATGTAACTTTGGGCAAGTTACTTAACCCTCCTGAGTCTTAGTTTCCTTCTAGGCAAAATAGAGGTTATAATGTCTGCATCACAGGTTTAAGAAGTACCAGGCATGTAGCAGAAACCTTCTAAATATTAATTTACTATTTTATTCCCTCCTAGATACCATTCTCTTTTCTGCTCCATAGTCTACCAACTTTGTATCTTTATATTATCCCCTTCTTAAATATGTCTTTACATTTATATAGGTGTTCGTGCATATATGTGGATTTATGTCTTTATTTGCACAATGTTGAATATTGAGCTCTACATTGATATTTGCTGTCATTACCTTTAATAATTTCAAAATAATCTTCCTTTTTATATAGCTATTTTTATTTCCAGTTGGTATAGTCAATAAAAAGAAATATTCCTTTTACAGTGGGATTGTTGACTCCAAAATCTGTAAAAGGAACTTATAATTAAAAAGGAAGTTTAAATGAGTAGCAACATGCTGAAAAATTAACCATATGAAAAATAGTGTTTTTCAGGCACTCATTTACACATTAAGGAAAATTGAATTCTAAATGGGAAAGATTAAAAAGAAAATACCTTTAGAGGATGTGTTAGAGAAAAGAAAGATAACAAAATCATACTGAATGTTACACTCCATTTTTATATAAATTTTGCCCTCAGATTATACCAAGAAGAACAAGGGCAGCAGAGAACAAGTTAGGAAGAGATCTGGTATTCACCACCATATTGGTAATATGGTCTTAGAGAGTGCTTGAAGTCCTTTGCCTAAGTTAAGACATTATAACACAACTATTTCAAAAAGAAGAAATAAACATCAGTGTGCTTAAAAGTAGCCATATTTGGAAAACTAACGCTAAATTTCACAGAGTTTGCTGGAGTTCTTCATTCTGATATATTGCTTCACTTTACCCTTAGCAAGCAGGCATTAGGAGCTGCAAATGTGGGGACTTTTCAAGGAGAGATTTTTGCATACTATGCTATTTTATCTTTGTGGTAGAATAATATCTTTGAAATATTAATGTGTTTTATACTCATTCAAGCAGCTGGGCCACTTTAGGGTCATTCTACAGGGGAAGAATGCTATGTAGGGTGGAAAGCAAAATTGCGTTCCTGGATTTTGTCTTCCAAAACCCTTGGCTCTTGAATCTCCCTAGAAGATAAAGTGACAAAAATTTTGAGAGCTGGCGATTGAATGGGAAAATGAAGAAATTCATTCCTCTCTACCTTTAACTCACCAGACTAGAAAAAAATTTCCTGGGCTTGGGAAGATGAAAGAGAGACAAGAAGAATCCATGAGCTCATAGATGGTTAGAAGTGTCTTCCGAATAGAAGTATCTCTAACTCTGCCTTCTGTGCTGAGCCCCGTGGAAGCAGGAAAACCCAAAGTGCTTTCCAAAATCCGATACCACAGGGCCCCTGTGCCTTTCCCAAAGGGATGAAATGGCTCTACAGTGAATCTGGGCAGATGGGGAAGTACTCATGACCATCTTCTGGAGATTTTCATGGTTCAGCAGGACATGTGGCATCAAAGGATCAAAATGATGACTCATCAAGCATGGCCCTGGTAAGCTGAGAGAGATGTTTGGCCTCGGGGTCCAGGTGAACAGGAGCAAAGAACTGAGGACACAGGCAGAAGGGCTGGTAGACTACTAAGCCGAAACCTGAGTGGCAGATACTCTGCGATCAAAAGTATCGCCTCCCATACCCCCTTCCACACTCCTCCTCTCCCCTCTGTAAGTGCCTGCACAGCAAATGCCATCCCAGAGAGAGAGGTGAGGGGGAACCCTGGATCAACAGAGGGTACACTTCCTCTACCTCAGCAGAGTCAGGGCTGAATATAAATTAGCCAGAGTCAGAGAAAAATAAACTATTGTAGTTATTGCACAGCTGATTTGTGATATGCATTCTTATGAAATCCTAATCAAAAGTCCAGAGATAAAAACCAAACCGCCTGCCTGAGAGAGAATGGCCGGAACAAGGACAAGGCAACACGGTCTCCTATAGTCGGAATTGCATCCTCCTCCCTGTCATCCCAAGTCTCACTTCCAGTTCTGTTTAAGTTTTGAAGCTGAGAGAAAAGAAGAAATGTCAGAGGGAATTGGGGCCTTTAATATTGTGCACCACAGTTAGCTCTTGAAGCAGAGTCACTCTGCTGCGGTGTTTAAAAATGAAGTACAGTTCTCAACTCTCAGTGCCTCACATTCAGGAACTTCAGTAACAAATTCCTTTCACATTTGTTCCAAAGACTCTCCTTATACCTGAGGGTGAAGCTCTGGGTTTTTTAAGTGTTCAAATGCCGTGTTTAGAGACGGGACAAAGTTTTCATTCCAAAGCAGTAGCAATGGAGAATGATGCCTGAGGCACATCAAGGTTTTCTTGCCAGATCCCAAGCAGCGTCGGTGGGGGGCGCCTAGAAGGTAGCCTCAGAAGAGTGGGGGACTCAGACTCTCTGGAGCCAGGGAGAACCTGACTCCAAAGCAGAGACCCTCTGCTCTTTAAAACTTTGAACTGTTGAGCCAAAAATTTCCATGATACTGAATCACAGTCGAGTGGGCTTTATTTTACAATATGGCATGGGTGTCGGTCACTAATGCTGAAAGAAGCTGACAGATGAGCCATCTGTATCCCAGGAAGGAAATAGGGCTGGCTGGATTTTAAGCAAAAACCTTGTGATGACAAAAACAAATACGTTAAGGGCTGGTCAAGGGCAAGTCAATAAATAAAGAGGGAAAGACAGCCTCCCTGGTGTGGCTGCCAGAGGTTAAGATTGATTGCTTTGCGTGTGTTGTGAGAGAAGTTGCATGTGATGCACTTCATATTTGTGCTTCTAATCACACCACTTCTGGCTTACAGAGAGAGGACTCTGATCCTGGATGCGTAATGCCAAGCCTCGGCACGGAAGGGAAATGTCTTCCTTCTGGATGGCCTCCTTTCAATTTTCGGTCACAATGAAATTACTTGTCTTCTTTTGTGATTCAGAGTGTGGGAAGGAAGATGATAAGAGCATCTACTGAGGTCTGCAGGGTCCTCTTCAGCCTGTAAGTAGTATAGAAGGTGTAGATCCACCTGGTAATATTTCAGGGACACCTGGAAGGTTCCTTGCCTGCCTCTTCCAATTGCTCCCAGGTGCTCAAAACTCTTTTAAATAAATGCAATCTTTCTTTCCACTGTCAGACAGAAAGAATCTCTTAGGTGTAAATGACTGATACCAGATTCTTTCCCAGGGATAGATTTTGATGAAAGGAAAATAGGAGACAGCGTGGAGTTATTATTGACAGCTTTAGAGAAGGGAGGGGGATGCCGTGTTGGGGGAATAATTAAAAAAAGGGAAGGGTGAGGTTCCCAAAATTGGTCGCTTTACAATTTTTGCATAGGGCAAAACTTATCCAAAGGTAATGAAATGGCTTTGCTGAGCTATGTGGAGGTGTCATTCAGAATAACCTGCTGGTTGAGAATTCTTATATATTCCACATTATTAACAATGATGTAGGCAGAACTCCCATGAAAACACTGAAAAACATTTGACCTTTTCCAGCTCTGGCTTTCTAGGTGATTCAGCCTTCAAGTAAAACACAATCCTAATACTGGTCCAGCAGAACTCACTGCTGAGTGTGGAGGTCAGTGTGCAGACACCAACAGAATCTCCTTGAAACTTTTACAAATGAAGGGTCCCAAAATGTTTAGTCAGTAAGTCTTTTCATCATTAACATCGATTCCCTCGGAATTACAGATTTAACATGATTCCAATAAAAGCATGAGTGTCCTAGTCTGGACCTAAACGAGCTGATTTTCAAGTTCATATGGAAAAATAAACAAGCAAAATAACCTGGAAATTCCTAAAGAACAATTGGCAAGAGCAGGGGTATTAGAGCTCAGCTCTAGTAGATATTAGAACATACTAATAAAACCTAAATATTTAAAGACTGTGGTGTGCCATATCAGTAAACCATTGAAACAGAAAAGAAAAATAAAATACACATAGAATTCAGCATGCGATAGAGATGGACTTTTTAATACAGGGCATTGAGACAACTGAGTATCATGTGATAAAGGATAAAATTGAATCCATACTTTTCACTATACAACAAGATCCATGTTTTAAATGTGAAAAGTAAAATCATAAAAGTACAAAGGAAACGCTTGAGAATTCTTTCATAATCTTGGTTTCAGGAAGGCCTTTCTAGCTATGACTAAAACTTCAGGATCCATAGAAAAAGAAATTAATAAATTCAATTACATTAAAAAAACTCCTTCTCAATGTAGAAAGAAAGTCAAAAGAGAAAAATAACTGCAGCTCATATACAGGCAAAGCACTAATTTATCTGTGGAAAGTACTCTTAGAAAAGAAAAAAGACTAACATCTAACAACCCAAATATAAAAATGAACCAAAGACATGAGCAAACAGTAGAAAAAGAAACACAAATGTCAAACATACATCAAGATTAGCAGTGTCACTCATTACAAGAAAAAAGCAAATTAAAACTATACGAAATGCCATTTCTCCCTAGGAGACTGACAAAATCCAAAAGTTGGACAACAGTTCCATTGGCAGGGCAGGAAAAGAGGTGCTGGCAGAGTGCAAAATGGGAGACTCCTGAGATAGGTATTGACAGTGACCTTCAGAATAACAACACACCTACCAGATCTCCACTTTCAGCTGTAATGGAGGAAGAGAAACTGAATTTACTATCTCTCGAGTCTTCACCTAAAGACTCTTCTGATCCATGAGTTCATCTCAGTTCTGGGTGCCTCTCCTGGTAGAAGCAACTTTACAGATTGTGGGTCTTTAAAGACTCATTTTCCACACAGCAGGCCCCGGAAACCCCAACCCGCCACTTCATTTGGTGTGCAACTTAAGAAATAACGATTGCATTGACTCTGAAGGCAAACTTGGCAGTGTTGGACTCAATGACAGATGTGTTCATCTCCAGCATAGTGACTTCCTAAGAGATTTTCAGAGGCTATTTTGACCCTCTGCTATTTTCACCTGGTGTAGACTTCAGCTCTGTGCAAAATACAAATCAAATGAAATGGCAAGAGTACTCAATGTTGAGTCAGGTGACTTACTGTAGGCTTTGGTCTGTCATATAATCTCTCTGGGTTTGTTTTCATCATTATAAAATGAAGTCACCCAACTATGTGATCTCTAAAACCCCCTTAGTTCTAGAATTCTATAAAAATTTCTGATAAGAATACATCGCAGTCACAAAGAATTTACAAGACTCCAAGATAAGGCATAATTACACTGGCTCTAAAATATATAGTTATGCTACTTAATTTTATGATGAGATTTAATTAACTCTCCCCTTCCACTGTCAGAAGCTGCAGTGGAACAATTGTCTTTGCAAGTCGTACAGAGCATTGGTGCCTTGGCTGGGCACTCTGGATCCCAATTTGCTCTCATAGCAGCAGGCAAGAACCTTGGAAAGCAGCAATGCTTGCTTCACTGGTGAAGGGGGACAGGGCAGTTGCACAGGAAATCTACTTCCACTCTCCCCTAGCAGCCCCAGAAGCCCTCCCAGAAGAGCTATGGCACCAGGTGCCAGCCAAGGACCAGGAGAAGGATTTAGCCCAATGGATAAAGTTTGTTCCTTCGGCTGCGTCAGGCAGGTGGGTCCATCTGAAGCAAATGTTACGAATTGGACTTTTTCATATAGCCTTGTTGAAATAACCAGTGCCCCTAGGCCCCAGTAGCCAACAGGGAACTGTCTGACTTATCCACGGTTTTACTCATCTTTCAGCTGGAGCAGACCTTCAAACATAAACCCAAGTCATCCAGGGCACGGAGGGGATTTGTGATCCTCCCTGGAGGCTGTTGGCTCCAAATCCCAAGAATGTGTTATATGAAAAAATAAATGCCTTTTTTTGCCATCTGTGAATGAAAAAGTTCTTCATATGTTTAACTGTTTCAAATTGCCATATGTGACATACACGCTCACGCGCGCGCACACACACACACACACACACACACGCCTGTTTGGGGGCTGGGATCAAGTTGGTAATACAGACTGGGTTCCCTCTTTCACCCTCTGTTTTTTCTTTCAAAGGGGCTAGAGGCAAAAAGCTTCCAGGTTTGTAGCCCCCCAGAAATAGAGCAGTTTTAATCCTCATGGGGTGGGAGGTGTGCTGAGCCTGACTTAACCAGGGCATTTTTCTGGAATTTCAACCAACTGCTGCAATCCTCCCCTCCTATGCCAATTGTTTGCCTAAACTGCCCGTATACTGCCACAAAATCATAAACATCTGATGACCAACACTATGGCAGAATAGGGCACAGGCCCCTTATGTTGTTTTATGAGAGGCTGGAGGGTGGAAAGAGAGGGGAGAAGGAAGAAACTGGCAGGATTTGCTGAGTTCAACTCTCCCGCATTAACTCTCAATAAGAGAATGAATGGACTTCTTTCAAAGATGTTTTAATTGGTCATTTGCTTGAATTTATTTTGATCGGGGGGAAAGCCTAACAAACCAGAGCTTTGCTTATTGCTTACATTTCATTATCCATCCCACAAAGCTGTTAGGGAATGAAGGTGAAATCCTTAATAGTACCCACTGCAGGATCTATTTTGATCTGACTCTCCCGTGGTGATTAAGGAACTGTCAGTGAGTAAGATCCTAACCCATCAAAGCCATTATCTTCTAAATCTAAAGGAAACCCTCTTATGAAGGACCTTTTCAATGAACTCACATTGCTAAATACGTCTTCTTGAAGCAGGCAGTGGATACTGTTTTCTGCCTACCAAGATCAATCCACAAATGTTTCTTTGGCCCACAGGCTGATATTGATTCCATTCTCCCTGGATAGGGTTTTTATTTAGTTATGATCCTGTGACTTAATTTTGGCCATAGAGATATGAGAGGCTTGAGATTTCTATAAAAGGCTGTTTTTGAAGTCTTTGCTCATGTTCACTGGTAATCTGGTTCTGGTCTACTTCTATGTACCTGGCAAATTGTACCTGCCCATCCCGTTGAAATTAGGCACAGCCATAATAGAATTCTAGTCAACAAAATCTAAGACACAGTTACATGTATCACTTCAGGCCAAAGGATTTAACAGCAGGAGCTAAACCATCCAGCCTTCTCTTCCCTTGCCACCACTAAATTTGAAGTTCTTTTTAATATGAGAGCCTCATTTAGCCTGGGTCCATTATGGTGAGCATGCGAGTCTTTAAGACATGGAGCAAGAACAAGCAATGCACTTGTATTGTTCTAAGACACTAAGATTTGGAGGTTATTAGTCAGTATGGCATAAATTTGTCCTTGTGTGATTGATACAGCTTTTCTTACTCTTAAAAATAGACATGAGATACAAGAAGGAACAGCCTCTTTTCCTACCCTAAATATGACTTGGGGGCTGATGCTGCCATCTTGCAACCACAAGAGGATAGACTGTGGATCAACTCAAGTCAGAGGAGGACACCACCGCACCAAAACGTGAGGAAACAGGGCTCTTGGTAACGTCATTGAACCAGGGAATTAAACCTCGACGACTCTGTCACCAAACTTCTGTGAGATAATAATCATCTCATTGTTATGCTGCTTTTAGTCAGATTTTCTGTTACTGTCAGTGAAAAGCCCTCTAACTGATACACTCCAGAAGTGCCTCTCTCCTACTCTGTCTCCATTCATTCACCCATGCATCCATCCATCCATCCATATATTCATGTGACAAAAAAGTATAACACATGCTTTTTAGGCCATGCCAGCCATGAGAAACAACACAAAACAAAAAACTCCCAGAGTTTTAGTTAGAGCCATATGCAGACTTCCTGGAACTCCGGCTCCACCAGATCTCCCCAGAGGTCATCAGTGCTGTTCTTACTACTGATCACCTCCAGGAGTCCACACTGACTCTTCTAAGGCAGTGCTGGAAAGCCGGAGGTCTTCTGGGGTATGAGGCCTCCTTTCTTGAGTACTTTCAGTCCTTCTACAAATATGTTTCCTGTGGATAGGCTCTATGCTTGGCACTGCAGTGACCACAGGAAACACCACAGTCACTGCCATCAACACAGACAGGTGGGCATTAGGCAGTCAAGAAAGACAGACAAATCAACAGGCCACCTGAACACGGATGTGCCACTGTGACCTGCAGACGCCCTGCAGCTTCTCCCTGCCTTCTCTCTGGACACTGTTATACCCACCGTATCTATGGTGGATGGGGGTTGTCATGTGATGTCAAGTCAGCAGGCCATGCCGGTCCTGCATGCTCCAAACCTTCATAGCCAAGGATCCTTCAGCCCTGGAAGTAGCTTTTCTTTTTTAGGTCTAGACTGATGCCCTGAGATGCCTTAGAAGCTTTCCTTTAAAGCTCTACTTTGCCACGTGATAGCACTGCTTTAATCATTTCTAACCAGTGATTGCTTCAGGACAGACCCTGGCCTGCAAGGTGACTTCCTAAGCATCCATGACAAGCATGGGGAGGCAATCTTTATCTCCTGCCCTTGATGCCTGGCTTTGGGGCCAAAGATTCTTTCAGAGATAGCAATGGAATGCATTCTCCAGAAGCAGAAGCTTAGATGGCATTTGGGGTTCAAGATGTTTTTTAGGGAATCATAGCCGTGAGTAGAAGACATACAGTGCAGAATTAGGCAGAGGGAGAAGTAGAACTATGATGCAGGAGTGACCGACCTCAGCCAAGCCAGTGGGTGCTTTGGAGAGGGTACTGCCCATTGGAGTGCACCGAGTTTGGCTGAAATGGCCAGCTTCACGCTACTCTGCCTTATTCTGTCATCAATGAGAGCTGTCTTGGGAGCATGTGACCTCAAGCAAGCAGTGCTCTGCATCTTGGCTGGATGGTAACAAAAGTGACAGGGGAGTCATCTGTCCACTATGCTGCCCACAGCTGGGTGGCAAGTCCTTCCCTGAAAGAGGATCTGGGAGGTGTATCTCTGTCCTTCCACCCAGAGGGATCTGTCCACTACAGCCCACCCTTTGGACCACCTGAATTCATTTCTCCATATATGTTCAGGAAACAACTCTTCCAGGATTTCCATGGACTTCTCTTCCTGGGGAGAAACTTAGAAAAGGGAAATTCACGGTACAGCACACTGGCTCCCACCAGCAATCCCAGCACTTTGGGAGGTTAAGGAGGGAGGATTGCTTCAGCCTAGGAGTCTGAGACAAGCCTGGGCAACATGACAAAACCCTGTCTCTACCAAAAAAATAAAATAAAATAAATTCTTTCAAAAATTACCCAGACATGGTGGCAAGACCCTGTAGTCCCAGCTACTTGGGAGGCTGAGACAGGAGGATCCCTGGAACCCCGGGAAGTCAAGGTTGCAGGGAGCTACTATGTCACCACTGCACTTGGCCCAGGTGACAGAGGGAGACCTTGTCTCAAAAAAAAAGAAAAGAAAAGGAAAATTCATGAATAATTATAGCACCCATGTGATTGTGTGGGCAGGGCAGGTGTTTTGGGACCCACAGGTGACCATCATTGACTCCTCCTCCACTATTCAGTTTAGATTCCACTCACTCTCAGGTCCCACCTCTGTGCACCTTTGTGGCTGGGCCCAGATCATCCTCTCCAGGGGGGCAGGGCCTCTGGTCACCATGTCCTTCTCAGACCAGGATTGCTGACCCTGTCCACTGACAGTTACAATTGGGCAAGGGAGTAAAAAAGCACCCAGTGGGTTTCTCACATATTTCTCCTGCTCCCACGGTGAAACAGCAGCCCATTCTCTGCTGATGATCGGGGTCAGTCACCTCTACCTCTGTTCGTGCCCTGTGGTCCCTGGATACAAGGATCTTGAAATGCCTGACCAGAGAGCAGGGACATCACTAGAGCCCAAAATTCTGTGTCTATTTCAATCATGGCTCATTTCTTTTTCTGCACAAGTTGATGCCAGGTATGACCCTTGAAACTGCCCTTTGGGAGAATTGTCCCTCGACGCTGTCTTTCAAGGCCACTGCTGATGAGGCTATATTGAAGCCACCATCTATTTTTGGCTTACACCTACACACTGAGACACCCATCTGTAAAGCAAACTCAGGCTTTCCCTCTGTTTTCAGCTAGTTACACACTATGCCCCACACACTCATAAGCAGGAGCCAAGGCAGGGACTGTGTAACAGTGGTGGGTGCCGTGGGTCTGGGCTACCTGTTCATGCAGCTTGCTTGAGTATTTGGTCCCACCTGTGTTTGATCCCAGATGTGTCACTCCCATCTTATTGCTGGGCCTGCCTGACCTTATGATGTGGTGGGTCTACAGGACCCAAACCATGATGGGTGGTTCAGGCTGCATGGTCACTTAGTGTCTTGTGCTTACTGTGATCAACAGTCTCAGTTTGCACAGAACTGGGGGGTTTCTTGTGACATCAGACTTTCAATGCTAAAACCGGAAAAGCTGGGAAGATCTTGGGCAAACCGGGATACATTGGTCAGATGCTCTGTCTTTAGTGGGGCCTAGTTAATATGCCAGGAGTTCTATTTCAAAAGGTGTGTGATTCTCCTTTGAGCATAACATGGTTTAGCTGCAGAGCGTCAGAAGCCTGCATTGTTATTCTCCCACCAGGGTTTGCTATACACTTGATCTTAGCCAAAAGGCTGAGAAGCGATACTGGGGTTTGCCATAAATTCTTTGGAGTCATCCACCCAGATGTCCTTATTCCATGGGTCAAGGTCCCAAGTTTTCCCAACCAGAGCCCTGACCTTGGGTTAACAGACCTGTCTTAGTTGAGTCAGCCACTCTGACTTAAAGTCCTGGGCATGGTCCTTGGCTTTCCACATCCTCCAGCTGGAGGTGATGAGAGCTTCACTGCATGTAACTGAAGAGTCCCTGTGGCTTGCATTCCTGGCTTTCAGTTGCCTGTTGTTCATCTTCAGCTGTGCATTATCTTTTTGGAGAGGATCAATGACACTTAGCAATAGCCATCCAATCCCACTCTCTTAATGTCTGCACCTTCTTAAGTGTCAAGCGTCCTGTAGATTTCTCTCACTAGTTCGTTCCCTTCTACTAACACACCATCCCAATTCGCAACTAATGAAAGTGTTAACAACAGGACCACCACCTGGTGCAGGGGCTGTCAGTACTCCACCTATCACCAGAAAAACAGGCCCTAATTGCCAGGCAGGTGGTGAGTGATTCAACTTCAAACTCTGTCTTATCTCCACCAGCTTTCTCAGCCCCCCTCTCACTGCCAAGTGTTGCAAGGCTGGCTGTCTAGAAGCAGTCACTGACACAGAGTTTGGGGAGCACAATACTTATTAGAGATTAATACCCATAAAAGGAAGAGAGAAGAGACAGGATTGGTCAGAGGAAGAAGGTGATCAGCAACACAGACCCACAAAGCTTTGGCTAACCTGGCAGGGCATTCTGGAATGAATATTCCCTATCAGAGTCTCTTGCAGGCTGCCCTGGAGGAGCAAGACCAGCGAAATGGCTTCTGCAGCTGAAGCTGATGCTGGAGCTGATACTGGCTGCTAGCTTCACTCACTCTCTGCAGCTGGCCCTACGTCCCTCTGGGAAGGGGGGTCTGCACAGCACATTTCCACAACGCCCACCTTCCCTCTCCTCAGACAACTCAGAAGACCTCATGAAACAGGGCAGTGGCATTGCACAGGATCCGATGTGGTCATTCCCTCCACCTAGGAGGACAAACTGAGCCCTCTGTGTTCCCACTATGTGGTAAGGGGGAAGATGGCAGGGAAGACCCAAAGAATAATTGTGTGTAAATTAGAGGGTAAAAGATAAAAGCACCACAACAACCTAGGAAGAAAAATGACAGCTTGCCCCTTTCCAGATATCTCTTCTATTGTCTTTTCTTCCCATCTTTTTCAGTCCAAACTCCACAATAAGAACACCAGGGCTCAGTTCCCCTAAATTTCTTGGAATAGACTCAGATCTATCTGTATTAATCTTTCTTCCAGATTTCTGCCAGAAATGTTCAGTCAAATCATGATTGATCTTCCCTGTATTTGAAATCAAAGCTGGAAAAGAGAAATCTATTACTTGTCTATAAATGCCAGCCCTGGGAATCCCATCCTAGGCTCCATTTCCCGCCTAATCCCCTGACCATCTGGTACCTGCCCCCCCACGGACCATCCTGCAGGGAACTGACCCATTGTGTCATCCCTTTAGTGTGACCAGCCACTCAAACACACCAAGACCACTTTCAACAGGTCTACAACGTTGCATGCTTAAAAAGTTAAGAGCATTTAAAGTGCAAGTATTACTCTGAAAATGTTCCCTAATTAATAAATGTTCTACATTTTTATGTGAGAATGTTTAATATTTAATTTTTCAATAATTTTATCATTTATAATTTATTAAATTTATTTTGCGGCTTGTATTTATTAAAAATTGATATACTTCCTATTTCTCTTACTCCAATGTTAGATTATTTTTATGCAAAATGGAAAAAAACCTGGTGCTTTTAAGTCACAGGATTTTTTTCTTAAAGCCTCAATTATGGCACATTAAGACTCCAATATTCTAGGCCCCCCCTTCTATATCTCTCCCAACATTTTCTTGATGGTTATTACACTTTTGTAGATCGGGGATCAGTGACCCTTCAGAAGCAGGGTAAGATGTTTAGGTTTATTCCAGTGAGCTGGGAGTAGAGATTATTGCCGTTCTAAGTTTCATGTCATGGGAATGGTGTGGACTTAGAGCAGCCATGGTCCACATGCCACTGAAAATTCAGAATCTGCATGAAGATGCGTTGAGTCAGGGATTGCTGACCCTCAGAGTTGACAGCACAAATGTCTTCAGTTTCCAGTCAGGTAATATAAAAGAAGGAGGTGATAGAAGTAGAGTTGGTGGTAAATGTCTCAACCTTTTGAAACTAAATGTTTTCAAAGAAATAAAACATGATTTATGTCTGTGATCTGGATTCTGCCAGTTTGTGGCCTCTGCAAGAGAAGCCTTGAGACTTTAACTGAAGTCTCAATATAGGGCAATTTGTCCTCCTAGGTGGAGGGGATGCTATTATTAAACTTCTTTCCATAGTGTGGGTTATAGGCAGTTCAAGTTGTTATTAAGTTCAGGGGACCACAACGTGTGCTAAATGGAGGGGCATACTAGCATAAAATTCAGCAAGCACACAGCAGGTCCAGTTCATTCCATGCACAAATGTTTATTGAGCATTTACTATGGAAGGTGCCTGTGAGGTCAGCTGAAGAGAGAGGTTCAAGGGGTGAGAAGGGCTTGTCAGTGGAGTTGGCAGCATGAGCAACAGAGGGGAAGCATGACCTTTGAAACTCTGTAAATCACCAAAATTCTATGAATAAAAGCCCGTCAAACAGGGCTGTGAAGTGCTATGAAATACTGTGTTCAAAATATAATATAAAATCATTAATATCAAAATCTACCACTCATATTTAACATTATCTTAGGATGACTCGTGAAAGTGCCTTTTCACCACTACTGAACTAAGGGCATGGTCCACATCTGTTTTATCTTTGTTTCTTGACATCCTGCACAGTCCCTTGCTCATAGTAACTCTCATAAAGACAGGCCAAATGAATTAATGTTTATACCCAGATCATCTCTAGCTTGTAGGCTACTGGAAGATAGATTGGATGTCTTTTTAATTAATGTGTCTTCCAAGGAACCTAGAGCAATGATTTGCATTGAAGGTGCTGACCAAATGCTGGTTTCCTTGAAGGGAACCCTTTGATACTCAATCCTATTTCTGATCCTCGCTCCCTCAGTGCCCTTCTCCCAACCTGGCAGTGCTGAGTGGGGTCTCCTTCAGTGCCAAACAGAGCTGTCTCCTGTAATCTAACTGCTGAGAGTCTGTAGCATTTTGATATAATGCATTAAAACATTTCCTCAGCCAAGTGTTTTACACAACATAAAATATTTTTCTATGCTAATGTTTCTTTTATTGAGTTTTTTTTTACAAAAAATTATCACACATTCTACAGATATTCAGCAACACTTACTCAACTGAAACACAAAATAAGATTACAGAAACAGCAAATACAGACATTCTCTCAAATTAACCAGAAAAAAACATTGTTAGTGAGGAACAAACTCCACAACATCAATGGCAGCACAGCCCTGCCAAGGGTCTCTCTCATCATACGTTGTGTCGGTGGACACTCTTCAGGTGGCAGCACTGCCATCACTTTACCTGCTGACCCAGCAATCAAGACAGAGACTGAGCATTCCATGTCTCTGTTCTTAGAAGAGGGCTTATCCTGTAGCTCTAAGAGTCTATAAAGGAGACAGAAACACCAACACATTGTACAGCCCAAACCAAATGAGAGCAAGGAGGATATGAATCTCTTATGTAAATTCTGTAAGAGCTACTGCATTGAGAAGAACACTCTCCAATAGAAGAAATTGGAGAGAGCCTTCACCCTGGGGAAGGACCAGAATCTGAGCAAAAGGTGGTGAAGAGCTGTCAAAGGAGAGGGGATATTAAAGGACTGGTCATAGGGAGGAGAGTGTGAGAAGGAGGAGGAGTGAGGGAGGATGTCCAGGTAGGACATTGGTGAGGGAAGGTCCATGGTGGAGGAAGTGTGGGGAGGGGGGCACGTGGGTTGCATAGTGGGAAGTGAGGTCACGAGTTGTATATGGTGCTCAAGGAAGGCTTAGATTAAGTACACAAAGCTCAACTCTTTATACTTCAATTTGCAACTTCACATCACACCAGTTTTGTCCCTGTGAGTTAGAGGCAAAGGGCCAAGGAGACTACAGCCTCGCAGACAAGGTTAACAGCACTCGTGCATACAGGCAACCTATCTGGTCCTCACAAATCAGCCATGAATTAGCTATCATGGGTATTTTTATTCGTAGTAGACCACTAAGGAGACCCAGGGTCAGGAAGTTTAAGTAGCTTGCAAAATGTTGCAATACACAGGAAGAAGGAGATCTGGGGGCTGGAATTCAGGTCTTCTGACCACTCACTCATTGGGTTGCTCTCTTATTTCCTTTATATCTCTGTTCACATTTTACCCTCTTGGTGAGGGTTTCCCTGATTACCATGTACAAGTAGTAACCCTCAATCCACATCCAGGCTTCCTTCCCTTCTTTCCCTGCCTTAACACTATGACCATCAGAAACTCAAATACTTACCTGTCTGCTTGTTTATTGCTTTTTCTCCTTTTCCCATTAAAATGTAAATGCAACACAAGCAGGACTTGTCTGTTCTATTCCCTACTGTATCCCCCAAACCTAGAACTGTGTCTAGCTGATCCTCTTTTGACTGAGGATCAGTCCTGCTGAATCGTCTGCAGATTTTGTTCTGGTGCAGATTCTGATGCCTGGGATAGGGCATGTGAGGCTGATGTTGCTGGTCTGCAGACCATTCACCATGACATTGGCCAATTTGGTCTTCTTTGAGCTCTGAGGTAGGTGAAAATGGCCATTGAGGGAAAGCAGGGCCAGAGTGGAGGGCAATGGCTAAAGCGAATCTTCCATAGGTCCTTTCTATCTTCAGTAATTCCTCTATGATCTTGTGCATCTTGCATGTGTGATGTTTCTAAACTCCAAATAGGAACTAGCATTTATCTCGCTTCTATCCCACAGCACTTTGACAAAACAGCAAGTCTCAGATTCACCAAGCCTCCTTCATGAACATTTAGGGAGCTGCTCTGTAGCTGAAAACCTGGTTTAATTCCTAAGCATACCTTAAACACAGAAAAGCCTCAAAGGTTGCAGAAAAAGGAACCAAATCTCTCAAACAGGGATTTTCTTTAGGGTCTGTTTGGCAAACACGTATGCTTCTTACTTTGAGGCAGGCCATGTCAGCAGTTTAATTTAGACATCAAATGAGAAACAATCTGTCTGGTATAACCTTTTGCCGGTGAAATGAACAGATTCTGAGCCATCTCCCAGAGAACACTCTCATTATCCTGGTCTCCGTGACATGGGACATATTGTCTCTTTTCTTGACTTGACCTTAACACATCACTGATGCAAAACATATTTCTAGTTTGAAAAATAGTCATCTAGAAAATAAAACCATTTTATCATCTCAACCACAGTTCTGAGCCTCAGCACTGTCGAAAATGTGTTTTATTTGTACCATTGACTGCTTCCAGCCTCTTAAAAAATTAGGGAAATCTTTGTGAGCAGAGAGGTACCTTGAAAAAATTGATGTCTTTCCATTCGAAACATAAGGTCAACAAATGAAGATGAGTGGGAACATAGACTCTGACTGGGGTCACAAAATATTCCTTTAAAATGAGGGATAAAGGGGGTTTTGTTTGTAACAGAGATTCATGATCAGAATTTTGAAAATTACAAGCTCTGTAACTCCTTAAGATAGTGAAAATATTATCTGCATCATGGAGAGGTTCAGTGGAATGAGGAGAGAAAAATGAGAGACGATTTAATTTAATGCAACATTTTCACAGATGAGGAGACAGTGGCCCCAGAGAGGGGGACTTGCCCAAAATACATAGCCTAGTTGGAAGAAGCAGGACTGGAATGCATGTCCTCCAGTTTTCAGGCTAATGGCCTCTCTACTTCACCACTTTCTTCCCTGAAAAGTCCAACATGATGGCTATACCTGTATTTATTGCTAGATTACTTATATGAGAGTCTCCTTGCATTTAAATTAGTTAGGATTAGCATCAACTACTATTAATAGTGGCTGGAACAAGACAAAAATCTACCTGTTGCCAAAAGAAATGTACATTGTGGCTCTACATCAAATATGGGTTTTTTCACTGAAGAAGAAAAAGAATATGGGTATTGGGAGGCAAGGAGCTACCTACCTCTGCTAGTGTAGACAGTGTGTATGCAGTACTAAAAACACCAGGGTTTGGCATCTTTAAAACCAATACATCAGGGATATGGTTCTGGCAGCTTGTATTAGACTAACCCTCCATAGATAACAATTCAACAGTTTGCTGACAGGGGGTGGTGTGGGGGTGGGGGGTGGCCTTCTTGAAGTCACTGGAGAACAACAAAAAGTGAGCAGCTATTGAAGGGGATTCGACCTTTTAAAGAAAGGAGCCACACTTATTGGGTGAGATCCACTTTTATATGGCATTTCCCTTGAGGGTACTCCCCAGTCTAGAAGGTACTGGGAAGGTTAGAACCTGAGCAGAATGCTGCTATCTTACAGACTTGAAGGGTCAGGGAATGGATTTGGGGTTGTCCATGAGACTGGAAATTGGGTAGGGAAAATCCTAGAAATTAGAGACTAATCAGAATCTGCATATAAGCTTCCCACGAATCTTTTGCTGCCTCCTGTTCTGTGCATGCATGGGGGAGGTTATAGAGAGCCTGGTGGAAGCAGCAATTGGAAGGCTGAAAAAATTTAAAATGTAGTTCAGCTCTGCAGATGCTGGCAAGCAAGAGCTGGGGGTTTAGGTTCCTCCAGGTAACAGGGGGTTGGCTACTGTTTTCTCAAATATTTTTCTCCCCTATTCTTTTCTTCCTCTTTGTCTGGGATTCCAATTGCACATATATTAGACTGCTTGATATGGTACCACAGACTACTGAGACTTTGTTCTTTCCCTCATCCCCCAGCTTTTTAAGAAAAATCTTCATTCTTCAGATTGGATCATTTCTACTGCTATATATTCACATTCACTGACACTTTTTTCTGCCAACTTGCATTTGCTCTTAAGCCCATATTCAATGAATTTTCTATTTCAGATATTGTACTTTTCAGTTCTAGAATTTCCTTTTTTAAAAAAATATAGTTTCAATTTCTCTGCTGAGATTCCCCATCTGTTCACTCGTTATGACCATTTTTTCCCTCAAAGTACTTGTACATATTTATAATAGTTTCTTTAAAGTACTTGTCTAATAATTCCAACATCTAGATCATATCAGGTCTATTTCAATTGACTTTTCTTTTCTTGAAAATGGGTCAGATTTTTCCTTCACATATCTAGTAGTTTTTTTTTTAATTGTACAAAGGATTTGGAAGAGATTCTGGTTTCTGTTATCTTCCTTTGTATACTGTTGACTTTTTTCCATCAGGTAATTAAATTATTGGCTGATGATCTTAAACTTTTGAAGACTTAGTTCTCTGTGTTGTTAGAGAGAAACCACAGATAACCAAAGAAGGATGTTTTATTCACAGTAGAGGGTCTTACACTGCTTTCATTAAATATATTCCTTTGCATTGTATGCTCTTTGATGCTGCTATAAAGGTAGTTTACAAATTTTTTATTTTGAAGTTGTTCATTACTAATATATAGAAGTGCAACTTGTTTTTGCATATTGTGTTTGTATCCAGTGACCTTGCTAAATTCACTTATTAGTTCTAAGTAATCATTTGAAAATTTCTGGAATTCTTTAATCTAAAAACTTATGTCATATCTGAAGACAGTGCTATATAAGTGACATTACTATAGATTCTACAAATATTAAAAAGATAATAAGGGATTATGTACAACTTTATGCCAATAAATTCTACAACTCAGATGCAGTGAAAAACTGACACAACAGAAAACAAACAATAGAAAACTTGCCTCCAGATAAACTCCAGGCCCACGTAATTTCACTGGGGAATTCTTTCAAATATTTAAGAGATAAATTACCAATTTTACATAAACTTTCTCAGAAAATACAGAAATATTATGAGGCCACAGTATAACAAAAGAAAATAAGTGAGAGAATCTCTATGATCATGTCAATCCACTTTCAAGAAATACTAAGAAGAAAATTTTCGGGACTAAAAAAATATTAGAAGAGACATATAAACATGAAGTAACAAAGAATACCAGAAGTGGGAAATATAAGGATAGATATTAAACGACTAAGAAAACATTTGATGAAATGCAACACCCATTTATAATAAAAACCATGGACAAAGTAAAAATAAAAGTGAATCTTTTTAGTTTTATAAAGGTAATCTACAAGACCCTACAGCTACGATCATACTTAATTGTGAAAGATTAAATGCTTTCCTCCTAAGATCAGGAATAAGCAGGTCAGCTCTCACCATTTCTATTCAATATTGTACTGGAGGTCATAGCCAGTGCAATAAAGCAAGTAAAAAAATAGTTATCGATATTAGAAAAAATAATAAGCAGGTCAGCTCTCACCATTTCTATTCAATATTGTACTGGAGGTCATAGCCAGTGCAATAAAGCAAGTAAAAAAATAGTTATTGATATTAGAAAAAATAAGCACTGTCTTCGTATATGACATAAGTTTTTAGATTAAAGAATTCTAGAAATTTTCAAATAACTACTTAGAACTAATAAGTAAATTTAGCAAGGTCACTGGATACAAAGACAATATGCAAAAACAAGTTTCCCTTCTATTTATTAGTAATAAACAACTTCAAAAAAATTGTAAATTACATTTATAGCAGCGTCAAAGAGCATAAAATACATAGGAATACATTTAATGAAATCAGTGCAAGGCCTCTACTGTGAATAAAACATTGCTGAGAGTAATTAAAGAAGATTTTAATAAATAAAGAAATAGATTTTGTTCATGGACTAGAAGGCTTAATATTGTTAAGATGTCAATTATCTCTAAATTAATCTAGGCATTGAAGCATATCTCAATCAGAATTTTAATGGGCCTTTTTATTTTTAAAAAAGAGATTGTTCCTAAAATTTATATAGAAATTCAGAGGACCTAGTTTAGTAAAAAACAGTTGAAGATGAATAATGTTGGAAGACTCATGCTACTGATTTAAAGGTTTTCTAGAAAGCTATAGTAATCAGGACAATGTGATATTGGCATAGAATAGACAAACGAATGACTAGAACATGATGGAAAGTCCAGAAATATATCCACACATATATGGTCAACTTATTTACAAAAAAATTGCCAACATGATTGATTTTAGAAATATTAAACCACATTTGGGTTGTTACAAATTTTTTACTATTATAAATAAAGTAGCTATACATATTTTTGCATAACTCTTTTTGTAGGATATGTTTTCTTTTCTCTTGGGTAGATACCTAGGACTGGAATTCCTGAGTCATAGATATGCATATAAACTTAGTTTCATCGAAAGTAATGGCAAAAACCGCAATTACTTTTGCACCAACCTAATACATGGTGCTAAAATGCAAACCTTACGTTAAGATAGATCAAAGACATAAACATACATTTCACAGAAGATGTAGGGATGAGTGATAAGCGCCTGAAAGAGGGCTTTAGCATCGTTAGTCATCAGGGAAAGGCAAGTAAATCTACACTGAGATATAACCATGTATTTTTAAAATGGCTAAATTTAAAAGACCAACAACACCAAATGCTGGTGAAGATGTAGAGTAATTGGAACTCTCTCACTCGTGGTACTGCTAGTAGTGGAAAATGGAACAACCACTTTAAAAACAAGTTTGCTGGTTTTTTATAAAGGTCTATATTTATATGCACATTTATGACTCAGGAATTACACTCCTAGGTATTTACCCAACAGAAAAGAAAACTTATATCCTATAAAAAGAGTTATGCAAAAATACATATAGCTGCTTTTGTAACCACTAAAAAAAATTTGTAACAACCCAAAATGTCTATAAACAAGAGAATGATAAATGAATTGTGATACATTTATATAATGGCATACTTCTCAGCATCAATTGATAGAACAAAAAAATCACATGAGAGAAGGAAGTCTCACACAAAGAATGCATACTGTTTGATTTCATTTATAAGATGTTCAATAACAAGCAAAAGAAACATGTGATAGAAATCACAACAATGATTGCCTGTGGTGGCACAAGGAAATTAGAGAAATTTCTGGGGTGGTGTATACACACACACATACACACATACGATGTATTCTTTGTTTTATATATGTTGCATAGCTTGTTTGGGGTGTTTATCACACAAATCTATAGATTCATCAAAATGCAGAGAACTGTAGTATATGTGTATTTTACTATAGGTAAATTATACCTCAACTGAAAAAAGATGTTACTTTTTAAGACATTATTTTTTCTACTATGTGGGTATATGTTTTGGCCTAAGTAGATGCAGTAAAATTCCTTTTAGCATGCTCAGAACAGCTAGTTGGTTATTTAATTTTAAAAGCTAACTAAAAATCATTAAAAAGGTATGTATGTACACACATATTTTAATATTTTATCTTTCATACAAGAGCATATATATATATATATATATATATATATATATATATATATATGCATTCATTGCTAATCTTTTGATATATGGCCAAGGCCTTTGCTTTTTGATTTGTGTTCCACATTGTCATTCTTGTATAAACCATCTCTGTAACATATTATCTATGATTTCTAGTCTCAATTTCTTTAAAAAGGAGTAAGAAATTAAAGCATTCTTGAAGCAATATAAATGGAAAATCTTCCTAGGTTTTTATACATTTTTTCACATCCTATGTCTTATGTGCCCTACAATTAATTTGACAGATTTTTTTGTGACTTGCCTTTCATCTAGATTTCCAAAGCATTCAACTTTGTTTTCATAGCAGAGGAATGACAACTCTCTTTTTTTCATTCTTATTTCATTGGGTTACATGATATTCAATTAAATTACATTATCACAATAACCGTACAATCTTGCATTGAAGCATGGCTCAGATCCCTGTAGCTTCTCATTTAAACTCAAGGTAATAACCTCCTTCCATACATCAAGATGTAATAAAGTCAGAGAAGGTGAAAGGGCAAGAAAGCTTCATCTTTTAAACTTTTAAACCTCTTGAAGAGTCCCTTGCTTTCCTTGCCCTTTTTGCATAGTTTTTGCTCCAACAGCTATAATCCACAGTGAAATTATGGCAATCCTTTTAACTCTTTCCTGTCTATATTATTTCTTTCTTTGCAACATAATGTAAACTGTTAGTTTAAAGGAATTTATAAACATTATAACCTAAGTGGCCGGCTAACATACAAAATAATACCCAGTTTTTAAATATTCAGGAGAACACAGATTAAAATCATAAGACACCACTACATGGCAATCAGAAGCAAATTGGCTATCAATGGGATCTTCCATATACTGCAGGTTAAAATGTGGATTGGTTCAACCTCTTTGAAATTTTATTAGGTGATGGTATGGCATCGCCTAATAAAATTGAAAATGTGGAAATACTAGCAATCAATTTTTTAGGTATGTATCCTGGAGATATATGTACCTGGGTGCACTAGGACATATGTTCAAGAATCTTCTTCACAGCTGGGTTTATAATTGTCCCACCAAGGAAACAAACCAAATGCTTTTCAGTAGTATAATGAATAAATAGAGTGGCATATCCACACAATGGGATATTATTGCTGTGGTCTGAATGTTTGTGTCCCCCAAAACTCATATGTTGAGATCCTAACCCCCAAAGTGATGGTATTAGGAGGTGGGGCCTTTGGAAGGTGATTAGGTGGAATTAGTGCCCTCATTGAAGAAGCCCCAGAGAGCTGTCTTGCCTCTTCTACCACATGAGGACACAGTGAGAATGCTCTATGAGGAGGTGAGCCCTCTCTCCCCAGACAACCCATCTGCTGAAGACTTGATCTTGAACTTTCCAGCATCCAGAACTATGAGAAATAAATTTCTGTTGTTTTTAAACTACCCAGTTTATGGCATTTTTTATAGCAGCCTGAATGGACTAAGACAATTACATAGGGATGAAACTATATAGACTAGAGTTACACACAACAAAATAGATGGAGTCTATAAACACTATTGAGTAAAAAAAAAAAAAAGCCACAAAACAATACACACAGCATGATTCTTTCCTATAAAGTTCAAAACCAGGGAAAACAAAACTACATTTTAAAGGATGCATACTATATTGATATGACAAAAATAAAAACAAAATTATTTCCACAGAGGCCAGGAGAGTGGTTACATGTAGAGGGAGGAAGATGCCTGGGTTTGGGAGGGGCGTATGAGGAAAGAACTTCCAGAGTGCCGGTGATGTTCCCTTTCTGACCTGAGTGGTGCTTGCACGGTGTTTGCTTCTTAATCATTTTACAACTGTGCCCATATGTGTTACATATTTTCTCTGTGTCATGTTTCATGATATAATGTTTTACAACATCACTGAGCATTCTACATAATTCATTTAATTCTCCCTGCCACCACCATCTCTTTCTCTCCCCAGTTCTTTGTTTGAAGATCATGCCCAGGTGCTTCGTTCACTCTAAGAGACATGAAGATTCTAATCACTAATTTTCTTAGTCTCTTTGGTTAATTTTAAGAATGAAATAGGACTGGGAAGAAATGGGAACAGTAACATTCAACAGCAGCTACAGAGTGGGGAAGTGGACTAAACACCCATTAGTACAAATTTATTCTAAGACAAGTATGTTCTCTATTTTATAGTTTACTTCAGAGCAAATTAATTCATCTAAATTATCTAATAATCAGAGTGCCAGTAGCTTAATTTTCACATTAAGCATAATTATTTAGGTTATCTACAAGTGTCTTTCCCAGTATTTGCCTCTCTACAGCCATGAATTCTATATTGTAATCCAATTTTGATTTGAAATTGAAAAAACACTTTAATAAAAGCTTTATTTAAAACCAATTATCAAGATTTCTCTTTTTCCACTTAGTAAATGATTCAGTTGCAAGATGTTGCTTAAGAATCCAGTAGAATCATGTCTGTCAACAAAATCAAGCTTGCTAAGCTTTCTCCATTCCTTTCAGCATTATTTATAAAGCTCACCATTGTCAGTAGCTACTAGGCCCATCAAGGCAGTATCTATTTGTGAGACGGTTCTTTTTAAAAATCTTGTATTTAATGACTAATTTTTCATTTTCCATTATGTTAACCACAGAGGGCTGAATAGACTGCATTTGGTAGGCGGTATTCATGGTGGGATGGTGCACGGACACGTGAGCACGTGCACACACACACCCCAAGCCACACCATTGGAAGATTTCAGTCTACAGAAATGAACTCAGTGAGTGCCCACCGGCCTGGTTTTGCCAAATATCCTCAGGCCACTTGACATTGACGCCTCTCATCTCCAAATCTTTCAAGTAATGCCAAACTGTGGGGAAAAAATTCGAGAAATGCATGACTGTCTCTTCCATCATTTGGTGAATAGAAGAGCTGAATCAAATAATGCCTGCCCTTTCAAATGTTTCTGTTTTCTGTTGGGCTGTTGGCATCCACACATAGTTTTATTAGTCAAGGAAAATCACAGGAAAAGGGGATGCTTTGAAGGGCTAACGCTTAGATGATTTTAGTTTTCTGAAGTTTATTTCCTGGAGATGGTTGCATTTCAGGGATTGAGGAAGCCTCTCTAACTGCATTTGTATCTACTAAATAGCTCATGAAACTAGAATGAATTTTTATAAGCATTATGCCCCAATAATATCCAGCAACGGTAGTATGGGCAAATAAATTGTGCCCATACTATAATATAATAAAAGGGATAAGCTTGACCCTAACTGAATTTCCATTTCAACTCTAGATTATCACATTATCGGATGAGTCTCTGTATTCTTCGAAGAGGTTTTGATACCAGATTTATTGGCATAATTAAAAATGAAGTGATAATGAAAGGGCCCCCCACTGCTTTACAAAACCTGTATAGTGGTCCTTTGATTTCTATGGTAATGACACGACAGATATGCCACACGAATTCTCACAGCTGTCTCGGCACAACATGAACAGCTGTTCCACTTAGAATTCCAATGAGGGTCAGCTAAAAACCAGGAACTTACACAGTGCTATGCTCCCAGCACAGGAGAAGGGTGAGACTACTGGTTCTCCCATCTCTGCCACCTGCTTAAATATGGAATTCTGTAAGCTCTGCGTCATGCGGAGATAACCTCCATAACCAAATAGGTGGGCAAGCTTGTGTCTAGGTTTAACAACTCTTGATGGTCAGTCAATCGATTTAAATAAGGTATAAAACATTTTTAATTTAAAATTTTAATATTGGATGCAAAATAATTTGTTACATATTTTAAATGCTTTGTATAATGTAATGTTACATATGTTTAACTTAAAATATGTTTTATATTAATAAAACAAATATTGGTAAAGCCATCCTTCAATTTATGAAATAGAACCTATGAATTTGGTTGAAGGCCTTTTTGTGGTCTTAGAATCCCAGTGCACTGCCTGTCCTCCCATAGATAACAACTACTCTGAAATTTTGCAATTGTTCCTTCTTTCTTTTTCCTTTTTTCTAAATTCACTTGCATCCCTAAATAACAGATTATTTAATTTTGTTGGTTTTGAATTTATACAATGATGTACAGCTTTCTGCATTCTTCTAGGACTAGCCCTTTTCATTCAACTGTCTCTAAGATTCACACATATTGAGATACGTTGTTGTAATTCATTCATTTTTACTACTTTGTTTAATTGAATTAAATATGTAAAAGTTCCTGGTTTTACTGTGATAATGCTGCTATGCAGGTATTTTGGTATAAGTCTCTCGGTTCACATGTGTTAATGTTTCTCTGGGGTATACACCTATGAAGGGAATTGCTGTATGTGCATGTTTACCTTTTTAAGATAATGCTAAAATCTTTTCCAATTTCCACAGCAATGTGTAAGTGTTCTCATTGTTCTACATCTTTGCCAAAACTTAATCATGCAAGACTCACTTTTTGCTAGTTTTTTGGGCATAAACCTTGTATCTTTTAATTTGCATTTATCTAAATACAAATGAGTTTGGGTTTGTTCTTCGATACAAATTTAAGAAAAAGCTTGTTGAGTTTGATTTTTAAAAAACCTTATTAGGATTTTGTTTGGAATTGCATGATATTAGTAGATTAATCAGGGGAGAATTATCAGGTTAAGAACTGTGAAAGGTTTGAGATTTTACTCTACTTGTAAATTTACATCAGTCTGTTAGTTTCAGGGATGCTGGCAGAAGACGCTAGACTCTTGAATCAGAGACAAAGGACTTTATTACCCACAGCAATGGCAGTAGCCAGAGTATCAGCATTTTCCTGAAATGCTGATTCTGAAGGTTCTGAAGCTGCAATTCCCACAGGAAATGTGAAGAGGGTGGGTGACCCCTGTGTCTGTACTGGGTTGTGGTACAGGAGAGGAACACTGAACATAGGAAATAAGTATTTTATATGGAACAGCAAGTATGTTTACCCTCTGCTCTAGAGGGAGACACTATCCCTGCCTTCGAAGGCTGTTCACCATAAGGACATCTTTGAAAAGATAATCCAGAGCAAAGGCAGCACATAAGTAAGCAATCTCTGCTTGAAAGATGTGCAGAAATGCAAGATGCCTATGGAGATATGTCTCTCAACATGACATCTGTAGAATATTAAGACTTCCTTTCCGTGAAGATGTTTGCTGTCTACATTTTTTTCTGTCTTTTAATATAGTTTTGTAATTGACTCATAAAAGGAATGCTACTTTGCGTATTTGTTGCTTTTTTAAAAAGTATTTTTTGAAATTACGTTTTTCTACTTCATGATTGGTATATAGAAATGTAAATAGGTATTATATTTGAACATTACATCAACTAACTTTTAAATCCTCTTAATTCTATTTTCTAGATTCTTTTGGGGTTTTGCTTGTCTATGTCTGTTATGTCTATATTCTTGTCAGCTGTGTATAATTCAGTTTGTCCTTTCCATTATGGCTCTTACTCTTTTATTTTGATATTTCTGTGCTGGCTTAGCTCTCTGATTACCATGTTAAATAGAAGTTATAATAATAGTAAACATTCTTTTTTCTTTTTCTGATACAAGGTCTTGCTCTACTGCCCAGGCTGGAGTGCAATGCTGTGATCATAGCTCAGCGTAGCCATGAATTCCTGGATCCAAGCAATCCTCCTGCTTCAGCCTCCTGAGTAGCTAGGACAGGAGGTGCCACGCCCAGCTACTTTAAAAATTTTTAGAGTCAGGTCTCACTATGCTGCCCAGGCTGGTCTTAAACTCCTGGCCTCAAGTGGTCCTCCCACCTCGGCCTCTAAAAGTGTTGAGATTGCATGTGTGAACCACTGTGCCTGGCCTTTTAAAAATTTTATACTATTTATTTAGTTTTTTCTTTAAGTATCTGTTCATTTTGGTAGTTTCTTTTTTCTTATACGTGTTAAACACCTTTTTAATACAACACGTTTATTTTGTAGTATGTATCTGAAAATGTAATATTGAAGTCTTTGAGGATGTGGATCTATTTGTTGTTTCTACTGACTTGCCCTGCTAATCCTGGGTTATGTCCTTTTCATTTCTCTGTGATTTTAGATTGTGGGTTTATATTTGCTGGCATGCTATCTCTGCGGTTTCTTTTGAGGACTGGGTTGAGGGTACCTTTCTTTCTCCAGGGATGATTTGTGTTTGCTTTTGTCAGACACTGAGCACTACTGACATGAATCCTCTTAAAAATACAATGGTCAGCCATATAAACTACGTAAACAGTGTAGATTCAGTTACTAACTCCAACTGTTTTGTGTGTGTGTGTGTGTGTGTGTGTGTGTGTGTTTGAGACATGGTCTTGCTCTGTCACCCACATTGGAGTGCAGTGGTGTAATCATGGCTTACTGCAGCCTCGCCTTCCCAGGCTCAAGTGATCCTTCCACTTCAGCCTCTCAAGTAGCTGGGACTACAGGCATGTACCACTATGCCCGGTTAATTTTTTTTTTTTTGAGTTTTTTGAGTTTTTATAGAGATGGAGTCTTGCCACATTGGCCAGGCTGTTCTCCAACTCCTGGGCTCAAGCAATCCTCCTGCCTCGGCTTCCCAAAGTGCTCGGATTACAGGCATGGGCCACCACACTTGGCTTAAACCCATTTGAATGTTTTTAGCCAGTAGCTGTTAATTTGCAGGGGAGCCCTTAAAAAAAATCCATGAACAGCCCAGGCTGAGAATGGTTACTTTCCTCACTATCTGCCTCTTCGATTTTTTGATTTATTGTAGTTCACTGTTTTTAAAAGGGTAGAGCATTTCAGGGATCCAGGCTTTCCGTGAGGTAGGTATGACTCTCAATTATTCACTGGCCCTAAATGTTCCACAAGTTCTCTAGGCTATCGTGATCAATATAGTCCCACGTTCTGATTGTTTCCAGGGTTGTCTCTAGAGAGATAAAAGTTTAGCTCATGCATCAGAGTCACCTGGAGGATTTGCACACAGATTTTGGGACCTTACTCTCTGAGTTTCTGATTTAGTAGGTCTCATGTGGGGCCCAAGAATTTGTGTGTCTCAGTTCCCAGGCAATGTTGATGTGATTGATCTGGGGGCTATACTTGAGAACCAACTCTATGGACTAGGTTGATTGGCAAATTTTCTCTGTGAAATGCCAGAGTAAATCTTTCTGACTTTGTGGATCACATGGCCTTTGTGAAACCACTCAACTCTACTGTTGTAGCATGAAATCAGCCATAGAGAATGCAACAACAAATGGGTATGATTGTGCCCCAAGAAAACCTTATTACAAAGATATGTGTCTGGCCACGTTTGACCCAGGGTCCACTCTTTGCTGATCCCTGTTCTAGACTGCTGTTCGCGTTTTGTCCCGGGCCACAGGAGCTTTCTTTTGCTTTCTCGCAGGTATATTGGTCACTTAAGAAGGTTTTTAAAAAATATTTTAATGAACATTTTTAGATGTTACATAGCAGAAAATCTTTCAGGATCTCCTTTCCATTATATCATTAGAAGTGGAAGTCCTGCATTTTAAATTTCTACTTGTTTGAATAATTTAGGACAATGCTTTTCTAGCAGATCTGATTTTTCCCACAAGTCCAGTCTCTTTAGTAGGCCATAAAATGTTTATGATTTGCCCTTGTTTTCTTCCTGGAACCTTTCCCACCTGCTGCCTCTATATAACATACCTTCCTATTAAACTCAGTTACCTCAAGGGCCCTGCTCTTTCCATGCTATCTCATTCCCTCATGCCTTCGCACATACTTTTCTATTTTCCAGGTTGCCTTCCATTCCTTCCCCCAAGCAAAGCTGGTAAATTCCCGCTACTTCTCTAGCCTTCATGAAAATCCTCCTCCTCTGTGGAGCTCTCCCTTCCCAAAGCTGCTGCTCGGCCCTAGATGCGCTCCCCATAATTATGCCCATCATTATATCTATTGTACTCCACTGTTATTGCTAGTGCCCCACAATGTCCCCTTGTTAGGCTGTGAGTAACTTGAGAGTGGGAGTGAGTTCATTTATCTTTAAATTTCCAGTGCCTATACGTATTTGTCACTCAATAAATGTTTTATGAATTTATTTACTTTGGAAAAATAGAATATATGGCTATATAAATGATGACTATTTAGGAAATGGGATTTTAACAACTCATTTGATACGGTTTGGCTGTGTCCTCATCCAAATCTCATCTTCAACTGCAGTTCCCATAATCCCCACGTGTCGTGGGAGGGACCCAGTGGGAGGCAATGGAATCATGGGGGTGGTTTCCCCCATGCCATTCTTGTGATAGTGAGGAAGTTCTCATGATATCTGATGGTTTTACAAGGGGCTTCTCCCTTTGCTTGGTTCTCATTCTTCACTCTCCTGCCACCTTGTGAAAAAGGACTTGTTTGCTTTCCCTTCTGCCACGATTTTAAGTTTTCTGTGAGTCGATTAAACCTCTTTCCTTTATAAATTACCCAGTCTCAGGTATACCCTTTTAGCAGCATGAGAATGGACTAATACACACTTATGTAAATCCTTGAGATTTTAATCTTATCTCTATAATCACCAGCCCAATTAGAACCTCCTAAACTCAGTCTCGTTTATTATTCTGGGTTAGTCAAACCTACATAAGTCTGTAGTGAAACACAGAAATACACAGACCACTGCATGCATCATACCCAACCAGCATTGGGGAGGTCATTTATTGTCTCTAAAATAAAACAAAAGACACAGTGTTTTGTTTCTCTTTTATTGCAACCCACTGCAAGGTCAAAGATTCACGGAAATATAGAAACTACAAACCGGGTGAATTTTCTTTATCCACTCAAAAAGACATTAAAGACAAAGGACCAGAATTTTCCACTACAGCAATATATTTCATAGTCTTTATTCTGAAAATACTGTTGACATTTTGGAGAGAATAAAAAGCCCTGCATTAAACGTGTTCACATGTATTTATGACATTCTAAGCAAAAAAAAGAAACTCTATATTGCCCAGAAAAATTATTTTAAGCCTCATTTCAAAGCATCTAATGAGAACACATTCAACAACCATCACAGGACCACTCAAGGTGATGCTTTTTTCTGGCTGTTTTTTTTTTTTTTTTTTTTTTTTTTTGAGATTAATGCTTTGAGGCTGGATATGGTATTTCTACGGATTTCTACAAATGTACCAAAGCAGTTTTCCAGATTATGTTGCATCAGGCTTTCTGGATTAGTCAACATTTTAGAGAATAAGTGCAAGTCCCCACCCCACCCCCACCCCCCCAAGCTAAAGCATGTTATAGTGCTGTACTTTAGATTCAAACAATGCAACATTTAAAAAAATCAATTATACATTCTGAAACCATTTGACAACCAAACTGTAACACTCCAAAGGTTATTACAACTTTGAACTGAAATGGTACCATCTATATCATAGATGGCTCTCCCTTCTTTTGTCTTTTTTAACTATTTAAAATATAGTATGACATATATAAAAATTAAACTTTTGCATATTCACTCAAGCTACTATTACTATACATACTGTCTTATAAATTAGTTTTGGATTAAAAATCAGTTAAAATATTGTGAAATAAGATATTTCAGTGGTGGGGAAGTGGATATGAAAATGATACAGTTCAATGTGTAAGAAGAAATATAGTTTATTAATGTTAAACAGCTTTTTTCTTACACAAATTTTATTCCCTTCAAATTAAATTAGAAACCCATTTAGTTATGGGAAGAATACTCATGGCGCTTACTGACTAGATTTTCCTAACCGATTGGGATTAAAACAAAAATGCCACATCAGAAACATGTTGACATAATCAAAGGAAACAGTTGTTTACAAAAAAAGAGAATCATTAGAAATCAGTAAATGGCATTCAAATGTAAAGCTATCTTGTTTCTTACAGCTAATGTCATGTTAGCAATGTGAGACTTAAAGAAAGTGAAACTCAAACCTCAGTATATCTGTTAAAGACCAAATAACAGTTATATTCACTCAGGGAAAAATAAATAGCAACTTCACAAGTTAGGGTTTTGTTTCTAGTTCTACTGTGAAAGATAATCACTCTTTAGCTTAAAAAGGCTCCCTGATGTCCTCATTATAAATCTAGACACAGGAACAGTTATTTGAGCCTGAGTCCCTATTATGAATTAATTGTAAAGATGTGTTAAATCAAAACATATATTCATTTACTGATAGGTCTTGTCTTAACTGAAGCTGGCAATCCTTAATTAAACAAAGAAATGCTTATTTCTGACAAGTGTAAACAGAATTTCAATGAACAGATTTTCTAATTTTCTTTCTTAACTCATATATTAGCTAGCAATAGATCTTTGCAGTAGCATGAGAACTAGTCCAAAATGACAACATGCATATATCCAAAAAACCTGTTCAAGAACCCAAAGCAAAGCAAAAAGAGCAACAACAGTAGAAAGATTGTCTACTTATATCTCACTCATGAATCTTCTATTAATGTGACTACCCTCTCGTATCTCAGAAATAGACTTTAATAATTACCAAAATTAAGAAAATAATGAAATGATCTGTAGTTTTTAAAATAACTGCACACCATTAATTACATTGGTGGCTTCAATGCTAAGATTAGTTTCAAATATCATTAAAATATATCCTGACCAGTTACTATCCAGGAAATAAAAGCTAACACAATGTTAACATAAAACCAACTAAAATATTTAGTGCTCAACAGAATGCATTTGTAGAATAATGTATAATTAACTTTCGTGAGCTGGCCAGGAGAGTTCAGACTGTTGCCTCTATATAACAAATTTAGAAAAGGCTTTATTCTTTCTAGTCCCCAAGTCACCCACCAGATAGCAAGTTGGCCACCCGAGGATACACGGAGTTAGGCAGTGCCACAGTGGATAACATGCTACCTTAGTGGCCTGGAAGAAGGCTTCTCTGTCAGGAAACGATCTAGAGTAGATCAGAGCCCTGGTGTAGATGTGCACACGTGTGAATATGTGAGAGAGTGTAAGTGCCTGTACGTATAACATCACTTCTGCTGTAGTCATCATCAGTAGAAGTGCACAATTCATCCCATGTAAAAAGAAGGCCTTCTTACTTGGACATCTCCAAGTGGCAGCAATTAGAAGCTCAAAATAATACATCCAATTTTTTGACTCTATATTAAAAATAATTTTTTTTTAAAGAGAAAGAAGCCTTTGAAGTTAAAAACTAAAAAGTTTGTGGCTTTCATAATCTTTAATTTCTAAGAAAAAAAGCCAGCTCACTTGGGAACAAATGACAACTGCACTTTTGGTATGCAGTATGCAAACAAGACACAAATACACATACTTGAACACACACAGACAGGTGACAGTTAAAACCCTTCCGAGAGATCAGCTCCCCAAATGTACAATTCTCCTCTGCTCTGCTGAATGATCCCAGTGGACTAGGCGAGGCAGGAGCGCTAGGAGGAGGCGGCAGACATGTTGGGGGTCCAGCCCATCTGATAGGCTCTCTCCAAGGTCCTCTTGCAGTCCTGCAGGACGGTGCTGAAGGTGATGTGGGGGTACTGCTGCACCAGCTGTTCCACCGTCACTTCGTTGACCTGCAAACAAAGAAGAGTCACCATCACGCACAGAGACCACCAACACCACGCCGCTGCCCACGCTCACTGATGTGCTGCAGCTGGCTCACTGTGACACGAAGAGCCCTCGCCTTGTTCCTCCTAGCGATGTGAGGAAGGGTTTTGTGAGGAGATATGTGTCCCATTTCATCTGACCTCTCTGATCTCCCAGTAACACACCTGCCCTTAGGGATTTTTAATGTAACATCAAGAAATCAAAAGTGTTTTCTAGAAGCATAAATGACTGTGATTTGTCAAGATCTTAACAATGTCCATTGAAAATCTAGTGCTTGGGAGGTAAAGAAGCAGTAAGATAGCTAATGTGCATTTGACTTCATCATCAACCCGACAGCCTTTTTAGGACAAAAATTGTGGAATGCCGGAGAGGACACACTAGATTCCAGACAGAAGTGTTGGGGAAGATGTTTATTTTTCTTCCCTTTAAATGTTAAGGTACGGCAAACTTCAAGTTCCTTTGTGAAAAGGGCTGAAATGTGAGGAATCAATAATTAAAACATACATGGCTGGCAGGTCAGAGATGGCCCCAATAGACCTTAACCATCAAAGATACCACCTTGATTCTTGATTAGACAAGGCAATCAGACAGGCCTAATTAAAACTAACACCTTTACAATTGCTGTGCTGTGAAGGGATTAATTTGTCAATTATTTTTAAGATGATTGCAGTTCATATCACAGAAGTAGACAGTTTTCTTCATCCTTTAGATAAATAAATGATTAACCTAAGAACCACAACTTTTAGGTAGCTTTATTTAAAATCTTTATTGAACACTTGAGCATTTTCAAATACATCAATATTTCATTTATACCGAGTAAGCTAGTCTGAAAAAAGGGACTTGTGATACACATTTTTGAGCACACTTCTTGATGTCCATTATTGGAAAAGATCAGGACCACTAGGAAAAACCTGAAACAACATCAAACCCTTGCTGTTTGCTTTGAAAGCCTGCTTAGAAGTATGATGATCATGAAATTCAGCTATCTGCACTTTTCTGAAATAGCATGATGTTTTCTAAGTGATCTAGAAAACTATGTTATCTGTTAATTCTTTTTACATTATTGAGAGTTGATATTTCAACATTGTGTTGATGATACTAAATCTTTGCCAGAGCATTTCTCTACTTAAGACTTGCTTGCGTTTAAGTGAACTTTTATTCCAAATTTAACCAAGCCACATAACTAATTCCTTTTGTGATAAAGCTATGATTTATAACGTTTTATTTTCAAAAGCTAAAACAATTTTGAATAAAAAAAGGAAAACTGATACACATATCGGAGTTGAAATATGAACTGATGAATTTAATATAATTTAAATGCGTGCTCTAAGTCTAGAGTTCAGACAGCTTATAACAGTACATTTAGGAGTCATGTATCATCTGGCCTTGCCTATTCCTCTAGCATATTTTTGATACTATCCAGCCACTTGGCCTAGTTTCAGTTTATTAAGTTGTTCAAGTTCCTTCTGGTCTTGGGATCTTTACACATCCCTGGAATACTTTTTGCCCCACTTATCCATTATGACCCCTTTCACATGCCTACTTCCTACTCATCTTTGAGTTCTTAGCTTCAATGTCATTTTCCCAGCAAATTTGGATCACTGCCTTATCTCTGCTCCCCTCACTAAGTTACATAAGTATTCCAGATCATTCACTCTTTCAATACTCCCTACTTTTCCCCCATAGTACTTATTATTGTACTAAGTTTATGATTGCTTAGTTTAATGTCTATTTCTCTTGCTCCAATCTAAGATCTATAAGAACTATCATGAGCCAGGAATAGTTATTAGTGAGTGAATGCTAAAACAAATACAAACTACAAATAAAAAATAGAAATCCAAGAATAAGGCAAAGCCAGACACTAACATACTAATCAAGAAGACTAATGATTTCTTGAGGAACTCACATTCAGCTCAAGAATCTCCTTCTTCAGGGAAGCCCTCCCTAAGCAACCCAACCCAGAAGGTTGAGTTAGGCACCCCTTCCCAGTGCACCATGGCAGGCACCCTGCAAGGTATGTCCGCTCTTTGAGCACTCTCACACTGTACTACAATTATCTGTCCACTTGCCTATCTCTTCCACCTGAATAAAAGCCTATGGAGATTAAAGATTGCCTTTTATCTTTGGGCTGTTCAAAATAGAGAACCAAGGCATGTTACTTCTTTAAGACTTGGTTTTTCTAAACTGTAAAGACAGGATAAAAGTACATATCATAGGACTGTTATAGCGATTAAATATAATAATATGCCTCGCACTGTGACTGATATAAAAAGCCCACCATACAGTAGCTCTCACTATTGAAGGAGACACTCAGTAAATGGTCACTGAATGCAAGAGTTAATTCATGATCTCTTAGGGCCACCAATTCTCTATAGCATTAATCAATATTGTTCCACCTCTAAGTTATCTCATAAAATAAACCTTGTTAACATTAGTTGTAATGTTTAAAATAAATTAATCACCAAGCAAGGAATAACTTTTAGAATGTTCTCCATGTACAAGAAGAATCTATTTTTTCTTAATGGTTTCTTGAGCAGATTCCAGAACTCTCCTTAATAACATAGTCCAGGTTTTAAGTAACTACTTTGGCATGGTTTGGATATTTGTCCCCTTCCCATCTCATGTTGAAATGTGATCCCCAATGTTGGAGGTAAGGCCTGGTGGGAGGTGTTTGGTTCATGGGGGTCTGCCCATCATGGCTTGGTGCTGTCTTCGAGATAGTGGGGGAGTTCTCTCGAGATCTGGTTGTTTAAAAGTGTGTGTGGCACCTCCCCCAACTCTCTCTCTTGCTCCCAGCCTCACCATGTGACATGCTTGCTCCCCTTCGCCTTCCACCATGACTGGAAGTTTCCTGAGGCCCTCACCAGAAGCAGATGCCAACACTGCACTTCCTGTACACCTGCAGAACCATGAGCCAATTAAACCCCTTTTCTTTATGAATTACCCAGTTTCAGCTATTCCTTTATAGTAATACAAACAGACTAATACATCACTGCCAGGAAATTTTTCCTTTTTTTTAACAGATGTTCCCCATGCTGCAGTTAGATGACTTGCCTTCCTTCTGCCATAAACAAACAAAAGCATGCAGGTTTCACTAAGAGATGAAGTCATTTCGTCAGAGAGGAACCTTGGAAAATCTGCATCACATTGCAAAGAAGTAAATGTAGTCCAAGCCACTTGGCATTCAAGGAAGTACTAACTAAAAATAAATGAGAAAAGAATGGAGCAGAGAAAACATTCAAAACCACTGTTAACGATATGAACTCTTTTCTATGGTACATCTTTTCCAATTTATACACAGGTTTGTACAGAGTTTTGTACCTAGGGTTGACAGGCAATTTGTTTTGGAGGGCCAATTAATTTAAAAATAGAAAATATCTCTATGTGATAACTGTTTTCCAGGAAAAGGCACATAATTCACCTTAAGCAAACTGGATACATGAAGATATGGATTTATGAAGTATACAAATTAGAAAATAATTGTTCACTTTAGTAAATAATTTCATGGTAGGGTTAATTTATTTTGCCAGCTCCCCCAAGTGTATTTTATATATCCTTTGATTTCCCAAAATGCAATTTACCTATTTTGGCGGCACAAAGTAAAATACATCTGTAGTTGAGAATACAGATGATGATGTGTTTGTTCTCTGGCTTTCATAGGTTTGGGGTAAGAATAGACAATAATTTGACTTTGTGTAACTGTATGAAAAATGGCACCAGTAATCCTCTGTGCATATAATGTATCTTCTAAGCAATCCTTTTGCTAACTGTACTCTGTAAATTCTAGGAAACAAAGCAGTGGGGAAAATGCAAATATTTCATTTTAGAGCTCTGTTGCGTAGAAGTTATTCAGGGGAAATTCATGGGCTCCTACTTAGGGAGGGTTATTTTACTTATAATCTCTCCTGGCAATAGTGTGACAAATATTATACTACAGTTATGTTCATTTACTCCACAGAAGTACAAATTATGCTCACCTTTTCTTTGTATGGACTCCATAAGTGCTTTGGTGCCATAGAGGATTCAGCGTAAGACACCAGCAGAGCCCAAATCCTTTTACATCGTTATGCCTACATGCACATTCCTGCAGATATTTTGTCATGCACAACTCCACTTGCTAGAATGAAAAGAACCTCTCTCTGTTCCAACTCATAAAATATATGTAATATAAAAAGGGAACATTAAAGATGAAGTTTTTTTTTTTTAATTTCCCCATGATCCCTGGTTTTCTGTATTCAATTTCTTTTCCTCTTGCTGAAAACTATCAATGGCAACTCCTATATGACACATGAGATTTAAAAAATGCAATGTATCTTCTTAAAGAAATATGCCGCACTGTCATTGGAAGAAATTACTGTGATTAAAGGGGGAAAAACCATGTGCCACAAATTTTTTTTTAATATAAGAAAGACTGGATTTTATACTTCTCTCCAAATGCTGCATAACCATAATTTACATTTTCAAAATTGTTGTAACTCTTTTTAAGGTGGTAGCAATTTGTCTGATATTTTAATCTATTTTGAGTTAACATCTATTAGCACTTTGTGAAAATGTGAGGCAAATTGCTATGCTAATGAAGGTAAATCACACCACAGTTTCATGATATGGCTGCCGCTCTTAACGGAAGGGTGAGGAGAGAAACTTCAGAGTTACAGAGAGTCGGTGTAACAAATTTATCTAGGCCATTACAGTCCCTTTATTAATTTCCGCAGAAAGTTCCAGATAAGTGTAAACCCAGGCCTGACTTATCTCCTCAATGATACCTACTGTTCAATAAAAGTAATTTCTGATAAAATTTGCAGAAGAAGCCATTTACATTAAATGATGGTTACTTCCTTTTTGACTCAGGTTTTAAGAGAAGACATATTTATGATGGGGGAAAATATTTGACATCTGAGTATATTAAAATCACATTTAAAACTAAACCACTTAAAGTTCCTGACAACAAGGAGAATTTCAGTCATCTCTTTGTTGTTAGTCCTATAGGCACTGTCTGGTATATTCTTGCCCATTAGAATACAGGCTCTATGAGACAGATATTCTTGCTGGTTTTGTTCACTGTCAAATCCCTAGCACATAGTATATACTCAATAAATATGTGCTGGCTAAATTCATATAGGGATTGTTCAATGAATATTTATTGAGTACATTAAAAAAAGCACCAAATAGTACTGTACCAGAAATTGTAGAGATAAGCTCACCTTGCTCCCAGACTGCTCAGCTAGAGTGGTAGCAGTCTCTAAAGTCCTGATAATATGGCAGCCCCAAACTCCTTTAATCCTCTGAAGTTCATACCCATGGTGATTCTTTGGGCTATTGTCTTTTCCATCTGACATCACCAGATACCTCTTTCTGGATACATCTTCCCTAGAGTTTCTAATAATTTTGCACAGGAGACCAAAGCAGCTCATGATGGTAGTTTAACAAGTTTTGCTGGGTCATGTGGCTGTCAGGGAGTACTTGGAAAATAACTAAGCTACACTTTGGATAACCTGATGGCAACCCTCCATACTGGAGATCATTCTTAAACCAAGTGTGTAGACTAAAAGGCATGCTAATGATCCTGGACGTGAGTCGGTTTCCAAAACTTGGCAAAACCCCACACAGTTCAGAGGATTTGACTCTGGTGTTTACAGCATCAGCAGCCTGCTCAGGATGGCAGGCCCAGGAGGGCAGACCATTTGGAAATTTTGTGACATTTAAGCTCCCTTTTAATGTCATAGTTATCTGATGGCAAAGAATAAATTGTGGACAGGTCTCCTGACTCAAAGCAATGCCATTCCTATCTTCTGATTTCTTGGGCTTTGGGAGTTGGTATGCCTTCACCCCTATGTGGTGGCAAGTGGGAATGTGAAGGTCTATCTTTTTTTGGTTGGTTCTGCTGTCATGGTAGTGTTTAGTATCTGGTGCCTCAGGAGCATGCAATAAATGGCAATCTCAGATAAGGAGAAATTCTGCCACCAAAACTGCTCCATGCTCCCACTGCTAAACACGTAGTATTAGGCTTTCGTGTGTTAAGAGACAATCAAACGCTTCTCTTCAGCATGGTTTATTTTGGCAAAATACTTGAAAACAATTTGTTAATATTTTACTCAAATAACCAAGGCAAAATAAAAGTATGTCTCTGTTCAGGTAAGGACGGGGAAGACAGGAAAGGAATAATATTCAGTGAACATCTATTATTTCCCAGACATCTAAGCATGAATACCCCTACTCAGATGGAATTCCTATTTCACACAGCTAGCAAATGGTAGCTAGAATTTGAATTCAGGACCCCAGCACACAGTGCTCTTTGCACTGTACCACATTGCCTGGCCCCTTAGGTAAGATGGTGTGGTGTGGAAAGTGTCAGACTGGGGCCTGGCTGATCTCCTGCCCTGTAAAATGTTTACTGACATTCGTTTTTTTACTGAACATAAAAGAGATTGCAGTTTGCATATAAATACATTTCAAAGTCCTTGATAATGTTTTCAAAATGGGTGCTCTAAATGTAAATTATAATGGATCTCACTTGGCCTGCAGAACAGTCTGTTGTGGAGCTGTGGGTTGCATGAGACTTTGAAGCATGATGGAAATGCGATGAAGCTGCAGGCCTGACCACGGGCCTTTGGATAGGCCATCCGTGACTACGCCAGAAAGGGGCACTGCTTCCTTTCCCGTCTCTCACCCATAAAAACACTTTCCCTTGTTACGGAGGTAGGATGGCCTGCAAGCCAGATATGGTCCCTGCCCTCTTGTAGCTTATAACCTAGCAGGGGAGGAACAATGACACCACCAACAGCGAAGCCCAAGAAGTGCTTTCTAGGGAAGTGCAGGTTGCTGCAGAAGGAAGCCTGCAGTAGGCACCTGACCTGTTCCTTGAGGGCTGGAAAGGGCTTTCCAAATGAAGTGATATTTCAGTGGACTTCTGAAGGACAAAGAGGTGTCAGCCTGTGTACCACATGCACAAAATATGCACATATTTTTCAGAGAAGAAAGGAAACCAGCTCATGAGCTAGAATAAAACAACTCATCATTTGTAAGCTATGCAATGTTTCTCCCACCCCATCCAACAAACTCAAGTGTATACCTGCAGTAAGTTCTTGTGTGAAATAGCTCTGCTTTGAGAAAGAGAGGGGTGAAGAAGATGGACCCCTTTATTTGCAGGTGGGAAAAGTAAAGTGCCCACAGTATATCTGTGAAGGCATCACAAATAGCACACTCAGCGCCTGCCTCCTAATTCAGGGCTTGGGACTTCACACTGGTCTGTCACTCTTCACAGACTCCCTGGGCAATGTCAATGACTGCTAACAGCCCCAGAGGCTGACTCCTGGTGGCCCAGAGGCAGAGTGTTGTCTCTGGGACAATACGCCTCTGGAGCCTGCTTCTCTCCGCGTTTCTTGGCTCTCTGGGAAACTGTAGCAGATATCCATGGAACCTGGTATTCACCAGGTGCCAGCAAAAGTCATCGTGAACAATGCATATTCAAACGGACCTTAATGTGCTTTCAGCTGGTACCCACAGACTCTAAGATGGGCACATATTAAAAAGGATGAAATCAGGGTAATGTGAATTTTAGTAACACCCCAAATTTGCATGTAAATGAGGTGAGTCATCTAAGTGCAGTTTAAAATATTTTAAATAGGACACTAAGAAAAGAAAAAAAGAGCAGATGATATATTGATTTTTCCAGGATCCTGCACAGCTGACAACATGTGCCTGCTCTCTGCTGGCCTGTGTAGATTTTTATAATTCTATCTCTCTCCCTTTGCAGCAGGACTTCGCATGTCCCTGTTTGGGTGACATGCCACATTCTGCTGAGGTTTGCTGTGGTGAGAGCAGGGAACTAGGAATCCAGTGCCGCTTTTCAATCTCTCACCTCTTTCTCTTCAGTGGAGAGGCTAAACTTCCTACCTTAGCACTTGGATCCTTTGTTCTCTCGTGTGATCAGCTTCACATTCCCTTCCTTCCCTCTTCCTTTCTCAGACAAACCAAGGCCTTCTGCCATAAACCCTACAGTGACTCATACATAGCAAACTTATGATAAATGTTTACTGACATGGGATGAATTAAACTGTGTCTACAATGGCAAGCAAGATACAAACAAGAATAAAGTGGTTGTCAACCCAACTGCTCATTAGAATTACCTGAAGATCTTTTAAAAATCCCAATGCCCAGGCCATATCCTAGAGCAGTTATATCGGAGTCTTGGTGGAGAGGGAGCCAGGCATCAATATTTGTAAAGCTACCAGGAGAGTCCAAAACATAGATCAGGTGAGAACTACTGGTTTAAAGCCACCGACTGAAAAGCTCCTAGAAGGCACAGGTGATTTCTGTTCTTGGGGATCTGAAGGCAAGGTCTGAACTAAGCACCTGCCCACTTCCCATGACATGACACCTCTGAGCTAGAGGTTCTGGGGAAAAGGAACTGTTGCTACTATAGCTTATTAGCCCTTCTTTTTTCAAATATTCACCACTGTCTGAAACAAAATGTGTATTCTTTGAAAGTGGTAAAAATGGACTGGCTTCCTCTTCTTCAGCATCAAGTCTTAGATCTCTAATTAGGCAAAGCCAAAGGTGGCTTCCATCTGATCTTCCCAACAGCTAAGGGGAAGGAAAAAAAATTCTATCCCCAGTTCTCACATGGACCTAGTGCTTCCTCAGTGGAAAACCCATGATATGGAAGGAGAGGGTACTCACGATTAGGTATTTAATACCTTTTTTTTTTTTTTGAGATGGAGTCTTGCTGTCACCCAGGCTGGAGTGCAGCAGCTCCATCTCAGCTCACTGCAACCTCCGCCTCCTGGGTCCAAGTGATTCTCCTGCCTCAGCCTCCCAAGTAGCTGGGACTACAGGCGCGTGCCACCATGCTCAGCTACTTTTTTGTATTTTTAGTAGGGATGGGGTTTCACTGTATTAACCAGGATGGTCTCAATCTCCTGACCTCGTGATCTACCCGCCTCAGCCTCCCCAAAGTGCTGGGTTAATACAATTTTAAGATAAGAAATTTTAAGAAGAAAAGTTGACTATGTTACTGGAGCCTAAAAGCGACCTGCTAAATATGGGAATAAGCTGACCACAGAACATCCATACAACGCTTCATGCATGAACCTCATACCGGTAGCCTGGGGTCTTTAAGGATGCGTTTTTCATACAGAGGTAAGAAATATTACTCTTGGGCGGCAAAAAAAAAAAAAAAAAAAAAACCTCATCTAAAAATCTCAAAGTATACAGTAAGACAGATACTGAGAATGCAATGAACCTGACAGAGGCAGGCTCATAAATTCAGTCAACTTTGTCAAACGCAGTCATTCCATTTCAGAATCTGTAATGATTGGAAGTGCTATGCTCTGTCAATATCACAACAGGCCTGGCTTCATGCTGTCTCTTTTTCATGAAATGTGTGTTGCCTGTTAACACTAGCACTGCTTCTATTCACTTGAATTAGCACAGTGAGAAAGCAGCAAAGAACTTGGGAGGATGGGGATCACAGAAACGCCTGCAGTGTTAAGTGAGAATTGGGGCTTGCTAACCTGAAGCCTCTAATTAAAGATTAGTGTGACAGGAAGTCCAACAACCAGACTGTCAGAGAGAAAAATTAGTGACATTTTCATTCCCTGTATCACCAAGCTATCCTCCACTGAGAAAGATGTTTCCAGCCAAGTGCATGCAAGCTCCAGGTACACAACCATGTGTTGGCCGCTCTAAGGCCACAAACCACTGGCCATGGACTTGGCCATGCTCAAATCTATGCATATGCACGTGTGGTGCAGATGAGAACCAGAACATACATATGTGGGACACCAGGATGGAGAAAGTTGCTTGGGGGAGTCATCTGCAGTGCTACCAATGGTTCGGCAAATGATCAGCAATTTGAAAAAAAAAAAAAACAACAACAACTAGGCCCTAATAAGATAATTAATATAGTCACTAAGTAAGTGGTAAGTGCAATGTATTTATGGAACACATCTGGGTATTTCTAAATTAAACTCATGAAGTTAAGCTGAAAAACATAATTGAGGGGGAAAGCTCTCTGAACTAAAAGTCTGTTTTCTTTTGTGCATAATGGCTTTCTTGGTTTCAGTTATTACTTTCTTACATAAAGGATAAGGTAGTGGTAATCAGCAAGTGCACACTTGATGAAAAAAAATCTTTCTAAAATTGCCATTTCCATTATGCAGAATTTAGGAATTTGACCCGTTTCCTAAGACAAATTTATGATCAGCAAAAATTTATTCTGCATTAATGTGATCGGTAAATCCGTAGATTCAAAAACCTGAAAATAGGTGATATTCTTGGTTTTCAGAAGATGAACTGTACATAAATCAGGGCATTGCAGGGCTGGGCTCTGAAAGATGCCAAGTTCAACCATGCAGCAGATGCTGAGCTCATCTGAATGTCCTGATCCCCAGGGGCTTGCAGCTGCCGTCACAACCCCCCAGCTATATAGAATTCATATGAAATCCAAGGGGGGAAGCTTTCTTACTTATTTATTTTCCTCTGTCTAGGTACTTTTTACAATCCATTAAATTATTAAGAGGCAGTGGGATCTGACGGTTTTCAAATTTACTTTTAGCTGTATAATACTTTCACAAACCAAAACTGTAGATTTCAAATACATAAAGCAGTAAGAATGGGGCTGCTCTGGTTGAAGAGAATGCAGATGAGAAACACAATCCAATCTATCCATTCATCCAGCATGCAATACATATTTGTCTAGCAACTAGTATGTACCAGCCACTGTGGTAGGTCCTGGTAATATAACATAGAAGGAGAAACCCACAGATCTTATATTCTAGTAAGGAGAAGGAAAGAGACGAAGGTAGGAAGGGTAAAAATTCACCACCACAACAAGAGCTAACGTTTATTGCTTGCTTCATAGGAGGAACACTACACAGATTAATTCACTCAACTCTCTCAATGTGAGACAGATGCTATTATTTTCATTTTACAGATGAGGGAATGGCGGCACAGGGAGACGATGGCGAATGCAGAGATAGCAGCAAAGCTGGCAGTCTGGTGAAATGGAAGACAAGAGACAAACATTCTCTGGCAGGACGGAGTGGTTACCATATGGATGCTGCTGCCAAGAGATGGGGGAAGTGAGAAGAGAAAAATGGCCACAACATTTGGTGACACAGAGGCCACTGCTGACCTTGAAAAGAGCAGCATCAGTGGCATGGTGGGGATGGAAATAGATCATAACAGGTGGCAAGAAAGTAAGGAAAACTGTTCCTGGACAATCCTTTTCAGAAATTAAATAGAATGGCAAGAAGAGAGGCTTAGAGGACCACAGCTGAAAGCTGATGTAGGATCAAAGTGAGGCTCTTTGTTCAGAAGAAGCATAACCTTGGCTGTCATTTAAAAATAAATAATCAGCAATTTTACAGTACTGTAGCTGCCCATTTGCTTGTCCTCTCCCAAGAGGCTGCAGGCCCCATGGGGTAGGGAGTATATCTTGTTCACTGTTTTTTCTGACCTATCACCTATCACAGTGACTGGAATATAGTAAGCCACTCAATAGATATTTCTTGAAAAAATAAACTATTAATAAAATATATGATAAAAATTGGAGGCAGGAGAGGCTTAGTTTTTCTCTGAAAAATTCCTTGCAAACAGGAACAGGATTTTCTCTAGGCACAGCATGGTAGGCCCTGAAGACCTGCTGCTGCTGGATGGCCAGGCCTGGCATGTGGGCTGAGCCATTCCTTCTCCACCTGCAGTAGTCCCTCAGTCACCTGGTCACTGCAGGCTGGTCTTGTTGCTACTTGGTGAAGTCAGGTGATTAAGAGTTCTGGGATCTCATCTGAGCTCTGTTGAGGAATTGCTGCTACCTATTCTATTTTTAAATTCAAAAAATAATATGATCCTACAATCTAATTCTCTCATATAATTACTGAAACCAAATCAAAGCTCCAAGGAGATTATTTACTGCAAAGCAATGACGCTCCAGGGTGCCTTCAGGCAAACTTCAACACAGCAATCTATTCACCCTACAGTATTTGGGGAACAGTAGGCTCTCTCCTTCTCCCTTTTAAAAGCAAACAATTTCACTATCCATCAATCCCATAACAGAGGCCAGCAAAACATAAGCAGCTACTTGCAGCACGTTCCCTTAAAAGGTTCTACACAGATGTTGATTTTCCTGAAAAAACAAACCAAACAAATCTCAGCCTGGACATTGACTGGCTGTTTGACTTGGCAGGTCTTCACTCTCTGCTCAAAAGAAAGGACTGACTTCTACCGGTTCCAGGTTTCTTCTTTCTCTGCAAGTCTGGCTGTAATTTAGTGAGTCCTAATGATTAAAAAAAAAAAATTCTAACATTTTCAAGAATTGCTGCCTTAGTCTCAGGAGGCTAGTTTTTCTATGAAGATCTGAGCTTGTGAATTTATATTCATGGCTAGAATATTATGAACCTGTTGGACAGGTGATTAATATACCAGATACAAGATTCCAGAGCAGGTATGTATATGTGAATAAATATAATGATAATGCTAATAGTAGTTAACACTTATTGAGTGCTTATAGTGTGCCTGACTTCGGGCTAAGGGCTTTATCACAATATTTCATTTAATTTTGTAACAACCCTATGAGATAAATGTCATTATCATCCCCATTTTTCAGTTGGTGAATTTGAGGCTTTTAGAGATTAAGCTGCCCAAGGTCCCAGAGACAGTAAAATGATGGAGGTAGAATTTGAAAACCTAGCAACTTGACACTAGTGCTCAACCATTTCACCTCTTTTATAAAGTTCCACATCAGTGTTTCTTGGTTTCATATTTAAATACCGGAAAGGACTTTTAGTTACCACTTCTTAGAAGTTCAGGTGAACAGGGTTGGAAGAGGAGGAGATGGGAACACTTAACTAAAATGAGGTTGAAAGGTAACCTCTGAATTTCAGCTGATGTGTTTTTCCCTGTTTCAATTACCAGGAATAATCAGGAGAGGGTTGTAAAATGTGTTTTAAAGTGCTCCTATGTGAAAATCACCTGGAGAAACTGTTTCATCAGCAAAAGGAACAAGATGCTGATGCTTCAAGTGAAGGACTTAAGTTCAGATTTTAGAGCCCCAGCTGCACTCTCACCATTTCTCATTGCCCCTTTCTTTTGGGGCACATGTCATGTGGGCTGTCTGAGTAAGGGTTATGTCACCCACAACAGAGGACTGCACAGTCTGACACTCCTGCCTTATTTGGATAGAATGTTTTCTTTTCTTTCTTTCTCTCTCTCTCTCTTTTTTTTTTTTTACTTTATTTTCTTTGATATGGCATCAATTTTAAATCTTACATTTTGGCTATGGGCAACCTGGAAACAGCTGTGCAGACAAGGCAGGGAAGAGGAGAGTCCCTGCAGGTATATGCTTTGTTTCATGGCTGAATTGCTACCAAAACAGTCCTGGACACAGTGCCCTCAAATTATTTTTCTCTGAAACTGATTTTTCCAGTTAGTTCTGTACATTAGTTACAGAGTCCTATATTATTTTCCCCATAGGGCTTTCCTGCTCATGATTCCTAAACAAGCTGATAAAAACTCCATTTTCTCCACAGAAATATTTAGGTTGTTGAGGCTTTCTCTTACCATAATTACTTCCTGAAATATGCAGTGGTCAATTTTTCCTGAATATTTTTACATTAAATTGGGCACCCAAAACTTGGCCCTAGGTATTTTCAGGTGGTAAAGCAGACTCCTGGCTCGAAAGAGCTGATTGGTTTCTATTACTTGCTTTCTGTATTGGCTTCTTATGGATTTGATTTTAAAAAATCTCTCTCCCATTTAAAAATGTGGAACTCCATGTGAAAACCACGATTTCTTATGTCCTGTAGAATACAGCAACATTTACTAAAAGAAATCACTATTTCACTCCTCAACTAAGAACTTCAGGAATTGGGGCAGGTAAGGAGAAAGGTCTTGGCAATGTCAGTTTGATGAGAAATGAATTAATTCGATTATTTTCATGGTGTGGATCAATAGCAGTCGGCCTCCACAGAGGTCCCTGGCCTGAAGGCAGCTGGATAATCAATAGGCTCACACAGAGGCGGCTCTCCTCCCCAGCAGCCTCTCTCATCTTTTCTGGGCGGGCTCTTCACGCCTGTGTAATTCTAATTTATGTCAACTAGAAATCAAAGAAATTCCAAGAGGCTTTGGTCATAGGACATTAGGGTGGACCTTTCACAATCTATTTATGTCTGTTCCTTAAGTAACGTGGCCCTCACAGCCCTCCAGGCGCCTCTACTGGCCAAGAAGAAAAAACCTCCCAGGAGAAGGGTAGCCATCTGCTCCGGGCCATGGCAGAGGCGTGGGGTTAGGTAAACCGAGGCACACTTTCTCTTTCCCATCTATAACTATGCAGGGACATAAGAACCAAGCATTTTAAGCAAAATGCTTTGCCAAGAGTGGCTCCCTCAATAACGCTCTTTAATGATACCCCAGACGCTGGCATTTTCAAATCAAATGAACAGTGTATAAAATTAGTTCTGCATGAAGTTAAAAAAAAATAGAAAGTGAAAGGGAGCTTTTAAAAGCTCCAGCATTTCTCCATCCAACTGCTTTTCACAAGGGTTTGGCATTTGAGAATTGCTACGTTTATGATGTTATTCACTGCTCATAATTCAGGCCTGCATCTCCAAACTTCTGTATTAACACACACTGCAGAGGTTTCCACCACGACACTTTTATCACCGAGGCCTCGCAAACAGCCAGCCTGCCTCCAGTGAGGGCTGTTTTTTCCGCCAGTGCCAGGCCACAGTGCCTCCTCCCTTCTCATCAACCTTGTCACCCCAAACATTTTTCATTAACCTTGAACACTGCATTTCCATTTGCCCTACAGCTTTATCATGATTTTTTTTGGTCCTTTTTAGTTTTGTTCTCCATCCAAACTGCCTTATAAGAAAAAGAAAATATAATACAATTATAAGAAACAGATCTATAGAGAATCTAGAATTCACTGAAGTCACAAAAATAATTTCTACGACCAAAGCCGCTGTTTATAATTGCGGAAAACAGAGGGAACATACTGCTCTTATTAGAGTGTCCCGTTGATTACACAAGTATTTTTAAGTAAATCACCAGATAAATGTGAGTTAAGTTGATAGGTGATTTCGGGTCAACTCTAATTCCCAAGGTCAAGTAAGCCTTTGAACAGTCTTTAAGAATATAAGCTCACCCCAATTCATCAAAGCCGTCTCACACAGCGTTTTCTTCTCTTGGTTCTTACAATGCACTAAAGTTTAGGAGATTAAGTGGCGTCAGCTCCAAAACCCTCCAACATGCTTATCCATCCAGGAATCAGAAAAGCTACTCAAACAGGGGCTTCTTAATGCACTTCCTGACTTTACAACTGCCTGGGGAATGCTGCATTGTTGCACGACTGGAGGACTCCTCCCCAGGAATCACCAATGTTGCAGCCAAACATATTTACTGCAGTTTAGCTTAGCCCTTGTTTGACAATCCAAGTACATGTTGCTTTCATCTGCAACGAATACGTTTAACTTTTCCCATTTGTTCTCTGCTAACCTAACCAAGAGAGACGGCGGGTGGGGGTCGTGGGGGGAAACACTGTTTTCCTACAACAAATACAATGCATTTTGTTATTCTTACAATTCCTCAAAAGGTGAAATGAGGAAAAAAGCATCAGTTTGGTAAAGTATAGCCTCCAAATTAAATATAAGTGGCCCTCAATAAAACTGACTGTGAAAGAACATGCAACTAGAATGTTCTTTCTCAGAACCACAGGATCACGGAATGCCAGCGCAAGGACACACAGACTTCACAAACCACATCTCTCTCTAGTGCAGGGATCCTACTGACACCATTCCTGACCAAGGGGTTTGTTGAGTAGATGCTGAGGTTCCCTGCCTCCTCCACTGGCTCCACTGGTGTGCAGAAACAAGAGGAGAACTCTAATGGGTTTTCTTGGTGGTTAGCAGATTTGGTTAAGGTAGGGAGAAAAGTGACAGGGCCAAATTAATTTTGTTCTTTAATGCTTTGCTGGCACAGATGATCACAGACTGCCAGGAGATGGTGTATCTTCTTCTCCGTTCCCTAATCATAGTTTTTCTGTTTCCTGTCTCTATTCTTATTTTTCACTATTATTTTGTTACTTTCTGTTACCCTAAGTACTTGAACAGTCTTATCTTCAACTCACCCTTTTCTCCCACTGCAAATCTTTCTGCATCCCTGTGCTGGAGTAAGATGGTTAATAAATTCATACCAAATACTAAGTGTCCTACGGAGGCATTAGTTTTTCCATTGCAAAGTGTGTAGAAAGTGTAATTACTGACATATTTGTATAAAAAATAATCTTAATTTTAAATTTAGGTGAGGAAAAAGCACAAAGGCAAAGCATTCTCTAGTCTGAATTTATTTTTTTCCTTTCTTTTTAATTGTCTTTCAAAATGGGATAGTAGGCAATATAATTTTTTTTTCTCATTGGAAAATTCCAGTATCACAACACAGGTTAATATAATGATATGGATGATAAGACTAATCAGTAACAGAGCATTTTATATATAATAGACATTATTCTAAGTGCTTTATGTATGTTAACTCATTCACATGCTCACAATTCTACAAGATAGGTACTAGTATCATCCTCATTTTGCAAACGAGGGAACAGGCACTGAGAGGTTAGTAACTGCCCGCGGTGACACAACTAGTAAGTGCAAAGCCCAGATCTGAACCTGAACTCTGGCTCTCCGCAGACCATACCGTTGCTACTAATTTCTTTTCTTTGTTACTCATATCTTCCTTTGAATCTTGATGGTAACTTAAAATCTGGAGATGGATGGCATGATACAAAATCTGAAAACTGAATAGCTACTTTAGATTTCCATCCAACTAAACCAACAAGCAGGCTTTTCTGTGCAAGGCTTTACTTGTGCTTTGTGTGTGGTTTGGAACTGTCTTCCATCCTCACAGAGCCTCTCGTGTTTGGCTCTGAGCTGCTTTAAGTCTGAGGAAGCCAGACAGCAAGGCTGGGTCCAGCATCTCCCTGGGCTGCACTGCAGCAGGCTCTGACCAGACGGCGTCGTGCTGGAGCCAATGGGTTCTCAGAGTGGCTCTCTGGTTAGAGAAAGGATTCAGAGGCAGCCCAGGAAAAGGGCTAAAACCCTCAGGGATACAGCTAATCTGAATACTGTCTCTATTTAATTTTGGACTAATTTGCATTTGGGTAGAAAATAACCCATTTCTTAACTAAAAATCAGCAAAATGCTGGTCAGCAAATATGTCTGGAATAACATTCTCCTGTAGTAACTGTAACATACAACTTCTACAGTGTATCTCCGAAGATGGAGCTGATCTTAACCATCTAAAGATTACAGGTTAGAAATATGACAATTTCTGAGAATGGCTGCGGACACATATGTATGAATGTGTACATTTTGGTAGCTTTAGTTAGCATTCATGTGGCAGTTCCTTCTGCTGGAAGCTGAGGAGTTCTGCTGTCATTGATTCCTGTTTCTAGAGGACTATGCCTATGGTGGACCCTTTAACTTGTCTTAAAAGAAGTCATTTTAAAGTGGCAGGGTTAGCAGCGGCATTAGGTTGGTTAGTGGAAAGATTTGTGGGAGACTCGCAAGCCCCGGATCTCAGTGCTGTTGCTTAGTTACAAAGTAAGTCGCTTCTGGGCTGGGCTGAGAATATATAATAACATTTCTCTAAACATAACTAGCTGGCAAAGGTCTCGTATAAGTTGGGATTCTAAAGTGTTTGGAGAAAAGAATTAGCCAATTAACAAAAAATCACAAAGGACACAAGAGCTTTGGGCCATACTTCATTTGCCCCCACATTTGCTACATTTAGAAGATGCATGCCCTTTGAATGGCGTGTCTATTTAGTTTCACATTATTTTGCTAGATTTGTTCCTAATCACCATTTACAAAAGTAGCACACATGTGTAAATTAGTACAAGATGGCGGCACTTTCTGAGCAAGTATCTGAACTGGACCTTTTCCAAGGGAAGCAGTCCCCGTGGCCACAGACTGCCCCCTGGGTTGTGCCAGCAGCACTGGATACAGACTCCAAAGACCCGGCATGAAGTCTTGCCAGAGTATCCTGGGGCCACTGACTGGTCTTTCTGAGCCTCCATTTTCTCCCCTTCACAATGCAAATAACTATTTCTTAGACTTGTTATAGGTAAAACATGGAATAAACAAAGAAGAAAACACCTGTGGAGTGCCTGGTGTCCAGTATAGGTTTTTTTTGTTTGTTTGGGACACAGTCGTGCTCCGTCATCCAGGCTGAGGTGGTTGCGGCACAATCACGGCTCACTGCAACCTCGGCCTCTTGAGCTCAGGTGATCCTCCCACCTTAGCTTCCCGAGTAGCTGGGACTACAGGTGTGTGCCATTATGCCTGGCTAATTTTTTTTTGTTGGGGGAGAGGGGGATAGAGACAGGGTTTTCCCATGTTGTCCAGGCTGGTCTCAAATTCCTGGGCTCAAGTGATCCTTCTGCCTTGGCCTCCCAATGTGCTGGGATTACAGGTGTCAGTATAGATTTTTATTATCTGTTTTCTCAGTCTTCAAAGGGTCCCACGTTAAATGCTACACCATTTCCTAAACTCATGCTCACATCCCTGGCTGGTTCTACAGGCCTTCCACCAGGACCTCTGGAACCACTTCTTATCATGTGCTGGGAGTGGCATCTGATGTATGGGGAGATGCAAATTCCCACATACCCCCTTACTGGCCCTTTGTTGGTCCCGAATGGCCAGAATACATAGATGTTCAGTACCAAAATTACACACTTGTGAAAAACCAATTTGGCACTGTTCTTTCCACCTTTACTGTTGCTGGAAACTTGAAACCCAGAATACAATTTTACGGTTAGACCCTGCAAATTGCAGTTTGTCATGTAATCTTTTACATTTTGGTCCATGGACTTATGAATAGGATGCCAAACTCTAGTTGACTATGTATATGATTACTTTTTCTTTCTACTTAAGCACAAAATTCATTATTAAGTGGGGAAATACAAAGATAATCTCAGATTAGTTTACAAAAGCAGGCAAACAATGCATAGCTATAATTGCATATATACATATAAAATGTATATATAATATATAATACACGGGGGTGGAGATAGAGAAGGAGAGAGGATATGACATCAAGCTATTAACTATACTGATATGTAGAAAGCAAACAACTTGATAGTCAACTCTTACTTTATCACATCTCATCAGCCCCAAATATCTCAGAGACTTGCTGCTCTGTGCAATCAGGGTGGCTCCTTGGTCTGTGATTTCTTTACACCATCCGACATCCACAGTCTCTATTGTCATGCTGTATCGCCCAATGGCTATCAGTGCTGCAAGAAGGGACGCAGAGAAAGCATTAATGTTAGCAGTGTAAGGGAGCTCTATCTTATTATGACTATTCATCTCATTTCCTCACTAAATTTGTTCCTGAAATTTTGTGTGTAAATGAACGTTTTATAAACTAAACTAAATTTGAAATGCTTTAGGAAAGCTTCCCTATGACAAACCCATTTGCAAAGTGAATAATCATTCCATAATTTCCCTTTCATTGAACACAACCTTTTATCAGTTTTATTCATTACAAGGTTACCTGTACTTTCAAACATTCAGCTCTGCAGAAGGAATAAATTAAAATGTATTACAGATACAACATTTAAAAAAACCCAAGTACTAACTTAATTTTACCCAAGATAACTTTAATTTTTTTTTAAAGAAGAACCCACGTAAACACCATTTTGAGGAGTGTTATACTGCAAGTGAATGTCTTTACCAATTGGCATAATTTTTTCCATCTGTTCATGACCTGTAAAATGTAAAAGTATAAAATATTTTTCACATTAGCGCTTCTTGGGACTGTTAGGAATTAAGAGTACATCATACATACTGCTGATTTTAATTGGTGCCATGCTAGAGTGCAGTAAACAGAATGCATTTGTTATGGTGAATTTCCTCATCCTATCAGAAGTCTTCCTTCTATTAACATACAAAATGAAGCCTGTCGTCTGTAAACTATGAGAGTATCTGTAGTCTTCTCGGCTGTTTAGCATTGTACCACCACTAAAGTGCAGACACTTATCCCATAATCTATGATGTGCACTACTAATCACTGCAAAGTCCCATAACCCATCACCCCATCACAGCGACCAAGTGGTGAATGTGGCTCTTTTCTACCGACTTTGATAAATGTGCCCACCTTTATATTTAAGGAGCCCAGAAAACAAATTTCAATACCCCAGCACCAGTTTATGGTGCACTGGTTTGTGAATCAAAACCCTGAAAACAGTGCCACAAATATCAAAAAGAAAAGAGAAATGGTTTTCTGATAATTTCCTCATTCTAAGATAGCATAAGTTGATTTCTGTGACAATAAAGGTGAATGATAGTTCCCAAAATGTGTTGACTAGATGGATAATTTAGAGTTAAGTACTCATGTTAACAAATGTTTACTCCTACAGCTCACAGAAGAGAATATTTGGCAAAATCTTTCTTTGCTAATTACCTCAGTATTTTTTTTTTTTACTAGAAAACTCATGTCCGTACATTCCAGTAGGAAAGCACTCCCAAGTAGCCAGATATTTAATGTTTATAAAAACAACAATCATGATCCCAGTGTTTTCCAGTGAAAATACAATAGAGAGACAATTTTTTTAAAAAAAGTTCTCTATGTACCAGTTTGTTAATGTTTTCATCTTTGTGCATGCTGTTTTGATATTTAAAGTTTTCCAAGGGGTTTGGGGGATTTGCCAACTACTAAAAGTTTGCAGAAATGGTCTGAATACTATTTTTGTATAGAAGGAGCAACATCCCAGGTTAATTTTGGTGTCTCTGACCTAAGAAAATTGTTCTCTCTGGTATCATCATGACTTTCATTGGTTATGATATCCTGAAGATCTGCTAAGAAAAATGAAGTAGGGGATACATAAAATAAATCCCTTTTAATACAAAGTGCTCAAACTATGATTTCCAAAGATGACAAAGCACCACTTGCAGGATGGCCTGAGGTTGGTAGATTTTGTGCAGTTGTTTCATTGAGGTCTGAGGCTAGAACACGAAAGCCCAGTGCTATCCAGAAAAGCCCTGGACTATCACAGCCTGCTTTATAAGCAGATAAAGAGTCAATAGCTATTGATTCTGGGTGGTAAAATCACTGATGTTTGAAGGCTTTTCTTTTGACTTACTACTATTTACTGAAGTTAGAATGAAACTTTTTTATTTCTTAACTCATTCGTTTATTTAATAAGCACCTCGTGAGCTCTAGAGCATTTTTGCCAACATCTACTGACTACGTTCTATGTGCCAGGCCCTTGGCTAAGAATTTCAGGTGTATTGTCAGATTTATTACTAACTGCAACCCTATTAAGTCTTATTGTTATTTCCACTTTAATAATCAGGAAACGGAGTCACAGAGAGATTGAATAACTTTCCTAGTGTCACAAGATAGTAAGTGGGGGAGTGGATTTTAAGTTGGGAGCCAGCTCCCAGCAGAATCATGGGGCAAGGCACCTGGTAGTTCTGATAGGCCATGCCACCAGTGGTGGAACTGCAGTGTGACATATTGGGCCTGTGTTGGCTACTGGGAATATAAGATTCATGGAGCTCAGAGGCCAGTTGAGTGGAGGTGGGGGGTGGGTGCGACGTGGGGTAGAAATAAGGAACAGCCCAGTAAACAGTCACAATCCAAGGCTTACCCCCCATCTCTTCCCTTTCCCAACTCCTTAGCTTTCAGATCTCAGGTCAAAGGTCAACTTCTCAGAACTGATCACCCTAGCATTTATTGCTATTGGGAATGTTATTATTTGTTTACTTCTTTGTGGCCCACTCCCTCATTAGAACGACAGCTCCTATTCACTGCTGTCAATGCCCAGCACCTAGCACATGCCTCGTACAGAGAAGGTTCTTAAACATATCCATTGAATACAGCAACAACTGTAACAGAGGCACGCTAAGGGGGTGTAAGAGCCCCCTCACGCTTCAGGGAAATGTGGATACATCAGAAGCCCTCACAGAACAGCTGAGTTAGGTCTTGAAGGATGAGTAATGGTTTTCCAGATAAACAAAGGAGCAAGGATAGGTATGCTGGGCAAAGGAAACAGCATGTGTGAAAGTAGAGATGAGAAAGGACAAGTGAGCCGCAGGTATTCTACGTGGCTGAAGTAAAAACAAGTACAAGAAAGTGGGAAGACTCATTTCAGAGAGATTTATTCAGTGATTAATGGCACTGGGGTAGGTATAAGAGACACAGAGTAACAAAACCAAGCAGAGTCCTTGATGTTACGAAGTTTATAGTCTAGCAGAAGAGACAGATGTGAAACAAATAAACATGAAAGTAAACATAACTCTAAATTGTGACAAGTGCTCTGAAGGAAATGGACTGACCACTGTAGGACAGAACAACATTTAGCTGGGGGCTTCAGGGAGGGTCTCTCTGATGAAGTTACTCTTAATTCTTCCAACAGCTCTGCAGAACAATAACCATTTCAGAGGTAAGAAAACAGAGGTTCAACAGCTCACCAAGGCCCAAAAATCTAATAAAGTGGCAGAACCAGGGTGCAAATTGAGGTTATTTGGCTCCAAGGCCAGTGCTTATTCTGTTGCAACAGCAGCACCTAGGGTGGGAGTAGAGCCCTGCATATGGTCAGAACGGATTTCTCTTTACCACTCAGGTAGCCAAGTATGTACCCTATGTCCAAGAGGCCTGAGGGAACCTTTTGATTCCAAAATATACAGCACGTAATTTGCCTCTCTTTGACTATATCATGTCCTTGGACAGTTTTTCATTGTTGTTTCACAAGCTAGCTATAAAACCTGTAATGTGGTCTAGTCTCAAGTTCGGTTCTAGCCTTACTACCTAGTAGATGTTTGACATCGGGATCACATTTAACTTTTCTGAGTCTCAGCGTCCTTACCTGGACAATGGGGAGGTTGATTATTTGTCCTGTCTACTTCATGAGATTGGTCTGTGGCTCAAGTGAGATGACAGATGTAAGGGACTTTGCACTACATAAATGTCATGATTTATTTGATATTTCCCCAATCCATCCTACAGTTGTGTAGTTGCTATAAAATGAAAAGACTTGAAAGAATTTCGAAAAATAAAAAACTCTGGGCAAATGATAGCATTATATAAATACTTAGTCATTATGTCACTGCTAGAGTCTTGAACTGCCTACTCTCTATCAGTGATCATAAACTTCTAGTCTGTACCTGGGCTGATAGGGCTGTAAATGTAATGTATCATTACTACCTTCATTAGAGGCTGTTGACACATTACAATGGTATTTATTGAACCTTGAAAAGGGATAAATTATGCAAGACTAATTCCTAACTCCAATGCAATTTTAATATACTTTTTAATGTGCTAAGTGCAACTAATGAAGAAAGTTAAATTTTAAAAAAGGTACACAAATTAAAAGCTGTAGTTCAGTAACTTGTGTGTTGATGAAGGGTATACACTAACCCCCTAATAGTCATTCCCATAGACATACAAATGACAGAGTGATTAAAAGACTTAAGCACACATGCACTTAATTTTGACCAAGAAATTCCATTTCTAGGAATCTACTCTGACAATATACCTCTAATAGTACAAAATTACTTCCGTATATACAAGTTTATTTATTGGAGCACTGATTGTAATTGCAAAATGATGGTAACAGCCTAAATATCCATACATAGGAGAGTGCTCGAATAACTATGCTATAACCACACAACTGAATAATACTATGCCACTCTAAAAATATGAATAAGGAAAATCCCTAGGAATTAATTTGGAATGATTTTCAAATCATTAAGTAAAACAAAAGCAGAGGCCAAAAGAGTTTATATGATGTGCTACCACCCTTCGTAAAAAGCACAAGGGAATATAATAAAATACATATTAATCTGCTCATCTGTGCACAAGTAACAGGAGAAGCATAAACCAGAAACCACAAAATACTGTGTAACTATAAAGGTTGGTAAAAAATAAAGAAGCAGGCACGAGATGTGGGGGTGGGGTTGTGAGGAAGAAGAGAGAGAAGAAAAGATACTTCTTGTAATAGCTCTTTTTATATAGCTTTGACTCTCTGAACCATAATAATGCTTTACACACTTCCCAAAATAAAAAAAAAATGTGTAAGAATCTGAAGAGGAATACAAACAGTAACAAATGAACCCAAATAAACAGCATAACCCAGATGAATAATATAACTATGCCAAAGGGGATAGGAATTAAAAATGAATTTAAGTCACTTTGGAAACATGATGTTGACTGTATAAGAGGAAAACCAAAAAGAACTGTAAGCAAACAAATACTGTACTATAGCAAGTAAATTTGTCACAGGAGTATGAGTTAGGAATTCAGTAACTACTCTGTGTAATCTAGGATTGTAAATAATGACAGCTAGTGTTTTCATTGTTAGTGAAACAAGTTACAAATAAGAAAATAGGAGAGGCACACACATACACAGATACATAGATAGCTACAGAAGTGAGTAATAAGTATTGTGTATGTGTATTCCTGGTTTAGTATACATACATCTATTTCTTAGCTCTTTCTGCTGGGAGGAACTGAGGGCAACGGCACCCTAGCAGCACTCAGATCTTGGTTTCTAAATATCATTCTCCAGTGAAAGGAATCAGAGCTTCATAGAGAAATCAGCCATTTCGTAGAGAAATGGCTGATTCCAGGACTGGAGCAGGGAAAGTACAAGATGAGTCTGGAACATCTAGTGGTATCAGAAAAAGAAAAGCTTTTAAAACAATGGGGGCATTTCAAAAGGACACAGGATCCAATCAGAAGAAGCTGCCAGTGACCAAAGCTGGAACAATCTGAGCATCAAAATAAATAATGATAGTATGGATTATAGTTCATAAAGTAAGTATCCACAAGTCCATACTGATACAAATAATCAGATAAATATAAACATATTAACATTATATATACTCCCTGATCACTTCTACAATATTCTTGCCAAGATGAATAACTTCAATGTACTTAGAAGAAAACATCACACAAATCCAAAGTGAAAAACATTCTACAAATTATTTCACTAGTCCTCATCAAAAGGGTCAAGGTAATGAAATACAAAAAAAAAAAAAGGAACAAGGAACTGTTACAAATTGGAGGAAACTAGGGTGACATGACAACTAAACACCATGTGGGGTCCTGAGTTAGATACTAGAACAGACAAATCAGGGAAAACTAGTTAAATTTAAATAAGACCTGTAGTTCACTTAATTTAATTGTTTCAGTGTTAATTTCCTGGTTTTGATAAGCGTATTGTGGTTGTAGAGGTTGTTAAAGTTAGAGGTAGCTGGGTGAAGAGCATACGTGAACTCTACTATTTTTGTAACTTTTCTGTAATTCTAAAATGATTTCAAAACAAGGAGTAAAAAAAGTATGGATAAGCTAAGAATAGATAACAAAGTGAATGAATTAAGTAGAGGACTACAATTTTCTAAGTGACAACATTTTCACAATGGAACCTCGGATATATAAATGTGAGAACTAAAAATACATTTCCTCCTCAATAGAAGGAAGATTAGTCATACAAGCGCATTAACAAGCGACCTGCATGTGCCGTTTTGTCCTTTCCAGTTCTATCTTCTGCTATGGATCTATGTACCTGTAATAAAATCAGAAGAAAAGCCCTAGTGCTTGAAAGAATTAGGGTTAAAATTTAACAGTAGGATTAACATCTTTCATGTAATACTTCGATAAAAGCCATTTGCAAAGAAATTTCTTGGCACGGTTACAAAGAGATAAATATGAAACGTGCTCTTCTTTGTAGAAGCCACAGAAGCTCCAAAAACAAAGAAATGACACTTTCAGAATCATTTGTTGCATTCATGGTCCCTGCGAAGGCTCCCTCCACCCCGCAGGGACTACAGGGATGGTTCCTAACTCAGGCTGTTCAGGAGAATCACAGGTGCCTATTCAAAGTACAGACGCCTGAGTCCCACCCCTGGAGAATCTGATTCCGGAGAAGCTATAAAAGTTTCTGTGATCCTGATGTGCAGCTAGGGCTGAGAACCACTGGAACAGAATAACCTACAGCTTGGGCAAAGTCAGTCAAGTGAAAACAAAAGAGCTCCCTTTTAAGGATATAAATAGCTAATGTGTTCTGACACTTTAAAACAGTTTGGTCTCTCAAACGGTAGTTACTTTGTATATAATCCAATACTTTTAAATCTCTTTACTTCTAATTAATGTCCTTTCCATCCATTTTTATACATTATTATATTCTTCCTATTATCTATAGTAAACTGTACACTGACCACACTCTAAAACATTTTTCCAGATAGTTCTTTTTTTGCAATATTTTGTAAACATTTTCCTTTTCTTCATTGTACTTATTTTATATTTCTAATGTAGCACTTACCAGAGTTTGTTTCATGTTAAAATTATTTATCAACATGTTTGTCTTCCCCATTAGATTGTAAAATCCTTGAAGCAGTGAATATGGAGTGTGTTTTATCTAGGACCTCTGAATGTCTGAAAATCAAGTGTCACTCATTTTTCATAGTTTTAATTAACTTTCTGGAAGCATAACTAACTGTAGAAAGTTGCACATGTCTGAAGGGTACACCTTGATGAATTTTAGTAAAGTTCACACAGCTGTGTGACAGTTTCCAGGCTGAGAAACAGAGCAAGCCCAGCACGCCTGCGGTCTTTCATCCCCACTTCAGTCACTTCTATTCTCCCAACAAGGATAATCATTATCTTGACTTCCAATCACACACATTACCATTCCTGTTTTGAACTTTATATAGAGTCAAACACCAAACATTCTTCTGGGTTTTTAGCTGCCCATTATGCATGTGAGATCCATCCACGTTGTTATGTATACTGGTAGTGTTATGTATACTGGTATCATTTCTCAATGCTGTATAATGTTTCATTCTGCTGATGGACATCTGGGTGGTTTCCGCCTTGGGGCTATTACAGATAATGCTGCTGTGAACTTTCGCATACATGTCTTTGTGTGGACATATGTTTTCATTTCATGTGGGTAATTGCCTATGAGTGGACTTTCTGGGTCACATGGTAAGTGTTACGTTTAACTTTATTAAAAAAACTGCTAAAGTGTTTTCCCAAAGTGGTTGTACCATTTCACATTCCCACCAGTATGTATGTAAGGTTCCAGTTTCCCTTGCATTCTTGGTACTTGGTAATGTGTCTCTCTTGGATTACAGCTGTTCTAGTGGGTACGTAGTAGTACCTTCTCGTGGGTTTTAATTTCCATTTCCCTAAGGATTAATGGTATTGTGTATCTTTATCATGGTGCCACACTTTAAAAAAATTTCTAGCAGAGTGCCTCTACCCTTGTAATACTTAGTAGATATCTATTACATTAAATTAATGATGGGAAGGCACATAATTTTTCTATTATTAGATTACAGCAAATAATAGCTTTCTAAACACCAGATAATTTCCCATGTAATCTGAAGACGTGAAACTTAAGTAAATTCAGGAATAAATAAGGTTATAGAAAATGTTGCAAATGCTCAATTGTTTGTGAAAATTTTAAAGATGGTGGAGCACTTTTTATTTAGAAACTCTGAATCCCTGAAAATCAAGTGGAAAAACACAAATAATAAAAATGATTGCCCATCAATGGTAGATAACATTAGAGACTAAAAATTTGAATTGTGCTAGCATTTTCAAGCAGCTGTACACAGGGGCATTCGTTTTATATAACTCTGCTTACTGAATTCAGAAGAGCAACACGTAGGTATTGTCTGACTCACAAAGGGAGCAAGCTAGCTGTGGCCCTTGACCTTTCTGGGAAGAGGCTCTCCTGCCCTGTAACTCCTGAAATGGTAATGCAAGCCTTATTTATAGGTTGCATCTGCTTTCCTTCCTATGAGATGAACAAGTTGGTGGAAAAGTCAGTTCAAGTGAAGAATTTTTTAAACAAATGTCTTAAGCAGCAGCAGCAGCGAGGATAAGCATTTATCCCTTGCCCCTTCTTATTTATTTTTATTTTGAAAACAGACAAAAATTTGATTGAGTATGTAGAAATGATTCCTATCATGTGACTTCCAAAAATGTCAAAAACAAGGGGCATATTTAGAACTAACATATATTTAACAGGAACCTGATCCACTGCTCTGGTTTTCAGTGGTGCTGTATTTGGTGGGAACCAACCCTTTGAGTAGAATGTTAGGTTCCCCTGACAATCCCCCTATTAAATTTTAAAATTAAAGATGAGGAAGAAAAAGAACCTTACAACTGTAACATTCGCTGAGAACCTAAAGTCCCTGGTTCAATGATTCTTTTTTATTCCAGCCTGCATAAATACATATATTACTTATCAAAGAATTATGTATCCTTTCCAAAATCCTGACATTACATTAGATTTCCTCACTTTATGAGAAGTGAATTCTGGGTTTAAATATGTTAGTTTGCAGAGATGGGAAAGTACATTAGTGTCTCTGTCATACATCTGCCTTGTCCAACTCCCTAAACTGAGTTTTTCAGACCACTGTAAAGACCGAATGTCAGTTTTAAGCTGGTCTCAGATTAAAAAAAAAAAAAACTGTCTGAAGCTGGGCATGGTGGTTCATGCCTATAATCCCTGTACTTTGGGGGGTCAAGGCAGGCAGATTGCTTGAGGCCCGGAGTTCAAGACCAGCCTGGGCAACATGGCAAAACTTCATCTCTACAAAAAATAAAAAAAAATAAGCTGGGTGTGGTGATGTGCACCTGTGGTCCCAACTATTGGGGAGGCTGAGGCGGGAGGACTGCTTGGGCCTGGGAGGTGGAGGTTGCATTGAGCCAAGATCACACCACTACACTCCAGCCTGGGAGAAAGAGTGAGACCTTGTCTTAGGAAAAAAAAAAAAAAATTGTCTAACCTACTATGTATCAGAGTAGGATGTGATTTCAGTGAACACCACTTAAACACACCAAGGTTGGTGAAAACATACATGTTGTCAGGCTGACCAATAAACATTGTAAAAGTATTTTGATAGTGAAGCAAAGGAAAACAGAGGAAAAGGGAAGAACATGGGGGATAATGGCAGAGTGAATAGATTATCTTTTCTTTCATTCGACAAATACAAATTGAGTACCCACTATGTGTCAGGCAAATGTTTCAGTGGTTGGGGATAAAAAGATCAAATTCCTGGTCTTGTGGAGCTTGTATTCTGAATACAAATAAATAAATAGACTATATAATTTTTCAGATGGCAATAATTCTTTGGAGAAAAATAAAGCAGAGACCAGGATGAGAGTGTTGCAGTTTTAATGAAGTCTGCTAGGGAAGGCCTCACGAAGAAAGTGACATTTGACAAAAACCTGAAACGGTGGGGGAGTAATCCATAAAGATATCCATGGGAAAGGCTTTCCATGCAGAGAAAACCTAGTGCCAAGCCATGAGGTAGGAAGACTGCTGGTTTGTTCCAAAACGATGGAGTGCCGTTGAGATGAGAAACAGGGAGTTAATGGAAAAGAGGGTGGAAAGATAACCTTGTAGGCCATTTTTAGCAATATTGGCTTTCACTCTAAATAAAATGGGAAGCGACTGAAATATTTGGGGCACAGGAGTGATATAATTTAAGTTAAACTTTCAACGAATTGCTCCAGCTTCTGGGTTGAGAACAGACTGTAAGGAGGTAAGAACAGAAGCAGGAAGACCAATAAGGAGGCCATTGCAATTATCCAAGCAAGAAGTGATAATGGATTGGCCTAGGGCTGCATAATAGAGATGGAGAGAAGGGGTTGAATTTTGAATCAATTTTAAAGATAGGACCAACAGCATATGCTCATAGATTGAATGTGGAGTGAGAAAAAGAGGACTCAAGGATGTAAAAAGAAAAAAAAATTTTCTTGGCTCTTAGATTTTGAAGGAATTTCTTACATGGAATTTTACATAGTTGCTCTTTGTGTCCTTGTGTGTCTAAGTGTCCTTGGATTAGTAGGAATACACTGATTTCTTCTACTGCATATAAACTCCACTGAAGGGGCAAAGACCACTCTTATTAATCTTTGCGTCATCATTGACTAGCTGAGTCTTTCTTATTATTCAATATACATTTGTTTAAATAGAGATACTCTTCAACTTACGATGGGGTTATGTCCCAATAAACCCATCGTAAGTTGAAAATATCGTAACTTGAAAGTGCATTTAATATACCCAACCTACAGAACATCGTAACTTAGCCTAGCCCACCTTAAATGTGCTCAGACATTTACATCAGCCTACAGTTGGGCAAAATCATCTAACACAAAGCCCATTTTATAATAAAGTTATTGAATATCTCATATAATTTATTGAATACTATACTGAAAGGAAAAAACAAAATGGCTGTATGAGAACTCTAAGTACCGTCTCTACTGAATGTGTATTGCTTTCACACCATCATAAAATTGAAAAATCATAACTCAAACCAATATAAGCTAGGGGCTGTCTATGTGTACATATTAGTTATCACAATTATAAGCACTTAGGGGAAAAATCAGAAAGGGGTCTTGTTTAAAGAGTTCACACTTATTCTTTTATTCTAAAAATATTTATTGGGTAGCTACAAGTATGTCAATCACTGTGATGATTGTGTCACTGAGATGTCTTTGCTTGGGGGAGATTACAGGTAATACATATTTTTCCTTACATGTTTGTGTATTTAAAATTTTTCAACATTATGCAAGTTTTATTTTTACAAAGTAAAAAGAAAAACATTTTTAAAAGGCTTCTACTGAATAGATCACTTAATTTTCCCAGAGTAAAACTAAGAACTTGACATTTCCTACAGTGAGTTTTCTTTCTAATCCAGTGCTCCCCAAGGCAAACAAAGCTATTTACTGGTGCCAAAATCCAACACCTAAAATCATGTAAAATTATGTGGAAAAAAAAGCATAAAGCTATTTACAAACTAAAACTAAACATGGAAAATGTAGCACAATTGTTTCTCCCTAACTGCAACCAGTACAGTTGTAACTCAGAGGCTGTTGTCTGGAGTGTGGATTAGTGTAGATATTTGCAATGATTTTTGCTATGGGCATTTCTGCCTTAAGAAAGGCAAAGGAAACAAAAACATGAAATTCAAAACATTTCCAGTTTTGATAGTTTAGTAGAGAACTAGATTAGAATACAGCAAATAATACATTTTCTATATTCTGTTTTCGATATTCTCTATTATCTTCCTATCAATGGCCTCTTCCATTCCCAGTTTGCTGTCTAATATACCTGTCTATCTCTCAAGTCCAGCAATTATTTCAATTCAAAAATCCAGCAATGGGACTTGTGGGTATCATTGTCAGGGTTAGGAACTAATGAAAAAGTAGGGGACACAATCAAAGGAATGGGAGGTAGAAAAAGAAAGCACAAGAGGAAGTAACAAAGCAGGGAGGGAAAGGAAAGACATTGAGAGAAAACAGTTGAGGTGCATAGAATAAACAGGATGGATGCTACAGAAGGGAGAGGCCTGGTTCTGGATCTGCTCATCTGGGAGCTTAAACCATGCACAAAAGCACACTGCTCACATGTGCACACACATATACATACACAAATATACACACACATTTATCCCTAGGCCCTAACCCACAGGTAGATTCAGCATGAAGCTAATGAAGGTTGAGCTTCAGGGTTTATCACTTACATGGACCTATACATTAGAAGGGCCTAGAAGTGTGTTCACATGGTAATATGTTTTGAAAAGTCTGTAAAAACAAGATACTGTTGTATTCTTTTTCTTAATGAGAGCTTACATATTATATAATCCTCAGGCACTACAAAATCTTGAATCTGTCCCTGACCCAAAACCAACAATATTCTGATTCCAGTGGGTTTGGGGATAAATGCTGTCTTCTTTTATTTTTTTATTTTTTCTTAAATGTCACCAAGTGATTTTGATACATAGCTAGGTTTGGAAATCACTGATGAAGGACTACAGACTGATCACTTTAATGAGTCTCTGACACCTAGGTGGTATTTCTTTCTGGAGTTTTGCCACCATTGATTGCGACATAAACCATATAACAGTATGCAGTTTGGAAAAAGCTGACAATTGGCAACATTCACTTCCACATTGCAGTGATGAATCACATAACCCTCTGTGCCGAGTAATTAACTAACCATTTGTATGTACTGGCTGTAGCGATATAGTTCTTTCCAACGAGGAAGGAAGGGAATTTGGACATAACATTAACAGTTGTTAATACCAAGCAAATAGAGTAAATTAGATTTATTAAAAAGAGTATGTGTGTGGATTTTTCCCTAGGAGTTGATATAATTTGCCTAGCTTTCTAATTATAGCTGGGACAGAAAATGGCTGAACCCAAAGACCTCTCACGGTATCTAATAAACTTTTACTTACAGGGAGAACATTTCTTGGGTTGAAGAATGACAAATAATTTACTAAGCTTTTCCTGAAAGATAGCTAAAGGTGTTTCACCTATATCCAGCTGATGAATTAGCTTTAGCTAATAATCAGTGTCATGAGACAGGGAAGAAGCAGCCTGTAATTACTTTGAAAGGAATGAAGGAACAGATCTGATAAAGAAACTAAATCAGCTAATTCCTCTAGTGGCATACTGAGTGGGAGAGAAGCTTACTCTACTGCAAGTTTTAAAGTGAGGCAAAGATGGGGGACATTGGTGGTTTTTACCTGCCTGACATCAATTCTCATTTTCTCACAACAAACCCTCAATTTTCCTTTCCATAGGATGCAGTTTGGGGCATATGATGCAAGATTCCCTGCCTTCTTCAGGCCGGGGGTAGGCATGTGTTCCAAACCTGACTAACCATTCTCAGTTGCAAATAATCTGAATCCTGCCTGCAATGACTTAAGAAGAAAACCAGCTGGAGCTGATCCATCCTGGGGGACATTATATATAAATCTCACTCTTATATATAATTATACATGTGTGAGATTTATACATAAATCTCATTCATATATATAATTACACATGCTTTTAAAAATGTATTTGTTTTTACATAAATTTAATCAAAATAAAGAGACTGAATTGCAACTATAAGAATCAGAATTTCAGCTATTTCTTTACCATAAAATATAATAATTTTTAAAAGAATTTACATCAATTAAGACAAAATTTTATGAAACCTTTAATAATTTGGAGTCATTTAAAAAATTCTGCACTTTAAATTCAGACAGAATCTCTTAGGAATCAGTTCTAGGAAAGATGAGAAAACTGGCAGGCACTTCTCCCTTTTCCCTCTTCCTCCTTTTATTTTTGTTAGCAATATTATTATTTTTATATTATCAGGTTTTAATGTTTCTGTCTTTTGTAACCACAATTCTCATGGTTGTTTTCCTCTGGTTCTACACTTAGCATACTTTTATCCACAATTTTTTTAAGTTCTTGAGATCTTTATTGTGATTAATCTCTGGTGGCTAGATACTACCTTTAAGAATTTTTTTTTAAAGAAAGATTCATCATATATTCCCTAAGTTCTTGTATGCTTGAGGAAGACTGGTACCCTCATGCCTGGGAAGGAACAACATGGCTAAATAGTAAATTTTGGGATCATCTTAATTTTACCTTCGAGGCTTTATAGATAGGTGCATCAGTTTGCTGCAAAGAAGCCTAAGTCCAACATGATTTCTTACCCTTCTTATGTATCTAGCTTTTAATGTCTGAAGCTGTATTCTTCCTTTGTATCTTAGGTCAATACCTTTATCAGGACATGTTTTCATTGTTCTGTAGCAATTTATTTAACTGGAACTTCACAAGCTCTTTTAATTTTTATAGATTCAAAACCCTTTAGACACAAGATCCACAAGCATCACTCCTGTTCTGTTGGTCTCACTTCACTCCCCATCCCCGCTTTTCTGCAAATGATGCTCTCAAATAAAATGCAAGTTAATAGGTATTGTAAATGATTCTATGTTTGTTCCTTTCAGATTGTTTCTTCTTTGATTGACCGGGGTTGGTTATCTGTTGGGAATATGGGGAAGTGATTAATGAGCTAGAGCTGTCTGTGTGTCCAGTGTTGTTACCAAAAACCTATTATTTCCTTTATGCAGGCACACATTTCCTCCCAGGTTTCTATGTTCAAGAGGTTACATGGTATTAATAACAATGATTTACGTCGTTTTTGTGTTGAATTCTGGCACTTTCTCTCTGTCATCCTCTTTTGCCCCCTTCACTTCTGGCAATCTCCTCCATTTGGAGGCAAGGTGACAGACAATGTAGATGGCTCATCAACATGGTCTGTCCATTGGATCCCTCTTCCCTGACATTTTTGGGGTGTGAAACTGGGACTCTTTAAAGATATTCTCACCTCTTCAGGGACTGGTATACTACTGGACAGTCATGACTGTAAAAAAGAATTGCTGGATGTGCCTTTCTGGATGGGGATACTCACTTGTATGTTAACCAGAAGTATCCCGCATCATTATTTCGTTTAAGAATTATGAAGTTAAAGAGAGTCAATAACGTTGAGAAATTATGCAATGAACTATTAAACTTTAGGTTAATTTGACTAATATTTGTTGTATGATTACTTCATGCAAAATAACAAAGGAGATTAAAAAAAAAGATGAGTAAAAGAAAGTCCTTGTCTTCACTTTCAGTGTGGCAGGAGAATAAATAAAATAGAAGATACTTATATTATTATGACTGTGCAAATACTGTTCACTGCTGAGCCAACTAGAAGGTGAGTATTGTGAGTATCCACTTAAAATACTGTGTGACACTACTCATCTCCACCTGAGCAGTACATCTCTCAGTAAATTGCACATCATAGTAAAAAGTGATCTCTTGCAGTTCTTGTCTATTTTTTTATCATGTTTAATGCAATACTGTAAACCAGGAATAACATCATGGGACATATACAACATGCCACTAGTGTTGCTGAAAATGCTCCCAAGAAGCAGAGAAAAGCCATGACATTACAAGAAAAAGTTGAATTGCTTGATACATACTATAGACTGAGGTCTGCAGCTGCAGTTGCCTGCCATACCAGAATAAATGAATCCAACGTAAAGACCATTGAAAATAAGAAAAGAGAATTTGTGAAGCTGTCATTGCAGCTAGGCCAGCAGGCATGAAAATTTGGCATTTTTTTTGTGAAATACTACACATTTTTATCTCGTATTGAAAATATAGCTTTTATGTGGGTACAGGATTACTTTAAGAAAGGCATACCTATAGACTTTAGTATAATTTAAGAAAAAAGTGAAGTCATTACAGTAAATGACAAATTAAAGCAAAAGGAAGATGAAGGATCTAAATATGGTGAATTTAATGCCAGCAAAAGATGGTTTGATAATTTTAGAAAGTGGTTTGGCCTAAAAAAATACTAAGATAATAGGAGAAGCAGCTTCTGTCAACCAAGAGGCGGCAGAGTTCCCAGATGTCATTAAGAAAATCATACCAGAGAAAGGATATCTGTCTGAACAGATTTTTAATGTAGATGAAAGTGCCCTATTCTGGAAAAAAATGCCACAAAAAATTTTATTAGTAAGGAAAAGAAGCAAGCACTAAGATTTAAGGCAGGAAGAGATAGGCTAACTCTGTTTTGTGCAAATGTAGTTGAATTCATGATCAAGATTGCCCTTATCTATAAAGCTGCTAACCCATGAGCCTTGAAAGGAAAAGATGAATACCAGCTGCCAGTCTTTTGGTTGTACAGCAAGAAAGCCTGGATAATGACAACCCTTTTTCTGGACTGGATCCTTGGATGCTTTGTCCCTGAAGTCGAGAAGCACCTTGCCAGGAAGAAACTGCCTTTTAAAGTTCTTTTGATATTGGACAATGCCCCCGGCCACCCAGAACTCCATGAGTTTAACACCAAAGGCATCAAAATGTCTACTTGCCTCCAAATGCAATGTCTCTAATTCAACCTCTAGATCAGGAAATTGCAAGGACCTTTAAGGTTCATTACACATGGTACTTTTTGAAAAGAATTATCAATGCTGTGAAAGAGAACCCAGATACAACATGTAACAGTCTGGAAGCATGACACCATTGAAGATGCCATTCTTATTATTAAAAAAAAAAAGCTGTGAAAACAATCACTGCTGGAGAAAACTGTCCAGATGTGCATGACTTCACAGGATTTATGACAGGGCCAATCAAGAAAATCAGGAATGAGATTGTGGATATGATAAAAAAGAAAGAAAGAAAGAAAGAAAAAGAAAGTGAGGGGTAGAGGATTTCAAGATGAGGATCTGATCTTGGGGAAATTCAAGAACTAATAGACACTACACCAGAGCAATTAACAGAAATGAAGATAAGTAGTACTTCTGAACCAATGCCAGATGATGAGGATGAAGATGTAGAAGAAGCTGTGAAGGAAACAAATAGACATTAGACAATCTGGCAGAAGGGTTCCCATTACTCAAGACGGTTTTGGACTTTTTTTTCTTTTTTAATGACTTGGACCCTTCTATGAAGTGGGCACTGAAACTAAAGCAAATGGTGGAAGAAGAATTGGTACCATAAACACTTTTAGTGAAAAAGGAAAACAGACAACAATTATGCTGTATTTCTGTAAAGTTACACTGAGTGTAGCTGCCTCTCCTGCCTCCTCTTACCTGTACTCCACCTCTTCCTCCTCTGCCACCCCTGAGACAGAAAGACCAGCCCCTCCTTGTAAGCCTACTCAATGTGAAGATGATTAGAATGATGACCTTTATGATGATTCATTTCCACTTAATGAATAATAAATATATTTTCTCTTCCTTATGATTTTGTTATTAACATTTTTTATTATTATATTTTACAGGTTTGTTACATAGGTATACATGTGCCATGGTGGTTTGCTGCACCCATCAACCCGTCATCTACATTAGGTATTTCTCCTAATGCTACCCCTACCCTAGCCTCCACCTCGCAACAGGCCCCGGTGTGTGATGTTCCCCTCCCTGTTTCCATGTGTTCTCATTGTTCAACTCCCACTTACGAGTGAGAACATGTGGTGTTTGCTTTTCTGTTCCTGTGATAGTTTGCTGAGAAGATGGTTTCCAACTTCATCCATGTCCCTGCAAAGGACATGAACTCGTCCTTTTTTATGGCTGCATAGTATTCCATGGTGTGTATGTGCCACATTTTCTTTATCCAGTCTATCATTGATGGGCATTTGGGTTCCAAGTCTTTGCTATCGTGAACAGTGCTGCAATAAACACACATGTGCATGTGTCTTTATAATAGAATGATTTATATTCCTTTGGGTATATACCCAGTAATGGGACTGCTGGATCAAGTGGTATTTCTGGTTCTAGATCTTTGAGGAATTGCCATACTGACTTCCACAATGGTTGAACTAGTTTACACTCACTCCCACCAACAGTGTAAAAGTGTTCCTATTTCTCCACATCCTCTCCAGCATCTGCTGTTTCCTCACTTTTTAATGATCGCCATTCTAACTGGCATGAGATGGTATCTCATTGTGGTTTTGATTTGCATTTCTCTAATGACTTTTCTCTATTTACTTCATTGTAAGAACACAGTGTACAATACATATAACATAAAAATATGTGTTAACTGGCTGTTCATGTTATCGGTAAGCATTCTGATCAACAGTAGGCCATCAGTAGTTAACTTGGGGGGAATCAAAGAGTTGTAAGGGCTGGGCTCACACCTGTAATCCCAGCACTCCAGGAGGCCGAGGCGAGAGGGACAGCCTGAGGCCAGGAGTTGGAGACCAGCCTGCGCAAATAGTGAGACCCTCCCTGTCTCTACAAAACTTTAAAAGGTGTGATGGCAGGCATCTGTAGTCCCAGCTACTTGGGAAGGCTGGTGTGGGAGGATCACCTGAGCCCAGGAGTTCAAGGCTGCAGTGAGTTATGATTGCTGCACTGCACTCCAGTCCTCTTAAAAGAAGATTTTTGATTACATGGGAAGTTGGTGCCCCTACACATTGTTCAAAGGTCACTGTACTTAAATTTAGGTTATTCCATACGAATGAATGGATGATTTTCTAAACGTAAGTTGTATACATCTAGATGTACTTTATCAACTGGAGAACTGTATTTACCATTGAGTAATATAATATTTAAAATTAAATCCTGAGGAGGGGGAGTGAGGGTTGAAAAAATACCTGTTGGGTCTAATATTCACTATTCAGGTGATGGGTACACTAAAAGCCCATACTTCACCACCCAGCACATGCATTTTAAGAAATCTGTACTTGTACCCCCTAAATATTAAAAAAAGTAAATTTTGGACACTTGAAACTTTTCCAAATAGTCTCAAGAAATAGTTTCTATAATTTGAATCTTTCCTTTATAACATATTTGAAACATTTTTTTCTGATGTAACCAGCACCTTACATACACTAAATATTTTTATTTCAAGATATATGAAAACAAACAAGTAAACACCTGATATTTTTTGTAAAAGAGTATTTTCAGTAAGGATTGGTTTTGCTAAAATAAGTTTATTAACAAGACTTGATTCAGTTGGTCTTTTAGTAAGGTTAATTCCACTTGGTTTAATTGAAGCAAATCTTGATGAAATAGTATTATGCTTCCATTTACTTCTTTCTATCATCTACCCACAATATATGTAATAGTGATTACATTCAGCCAACTATTTTTCAGGTCAAGAGAGATGTCTTCAAGAAAACAGACTATGATTGACAGTTCTCCCAAATCAGTAATATCATAAATATTTATATATACAGTTATAAACAAACTATTAGTTTAAGAAATGCAATTTATCCTTGGTGATAATAGCTTTGAAGGTTAAAAGGCAGAATTTAACATTTTAGTTCTCTAAAATCTTATGCTTTCAACAACAACAAACTGTTCTAACTAAAGAATATCAGACAATGTAGTTCTCTCTCTACTGATTACATTTTTTTAGATATGCTTATAACTACTATGTGCTTAAAAATTATTTGTGTGCATTAAATGCATTACTTGGCAGAACTCTTCAGACAACAAGTAATGAAAGATTTCAAATAAAATTCCATTCCCAAAAGCTTCTACTTAAGTAGTTTGAATTTATTGAAGCTCCTAATATAGTAAAATCTACTGAATTTTAGGTGACAATCTCTTTTTAAAGCGAACCCTATAAAAGGAGCAAGTTGCATCCACAGAGAACTAACAAAGTGCAATGTACTTAATTTCTTGAACAGATTTTATTAGATGCTAAATATAGTAAGCCTCTCCAGAGACAGTATTACATTTCAGGGGATTAGAGGATTTGTAAAACCACTGTCTGCTCATAATGGAGGGCTTATCAACTGAAAAATATTTTTAATGATTTTACTGAGTATATCATCACATCCATGAACATAAGCTGCATTTAAGACTGCAATGAAGCATGATCTAGTGTTTTGATCGCTTTTATAAGAGTTACATAATATTTGTAACGATTCTTCAGTATACTATAAATTTTCTTAACCTGGATAAAGCACTGTTTCATTTATTTGGTATTGTGGAAAAGAAAGAGTTCCATATAAGTGAAATAAACACATAGCACAATCTTACTACTTTACAGTGGGTTACTTCATGTGAAATTGACACTTTTGTGGGTCAAAAATTGTTAAATACGGACAATTTCAAATGGCTCAGCTTATACACCAAAGGTTTCTCATTTTATTAATAACTACTTTGGGTAGAAATAGTTCTGGAAATTTTTACTTTCTTGATTATCTTTTAAAATAGCCTTTATTAGATCTAGGCAAACTTTTACTTAATGATAATGATTTCACTCTGCTGTAGTAAGAAGCTGTGCTCAGAACTACTGAAGAGATCGTTACTAAACCCCAATGCCTAACGGGCCCATGTAGGTAAAGGCAACAGGTGAAGGTGCTTTAATACATTATTTTGACAGGGACACACTTTGTTTGCACATAACACACAGAAATATACTTCTCCTCCGTAAAGACATGCACTTGCTCCCTTTCTGTATCTGCCACTCATTCCTCTAGGCCTGCCTTCCTATTGCTCGCTTTTGATGGTGACTCAGATGTAATAAGTACATTGTTCGGTTTCTTTTCAGCCAGAGTATTTTCAAAAACACACAAAGATAAATGGCAACCAACACTGGGCCTCCGAGTTGGGGAGATAATGGGGAAAGGTAGGCACTGGGAATACTGAAATGCCCTCCGTGAAAGTGGGGGCTGTGGTAAACTGGAACCACATACAGTGCAGTCAGTTTAAATTCCCAAGAACGAATACCTTTTAGGAATGTAGCTGCAGTGTTGCTAGATCTTGAATTCTTCAAGAGAGACTTGAAATAGACTTTTAAAAATGTGAATTACCTGATATTTAACTGCTAGCAACCAAAACAAGACAAAAGAAAAACACCGTGTAGAGGAACATCGTGAGAGCTAAACGAAACCAGTTTGTGAGCTGAATATGGCCCATGGAGTTTGGAATCTCTGTTCTAATTGTTTCCGTACTATGCTGTGGTTTTTTAGTTTTTCTGTGTATTTCTCTCTCTTCCCTTGTTTTCATAGCTGTTTTTCAGCAGTTCCGAAGTTAGCTGGATACTTTGAGAAATCAGATCATCACACTTGTCACAACAGTATATAAAGTTGGAATTAATAGGTTTATATGGGAGGAAAGGACAAGAGATTTCTCTGAAATGATTTAATTTATTGATACATTAAATCAATAAATTAATTTATCCAATACATCATCACAGCAGGTTTTTAAAGAAATATTTATTACTGGCAATCTACTAATGCAGCTCAGAGTATCAGAGACACAGGTAAGAAAGAGCAGTTGCCATGTGTTATTATCCTACCACAGCATTCCTTTATTAGGGTAGGAGTTGCGGCGGTCAAAATTGTTAACACTGCAAGATTTCAAACAGGTAAATTCGGATTATCCCTCAGACTTAAGCAAAGCATGGGTATCTCAGAGGCTGTTCTCCTCCTTCTGTTAAGTAAAGCAGCTACCTGAAGATGATGTACTCTTGGAGACCATCTAAAAATATCTTTTAGTACTTTCTTCCCATCTGCCTTTATTTATTTTTTAAAAGTTCTTATTATGGAAATTTAAAAACAAAAGTACAAGAGATTTTATGCATGCACTTTGTGGTATCTATTTTAATTGCACAAAGTGTTTTTTTTTTTAATAACTTGCAGGCTTTTGGTTCATGTTCTAGTTGAAGTTGGTTGATAATTGATCTCCAGACAATTGAAATTTTACTGTAGTTTGTATAATAAAAATCATCATTCACTACACTGACTGAATAAAAAGTGAAGAGAATAGAAATTTTGTGTTTTGTCTCAGTTAGTCATTTATAAGACTGAAGAACTTTCCTGTGTATTTCATCAACCTCTATATGATCAAAATGAAAACTAATAAATCATTTAGATTTTGTCTTTGTAACTGTAACCTGACTTGTAATCTAAGCTTACAAAAACAACAAAAAGACTTCGGCAACATAACTCTGGAAAATATTTGATATTTTACAGACCTTACAACAGTGAGACATGTCATTCTACATTATTTTTTGCTTTTGATTTTCAATTTAAATATTAGCTTTACTTGATACACCTTTAAAATAAACTATCACTGAAAAAGAATTAATGAGGTATATTTATAGAGTTAGTAGCAGTCAGACATACAATAACTAATGAAAAATGTATTTATTGAGCATTTTCAAGGTACTTGAAACAGTATCTCATCCTCACTATAACACTGCAATGTATTAAGGTAAGCCACACGGAAATGCTGTTTTTATAGTCCAAACATCAGCAATTTCAAGTGGTTCAAGTTAATAAGTAATATTAGCATAGATCTTATTTTACAGAAGAGGTAACTAAGTAAAGAGAGGTGGAATGATTTGTTTACAGTCATGCAGTTAGTCAGCGGCAAAGCTAAGATTCACATTGAGGTCTGCCTGGTCCAGAAGCCTGTATTCTTATATCAAAGAACTGTGGTGGGACATCTGCTGATAGGCAAAGACAGAATAAAAGGAAAAAGGTAAAGATAGGTCTTTAACTACGGGAGATTTATAACTTGCTTAGGGAGAAATAATAATGCCAAAATTACCAGGAAAAATAGAAACCATCCTAACACAAAATGCAAAATATTGGGACATTCGTTTTTACACCATGATTTGAGCTTTACTGGTGCAACTTCAGAATCAATTTTCCTCTGCTGTTCTTCATTTCTCAAGTGCTTTTTTCTTGAGGCCATTAGAGCACCATGTCACTGGTTGGCAAGAGAGAAGTATTGATTATACGATCCAAGTACTACAAGGGCAGCTTTCTCTAAAATATCTATAGTTACATATTTATGAGAATTACATTTTGACTTTGATATCTGCATAATTCATTACAAAACAAACAGACTTCTAAAATATTAATGACTCCAAGCCTAGATCCCCTTTCCAGAGCTCTCCACTGCATTTCTGCCTCCGGGGCTTCACCTGGATGCTCTAGAGGTACTCAAAAGCAACATGTCCATTTATAAACTCACTCTTTTGTCTCTAAACCTATTCTTCCTCCTATTTCCTATCTCACGATGGCACCACAGACTTGTCCAGATCAGAGCCAGGAGAGACACCCCCTTCTCCCGCTGCCACTGGCCTCCAAGTTCAAATCAGTAACTCACTATTGATCCTGTCTCCTAAATAACTCTACCATCTCTTTCAGCATCTCCAACCCCACTGACTCTGCTCTATTTGGATCCTCATCATCTCTCCCCAGTCAACGACCAAGTCTAACTGGTTTCTTGACTCCAGTCTTGCCCCACTCCAACCTAGCTTTCTTAGAAAGGAAACTTTCTGTTACATCATCTGATATATAACTATATCTAGTTTCTAGTTATACCAAGCATATTTAAAAGATGAAAAACCACCTTCTCTCCTTAAATAGCCTGCTTTGGGGCCTAGAGCAAAAGCACAGACATCATAAACACTAGATAACTCAGGTTTTGGCAGGTAAGTAATATCCACTGACAGGTTGGGCTCCTTAATGGAATATTTATTCATGCTAATAATAAAATGTAATAACAAAACCCAAAAATATATTTTGCTTAAATAAATTTGCTAAAGGACCAAATGTGTAAAATAATATCCATGCTTATATATTATCATTCTAAGAAAATATAACATATGCTTAATTGCTATTAGATTTTTTAACTCCAGGAGTGACATTCTGACACAATGCTGAAGAACCCCCAATTTTGCGGCAGGACCTCTGGGTCCCTCATTTCCAGGGGTGAAGCAGGAGGAGGAGGGTGAAGGTGGGAAGCAGAGGGAAGAGGAGGGAAGAGGAAAGGAAGATCCCAAATAAGTGAGATTCCTAGCTTCCTGCTTCCAACTCAAACAGGGCAGCTGAACTTTTTTGCTATATATATATATATATGGATTGTGGATCTTCATAAAACTTAATAATAAAAGAATAATAATGCTTCAAATAGTAATTTTAAAATTATTGCTCTATAGTCTAAGAGATGAGAAAAATTTGAATAGATGAGAAAAATTTCAATTTAGTGTGTAGCAACTAATTGTATATATACATAAAAACAGTTTGTAACTAATCATTAACACAAAACCAATTCCTCTTTCATAAATATAAAACTATTCTGTGCCTTCTTAAACATTTTCTGTTTATAAAATATCTGATGTATTTCTAAAAAGAGCTTATCCCAAACTCAAGATTTTATCCAACATTGTTCTGATTAATTCCTTTTGCTTTGATTTCTCATATAATCTACTTTTTTTGTTGTTGTTGTTAAGCAAGAATAACCTTAAAACAAGGTGTATGGGATACCTCCTCAGACATCCATGTTGACATTTGTTTGCTATTTGTGAAATAACATATACTGAGTATATATTGTGAAAAATGACTCTTCAAAATACATCAAATACACTCAATTACAGACATGTATAGTTAAATACAGCCAACAACAGGTCATTCTGAGCATACATATGATCACAATGTATGTGCTATGTGCATGTATGTATATATCTTCTCTCTCTGGATATACAGATGAAGCTATAACTCACCCACACTAAAAGATTATTTTCAAGACTTTGTCCATCTGGAATTATTTCCATAGTGGAATTTCATATCACACTTTTGGGGTGGAGATTCCCTTTTAATAAATTCTATATGTTTCACATTTTCTCTGGGCCTCAGCTGCCTCAGGCAGCTACAGCCTCCTGTGGTAATTTGTGTGTCTACCTTTGTGCATATATGCCTCTGGGCAACATTTCTTAGAATGAAGTATGGGACTGTAGTCAAACTCAGCAGGAATATAAGGGCATGACCACATTGGGAACCAATCTAATATTATGCCCAAAGAAACTGAAAAGGAAAAGAGGCAGACTACATGCCTAGAGTGAAGCTTTTTTTTTTTTTCAAGAAGTTTAGCAAATCTGGTTAAATTCCCTGGATCCAAATGTATATTTTGACCTTTTCTTGGAAACTAGATGACAGGCCAGCCAAGTAGTCAGAATAATTTCTACTAATACATATTTTTAAAAGGCATGTTCCTTAAACATCATAGTGATTCAAGATGTTATGTTTATATGTATATGCTAAATGTGAATAAAATATATCCAGTATTTATTACTTTAAGCTTCATATACTAATGCTTAATTGATAAAAACTATTTTAAATATAAGTAAAATAAGAGGGAAAACAATATAGCACCCACTGTTATGAAAAGCACTTTGAACATAAAAACAACAAAAGGAACAACAGTTTTTGAATATTTACTTTGTGGTAACATCATGCTAAGTGCTTTCATGTATATTTACCAACTAATCCTCAGCCCATTCTTGTGATGTAGGTGCTATTTGTATCATCTAAATGAGAAGGCTACATTTCAGATGATTGAGCAACTTAAGGACCCAGTTAATAAGAAGTAGGGACAGGACTGGAGTCCAGGTCTGTCTGACCATACAGGATCCCAACATCTCACCTCATACCACTGGGTAATCAGATAAAACTGAAAAAAGGACATAAGGTAAAAACATTTGAGTGGGGAGGACACGTCTAGGAAGAGGGCTAATAACTGCAAATTGTTATGAATAGTAAACTAAAGTAACCAAAGAGATTTAAAAGCAACTAAGGAGTGGAATACCGTTTCATTTAAACAGTCTGAACAAAACAAAGAAACTACACATTCATTAACATTATGAAATATTTAGGTAGCTTATAATACTACTGTTACATTAAACTTAATTTTCTTTCAATTAGGCAATATCTCTAGAGGAGTTTCCATTCCGCATGGCAAGTAATGTGATACTGAAATGCAAGGGCAGACATTTTCTAGTCAGAGTTAGAAATACAGTCAAACTTTCAAATCACAATTAATATCTTCGTAAAATAGATAAAACTCCCATGACATATATAGTAATTCATTGATGAATGGAGCAAAATATTAATAGCTAATTTGCACCTTCCTACCCTGTTGTCCTCTACCTCTCCTTGACCATACCATCCATTTACACTTCACACATTGACCTTGTAAAGACCTCTGAAGTGTGACTACAGTGTAACGAATAAGGAGTAGTCTCAAAAGACGACTAATTTGAAGGCAGTGACAATGATCTAAATGGGGAAGCTCTAGTTATGTTGGTTAAAGATCAGTCACATTACTTTATAAGCATCCTTTGTGCTTTTAGAATGAAATTATTCAGCAGCCACAAACACATACATACGGGCTCAGAACTAAGCACCTGTGAACTCTCAACACAGTGCCTGGCTCAGCGCAGCTGCAAAGTAGTATCTCTCCAAAATGAAACAAAACGAGGCAAAGCAAACAAACAAAAAACATGGAGCCAACCAAGCTACAAAATGGGAGAAAATTTTTGCAACCTACTCATCTGACAAAGGGCTAATATCCAGAATCTACAATGAACTCAAACAAATTTACAAGAAAAAAACAAACAACCCCATCAAAAAGTGGGCAAAGGACATGAACAGACACTTCTCAAAAGAAGACATTTATGCAGCCAAAAAACACATGACAAAATGCTCACCATCACTGGCCATCAGAGAAATGCAAATCAAAACCACAATAAGATACCATCTCACACCAGTTAGAATGGCAATCATTAAAAAGTCAGGAAACAACAAGTGCTGGAGAGGATGTGGAGAAATAGGAACACTTTTACACTGTTGGTGGGACTGTAAACTAGTTCAACCATTGTGGAAGTCAGTGTGGTGATTCCTCAGGGATCTAGAACTAGAAATACCATTTGACCCAGCCATCCCATTACTGGATATATACCCAAAGGACTATAAATCATGCTGCTTTAAAGACACATGCACACGTATGTTTATTGTGGCATTATTCACAACAGCAAAGACTTGGAACCAACCGAAATGTCCAACAATGATAGACTGGATTAAGAAAATGTGGCACATATACACCATGGAATACTATGCAGCCATAAAAAATGATGAGTTCATGTCCTTCGTAGGGACATGGATGAAATTGGAAATCATCATTCTCAGTAAACTATCGCAAGAACAAAAAAGCAAACAAATAACCAACATGATTCTACCTGGCAGTAGGCTAAGAACTAATTCTGATGTATTTTGGTTATTTAGTCAAGTTAGGTTATTTGCTAATTTCTCCAATATTCAAATACTGTCTCTCACATGCAGAGAATCCACTTTTTAATTCAACAAATGATAATACAGATCTACTAGGTTAAGTTTCAGGCACAATCCTTAGGCCTGGAATACAAAAGAATAGGTTGAGTGGGAGACATTAAAATATATCATTTAAAGCTAAAAATATCCATATATTCAAAGTTAAAGGAAGTCTGAGCTCATCTGAGAAAACGACATACATAAAAACTGAGATATGTGGCCAAAAACCTATATGCAATTAATTCTCCATAAAGAGCTATGGATTTATAGGTAGGGATAATCTCATATGTGCTGGAGTAGTCAGAATACTTAGGAGAAGTGGGCTATGAGCAGGGCCACTGAAGCACAAGACAGCTGAAAAGTGACAGGAGGACTGCGGGGCAAAGGCCCTTGGGTGGGAATGCTCGTGGTAGAATGGAGTTCAATGAGCATATGAGGGAGCCTTTATATCTCTGGAAAGAAACCGCTAGCATCAGGGTGGGAAATGTAGTTTGAGATCTTCTGAGGACAGTGTTAAATGTTAAATGCCAGTTTGAGAAGTTGAACTGTATTAATGGCCCCCAAAGCCTCAGGCTTATGGATCTGGGACAGTGAACTCCTTCTGAAATGGTTCTATCTGCCGTTGTCAGTGCACACCTTTGCTGGCTGCAGCACAGCAAGTGGCCGTCGTGATAGATTGTGCCCCATCTTAACTATGATTAACTGAACCTGTGATAGTCTCATTTGTACACTTAAATGAACATAAATAGATGTTTAGAGCAACCTATATTGAGATTCTGGGTAAAAAATGAACAAAATTAAATGAATTCTATACTGTGAATCAATGTAGATTGAGTAAAAACACAGTGAAGGGAGTATTTCCAGTCAGACCGTTTTGAAGGCTCATTATTAACTCATTTAAGTGGATTCTGAGTACTTCAGAAAGAACAATTGAGCCAAGTTTCCATGGAAAGAGCCACAATTTGTGCACAGTGCTTCAAGACTGTCAAATTAGCTTCAAATAATGATACCTACTGTATGTGAACAGTGTTTATTGCTCAGTGGCTACACATAACTTGCATATTCTTTAGATTAACAGAGCTTCAAACCATAATTAGCTGCCTTGCCTAATGAGCACATGGAACTTTAGGAAGGTGGTTGAATGAAATTGTCTTTAAGATCCTTGAACAACAATGAGAATGATGGAAATACAAAGAATAGCTATTAGTTCTGGAGGCCTTTGAAACATTTTGCCCCTAAACTAAAATATTTCTTCAGCCTATCCTGCATCATAAGCTTAAGTAGCAAAATCTTACTTTTCTCACTAATTGAGGCCTTTTTGCCTGAGGGATTTTTCAAGAAAACATAATGGCAGCATCTTCTTCACATCCTCACCCAGTGAATTCTGAGACTCTAAATAAAACATAAAGCTCTAGTGCAGAGACAAGAGAGGTGAGCAGAAGGGCTGAGCACAAAGATTGAGCCAGGCCGTCAGAATGCATCAAGCCTCACTCTTGAAGCACTGGGATCAGACCAGAGCAGTCCTCTACTTCCAAGGAGGTTTAAACATTTCAGGAATAAAAGTCAGTCCTGAGGAAGGCAAACAAATATATTTATATTTACCTTACTGTTATTGCTGCTGAATGTATATGATACACTTTGGTTGTGTTCTACAAACCTGGCTTCTTTAGAAAAGTAAAGTCACTAAATTATTCTTGGGGAGCTACATACACTGAACTAAAGTGACTTCACCACAAGCCACTCAAATAAATGCAACTCAGAATCTCCAGTGTCATTTGCTTGCAGTGTGGGATGGGGGTTTGGGGAGGGAGGTTATCTGGGGTGGGTAAAGGCCTGGCCATGGGGGATTAGGGGACAAACTATTCAAGCAATTCAAGAAAAGGAAGAAAAGAAATAATACAATTGGGCCTGACTGTTTTGAAAACTAAGTATGACGCAAATGAAGTAAATTAAAAATCTTTTAATCTTAAAAACTTAATGAGTGATAAATTATAAATACATCTACTAGGACTTCTAGAAGGCTGACATACAATTTTAAGACTAATTGTTTTGGTCTTCAAAACGACAAAATGAGAAACAGCATGGTGTAGCAGAGATTCTCACTAAAAAGTATCCATCTGAAACTGACAGCAAGCATCAGATTTGATGGTCCAGTAGTGTAAGTATCCATTAAAGCCATAAACAAGTTAAGAGATGCCTCAAACATTCCCAATACCCAGTATATTCATGGTCCTAGATAATCACAATAAAAAAGAAGAAATATGAGGCATAAAAATTGGAAAGAGGCAAAATGATCAGGATTTCCAAAGGATATAATTGCTTACCTAAAAAAGTATAAGAAACTCAAGCTGATATACCATTAAAAATATTTTTTAAAAATTTAGTATGTTAGCTAGTTACAAGATCCACAAAACCAGTTGTATTCCAACACAGTAGCAAGAACCAGTTAGAATTAGAGAAAAGATTCCACTGACATTAGAAAAAACATCAAAAAAAGTTATATAGGAATAAACCTAACAAAATATGAAATAGCTTTGTTGAAAAAAGTATAAAACTTTATTAAAGGACATTAAGGAAGACCTGAAATGGAGAGCTATACCAAATTTAAAAATGGGAAAATCTAATGCTATAAATACGTCCTTTGTCTTCAGAAAAATCATTCTGTGCAAAACTACATTCAATGTAATCCCCTAAAAATACCAACATGATTTTTAAGAAAAGTTTAAGAAATTGATCATAAATTAATATGAAAGAATATTATGTGAGAATAAGTAAGATAATTCTAAAAAGTAGTTAAGAGAGGGATGAATCTGCTAGATACACAGTCATTATGTAAGTTGCAGTAGTAACAGTATAGTGTTGATGTCAAAATAGACAACTAGCTGAAGAGATTCCAGGAACAGACTTGTGGATATATGAAAATTTTTATAAGAGAAGTGCTATATCTAATCATAGGAAAAAGGATATTGATAAATGATGTAGAGAAAATTCATGTTTCGTGTATTAAAATACACAGATGCCAATATCACATATAAAAAGCAAATTCCAGGTGGACTAAAGACTTAAACCTTAAAAGAAAACTGAAATAATTATGATACTAGAGGAGAATATCTGACTTTGTGTTGCAGAGGTGTTACTTCATAATAGAAAACACTTATGTGGTGTTTATTCTGTGCCAGGTACTTTATATATATTAACTCACACACCTTGCAGCAATCTATAAGGTAGATACTATTATTATTCTCATTTTATGGCTGAGGAAATGAAGGCATCCAGAGATTATGAAGTTGTTCCAGACCTCACAGTCAGTAAGTGACAGAGTTGGAATTCAAATCTCAACTGTTAAGACCTAAAGCACATAAAGGAATAGATTGAAAAATGTAGCTTCATAAAATTAAATTCTTCTAAAAGCCAAATACATTTTAAGCCAAGATAAATTTATGTGGCAGAATAAGAGAAAATATTTGTAGCATGTAACAAAATAGGGTCAAGAATATATATTTTTAAATTTTACAAAGGTCTACAAAAATAGAAACATGGGCAATGGTTACAAATAATTTACAGAAGAAATAAAACCGGCCAATAAATATATTAAAATGTTATACTTCACTAGTAATAAGGGAAATGCAAATTAAAATGTCACTGAAAGGACCTTTATCATTGGACAGAACAGCAAATAAAAAGGTTTGATAATACAAGGTGTAGGCAAGAATTAGGAAAATGGACACTTTCTCATACTGCTGAGGGGAGTATAAATCGATGTAGCCAATCTGGAGGACAATTTGGAAGTAGCAATTAAACTGAAAATGAATACAGCTCAGGATCCAAACATTTACAATACTAACAACTTTCTTTATCTGGAGTGCTTACCTTGTGCCAAGCATGTAACTCCACACCTTAAATACATTATTCATCTAATCCTTATCACAACTCCATGATGAAGAGAATGAAACTCAGATTGTTAAGGCAACTCCTCTAAGGTCCCATAGCTAGTAAGTCCAGAGCTGGGATTTAACCAGCGAAGTATATTGCTCGCTGCACCCAAAGAAGTTCACTGAAGTATTTATTATAGTGAAAAATGAAGAAGAGCTTAATGTTTACCAACATGGGAATATATAAATAAAACATAGTATATTCATTTCAAGGTATACACAAAGTGGCTAAAAGAACAAAGTACATCTATATGTATCAATATAGATGAATCTCAGGGAATACTGTTGAATGAAGAAAGCATGTTATTGACAGATATTTACACTCTGATACTATTTACATAATAAAAACAAAATACGATAAATTTTGGATGGGTACATACATATAAATATGTATAAAATTATTTGGAAGTATGACCACTACGAAAGTGTTTTCCACTAAGGAAGAGAAGAGAGGATTAGGAGGGAGACTGGTAGCTAAAAGGAACTTCAGTTTTATCTGTAGCATCATACAGGTTTTTACGGGACAATGTATTCATATATTATCAGTGCAATTACAAATGTAATAATAAGGAAAGTGCACAATTTGGTGCCCCAAGAACCTGGGTTCAAATTTTAGCTCTGCCACTTATTTCCATATTTGGCCAAGGAATCAAACGTTCTGAAAAAGTATAGTGTAAGACTTAGGGAGGAGCTAAGGTCTGATGTGCAGGTGGGCACTGGGGACCCTTTGAAGGATATCAGTGGCTTAACTAGGGTGGGAAATAGCTAACATAAGATTATAAGTGCTTTAAAAGTAGAGATCATATTTTATTTATTTTTTTATCTTAACAATGATTAGCTTTTTACACAATAGGCTCACAATACATATGGAGAGTTGCTAGAGAGACTTTAGGAGAATATATGAGTTCATGGGGAGGGTAGAAGGAGCTGAAGAAGCTGGTATGGACTACATTATTTACCACCAAGACAGTAGCCATGAAGGGCAATGAGAAGGTGGCATTTTTGTGGAACTGACAGACTGAAGGAAGAGAGGTTTGTTTTGTTGCCTTAGTTACATTCCAAGTAGGCAGAATGTAGAAATGGCATGTCAAGTCTTGGAGTAGGGCAGAGGAGATGGGATGAGAGAAGTATATGTGCAGATGGTCGGGTTAAGAGAAGTAACATTTGCTTCTGATATGGGAGTGTAGGAAGAGAAGAACCATGAAGAGACAGTGGTGATGTGGATGACAGTGATGATCATGACAATGATGATGGTGTCACTTTTTATGTTCCCTTGATCCTCAGAGAGTGCTACTTAGTTTCAAAAGATTTAGAGCTCCCCTGAGAATTTTTGAACTTTAAGTGAAGTAGGTCCACCAACTCTTGACTGCACTGCATCCTGGAGATGAGGGGTGGAGGGTGGGAGGGAGAAAGGAGCACACTCTAACGCTTAGACTCCTCCTCTGTAACATCTAAGAACAGCATTTGGGGCTTAGCTTCGTCAACAATATGAAAGAGATGCTATCTGCTCAGGGCAATAGTGTCACTGCTTATTCTGCAAAAACTATCAGCTGTGGGTGAAAAGTCAAATCCAAATTAGGGCCAAACCAGGGCAATTTTAGAGCTGTGAAAAACAGTACAAGAGCATGTGCCACACGGGATTGAAATGGGCATATTTGGATGATATTATGTAGACAGGCAGGAAAAATAAAGGGGAAAGACTTTAGGTTTCATTTTATGAGTTTTTTTTTTTTTAACAGGAGGCACTTCACACAATGATATAAGTATAAAATGCAACCATGAGTTTATGGTATGAAAATTTAGTTCTATAGGAATACTTCATTATAGATTTAGTTTAAAAACCTCCAGTAAAACGGTGAAATGATTCCTATCAAATTTAACTTTTCTCTAAACCCTACAAGTAGTTCATTGAAACGAGAACAGTGGTTCAAATCAGAGAGTATAGTCAATTTAAGTGGATTGATGGGTTACTAGAGTCATGGGGGAAAACTCTCCTTTATGTACTGATTACACTACTCCTTTGAAAAGTGAATTTCCTTCCAAAAGATAAGGTTGCAATATCCCTACCTGGAAATACCCAAATTATGAGTTCTCTCTGCTGAAAGGTAAAGGGGATGATGGGCAGGATAAACTTTCCCCAACTCATTTCAGCTTAAGCATCTAGTCTGTATTCTTTTTTAGATCCACAGGTGCAAGGAATATTTGCTGCTGCCCACCAAATTATTCAATTTTCCTTTAAGAATCAGGCCATCCCGAATTCTTAACTGTACTTAGGTGGTTGAAGCCATCCTCAACTCTGGGGTTAGGCCTTGATTGGCTAAAGCACACTTGTGTATTCCATCCACTTGGCCACAGTGGTGGGTGGGCATTTGACATAAGTCAACCCCACCCAAGTGACCCCGGGACTTTTGCTGGGAATGCTCAGAGGATTCTTTCTTTCTTCAGGATGGTACTTATGAGGTGTAAGGTCTAGAACTATTGTAGCCCTTTCTGCTACCATAAGGAAAGTCTGCCTGAGAATAACACCAATATATTGAGTAAGACAAAGTGGAAGGAATTGGAGAAAAACAGAGCTGAAGCCTGAGAACTGTGAACTGTTGCTCCAAACCTTACATATAACTAGAACTACCTCTTAATTTCCATGAGCTAATAAACCTCCCTTCTTTGTTTAAATCAGTTGAGTTGCTGTTTTTACTAATTGCAACCAAAAGATTCCTGAAAATACTCCATTTAGTTAATGGTTTTAAAAATAAACATGGATAGAACACTGAACTACACTTTAGTCTTTGATGAAGAAGATAATAAACTATCTTTTGTATAAAGAAAATCTACTTTCTTACTATAATTGCAATTTTAAAATATATTATTTGCTTAGACCCAAGCATCTCTTCATTATTTTTGGCACCCCGTAAAATTTATTCCATATGGAATCTGGAGAGGGATGTTTGAATTCTAAATGAAGAGTCTCAACCATTACAAGCTGCATAAAACATAAGTAAAACATTTTTGCCAATTTTTTAAATTTGTATACCCTATTTTAGATCTGGGAATCTGACACTAAAAATGGCCTCAGATTTAATGTTGATTTGTATTCAATGCCAACAATAAAAAAAAGAACCGTAGTTAATATGTCTTTGGTGTTTTTATTTTAGATAACTGCTATTTCATAAGAACGTTTTCCCAGACTGGGTAAGGGCTGGGATAGGGGACTGGTTTATTCTTTATATGTGAAGAAAAATTTCCACCAATAGTCTGGAAAAAATACACAACAGTCTTCTTTTCTGCAAGAACTTATGAAAGTAATGAGATGTTTTCCCCTTAGCTTCTAAGAAATTTACAGTGAGCCACAATGTTCTTGCGTAATCTAGTCTTGGGACATATAATTTTAGAAGCTGAATGTACCTTTTTGCATGTAGAAGTAAAAGTAATTTTGGTACTTATAATAAATCAACAGCTAAACAGGAGGATTGGGTTTGCTCTAGCCTCGTCTGCTGCCTTGTTCAACTGCTAGAACCAAATACCTTAATCCAAACTTGACTTCCCAAACATTTCATCGTTATTGCTAGTTCCTGCTGTTCCCCCTGTCTGTGTTCAATCAGGCTGACATCTATTGGTTCAAAGAACTTTACACATCTGCCAGCAGACAAAGGATGCATGTTGCCGCATCTGTATGTTACCAGTAGGCACCTTGGACTTCTCTTCTTTTTGCAGATATTTTCTCTCACTGTATAAAGATTCATTTAATACTTTCTTTGCTCCAGACAATAGATTTTTCTTCTTCTGATGGGGCAGTCTAATAAGAATATAACCTGGTTGCTTAAAGATCTTCTGTGTAGCACAGACCTTACCTAAGCCACTGCTAGGCAGTGTACATGGTGCAGTAAACATAAAGTCCAGATCCCCAGTGTTATGTCCATATTTATTCAATAAAGACTAGGTGGTTTGGGACTACGATAATCAATCCTTTGTTTTCACAAGGTTTTATGAAATGTAAGGCCATCTAAACATGGTTAAGGTCATGCTTTTAAAGTCTAAAACAAAATTTACAACAGAGGTTGGGAATGCTCTTTGTTGAGACTAAAATCACTGTAAGAACCCAACCTTATACACATTCTACTTGAGCATGGGGGTAGGGGAGGAGGGCTACCCCATGTACTCTAATGTCTTTTCTGACATTATAGTTTTCCTGAAAGCTGCATCACCTCCTGCTTAACTTTGTAAATACAGTCTCATGAGATAAAAATGAAACTAAATAAAGGTATTTGGAATATACAATTTCAGAAAAGGCTGTTCTTTCCTCAAAGATATTCAACAATAAATAGACATTATGTTTAATCATTTTAAATGAAGTCAAGTCTAAAATTTGCTATTTTTATTCCAGAGCACAGGCTATACAAATATATTTCTTCTTTCTTATATAAGAAAATAAACTTCTTAAATAAGCTGTCCTACTTCCCATGGCTCCTGGGCATAAAATATGCTATTTAACTAAAGAATATTTTACTTCTTCCCTTTATCTTGTTCATCTTCCACAAAATAATGTACATAGTTCACCTTCAGAACAGACTGAATGAGAAAATGCCTCAAACATATGTGGTTAAAAATTTTTGTTTTCGGAATTAAAAATACTCAGAAGTAGAAACCGTTTTCTTAGTAACATGCTAAAAATTTAGTCTCTGAGTATGATCAAAGGTGTATCGCTAAGACATAGCAACTTTTGGTGAAGAATCCTACTTAGGATTTCCTATTTCATAGCCTGTCAGTATATTTCTATCCCTTCATAAAGACTTTTCAAAGAAACTAGTAAAAGTTCACTTTGTAAACCTTGAATATCTTTTACCCTGTTAACTTGCAAATATTAATAGATTACTACCACCGCCACTACTATTACAATTACAGCTACTATTACTGGCTGCTGACAGCAACTGTTAACTTGCTAGAAGAGAGCAAATGGGGTGGGAGAAGCCTTCTTTATTTTTCTATTCTAATTTCTAAGATTACTGAGGGTTTAAAATGATCTTGTGAGGATGCTGGTAAAACCACAGCTGAAAATCCAGAGAATGAGCATTCTATAAAACCTAAGAATGAAATAATATCAAAAGCTTTACAAAGCTGTGGACTTTTTTTTTAAAGAAGGTGAAAGATGAAAGAAAAACCTGCACAAGTAGCATACCAAGAAACAGATGGTCTTTTTAAAAAATGAACCAAGAGTGTGCCTTCCACAAGTCTGCTTCTTAATTGTAGCATACTGAGCACTTTCATGCAGATGATTTCAATTGCTAAGCACAGAACCGAATAAACAGGGTTAGCTCATTGACACTAAATGACATAGTGTACTTGGAGCTCATCTACTATTTAGTCTGTAAACACCTGATATGCAAAATTGTATGAAGAAACTAGTGCCAAGACGGTTTAAGATTAACCAATGTTCAGTGAAGATTTAAAAGCTTGGCTTTCATTTTGCTAAAGATGCTCCCTTTCATATTTAATCAATGAACCAGTTCCGTTTTAAGTGCTTGATTTAGAATTTATGATTTTGTTTCTTTTTGGCTTATTCCAAAATGAGTTAAAGAAAGCTTAAAACTAGGAGAAGAAAAAGGAAAAAACAAACTCAATAACTTACATGAGTTAAGCAGCAATACAATTTCACAAGAAAATTTCAGAAAGAAGTAGATTATTGAATTTACCTTCCACTGGGCAGACTGAGAAATAATGGTTTAAATGTTTATTACAGAATCAGGACAGAATCATTGAAACGTTAATAACAATCCTCAGTGAAGGTCTCCTTCTACCTTCCACATTTTTGGCTTGCCATGCCATGTCCCCTCATTCCTTGCTGAGGAAGACTTTTGGTGAGCATCCAGGCAGATCTACTCACCCTCAGGAATGCAGGCAGCTCCCTCAGCTCCCATGTGGCAGAAGACCCAGAGCAATGGGGGCCTGCTGTGAAGAGAGGCTGAGCTCCCTGGAGGCTGTGGGGCTGGGGCGGCCCTTATGGTGGCAAAACCAGAAGTGATTCAGAGTCTGCACACAACTGCTCTCCAACTTCCTTGGACAGTCGTAACCCAGTCAAGGGTAACTTTAAGGGCTGGCTGGGAACTGGCAAATCTAGGGTTGCTGAGATTACATTACTCAAATGTACAGAGAGTTTTTAAAAAGAATCTTGATCAGTATCTTCTGAATAATTTGGGTACTATCCAAACAGCTTTTTCATAGACAGAAAACTTGAGTAGCTTGTATAAACTCTTAGTTTACTATTATTTTACTAATCAGGGTAGCCAAACAATTTCTGAATACTAAAATATGGAACAAGAATATGGATAAGTTTGCATTCACATACCTATATTACTGCTTTCTATATACATAAACACATGTTGAAATATTTATATATATCAATATCAGTATCTGTATTTGAAATAGTTACCTTACTGATAAATCTCTGTAAATGACATAAATAAAATCCTAGTGTTCCACTGAATTATGATAGACAGTGCTTTCATGAGACTTTAAGCTCCTCAAAGACAAGAAATGTGTCATATTCTGTTGTTGATTCCCAATGCTTAGCCTTGCTGCTTTGCTGAGTAACTACACCACCAGCTTTTGCTCAGCCCTCTTCTGGATTTTGTAGATCCAGGGAAGCCATGCATGAGCTCTTGCTTTCATTATATTTTAATCTTAACCCTCTCTTGGCTTGCATTGCTAGTGGACTATACTTTGTGGGAGAGGCTGTGTGATGAACCTGGGTGTCTGGCAAATAAATTCTCAAGCAGTATCTCTATTTTGTTACACCATAGTAAAACTTTGTTTACTTTACAAAAAATATTACCAGTATCATGTTCTTTTTAAAGACAGATAAACAGATTACGCACTGAGTCAAAAAAAGAAAAAAAATTGCAGGGTCCTGACTAACTAAAGATTGGATTCCTTATCTTGGCTACATAATAAATAATTGGGATGACAACACTGGCATCATCTTGACTCTCATTTGCTCTTACACCCATATTTGATCCATTAGCATGTCCTGTTGGCTCCGCTTTCCATCGATCCAGGATCCAACAGCTTCTCCCCAATTCCTTTGCTCCCACTTGGGTCCAAGCCTGGATTACTGATGGATCGCAACAGCTTCCTGACAGGTACCTCTCCTTTGTCTCCAGAAGATCTACTCTCATGAACAGCCAAAGTGATCCTCTTAAAGTGTATCAGCTCAGGTCCCTCCTCTGCTCACAGTGGGTTCTCACCTCACTGAGGGTAAGGCCATAAAGGCTTTTTACACGCTCCAGTGTCTTTTACCTCCAGATCTCAACTCTACTGCTCTCGCTCTTGCTCACTCCACTCCAGCTACACTGCTCTCATCCCTGTTCCACCAACAAATGAATCATCCTCCTGTCCCATCCCCCAGATATGCTCTATCCTCCCATCCCCAAATCTTCATGGCTCATACTCTCTCGTCTTTCAGATCTTTCTTACAGAGTCCTCTTCTCAATGAGGTCTTTCCTGACTACCCTTGTTAAAATGCCACTTGCACCCATTCTCCATTATCCTCCCTGCCCTGCATCATTTTTCTCCAGATCACTTACCAACTGATTGTATTTACAGCATTTACTGACACTAGAATGCAAGTCCCAAAAGGGCAAGAATTTTTGCTTTTCTTCAGCGCTTTATTTCCAGCAACTAGGACAATTCCTGGGGTATAGTACTCACTAAATACAGAATAAATGAATTGAATGATGACTATATAGTGCAACCAAGCAACCTTCTAAGATCTAGTTTTATGCCACAGTTGCAAAATGCATACTTAAAACTTAAGCAAAACAGCAAAGTTATTCAGTGTTGTCACTCCTCTTCAGCAATTAGACATTTCAAATGCCATATTAGTATGTTTTTGAGAAATCTGCAAACTGAGAACCAAAGTGACAGGGCCAATCACATTCATATTGAAACTGTGGATGTGAATCTTTATTTTCTTTTTGAGACAGAGTCTCGCTGTTGTCACCTGGGCTGGAGTGCAACGGCGCGACCTTGGCTCACTGCAACCTCTGCTTCCCGGGTTCCAGCAATTCTCCTACCACAGACTCCTGAGTAGCAGAGATTAAAGGCGTCTGCCACCATGCCTGACTAATTTTTGTATTTTTAGCAGTGATGGAGTTTCACCATGTTGGCCAGGATGTGAATCTTAGTATAGGAATTCCGAATCTTAGTAGCACACTGCCTTTGTCATTTAATCAGCAAAATTATGGTGGCCAGAAAGAGTTAATACAATTTCTAGGTAGACATGAATTATCAGAAGGGATTGCAACAACCTAACTCAATATGAATCTGAGAATATTTCTTAGGTGGTCAACTTCAAGGGATAATGAAGAGATGTCTGTAATATGAATAAATCCACACCCCAAATTCATAAGTGAACTTTTGAGAAAATTGAATGACTTCTGTATAGCACCTTTTATAAATCTAGCAGAAGCCAAATTTACATCAATGTCAAAGGCAGAGTGAATCCTTCTCCAGGAAGTACCTAATCCTGCAATAAACCTGTTGAACAGACAGGTTTAATGTTCACCAAGGCTAAGTGTTTAAGAGGTCTCCACGGTATAATTTGTCACCACTACAAGTTTCTGCTTTGCCTTAAAAGCCGTGAAAATTGCTCCACAATCTCACTAGGAACTAAGTTGCTCATGTCAGGACCATGGTTTACAATGCATTTCTGTTTTCATAGAACTTCCTTGTTTATGGCTTGTTGAAAAAAAATACATACTATTATATACATTATAAAAGCCACAGAACATAGATAGCTGCATGAAAATTCAAAGGGTAAATGATTTAAAAACTAACATTGTTTGACTATAATAAATTGAGTAAAAAATAACATTGTATTGTTCATCTAACAAGGCACAACAGTTTGAATAGAAGGTTTCAGATTTAAATGGGAATGGGGGAGCTGGTCATTGAATTTTTATTTCCAACCAGTGGAAAAGTTAATTATTTACACACTAGCAGCTCAATGACTATAATGTAGTCCCTGAGGCTTCTTCAGAAATTCTGTAAAGTTAAACAGCTGCCACCTTCATTTAGTGTGCCAAATATGATGCAAGGGCAGTGGCTGTGTGCATATATCCCATACATTCCATATATTTGCATGTAAAGTATTAAGAAATCAGTAATGCAAAACTGAGTATCAATGAGCCGCTTTAGTAGATTTTCCATAGCTGAAGGCAATGACATTGAGAAGCAGGAAACAGTATGGCAAAGCACAGGGCATAGATGGTGGCATGGCATAGAGGAAGGGGCTGGTCGTAAAAAGGAATGTAGAAAATGGAGACAACAAGGCAACATTTTCTTACTTACTGTTAAACCAACTCCACATACAACTTGAAGAGTTAAATCCAAGCCAGCTGTCATGATGGCTGCTGGAAACCAGGAAGGGGCAGCAAGAGCTGCCCAAGGTGAACAGTCCAACACTTGGGCTTCCCCTTGGGAAGCTCTTGCTCTGAGCACTGCTGGCTGCTCCTCCCTCTGTCTAGAAAGCCAGGGAAGGTACAGTCACATAACCCAAACCTGGTTTGACCCAGGTTTACTGAATCCTGATTCCATTTCAATGACTATTCAGCACTTGCTGAATATAAAGCTCACATTTTCTCTGCGCACATGGGTGGGGCAGTATTGCTGGGAGCCAGCAGACTGAAACGTGGATACCAAAGCTAATGGCAGAGACCTGGGTATCACCTGACAGATTCTGAACAATGATGCCTGCTGCTGGCTTCCCTACACAAGTACTAAGCGATGTTGGGAAAGACAGAGAGAGGCCAATAAGACCTGCTTTTTCCCTTAGCGTATGGAACATTTCATTTCCAAAATGGATTAAGCTCAGACAGAAATACCACGAGGCATGCAGAATCTCTGAAAGCGGATGGTTTGCAATGTGTGCTCTAATGCTGTGGGCACTAGAGTCACTAATATGTATGAAAGTCTATGGGACTATTTCTTCATGTAATACATTACAATGTCTGAAAAATCAATGTCCTAGGGCACAGAAGGATGAATACAGAGCTTTTCAATTATCTTTTTTATTTTTTCCTAAAAATACTGCTCCCTTCAAACAGATTCAAAAGACAACATGAGATTGTTTTCATTTTGGTAAAGATGATGTTGAGTCTATGCAAGGATCTTAACTGGCTCAATCCCAGTGGGTAATGGCCCACTGGGCAGAAGACTGTATAGACCTTGAAAACATAATAGGTTAAAAAACCCTCCATGGAAGCTCCATGAATAAGAATGAGATATCTTCAGCAATTGACTATCAGTGTAGCTGCACCCAATTTCTTAAGATTGACGCTGTCTTTGTTTTTTAAACCAACATCTTCTGTCAGTAAGTCTGTAGATCATAAATTGTTTTAAAATAAAATTTCCTGTCACACTCACATCTTGGGAAATAAAACAGAAGGAATCCTAAAGCCCGGCTACTTCATATTCAGTCAAATAAGAAACCAGAGTGAGGTTAATATAACAGGCAGAAACCTAACTTTCAATCTCAATTACCCAAAAGGCACAGGGTCATCTGCCACCTTCAAAGAAACAGGCCTACATATAAATGATGTGGTATAAAGAATAAGCTCAGAGACCTCTCAACTTCTTGCGGGGCAGGAATGAATACTGTAGTGGGTCATAAAGCATTACAATTTTTTCTTTCATTCTGTGTTTTGGAACAGGTGTTTCTGTCTAGTGCCTAAAGCACTTCCTACCAGTGTTAATAAGGTGTGCAGAGAAAGCTTGTCAGACTTGTTATAGTGGCAAAGCCCTTTTTGAAAATCAAATTTTTCATGAAAGGCTAATAAATAATAGAGTCAAAAGTAGAATGACTCTGTAGCAATGGGCATGCCAGTATGTTGTGGGGAGGAGGAGAAGGAAAAAACAAGGCAGGAATTGAAATATTGAAATAGTACTGGGCCATGGAAGGTGCTCAATAAATATTTGTTAAAGGAATAAATGACCTGTCATTTCAGGAAAGCACAAACTGGGTTGCTCTGAAGACCCCTGGTGTGCTTGCCTCCAATACACTCTGCCTGTCCTTTCCTCTGGTGGCCTGTTATGGCGTTTTCATCCTTTCCCAGTCTTGGTAAATAGGCCCTGGTAACTAGGGAATGGCTGCGATATAGGCCCTAAGAAAATAGGGTTTCTTTGAGCCTCCTAGGTCTTGGCCAATTCATGTAGTCTTAACTCCTAAATACTTCCCAAATACAGTTCCACAGCTGCCTGGCACAATGGCCAAGAGCATCTTCTCCTGTCCATCTTCTCAAGCCCTGCACTTAGTGCTCCTTTTCAGAAAACCCATGGTCAATGGCTCAGCATTCTACTCCTGAAAAGCTGCTCCTTTTTAAAGCTTATATTATTGCTGTAGTAAAATGAAATGCACTTTTAAGCTAGAAAGGGTCAATATTGTTCCCTAAAACACTAGGGTACTTGATATGCTACATTCATTTTCAAGGGCACAGGATTCTTAACACCCACTCTTTCATTGATTCATTCAACACAAATTTATTGAGTGCCCACACTGTGGGAGGCACTGTCCTTGACACTGGCATATTACGAACAAGCCAGACAATTCTTTTCCTCCAAAGTGGTAATATGCTAATGGAGGGTGTCAGACAAACATACAAACAGATGAAGGAACAAGAACTTCAGGGAGTGATGAGTGTGCTGAAGACAACTAAACTGGATGAAGTGATGGCAATGTGGGGCTAGGAGAGGGGGCTACTATTTTAGATCCAGTAACCAGAGAAGTTCTGCCTAAAGAAGTGGCATATGAGCTTAGTGTTTTTTTTTTTTTTTTTTTTTTTTAAGATATGGGGTCTTACTTTGTTGCCCAGGCTAGACTTGAACTCCTGGGCTCAGCCTTCTAAATACCTGGGACTACAGGGGTGAGCCACTACGCCCGACTTTGCAAGACTTGTCTTCTGAGAGCGTTCCTTTCAGACCTTAGCTTGCAGCCTTCACCAAGAAATACCAAAAATATGAAGGAAGTACATAAAAGATCACTTTATTTGTCTGCATTAATGTGGTTTAGGTTCCATTAAAAATTAAGCTTCATGGCAGAGAGCCATATACATTTCTAACTGGGTACAAGGAGTCTTATTAGAAAATATTTATTACATGTAACTGGGTAGAATACTCCAGATGGTATCTAGGCATTTGCATAGAACTTCATGTCAAATTAATCATCATTAATGAAGGTTTAGATTATTCAGAATAAGATGGGTTAAAAAAATGGTAAATAAGTGGTCAGGCCAGTACTAATCCTCTATAAAACTTTAAAGAAGACAAGGTTTGGCTTTGAGGCTGCCCTAGTCTCCATCTAGAATTCTCTTTTTGTCATATTCACTATCAATGTACCCAGCATCTTTATACTCTACAGTTCAGCAATTCTGGACTTAACCAGGCAATTGTGAGGATCTGCCCTAAGAAGAATCTTAGGAACCTTCCTTTTAACCTGAAAGCAATTTCACCAGATGATCTGTTTTAAATTGAGTAAACCATCCATCACGAAATTCTCGAGACCAGTTTAAGAATTCAATAAAATTTCTTGTGCCTAATAACACTTGCTCAGCTGCAGAGGCAAACTAAGAAGCTAATATGTGAAATAGAGCAATTCTGAAATCTTTGCATTTTCTCATTTGTGTTATGGTATAATGCAATGAAAGAATTGCTTTTGACCCTGTCAAGTGGAACCTCAAGGACAAAGATTTTTATCATTTTCTTTTCCTGGAAAATTGATGTAAAGATTTGATTTACTTTGGAGTCTCCAAGTGCTTCAGCAACTAAAAAAACAGATTGATTTTTCATATAGATGTGATGTAATTAAGTTCTAATTTGATGAAAGAGCTGATCAAATAGTGGTGGCCATTCTGAAATGTTCCTCAGTGCCAAACAATTACCTGTAATGGTTCTTGAAAGAAAAACTCCCAAGTATATTTATTTTCTATAACACATGTGTTGTGTTTCCATACTGTTTTCATCTCTATTCTAAAAAGAGAATTATAAACCCAATGTTTGCACAGTTATACTTCTCTTACGATTCTATGTATTTTGATCTTGCCACATCCTGCTTTATGTTGTAGTTTTTGGGTGAAGATCTATGTAGCAGATGCTATCATTGCCCTCCCATATTCCTTCAACGATCACTGTTTGTGAAAAGGCCAATGGCTTCCTGTTGCACGTACCTGTCTGTGACTTTGTTGACAGCACGTTTTGGCCCCACAGCATGCCTGGATTGAATATGGTGCTGGCTAGAAATGCCACAGAATTATCTGCCCAAGAGCAGCCCCTGGCCAATGACAGAAAGGCAATGGCTAATAAATATCCCAGTTTCTTTTTCCTTTGGGTAGACAATCCTGAGGTGTGCTTTGCTTCTTGCAGAAACCCCCAAGCGGGAATGAGCGCCAGTTGTCCACAGTAGTAATGTGTTCATTAATGTACTCTCTAATGGCTATTATTTTTCTGACTCTTCCTTCATCCCCATTCCCCTACCAGTATGTCCTGAGATAACCTCTTAAATAAACTACATACATTCAAATCCTTGCCTCAGAGTCTACTTTAGGGAATTACAAACTAAAGTAATCAATATCTTAATATGCAAACAGACTACTAATACTAAAAGAAGGGTTTCATGCTTTCACAGACTTTTTTGCATTTCTTGTAACACCTAATGCAATGTTTTTGCACATAAATTGTGGCATTGATAAACAAAGCATCTAACATCGACTGAGCACTTTCTCTACACAATGCACTGTGCCAAACTTTATATCCTATTGACTCCATCAACAGCCTTATAAGGTAGATAGTACTGAAGGCACAGACTTTATTTAGTTCATTGCTAAGCCCTAGCTCCTAGAAAAGTACCTAAACATATCAGGCACTCACTAAATATGTTGCATAAATCCAATTTTACAGATGATGTAATAGTGACTTAAAAAGGTAAGTAACTTGCTGATGGTTCTGCAGCTGTAACTGGGAGAGCTGACTCCAGAGCTGAAGGTCTTAACCCTATACTATTCTCAATGATAGAGATGAGGAAGGGGAGGGAGGAGTGCATTGACAGAGATTACAGAGAGATTAAGTAACAGGTAGGGCTGCTAACATATTTGACCTCCCCACCAAACCTGTATTACTTGCATCTTCATTTTCTGATTATACTAGTTATAATCCTTCTGGCTACTTGCATCCTTTCCTATTCTTTTTCCTTGCATCTCCTGAGTAGGTAAATTCACGTTTCTGCCCTTGTGTATGGTGAGAATATTCTGATGTTTAATTTGGTGATTAATGTGTGTCATGATCTCTGGCAAACCTCCTACTCATCTAGTAGCTGGTTCTCAGGTCAAAAGTTAGGAAGGCAGAATAATTAGCTAGCCTATGATAGGGAAAGAAGTAAATGCTTCCTTTTTTTCATTAAAAAAGATAATATGGAAGAAGAGAGTTGGGAAGGTGGTAGTGACAATATTTATTTTCTGCTTCAAAATAAATTAGGAACACTTAGTACTTCAAACATACATTCTTTTCAGTTACTAATGCACATTTTGGAGCTATCTACAACTGATTTCTCCAGTAAGTTATGATTTTGCTAGCCCATTCAGTTGGAAACATTTGTTTTTACTGGACTATTTACTTGAATTTTGTTTAAAGACAAAGCACAATAAAATTACCGGTTAAACATTTAAATGAAAATAAAGCAATAAGGGATGTATCTAAAAATAATAATTGAAAATTGCATAAGTGAATGAGCAAGTTTTTAGAAAAAAAGTTAAACTTAAAGCTATATACAGAACAGGTCTCAGTGGTTATTAAAATGAATCCCCTAAAGTCCTATGACTTTTAATAAAAACACTAAATAGAAAATAAATGCTAAATCAATTTCTCTTAAATATTTAAAATGTTAAAGGTTAATCTATTTTGGTGAACTAGCCATGACAGAGTGATATGTTATAAATAATAAATGGCCTCTAATAATAAGAACTGTAACTACATTATATAATAGCAATATTTAAATAATGGCTCAGGGCCATGTTGCATGCAATGGTGTAGGCAATTAACTGTATGAGGGAAAAATGCAATGGCTACTCTGACTCTAGAGTTACTTTCCTAAAGAAGTGGATGTTGTAGACGGCCAAGCAAATGCTTAAGACTCTTTGGTAGAAGGCTTTAATGACTTTGATTCTTGAGCAGCCTATGTGCTCAATAGCTAGGAACAATCACTTTCTTTTACTTAAAGGAGTATGAGCCAAATGTAAAAACCAAAACATATAGAAAATAAAATTTCCAATTAATAAGCTCTCATAAGGCTACTATGAACACATAATGATTCTCTAGCAAATAAACTTGATATAAAAGAGCCTATTATCTATCACAAGATTGTATTTGTCACTAGCATAGTAATTTTCTTCCGTAGAAAAGGTTCTTTAATTTCCAAGCAGTATTCTTTACAAAGGGGAAAAAAAATCTTAATTTTTTGATGATTTATAATGATAAGTTGACACTCAACCAACTCTTTTTCTTGCCATATGCTGACTGGTATTCTACATGTGTTCCAAGAAGTTAAGAAGCAAGAGTGAACGAGGTTGCACATGGCTTTTTTCAGATCATGTTGGCAATTACTCTTTTAAATTCACCTCCTCTTATAACTGACCTCCTCTGGCATTTAGATACCAAATATCCAAATATTTTAAGAATGGCAAATGATATTTAAAAATGACTGCATTTCTCACCATCTGAAAACCTGTTTAAAATATTAAGGCTACCCTAGGAAAGGAGGTTCTTGGATAATCCCTGCCATAACAAAGAAAATTCTAAATAATAATTAATATGAGAAAATACAATTTCTCTTTGAACATGGGTGCAGGAAACCAGTATATCTTAAAATCTGGTAAAGAGAAGCAGCATGTAGAAACACACAAAGAAAAAATAGGACTCCTATGGGGCCTGCTCAAGCTCTAAGGAAAGGTTTTTCACTAAGATTAAAGAGGCAGTGAGAAAAAAGACTTTGACTAGCTTTGCAGGGAAATACATATACAGTGGCAATCCATCACACCATTAGTTGAGAAACATTTATTCTTTTAAACCTTTATTTACTTAAGAGAGTTTGGCTCTAGGATTCTTTCCAAGAGACAAAAAGCTACATACTTTGTTTTTTTTTTTAAGTCAGCAAAGATGACCCCCACCCCAAATACTCCCTAGTTACTCTTTTTGAAAGAGGCTGTATTGTATTTTGAAATAATATTACATTTAATTGTACATACAGAAACTCAACCTGGTAATATTACTTCTAAGTAATCTTATATGCTCAGATTTGAGAAAGATAAGTAATTGGCACATTTAATTCACTGATCAATAGCTTCAAAAATTCATTTTTGGGGGGAAGGAGAGAGCTTGATGAGAAAGAGGTAGTGGTTTTAACAGGATTATCTACTATATTATTACTATAAGCAGAGCAAAAGGCATGTATCCCTAATCTTTTGAGTCCTAGTCTTTCACTTGCTACCTAGCTGTGGGCTCACCTACAATTACACAATTATCAGTGTCTCTAAGTGTAAGCAGCCATTTGTAGAAAACATGCCCTTAAAACAGAAGTTATACATATTTCCTCATCACCTCTCTGGAAAAAGAATTCTTTGCTAAAGCAGATTTTTTTTTTCCAAATATCAACTGACACCATAAAAAAGAAAACAATCTTCTTGTGCAGGAGTGAATAGTCCAAAGCTCTCCATTTCTTGCACTGCCATTTTACCATTTACCTTTCTTTACATAGTTCAGTAGAGGGGAAATAACACAAGGCAATGAAAGGTGAAATCTCTCTTTATCTCAAAGGAACTTGCCATATTGGTGGTGAAAAGAAACTCACTGTCAATATTGAAAACTGTGAAGACTAAACAGACACAGTAGGGAAAGTCTTCAGAGAATAATTCATTTTTAAATGCCTTGTCCTTTTATTTCCTTGTGGGTGGGATGGAGGATATGGAGCCAAGTGCTTTTGAAAGCCTAAATCTAATTATTCTGTGGTTTCAGATTTGTCCTGATGCTTCTTTCCTACTCTGGTCTCATTACTTAAAAGAGCCATATTTGTTTGGCATTATTAAATCTGATAAATTAACCTAAATGCTCTAAAATTACCTTTACTACTACTTAGTGGGAACACATAGTAAATTATTATAAAAACAGTGTTTAGCCAGGATAGGATATATGTGTGTGCAATAGTAAAATAAAAATACTTAAGCACACACATAATATATGTAATTTATTCTGGTATTGAGAGTTTCTAAAAGCTTCAGGTTTACTCTAAATCTAAAATGCTGATTTATTGACAATATTAATTTGGTGTAAAAGGCAAAAATTGGAGTTGGAGTCAGATACCTATGAAACAATGATTCCAAGAAATATCTGCTGATGTATCCAGAGGACCCCATAATGTGTTAGATCTCTGTGGGAGGAATCAAAGACAGAAAGCCTGTAGGAGCATCACCTGTTCCATCTCTTCCCCCATCTGTATATACAAAGGCAAATGGTTCTGTGATGACCACTCCAAAAAGGACAGAGTCTAGGACGGGAGAAGAGATGGGAGCTAGCAATTGCAAAATTTTTATACTCTATTTCCCTACACTTCTACACCCATAAAGTCTGGATATAGTCTTTGTGAAAATGATGCTCCTAGCAACTTCAAGTAAATTCCAGAAGAAAATCTAATGAACCATGAATCCATTCACTTTTGTCCATCTCCATGGCCACTGTCACCCTTCCTCAGGCCATAGCAACAGTCCCCTACCTGGTCTTTTTCCTATCCCCAACCATTCTGTACACAGCCGCCAAAGTAAATTTTTCAAACAGTAATTCTGATCTTACTTCTCTGTACAACACCCTTCAACGGCTTCCTGTTGCATTTAGAATAGAAGCCAAGCACATTACCACGGCCTATATGAGTTATGTCCCAGTCCACCAATCCAACTTCTTGTCCATTCCCCCTGTTTCTGGGGCTGTGTTCATCTTCCATCATTTCCTTCGACTCACCAAACTCTCTCCCCTCTGCCAGGCCTTTGTGGCCACTGTTCTCTCAGTTTCTTTACCCAGCTGTTCTTGTGGCCAACTCCTTCTCATCTTCAGGCCTGTACTTTGACTATTTCCCTCAAGAAAAGCCTTCTCTGACAATCCTATGTAATGTTAGGCCCCTAGCCTGTTCTTTTCTGTCACAAAGTCTTGTAAATTCCCTGAAGCACTATTTTATTACTTGATTGGTTCAAGTTTTCATGAACTGCCTCTCCAACTAGTACATAAACCCCAAGTGGAAGAAATGATTATGTGTGCTCATTTTACGTGGCAGCCCCAGTGCCCATGCCAGTGCCTGGCAACATCACTTAGTAAGCATTTATTAAATGGAAGAACACAAAAGAAAAGAAGTGAAATGAATAGAGGATCTAGCAGGTTCCTTAAGTTCTTTTATATTTCATTTTGTTGTGTTACCTATTTATATGTAATTATGACCTACAGGACAAACTATTATGCATGCATATTTATGAAGGTGACTGATTTATTGGAATTAGTACTTTTTAAATAAATATTGGAAAACTACATCAATTTTTTGAAAAGTTTTATTTATACTAGTTTGTCAATATTTCCTACTTTGACATTTTCTATTGATTGTTCAGCATCTTTTGGAAGTTAGTTCTATTTACCATTTTGAAGTACTGGATAAAAAGTAAATAAAGACATTTTTTTCCCTGGGGCTATGTATACAGCCTTTGTGACCAGTGTGAACTATCACTTTTGGTTGTGCTGAGCAGTCGGTTGAATTGAGCAGAACAATAAAACCCAAGTGATGGACATTTCTGAGATGCTGCCAGTTGCACATCTGAACTGACCAGTTTGTATGTACTGTTGGCCTCAACTAGATTGACTTGATGTTGCTTTTGCTAGGAAACACATAAGAAGTCAAAACCTCTTCAGCATTTTTATTGCTGTTCATGTTAAAGAGAATTTTTTTTTTTTTTTTTTTGAGACAGGGTCTCACTGTCATTGCCCAGGCTGGAGTGCAGTGGTGCAATCTCGGCTCACTGCAGCCTTGACTTCCCAAGCTCAGGTGATCCTCCCACCTCAGCCTCCCAAGTAGCTGGAACTACAGGTGTGTGTCACCACGCCTGGCTAATTTTTTTGTATTTTTATAGAGACGGAGTTTTCCCATGTTGCCCAGGCTGGTCTTGAACTCCTGGACTCAAGCTATTTGCCCACCTCAGCCTCCTCCCAAAGTGCTGGGATTACAGGCATGAGGCTGAGAATTTTTTTTTTAATTGAGTGATTTATACAGGTATCTTTCTACTTTATTGCATAGCAGATTTATTCCTAACTTTTGCAAACATGACCTCATTCTGACATATCTAGTTCAAAACAGAGTCTCTAGAATATGTTTAATTTCTGTTAAAAGTTAAAGACACCTAAGGCATAGAAATATAGGTAAGTATTTATCCAGGTGCTCATTCCATATGTTAGGTCACATATTCACATTTTATATTCATTAGAAACATAAATTCAAGTATTTATCAATGCCATTTCTATTAACATAACTACCACTCGGTATTATATTTCTACATCTTTTCATGTCTGTCTTCTTGACATACAGGTGCCTTTCCAATTAATAAGCCTCAGAATCACTAGCTTATTAATCACTGGTTTATATAATAAGATGGCTTATTAAAAGTACAGATTCCTGAATCCCACTTGCAGATTATAATTCAGTAGATCTGGAGTGGGGCTCATGAATCTGCATTTTTAACAAGTTCTGCAGACGATTTGGATGTTGGTAGAAAGAGGCATACCCTTGGAAAGACACTGGTCTAGACTCTCCTTCTTAGAAGAAGGATTTTTGTCTAGCTCATTTTAATGTCTCATTTAGTACTTTGCACATTACCTGGCATTGCACAGGCATCAATAAATTTCACTGAATGAAATGTTCACGTGAATAGAAAGTTTATTTTATAATTTTATGAGACATATAATAGAATGTTCTCATTGGTATAATTTATCTTCTTAGTAGTACTCTTAATTAATACTAGATTTTTAGGAAAAGACTACATTTAAAGAATACGTTGGTGTTTAAAATTTTCTAGGAATAGAATGAGGTTGGATATTTTAATGACCTCCATGTGGCTAGCAGCAGGTAGAATTACTGTAAAGAAGAGGAAAGTGCTCTTTACTACTCAATCTATTTGGGCAATTTGATTAAATAGTTTGAAATAAAGTGCTGACCATTGTCCACTGAACTTTCTAGCCCAAACAGATATAATAAAACAAATGTCATTTGTTTTAAAAGCACAATTGTATGTAAAATCACTGAACTAAACAGTCTTTCTTCTCCTTTAGCATACGGTGAAAAAATTTCAAGAATCAAAGACATTCTTAAAAAATTCAAAATGAACATGATTTATTTCTAAATAAGAGTTATTACCTGTTAAAATATGTTTAAAGAGATACTGGAAGGAATAGCAAAGGAGAAAAAAATCCATAGACTATCTCTAAAACAGATTTTAGAATCCAAATTACTTCTAAGCTTAAGAAATCCATCACTGCCAAAACCAACGAGCCAGCTAAGAAATACATAAGATGTCTCGTTCAGTGTTGATTGTGGATATAAACTAGGAAATTTAGGAATTGGATATAAGGTCATGGTTATTATGAAAGAGGAAAAAGGAGATATATGTGGTTTGGAAAGACAAAATGGAATTGTATAGGAAGATGGGTGAAGGCAGCAGTAAGGAAAGGAATTTTGAGGTCCAGCAGTGGAAGCTTGGCCATGTCACTTTAAAAAAGTTCCAGGTTTCTTATTTGAGGTATGGAACGGTACTGAATTTACAGGTTTATTCTGAGGATATGCTATAATCTATGCTAAAGTGCCTTGTAAATGGTTGATTGATATCATTGAGTTACCATTACTGCAGCACAGAATTAGGATCTACAGGTAAAGAATGAGATGGAACTTGGGAGACATCTGCATTTGCCATTCTATCCAGTTTCACAGGTCTGTTCAAAATTCACCTCCTCACTGATTACTCCACACATTCGGTCTGGGTATGTGCATCACAAATATTTTCTATTTACTTATCTTTGTTTTGGTCCAGTAGGCAAATTTTTACTTACGACTTACAAACAATAAATAGTCACTTACATTGGACTTAAGACAATATGAGTTAATAGGCTTCTCAAGTATTCTTTACATGAAGGTAGCTGGAACGCAAAGAAATGGAAAATCTAAATCCTTTCTTGTCTTCCTAATTATTTCAAACATGCAAGGAATTTATGGTAAGTATACAGACTTAAACAATACCCTGTTCCCTGAATAGACTTAAATGTAGTCACAGAAATGCATACAATTCTATTTCCTTTCTTTTTACCAATTTGTCTTTGATTCTGCTTATGAGTTTTCATCTTGGCTTGCCATTCCTCCTTTTGCAAAGTGTGAGGTAGTGTTAGGAATTTTTAAAAAATCTGTGATTTATTCTAGGATATATCTCCCTAACTGTTTTGACTTTGACCATTACATTTCTTTTCATTTGACAATTTTGAAACAAAAACATAGATAGGGATTGGGGAAGGGAAGGAAAGGATGTGAACTCATATCCCCCATGATCAGCTTCAAACATGAATTATATAAAAGAAGCCGTCTGAATTCCTACAGCGAGATGACCATTGTGGCTCCTTTTGAGTATAAGGCATTATTACTGTACTGCCATATAACATGGACTCAGGAGCCTTTAAGCCCTACCTGTCTTTTGACATCACAGGTGCTACACTGTGAGATCTGAAAAACTCTATTTTTTTATAGTATCTGAAATACTTCTCTCATAATTGACTCTAATTTTATTTACCTTTTTTACTTTCCATGACAAATCTAGGCTTTGGGAAAGAAATTATTTTCATTGTGCATAATAATAATCTAAAAGTAAAGTTTGACCAAAATTCTATCTCAAAAATGGCATATTTAATTGCGTATATTGCACTGTGAACTTCGAGAACAATTCTAGTTAAAAATCATTTTTGATTGTCATCCAATAGCATAAATGACCATTTTACATAAATACGACTGATCTTTTTCTTGGCTTCAAAATAGTCAATATGACAGAATAAGCAGACATGATATTCTGATATTTTAAAACTATTTCCCAAAAAGTAAAATTATTGAAAAGTTCATTCAAACCTTGAACCTTTCTTTGAAGTACTATAATGTCACCAAAGGTGTTTTTTCTTTTTAAAACTAGAAGTACACTCCCAACTTTAAAGGTTACTTTTTTACTTTCTTTCCTATTGTAAAGTTTTCTTAATTTCATTTTCTTCTCGTTCTCTCACTAGGCACTTTATTTTGCAGACTAGCTCTGGTTACCATATCTGAAAAGTAGTTCCTTAAGTCCTTATTGGGGGCTGGTGGAGAGGGAGAATCCCAGCGATTGCTATGACTGTATTTCAGACAGGCCATTTCAGGAGGTCACAAGAGCTGGAATCTCTCACTATGTATTATATTTCCTGTAAAGTATGGTAATGCATTTTGAACTACTGCCCTAATGACACAAACTTTATCACATACTTTAATGTACTTTGGAAAGAATATAATGTCATATTAAACATGTAGGTGACAATCGCTGGCCTAAAACACAGTATTCTTTTGACTGGAAATAAAATCAGTGTTCTGAAAATGTAGACCTCAAGTCAGGTGGTCTGTGAAATGAGTTGTTCTAAGGTTATCGTTGCCATTAGTCTACAGAAAAGAATGGTCTGTAGATCAACAAGATGGTATCTTTTGTTTTTTTTTTGCACTTTACACACATAAGATATTGTTTAAATAAGAAGTCATATTTTATGTATTAAATGTCTATTTCCTTACTGAAGATGCAAAGTTTGCCTATATTAGATTCTGGTTGTTATGTGTGAATAGCAGCCTTCAAGAATCAAGGACTCCTAAGAATTGATTTGAAAGTGACTGCTGTCCTTTTTACACTGGAAGGAGAATACAGCAAAAGTACCTAAGTGTTACTGCTATGCCTAAGCTTTTCTGTAAAAACACACCAAAGAAAACAAATGAAACAATGCTCTTGATTTTCAAAATAACTTTAAACAAAAGAGGCATCTCTCTTTATATATATATATGTGTGTGTGTGTGTGTGTATGTGTATGTGTGCGCGCCTTATCTCAAAATATTGTGTTTAACGTCTTTTAAAAAAAGTATTGTCAGTGGTAATGGAACGCTTTTCACAGTGATAGTTAAGAATCTTTAAGAAAGAAGACGAATGTGCTTTCAAGGTTTGCCTTCAAAACATTTTACATTCTTGTACTTTAGGAGCAACAATAGAGAGGTAGTAATAAACAGAATTACATCATTATTTTTTCTTGGACCATTTTGCAAGATGTAAGCACGTAAGTTGGTATAAAGGGCCATTTTCCAATTACTAAGCCAAACAGAAGTGTTAGGTAACAAGTCTGAATAGAAATGCCAGCACCAGCTTGTCCAATAGGTTCACAAGATCTCATTCCATAGATCAGTTGGAACATGGAAGCAATGGAGGGGAAGCAAAGATTGTATCACCATAGCAACCTGAAAGGGTGGGGGAAGACAGCAAACTGCATGCCACCTGCTAATCAATTAGAACTGTTTGCAAGCTCAAGAAATCCTGGAGAATCTGAGTGGGGCTGTAGGGTCAAGTACACAGAAAAACTTAATTGGGAATTCTCTTTTAAACTTACAACACTCAGTCAAATCATCAACACCCATATATTAATAATACTGTAGTTCAAATCAGCCACTTTGCAGTATGCAATCTGCTTTGAAGAAATCTTACTTCCTTGTGTTATTACTAGGAGTATGGTATCCATTTTTCTAAAGTTGTATTGATAGTTTCTTTTAGTTTGCATTCAATTGCAATATGAGATGAGTTTGAAAATTAACTTAATTTTTCAAATTCAATAATTTTATAATCTCTCATTAAGGCATCATGTATCTTCAAAGTTTATATAACTGTTTTACACTCAAATCTTTTCAAATTCTTAATAGCTGAAAAAGGCAAGGTATCAATTCTCTGTTTACATTTATTTGTTTTGGGTGGCAAGATTACTCAATTTACTGTTAAATGGGGTCAAAAATGCTTGCAAGTTACTTAATTTACTATTTATTTTTTTAAAAAAAATTCCCAGGGGCTGAGAATCCTCATACATTTGCTGCTTTTCTTTTACCTTCTAGCTAATTATTCTTCCTCCCCTTGCACCACCTTCTACCTTGGCAGATTTAACAACTATTCTTGAATTTGAAACTATTGATGATGCTACATTAGAATGACTGATGTGTTACACAAAGGCCCCTATGTAGGTGAAGACTGGAGATGTGCTAAGCAGCCCATTATTTTCACAGTACAGTGATCTGCTTGTGGAATTTTCTGAAAACATTTCCAAGGGACAAGACATCAGAGCCTCCATTCCTGTTTCATATTGACTTCTGACCTAACATTGGACCAGTAAATCCCATGTGTAAATATGAGGCTGGGTGGCAAGACGACTTTTTAAAATATTTACAATGGTAAACTCTCTGGATTATAAATTACAACAGAAACAAGATGAACAGCTTTACCCACCATAAACTTGTCTTTCACACTTTTTTTAAGTATATTAAGCAGTCTAGCAGGAGTTTCACTAGTAGTATAAAGAAACTCAAAAAAGAACAAAAATTAGATTAAACAATTCATCACTGAAAGTAACCATGGATTAAAAAAAATTGGATGGGAAAAAACACAATGGCTAATGTCAGCCTTGAAAAATGTTTTTTAAATTAAAAAAGAAAGTCAAGATAAAACCTGGGTAATAAATAAGTCATATTACTAAACAAAAAAAATCCATATTCTCATTTGTAAACACAAAAGGATGTGAATTAGTGACAAAAATATATTATACAACGTATGTGAAACATCCAATAATCATCTGAGCATAAACAGGGTGAGATGCTCAGTCACCAATGGGTGAAGCAGGGATGCAAATCAGCCCGATCTTATTCAATCTATTGTGTGAGCATTCTCTGAGGGTGGAATAAAGGACTCAGAAGCCAGTGTTAGACTGATTTTTGTCCTCTGGGAAACTCCACTTAACAGCTCTGAATATCATTAAAAGCCTGTGAGGCAGTCATTCAAGGGCTGCTGTTGTAGGTTGTCATGGGAGCTTTCAAAACGTACACACAGAAAAACAGGCCATGATTACGGATCTTACTGCAGAGTAAATCCAGTGGCCAAAATGTTGATAAGCTTACTCTGACCTCCGATAGCAATTATTGTCTCTCCATTCTAATCATGAGATGAACTTTCATCATAATACAATAATACTGTAAGCTCCTTGAAGGTAGAAACTGTACCTTTATTTCTCTCTTGTGGCATCTTGTGTATTTCTGGGCGAATGGTAGGTGTGCAGTGAATACATGTTGAATTGAATTACAGCATGAGATCACGTACTTGCCCCCATCGGCAGAATCCTACACACCTCTCACTGGCAATATTGAGATTACAGGGGTCACTGGCAGCACTCTGCCTAATGGCATACTGACTGACAGAGTAGAAAATCATATCAAGAAGGCCAGTATGACCTTTGAGTCGGCAGACAGGGTGTGCACTCACTGTAGCAACAAGGTCAAGATCAAAGTGATGAATCTCCAACCTTCTCCTACATGGCTAGAGACCTGAACTGACCACATCTGATTATCTGCACAATTTCATCAGCATCACATGTGAGTAATACTTTAAATAACAGTAAACACTGAGAGAGGAGCACAAACATCAGAATCCCAGAATGCAGCAAATTTACCAGCTTGAAGACGTGCACTTGACGACAGGCTTCTTGTGGATCATGCAAGCCTGCTGATTAGACATGAAAACAACTGCTTTATGGTGACCTGAAATGGGATTAATGTAAGCCGGATGAGTGTTAGAAATGCTTTAAAGAACCCAGTGAAGTACTGTTCAAAATGATACAGCCAAGCTGTTTAAGAAAAAAAAAAAAATCCTGGGAAAACAGAAAAGCTGAGATCAACTTGCTTATCAGTAATCAAAAAACGGGGTAGCTCATACTGAGAAAAAACTATGTGGGAAAACATGGTTCTAGGCATCAAAGTCACTAGTTTCTATGAACCTAGGGTGAAAGGGGTTGTTAGTCATTTATCTGTCTTTTAGTGACATCGGTCTTCACAAACTGTAGTCAGAAGAAGTAGCATGAACTTTAAACACTAAAGATAAAAATAAATACATTGTATGTAAATAGGTGCCTAAATGATTTTTATCTTTAAAAATAACTTCACTTTCAGCTATTGAAAAACTCCTTTAATTGCTAAGAGAGAAAGTCAGTAGGTGACTAAGGCACTGCAATTTACATCTGCTTAGTGGTGATATATTAGTATACTCTCCAGAGAGCTTCCAACCCGACATTCTCCATATGTTGCCCATATGTTATATTTCCATAAACATATCTTCTAGAAAACAGCCAGATGCTTCACTTTTATACCTGAATAATAGTGGCCCTTCTTTATCCTTTGGTCTTATCTCTTCCATAGGTTTTGAAATATTTATAATAATTAAATAGGAAAACAATTATTTTAAAATGCATTGAATATAAACCCAGTTATTCATAATATTGTATTTCTAGGACCTTTACAAACTTCTTTTCTAAAATACAAAAACTCTTAAGGTTGAATATCAAGATAGAATATTATTGCCATTCAGACGAAATAGAATTTAGCGTGAATTTTAGCGCATCGTCCAAACCAACATTCCTGACTATGTTCTGGAAGGGGATGATTTGCTGAATGAGTCATGAATGATCATTATCATCCTTATAATATCAACAACAGTTTATAGTTACTGAATACATATGATGTGCCAGGTATTATGCTATTGGACATAGTGTATCATTTTTCATTTTACCTACAAGTAATATGTAGGTAAAAATGTCGTAATAATGTTTACAGCTCCATTATTTTCAGGTTGAATTCATATAATTCTCCGTTATCACAGTCATGATTTTGCACATCTGAGACTTGACAATCCTCGTGCTTCTGGGGCACGCAACATGAGAAAGAGTAAATAAGTGACCTCTTTATTTCCTCTCTGTCCTCTTTCTCAATCTTCTTTCTTTTCCTTTTAACTACTAGAACCTCCACAGATTCGGGCCACGGGTCAGGGAGGAGTATGCAGATCTGCTTTCAACAAATGCCTCTGGGTGGGTGACTCTAGCCATGAAGTATTAGTGTGTATCCAACTTTTAATGTCAGGCTGCTGTATAGTGGGGAATTCAGAGGCAGTCTCTACCCTCAGTAGATTCTCATTATTTCATGTCAGAGTACGGAGGATCACCCTGTCTCCAGTATTTCCTAATTTCAATCATTGTATAGAATAATTCTGTGCATATATTATACAATCGGAATTATTTCACTCTCTTGCTATAGCATATCCTTTCAAAAGACAGAATCCTCTCTCTGTCTTCCGAAGTCTACTAGCTCTTTCTTGTGCACTCCTGTCTCAAGATTAGTCAATGAAGGCCCTGGAAGAGAAGACCAGGAGGGCTCAGCTGACCCAGACCAGGCTAATGCACACTTCATTGACTATATTTCACCTGTTTCATGCTCTATTCCTGTCACAAATAATTCTTACAGTTCCATCCAGATGAAAATCAATTAAGGGGTAATAAGAATAATAACAGTGAGCATTTAGTGCTTAATGTGTTAAACAGTATACTAGCCACTCTGACTAGCATCTCATTTCAGTCTCACAAGCCTCTGAAGTAGGCCAAGAGTATTATTTCTACTTAATAGATAATGAAATTGACACTAGAAACATGAAATAACTTGTTCAAGGTCACAAAACCAGTAAGTGGCAGAGTTGTCATTTGAACCCAGGAAGTCTGACTCCGGAACCTACCTACGGCTACATATAATGCATTTTTAGAATAAATTTTATTCATTCATTCATTCATTCATTCATTCATCCATTCATGTAGTTCCTATGTCTTAGGCACTGTGAAAAATACAAAGAAAAGTAAGGCCTGAATCCAACTACCACATAAACTCAGTTTTTTGGAGGAGGGGGACACATGGACAAACAACAACAGTGAGATGGCGTATATGCAAGGTGGTCAGCATGCAAGGTACAGAGAGGAGTGAATGTTGCCTGGAAGAATCAGGGAAGGCTTGTTAAATAAGGTGGTGATCTTCAGGGGCATGTTTAAAAATGGAAATACTTTAGTGGGGAAGGATATGGTCTCTTCTCCAAAGTATTTGCTAACACATGGAGATGGAAGGTAGGACTGCCTATTAGAGAAAATGAAGTAGTTGGAGGGTGGGCGTGTACAGGAGAGTAGCATGAGCTTATCTGGGAGGGTAATGGGTCCGTTCTAGGAAGGACCTTAAATGCCTTGCTCCTTAGTAAGGAGGCTAAGGCTTAGGCTGTTGAGGAAAGGTTTTAAACTAATACACATAATTGGATCTGCATTTTAAAAGGCAGGCGTTCTCAAACCTGGCTACACACTAGAATCACCTGGAGAACTTTGAAAGAAATACTGGGGGCCTGACCCCATCCCCAGAGAATCAAATGCAATTAATCTGTGGGAGGGCCTGGCATCAGTATTTTAAAGAGGTTCCCATGTAATTCAAATAGGTAGCCTAGGCTGAGAACCATAGCTTTTTGGCTTCTAATATCTAATTTATGGGGGAAGAAAGTGCTTTATTAAACATCTGCCATACAAACAGCAAAACTTAACTAGTAATTCAGGATATTTCACCTAAGATATGATTCTAAACAATGTCTCAAACAAAATTATGGTTAAATCAAGTGAAAAAAAAAAAACCCCACACACTTTTTTCTGCGATTACATTTCAGAGTTACAGGTTTGTTAGCAAGGTGTGTACCAGGGTGCTGAAGGGTTAAGATACAGAACTAGATGATGATGCAACATTGAAAAGCCATGGCATTTAATGGAGTAAAAAGGAAATCAACCACTCATCTTAAAAACTCCATGATTCTCTATCATTGCATCTTGGGCAACAATAGTTAAAAGTCACTTGAATCATTGCACTACTCTACAGAATCATGGCTGACCTCTGCTGTGACAAGTGCAGAATACCCTCGGCTGAGTTACATAATGGAAGTATCTGCAACAGTGAGTTATTCCAACCCTCGGGTAGAATGACGGATGCTCCACAGTTTCCTCGGATGTGAAGCCACTAGGGACCTGGCTGCAAGCATGTATTTTTATAGACACCTTAGCTCATGTAAAAGTTCTAATGCAAACTTTAGTGCTTGGGAACGTTAAATAGGTTTAGGATGCTTCCCCAGAGAGTTTTAGTTCCATTAACACAAGACTTGGTGACTAAGGACGGATATAATCCTGATCCCACGTTAGAGATATAGAAAGAGAAACTCTTCACTGTCTTCAAGTTAGCACTCACATTTCAAAAGATAAGAAGGACCTTTCAGCATCAAGAGGACTAAATAATTCAATTCGAACCTAATTCAGCATCTTATGCATCCCCCTTCCTCCAATAGAGCTCATGTGGCAGAATATAGCTAAATTATTTCAGCTGTTAGAAAAGAAGGTGACAGAATTCGTAGGCTTCCTTCCGTGACCGTCGTGGCTGAAAGTTCTATTACTGAACTACTGGCACTTGGCCTGTGGAGATTCTGACTGTTCACTCTCAAATGGCTAAGGGCTGAGCTGCATGTGATAATGTCTGCCACCAACTCAAAGGTACCATGTTGGTCCCTGACCATGGGAGGCCAGGGGCACAGATGTTCCCATGTAGAGCTTCTACCTCTCAGCACAGGGCTGAGGGCGTACACAGCTGGATGTAGGCAATACCAGCACATCTACTGAAGCCCCATGACCATCTTCAGAGTGCCTAACATGCCCGCACTGGTCCTTCCCCACCACCATGGTTCCTCAGCTCGTGCAAGGCTCTAAAGGAAAAACAAAACTTTGTCCTCTTAGAAAGTTCAGAGCAGAGGTGGAGGGGAGAGACCATGACATTTCAAGGCTTCCCAATGGCAGGTTCCACAGCCATTTTTTCAAACGTGTGTGTTCCTCATCTCTTTGTATAACCTCTGCTGCAATTAAATGGGCCTTCTCAGTAATCACCCAACTTGATCTGCAAATTCTTACCAACAAATAACTACTGATGACACACCTATCTCTTCCTCACTATCTAATCACAAATGGCTCACTCAAACCATGAAGATTTGCCCATTACATTAGCTTTGAATGACTTCCAAGGGAGAGAACCAGGACATTTGGCTGGAGCTTTTTCCACTTAACTCAATCCCTTTACCCATCTTCCCCTTATATGCAGCCAACCTCTTCACCTGTGCTTCCAGTGCACTCATGACTACTACTCTGGGATTTTGTCCCATTGACAATGCCTCTCCCTAGTATCTCTTATTTTAACGATCTCCCATTCTCTGTGTACAAACAGGCACAATTATCTCCCTTCTTGAAAAGAAAAAAAAAAAAAAACCTATCTGATTTCTTCAACCATACTTTACCTAAGTGGAATTCTCCTTTCCCCATTTCCTCACCTTCCACTTGCTTCTCTAAGTATTTTGGCAACTGCTTCATCATGCTGACTGCTCTGACAAAAGTCACCAATGTATTTCCTTTTCCAAATACAATGGACACTTTTCAGGTCCTCGTTTCACTGAATTGACCTTTTGGTAGCAGCTGGCATAGTTGTTCATCCCTCCTTTGTGGAATGCTCCTTGCCCTGCCTCTCTGGGTATTTGCTTGCTCTTGCTGGCTCTTCTTTGCCTTGGTATCACGTAAATGTAGGTGAGCCCAGGCTCTGTCATTGCTTGACTCCCACTACACAACACTTCCTGTATCCTGCAGACTTCAATCAACTCTACACTTTGAGTCCCAGACTCTCCTAAGCTTTAGAGACATAAGTGCAATAAACCAAATCTCCCTGTGAGCCCTTTCCATTCAGTATGCCAAAACTGAAATACATCCTGTTTTCTTAGCTCCCTCACTAAGCCTCCTTCCCTCACACCATCTTCCCCCACAAACAGAAAACACCATTCATCTATTCCTAGGTTTACCACCTTAGTTGAAGCCATGACCATCCACCTTTTGGTTAACTTCGGTCTTCCCTTTCCCTTACCACTAGCCCCACACATTCCAGAGCAGTGTTGCCAAATTTCTTTTGCAACATTTTTCTCATTCATCCCTTTCTCTCTACCCCAACTTTCATAGTCTTTGTTTAGAACCTCATCTTTTTTTTTTTTTTCACCCAATCTACTGCAATCATTGTAGTTAATCTTCCCTTCTTCAACGCATCTTCACTCCAAGCTATCCTCTACTCCACTGGTCAAATAATGATGGTGCAGGGTCAAATCTGGCCTGCTGCTTTTGGTATATAAAGCATCTGCCCACTCCTTTATGTATTATCAATGACTGCTTTTGTGTTTCAGTGGTGAAAGAGACTGTACAGTCCATAAAACCTGAAATATTTACTACCTGGTCCTTCAGAGAAAGTTTGTCCAACCCACTACTGCCAGGATGATTCTGATCAAAAATACAAATCTGATCACGTTGCTTCCATGCTTAAAAGACTTTGGTAGTTACATTAGGTGGTGAGGTACCAATCTGTGACTGCCAAATGCAGCACTTCTGGCCACACTAAATAAACCCCTGATCTTGAAGGTGCCTTGTACATTGATGTCAACTTTGTCCTTCTGTGCTGTTGCATATGCTGTGCATTTTGTATACCATGCCCTTGATGTGAATAATTCATTTTCATCCTCCCAGATTCAGTTCAAATGTCATCACCATGTAAGCCTTCCTTGACTCCTCTCAACAGTGAGATCCTCCCTACATACCTTATTTCCATATACTTTGTACATTTGTCTATTTTGCATTTATCACTATTTCATTCATTCATTCTTCTATTTACACATCTGGTTGTCTTGCTAAGTCATGAGGACCTGACTTAAATATACCAAGAATAAACTTCCAAATGAATGTAATGGTAGGTTTTATGCCCTTATTTATATCAAGGTCAATTTTATTTCAAAATAGTTTGAGAAATTCTTCTATGTGTCTGCTCTCAGAATCACTTTATGTTCATTCAAGAAAGGCCATCTTAACATTTCAAAGTTAACATTTCATTTTAAATTAAACCAAAACGTTACTCTCCAGCTTCATCAGCAAGCATGTTCTAAAGGAGTTTGAATCTTTCAAAAAATCAAATCTGCCCTTAAAGGAAAAAGTTTACCAATGTTGGTAGTTGTTAAGTAAGGAACAGCAGACATTGGATGTAATTTTGAAAAGATAATTTTAGAAATATTTTCAGCAATGACAACCATCTTCAAATAGATAATTTTGTTAACCTATTAACTTTGATGAGACTGCCACATGTTCTGGAATGTCTTTTTTGTTCATTCAATTAAATCACACTGAAAAAAGAATGGACTACTCAATAAACGTATATCCAATTTTTTAAAAGACTATTGGATTCAAGTAGATAAAAGATCTAAATATAAAAAGCAAATTCAAACTTTCAGGAGAAAATTATCTTTATAAAGTTGGAATAAAGAAGGCCTTAAAAATGCAAAATAGAAGAAACTGAACAAAGCAAAAGATAACTTCAACTACATTAAAATGAAAAATTTGTTCATTGAGATAACATAATAAAATAAAAGTCAAGCCATGAATTTGGAGAATTCATACCAGTAAAAAATATAACTGACAAAAGATTAGCATCCAGACTGTCTAAGAATAACTACAAATCAATAGAAAAAAATTGAATCTTCTAAATAAAAAAAAGATATGAATGGACAATCTAAAATATGAGGAAACTTGAAGATTCAATACACATACCTAAAAAGGCTCTACCTCATCAGAAATCAAGTAAATATAAATTTAAACCTTAAGGAGATTCAGTTTCACAGCAATCGGATTGGCAAACATTAAAAAGTCTGGCAACATCAATCATTGGCAAGGATATTGAGCAATGAGAAATGTTATACCTGATGGTGAGAGTATAAATTAGCACAACTTACTTTGGAGAGCAAATTGGCAATATCTAGTAAAGTCGAAGATGTACTCCTATATTTATTCTTAGACACAAGAAGATACACAAGGATATTCATTGCAGCACTGTAATATAAAAGTGGAAAATAACCTAAATGCCCATCAATGTGAGAATGGAAAATTAAGTTGGGGTTGTTATATATAATGGTATAACATATAAGAGCAAACGTGAAATAATTAGGACCACATATAACAATGTGGCTAAATCTCAAAAGCATAATGCCAAGAAACAAACAAACAAAAAAAGCAAGATGCAGAAGAATGTACACATACAATTTACATAAAATTTCAAAATCTGCAAAGGAATGATATACATTGTTTACAGATGCATATGAATGAAGCAAAGGTATCAAGATGTGCCAGGGAATGATACTACTAAAATCAGAAGGCTGGTAACTTTTGGAGAGCAGAGACAGAAATGTAATTCGGGACTTCAATTTTCTTTGTAAACATTTATTTTTTAAGCTAAGGTATACTGATGTTTGTATACTATTCTCCATGTTTTGCTGAATATCTGGAATTTTCACAATTTGAAAACTCACTTTTAAGACAACCATTTTTGGAGGAAGTTGTATAGAGCATGTACCCCTATAACATAATCTAACAGCCAGACATATTCCAGTGCATTGAAATAGAGATTTTAAAGCACACAGTATTAGCAGTTTTAGAATTAGAATTTACCTTAAAGTCTGACCAGTCTACCACTTTCCTATTTGAAAATAAGGAAATGGAATAATTACTTTAATCACTCAGTATTATTAGATTGGCTAGTAATAGGGTTAAGACCCCATCTGCTACAACCCCAGACATATGAGTGTAATTAAATTAAGGCATTCTAAGCACGATGCCCAAAGTTGTTCTAGTATTATTACTTTTATCAATCTCATTTTATATATATATATATATATATATATATATATATATATATATATATATATATATATTAGTGACAGAGTCTTGCTCTGCTGCCCAGGCTGAAGTGCAGTGACATGATCATGGCTCACTGCAGCTTCAAACTCCTTGGCTTAAGTGATCTGTTTCAGCCATCAGAGTAACTAGGACTACAGGTGTGTGCCACCACACCTGCCAATTATTATTATTATTATTATTATTATTATTTTGTAGAGATGAGGTCTCAAACTGTTGACCAGGCTGGCCTCCAACTCCTGGCCTCAAGTGATCCTCCGGCCTTGGCTTCCCAAAGTGTTGGGATTACAGGCATGGGCCACAGCTTCCAGCTAATCTCATTTAATCTTGAATCACAATCTTGTATCTTGAAATCTTTGTCAGGGACAGAAGCCCCTGCATAATTTTTGGGCTGGAGATGACTCTGTATTAAGAAAATAATCATAATTATCAAATGAAAACAGTAATATGCAGAATAGTGTATATATTATAGTACCACTTTGTAAAAAATAAAAAGAAATGAGAATATTATATTTGTGTGGCTTGCATATGGAGAAAAATACCCATGAATGGATAATACATAAGAACCATGCTTAGCAATTAGCAGGAATGGGTACTGGGTAGCGCACAGTGACATCTGGAGGGTGATTTTTTTTTCATATACCTTTTTGTTTTTTTGCAATTCAAACCATGTAAAGGTATTACCTATTCAAAAGTTAATTAAATAATTAAAAAAGAAAGCCCTTGTAAGATGCACTGATCTAGCTCCTCTATTGTGAAAGATGTATTATTTTTCTCACCTACGTCTCTCAGTAAACTCCAGTTCCAGCTTCTAATCACACCAACATGACTTTTTTCACGGGCTGATCAGAAAATGATGGCTGACAGATCCTGACAGGTAAAGTACAATGGCCTTTACCGCGGCATTGCTATGGGCAATGGAGACGATTTCAAGGTCTCAGCTTCTTGTGTATTAAGACTTTAGTTTTAGCTTCTGAGTTGAAATGTCTCATGCCTCTTCCTTCCTATGGGCTTTAAGCTCTGGCAGGTAACATGGCACAGGCCTTGCCTGGGCTGGGAGGTGCCTGAGTTTCTTCTGAGTATCTAAAATATGCCCACCAGGCCACTTGGCAACTTTGGCTCACCTTGACCCCTAGGTTTGTGGGTGCTTACTGGCTCATTATCTTGACTGACCTTGACCATGTGTTGCTAACTGTCATTGGAGTATCCACTGTAAGCTCTTTTCCCCCTTTTCTCACCTGCCAAACCTACTAATTCCTAAGATGAGAAGTTCTCACTAAAATATATTCTTCTGTTCTGATAATTTCTACCAATTAGATGGAAGCTACTTCTTCCTTAACTTGTAATTTTGTTTCTTTATCTACTGGCCCTTTCTAAAGAGCAGGGTTCTAGCAGATAGCTTCCAGGAAAATCATGACAGTGGAAAGAACCCTAGACTGAGGATCTAGGGCTCCAGGCTGAATAAAGAATAACTTCTCTGGTCAACTCTAAAACGAGTGGCTTAGTAGACATTATCTGTAAGGTTCCTTTACAGAGCTAAAGTTCTATGAATCTCTTATTTTTTAAAAAAACTCTCTTTTACCTCCTTCCACTCTATTCCTTTTCTACCTAAACATTTAAAAGATACTCTGAACAGAAGATGGGTTTAGACACATGTACCCATGATTTCATCTCATAGAAATATATCAGAGAAGACTATAAAGCCTCAGAAACCTAAAGGAACAAATGGGACTTGCTGCCCGCCAACTTTCCTCATGGGAAAAAGGCATTTTCTTTTAGAGAGAAACATCTCTCAAGGCACTATGGTTAAAAAAAAAATAGGCTCCACTTTCTCATAAGGATATTATCATATATAATTTTCCCTAAGAATAAGAGGTAATAGAGAAATAAACCTTTTGAAAGTAGTCTCTTGTTTTAACTTTAACATATATAATCTATACATTTAGTCACTCACTTTTTTCTGAGTATTTACCTATCATAACCATGTAATTAATTCTTCTTATCTAATTTGTATTTTTAATAATAATTGTGACTATAATAATTCAGCATCGTGTGACTGAAACTGCACACCTGGGAGTCACCCTGGACTCCTTCCTTTCCTTGCCCACACATTCATTCCATCACCAAATCCTGAACATTCAAACTCTGTAACAGACCTCGAACCATGTACTTCTCTGCTGTTCTTCTCCAGGGCCTAACCATCTCTTGCTTATACTTTTTAATAGCCTTGTGGTGGCCTCCTTGCACTCTGGCTATTCTCCAATCTCCTCTCCAGAGAGTAAACAGAGCTGTCTTTTCAAATCCATAAACCTGGCTGTGCCACTCCCCAGGGAACCCTTCAATGTCATGTCAATGGCTTTTGAATTAAACCCAAATTTCTTCCTTGGCCTTCAAGGCATACATGATTTAATTCCTGCCTTCCTTTCCATCATTAACTAGTTATGTGAGATTGAGAAAGTTATAGGACCTCTCTTTACAGTATAAATTTCATGCTATAAAATGCCACTAAGAAGCAGATCTTGCCTATAAAGTGCTTAAGATAGCTCTTGGTACATAGCAAGCGCTCAATGAGTGTTAACTATTTGAAAATTTAATAGTCAATACAGACAGAGCATTCGCTCTGTGTGTAACACTAAGCTAGGCACTTCAAAAAAACTAATGAAGCCTTTCTAAAACTTCTCTCAACCTTTGTCTTTTTCTCATCACTATATCAACAAGGAGACTCCTAGTAACTATATGAAGTCTTGCACTTGGGGTCAAAGATCAATAGTACCAAAAATGGCTTAGGGCATTTTCACAGTTAGTGTGAAAAGATCTTAAGGATTTTAGGTGAATGGCAAGTAGCTAAGAGCACAGTGGCTTCCACACCACATCTGTCAATGCACTTCATAAAAAAAAAAAAAAGAAAGAAAGAAATCTTAGACCATGATGTTACTTATATATACAACAAGAGAAGTAACATGTTACATTGGTCAGATAATATTTGGTTTTATTCTAGGTACCATATCTTAACAGGGACATTAATGACCAATTTAAGGCAAGTAGGGAGGTAAGGGGCCTGCAAAGAATGTTATATATGAAAGTTAAGGGACCTGGGTAATTACCCTTGAGAAGAAAAGATCTGGAAGAGTAGATAGACAAGATATTTCAAATATTTGAAAAATCTTTTTACAGACAACACATTCTACATGTTTTAATGAGCAGGGCTGGACCCAAAGCACAGAAATCACAAGAAGGAAGACTTCCATTCTCATTATTAGAACTATCCAAAAATGAGGGGAAAATACTTGGGAGAGGAGCAAATGGCTCTTCACAGGGAAAGTTTTACGTACAGGCTGAATGATCACCCTTTTAGAACCATGTGAAAAGAATTTCCTTTTGGATAGAAGCACAGACTAGATAAGAGCAGCTAACATTTACTAAGCACTTAATGATATGCTAGGAGCTTTACAAAATTATTCATTTAATCCTCACAACAACTCCAAGAAATAGATACTCCCATTTTACTGATGAGGAAATTGATAGGTTAAGTGACTTGCCCACTGTCCAACAGGAAGTAGCTGAAACAGGAGCGAAATCCAAGCTGCTTGGTTCCTGAGTTCGACTATTAGTTTACGTTCTACATGACTTCTAAACCAGATGATTTGTGAATGCCCCCCACCTCGTAATTTCCATGTTTCCATCTCACATAACTTTCTGCAGTCACTTTGTTGACTGCTGTCCCATATGCCTTTAATTTCCTGTTACTAAGATTTGTCAGAAAAGAAAGTTTTTCTGAACAGATGAAAGTGTACGATTTCCTGGAAATGTACAGCAATTCACATGAAAGGGAGAGGGTTGTTGAAGAAGGGGAACATTAGCCTAGGCAAACCCTCCAAGAAAAAGACAGAAGTCCCTGCAACCAGAGAGGACCCTATAGGAGACCTCTCTGCTCATTTAGAAAGCAAATTTCCGGGATCACTTTAGATATACAATTATTTTAAATATACAATATTTGATCCCTATTTAACAAAGGGATCTCAGAGAAAATAAAAATATATAGTAATCTTTACAAATATCTTCTTGCCATTAGACTAAAAAAGTTTAATTGGAAGTTATTAACACTGTGAATATTCTGAATATAGAATAATCATTATATAATATTCCCCATAAAGACAGAGTTTGTAAAATAAAATGTTTTGGAATAATTTGAGATACATATAAATATGGGGTAGATAAATGAGGTAATGGCAAAAAGCAGAACGTCCCACAGAATGTACAAATATGCCATTCCGTTAGAAACTTTTGGGTACAGTACTCCACTCAGATGTCTCATATGGTCTCATCTGGCACAATTTTGCAGTGATAGTAAAAAATACAATTTGCTCACTTAGAACATGTTTTAGAGCTGGGTGAGATATAATTTCCCTAAATTGAATATTTGGGAACCAATTTACAACCTCAAATCTGCTATTAACCTCAAAATAGGTAATTGAAAGTTTGTGTCTAAATCCGTTTGTCATAATAGAGCAAATTAAGAATCACATGATGGACGTGATTAATGTGTGACAGTTATCATGAACACCATGAGCACGAACTAATAACAACATCACAGAGAGATTCCAAATGTGATGCAGCCATGAAGGCAAAACTAATTTTCAAATTATAATAGCAACATCCAAGAAAGCTAATGTTTTCTTTGTGTGACAGTCATGGCTGGGCATCTGGACGATGGCCTGCCACTAATGTCCTAATAAATGGCAGGCACACACTAGAAAGGCTGTCATCATGTGGTGAGCTGAGCACAGTTGCTGCTGCCATTGTCATAATGGACTGGCTAGGCAGGAGGTCACAGGGTGCTGGAAAAAAGTAAGTCTCATTACTGGCTCAGTCTCAGGGTTCGATGTGCCTGAGAGTTCTGATGCACATGGCATAAACACATTTTCAATGCATATGGGTAATATGTCTGCTTAATTTTGGTCTTATGCAATATTTCTTCCCTATTTTCTGCTGAGAGAATATCAGAAGACTTGAAAAGTACTTGTAATTTAGTAATTTAGTGTCACAACAATTAAAACGTTTTATTTATGTGTAGAGCTTACTTTCAGCAACCGTCACATTGGCATTCAGATAAAAAACTGCCAGTGCATTCTGGCAGAACAGGTGCTTAGCTGATGGCACTTGATAACTGGGGGAAGCACATACTCTGGCAGGGCCTAGTGGGCCTGGTGCTGCAATGCACCTACCCTGCTAGACTGAATGCCATGAGGTGAGGGAGAAAGTCTTTTTTATCTTGACGTACCTGGCACTGAGCATGGTGCCCTGAGCAGATGGCCAAGAAATCAAGGGCAGTATATGAGAGAGCTAAGCAAATGGATCTAACTCTGGCTTTGCCATCTACTAGCCTAGGTAATCCCAGGCAATGATGTCAGCTCTCTGTCTCAAGTTCTCTCTCCAAGAATGAAAACAAGTTGTTGTGAGGATTAAATAGTGTATTAAAGCATTTAGTACATAATTGTGCTAAAAATGGCAGTTTATTGCATCAAATACATTTTCATAGATCAACAGTAGCAACAAAAATTCTCTGCACAGCACCTGTGAGATGGGTGCAAACAACCTTTACTTGTACAAAACCAGTTTTAAAAAAGCAAAACTCTAATTGGCTTTTCAAAGCTTTTTCTCACAACTGTCTAAAAGAAAGCTGTCCCAAAACAGTAAATTCTCATAAGAATAAATGATAATCTGAATATTTCTTGCCATATATAAGCTCAATTAATTTCTGAAAATTTTGACTATTTTAACACTTGCAGAACATCGACAATAGGAAAACACAAGCATTAAAAAAAAAACTCCTTTAGTCAATTGTGCAAGTAGGCACATATATGCCAATTTATGTGCAGAAACATAAAATAAATAACTGATGGCTCCTCTCTTTCAAATATTTTTACATTTACTCTTTGTATTCTTCTGTAATGATCCTTCTATGGTTTATTTCCCTTGACAGAATAGAAACTGAATTTTTTTGTATCACTAATAGTCTTGAAATTAAAGTGGATGTATTAGGTGCTGGCAATTTTCTACATCTGCCTCCACTATAACTGAAACTATTTCAGTATCATCTTTAGGGATAAAGTTTACTTGTTATTTGCAGACTTCAGTCACAGAGTTGGTTAGAAATGATGAGTATTTTAATATAATTGTTTCTTATTAAAGGGTCAAATCTTAAAGAAAGTATTGTTAGGTCTTCGTGGAACTGTTTGAATTACAGGTTCTCTGATGTATGTTACATTTTGAACGCACAAATGTGATTGTCTTATTTTAATATACCATCAAAAAGCTCAGATAACCCAATGACGTTTTCAGTGGTTACATTTCAAATATTGGCATGGTTCCAAAATGTAGACCTGGAGTAAGTAATCAGAGATTGAAGCAAGGCTAGCTGAACTATTCAAACGGCATAAATGGCATGTTGAAATATTCACACATTCAGATTAAACTATACAGTGTACATGAATATAGTTTGGACTAAGGAAGTCCAGCTTTTCTTAGAATAGGTAATAAGTTAATTTGACTTTCCTGATGCATAATATATAAATATTCAATCCAAATAACTAGGGGGAAATCTATATCTATATAATTTACATTCAAAACTACAGTATTCCTCAAGGCTCAGTCCTCCTCCATTACTCCCACCAAATATTCCTCCCCTCTCACAGGTCAGATGTACTTTTGTAGATTCAGCTATTGCTTTTGAGTGGAGAACTCTGAAATGTTTATTTCCAGCATGTTAAAGGTACAAGGAATTTCAAGACTCTTGTTTCATACTTTAAAAAAAAAAGGCAGATGTAGGCCGGGCGCTGTGGCTCACGCCTGTAATCCCAGCACTTTGGGACGCCAAGGTGGGCGGATCACGAGGTCAGGAGATCGAGACCATCCTGGCTAACACGGTGAAACCCCGTCTCTACTAAAAATACAAAAAAAATTAGCCGGGCGTGCTGGCGGGCGCCTTAGTCCCAGCTACTCGGGAGGCTGAGGCAGGAGAATGGCGTGAACCCAGGAAGTGGAGCTTGCAGTGAGCCGAGATCTCACCACTGCACTCCAGCCTGGACGACAGAGTGAGACTCTCTCTCAAAAAAAAAAAAAAAAAAAAAAGGCAGATGGAATCCATGAAGTTGCTTGACTAAATTTACCCATCTAGTTGGTGTAAGGAAAGGAACTAGAACACAGGTCTCCAAAACTCCAGTTATGTGCTGCTCTCTATCATACAATACTGCTTCCCTTTCTAGCTTTGGTATCTCATTTGTTCTCTTGTATATCTGCCTTCTTACTAGACTTCACACTTCAAATGTCCAAAAGCAAAGTCTTCACCTTCTCTTGCAAGCCAGTTCCCATGACATCTTTCTTCACTAATGATGTCTCACTCTCTAGGTAATCCCTGCATGAAATCGTAAGATCATCTTTGACTCCTTCCTTTTTACCTTCTAAATATAATCAATAAGTCTTTGGTATAGCGAGTACATTGAAATTATATCCATCTTTCAAGAACAAGTGCAAATGCCAGCTCTTCAATGAAACCCTGCAAAGTAATTAATTCATGTTAATTTCTCTTTCCTCTAAAATCATACATCATTGATTGAATCCACCAATTATTTTGATACTTAATCATATATCTTACTGTGTCACTAATGACTAAACTCTAAATTGTTTTGTATTTCTCATAAGACCTAGATAAGTTTATGATTAGTAGGTACTCAATAAATTCTCACTGTGTTGAATCACATTTCTTTATAACTTGTTATTGGCTGACATATCTCTAAAACATGAATAAAATGCTTGCAAATATTTTTGATAGTTTTGAATATTAAAACCATAGAAACTGAGTTCTGAATAAATATTCCTCTTAAAAGAACATTTTATTTAATATACTAATTCCAAGTGAGAAGAAAGAAAGTATGAGAAAAGTTATGCACAAAATAAAATGGATATAAAATAACCATCAAGTATTATGTACATTACCAAAATGGGGCCATTTAAATAAATACTTTTCCTGACATTTACCTATTCAAATCACACAAAAATAATTTAAAATAGCAATGACTTTAAAAGACCAGTGATATCTCATTAGGAAAGAGCAGTTCAGAAAGCAGGCTGAATCATGCAGTGAACCACAGTCAGTGGGCCTGTAGGCCATGGAAGGAGCACTGTTACAGAGTGCAAGGGACCTCAAAAGGAAACACTCTCCTTTAAGAAATCATTAGTAGGCAAAGACAGCTGATTTTAATTGTTCAGACTGGTACACAGGAGGAATGACAATCTCCAAAGTAGAGAATTCTTTTTAAAAACCCTCCTAATTAGTCCAAGAAGTTGACATACCATGGCATATTCATGAGTCTACAGGAGAGGAAACAGATTTTAAAAGGAGAGATGAATGAAAAGACAGCAGATGGAAAGAAAGTGGTTTTGATCACAGATGACTATAAATGAAGGACAATTGAGATAAATTAATATTAGAAAAGTTAGAACAAAATTAATAAATATAAAAAGCAGAAGATAAATGGAAGAAGGTTATAGGAAATTCCTATCTATAAAATGAGGCTTAAGAACTATAGGTTGCAAAATTTCTATTTTGATATTAAACATGCTCATAAAGCCAGAGATTTACTTCCAAAGCCACCCAGGAAATTCAATCTTGTTAATTTACTGACACCCCGTAGATGTTAAGAATGGAATATGTAAAGCACTTTGAAAATTGACTGTCTTAAGTTTTACCCAACTTCAAGGAAAGAAAATGATCAGTTTTAATTATAAAACAATTTCTTAGAAAAATAAAATGCTAAAAGCTAGTAAACTAGAAAGGATGACATCTTTTATTTCTTGATTTTTTAAAAAATTACAAGAAATAATAGAATAATTTTTATAAATAAATTAACATTAACTAGGAGTAAGTACTAGGCCAAAGGACCATAAATTCAACACACATCACAAAATAGTTCTTTCTCTCACCTAAATAGCTCTTAGTCTTAACAAAAAAAAATTAGAGTGTCTAACGTGAGTAGCATAAGTTTGAGATTTTTTAAAAACAAAAAAACTAAGAAAGATTACTTTTTAAAAACCAATAACTAAGAAACATCAGAAAGATGCTTCACTTTACCACAAAGTGATCTGAAACCCTCTTTAATGTTGATTTTGCAATCACAGTAGAGGCAGCTCAGAGCTATTGCAGTGCGCTGTGACAAGAGCCTCCAAAGGAGATGAATGAGATCATCCTATTGATAAGGTCGCAATCGATCTGAAGCAGACCTTTTTCAAATTAGCAAAATGTTACAGCACTTTAGTAAGTGTCACCAACAGCCCTTCTCCATGAAAAATGCACTGGCTTATGGAAAAACTAATTTTGTAAACTAAAAATTTGTCTCATAACAAAAAAGTGTTGCTACACCTATTTTTCCTCCAAATGCTCAGAGACAGAGATTCTCAAGGTAGCCTGCTTTTATATCTGGTTTCAGAATAGCCCACCTCTCAAACATCTCTTAAAATAAGTTGTGTCTACTAATTAATATCATGTCTATGGCTAAAAGTGTCAAGAGAAAGGTTCCTCAAAATACTAATAGATATCAATCTCAAATAAATTCTGATCCCATGAAAATAAAAACATCTTTAGCGTTACTTGCTAAAAAATCAATTACCTCAAAACCAATTACCTCTAATTCATCTGAAGAAAGCAAAACTAACCCTTCAGCTTTCTTGGGAGGAAGAAAGTGGACACAGAAGGAATCTTATCAATGGCAAAGGGGTTGTCATAAAACCATCAAAAACATAATCATTGTGTAGTAAAAGTCAATTTCTTTTTCCTTCAAGTGAAAATTATTATGGAAACTTCTAGATATACACACACACACAATGGATGAATGTATAGATAATAGAAATAATTTTATTAATATCTTTAGAAAGTGATTCTCAAAATGGAAATCTGCTTCAGAATTACCTTGCACTTGTTAAAACCTCAGATTCCTGAGATCTCTGCGGGTATGTTAAGGAACCTGCAATTTTACTATGTTCCAAGGTGTTTATTTTGCACGAGGTTTCAGAACCACTGCTATAGAAAAACTTGGCTTGCCACTTCACTTGTATACAAGATGGTGCTGGTAACATGGAGCTTGCTTTCTAAAAGTGTAAGGCGTAGTGATCAGAGTTCAGATACACCAGAGGCACCAACTCCAGTTTTTCCCTTTATAATCTAACTTTGGGCAAGTTACTTAAACTCTGAGATTTAGGTTTCTCATCTGAAAGTATTTTAATATCTCATAGAGATGTTTTAGGGATTAAAGAAAATTTACGTTAAGAGTCTGACACACAGGAGGCTTTCAAAAATAGTATAATTAGTTCAATCCCCACAGTGACAATTAACTTGTTCTGCAGCTGGTCCACAGAATGTACCTCAGAACAGCAGCCAATAAAAGAAACTGACTACTCTGGGGTGGTGTGCTCCTAACTCCCCAAGACAAGCTGATTTCAAGAAATATTGAAAATTTGTACTACTATTTCATAAAATTAATTTTCAGTGGGTGGGCAGAAGAGAGAATACTTACTGGACAGCTTAGGAAAAAACTAAGAGAAGCACCAAAAAGAACTTGCTTCAAAATAAAGACAAATTTTTGAGTTTTCTCAGTGCTCAACTCTAGGCACTGATAGTGTTGAGATGGCAGCAAGTGAATTAGCATCGATTTCACATTTAAAATTAGGATGTAATTTGCCACCTTCAGTACTGTGAGGTTGACTCCTTTAATTTGAGATTTACATGGCTTCACTGCTTTACTTAATATAGTCACTTCCTGATTATTCCTTTCTTTCTTTTGTGGTTTCTCAACCTTTCGGTGTCACTGATTAAGATTCCTTATACCAGAAGTATATAGCTGACAGGACAAAGGGCCCCAGCTTTGTAAGTAATCCAGGTGAGGATAATAGGGACAGAGACCCAGGAAGAGTGGGTGTAAACGACATCTGGTTCCACCGACTGTTCACTATACTCAGCCAATTAGTGTGATGAGGAAGTAACATGCTAATAAACAGTTCTAACACTGGAATGGAGAAAAAGGAAACAAGATTTTTTCCCATTGGTTAGAGAAAACTGGCTCCAGGTCTAATTATAAAAAAAAAATCACTCACAAGAAGAGAAGCTTTAATTCTTATTTAGAATACACAGTTAGAAATATATTATTTAAAAAGGACTACACTCAAAAATGATGTTAGTGAACAGAGAGTTGACATCATCTTTCAGATCTCCATACAAATTTTAACTCATTGATGACATATGCGTTCTAAATTTGCAGCACATACTATTTTTCCAACTAAAACACCTATACAGTTCTGCGCTCACATCACCTCAGATTTAACCTAAATTGGTTTGCACGCCCAAACACTGCACAAACACATACTGACATACACACATAGAAAAAGTAAGCACTTTCAACTGTACTTTGACTGCCTAGGCCATAATTTGTACATATTTAAAATATAATTGTGGTAGAAACTTCCTAGTGATTCAGTTGGATTGAGGAAGAAAACAAAAATGCTGAAAAATGAATCTCCATTTTCCATGTTCACAGAGCAGTTTTAAGATGACCTGGTCAATTCTGTGGGGAGCAGACATCAACACAGGCAAAGTATCCTTAAACAGCAGTCTCTGGCCGAAGCATTCTGTGCAGGGAGTGAGGCCCAGTGTCCAAGTAATACATCGTTAATTGTTGACACGGCAGAGAAAAGGTCTAAGTTGAAATAGTTCAATGGCCATGTAATACAGGTGAACAGCGCGATTATTTCCCTTATGATTATGAGTCAACTTTGGTACACAGAAATGGAGTAGCTTGAAAAAAAAAAAAGAAACATGAGTAAAAAGAAAAGGAGAAAAGATAGCCCAGGTTCTGTCTTTATTTATTTATTTATTTTTTGGTGGCTGTTTAGAGCACGTGAAGATATAAAACTGCTTCTTTATTTTTTCATAGGTTTAAATATCTCTTTTCCCTTTATGGCCATCAATGTTCCCCCATTTTAGTTCTAATTTTTTAGTTTAGTTTATGGACTAATATAAAATCTTTAATCTCAGAACTAAACATGTACTATATGGACCTCAGAGTAATCTGCACTGCAGCCAGCTAGAAAATTTGAGAATCAACATCTCATATAGTTTTTCCTACTTCCTTCTGAAAAGAAAGAAAAGCTTAAATTATCTTTCCTTCTATAGTTTGCCAGCCAGAGGGTAACTTGTCCTTAAAAAGCACTGAAACATAGATGACTTAGCTGTTTAATCTATAGATAGCTCTTATGTGCTCCTCTGTCCTGCGGCCTCACTTCGTCAAGCAATGGTGCAAGAGCTGTCAAGTGAACATGTATATAGGTGCTCCTGGCATGCCCCTAAAACAACAGTTTCTTCTTCCAGTCCCTGCCTTTTCCCAGATAATGTGGCTGCCAGCTAATACCTGTGACCCATTTTTCATGTATTAGGCAGACCTGTGCTTTCTCAGAAATATCTAAGTTAAAAGAATTACATTCGAAATTAAATGGAAAATAATCCTGTCATAATGCTGAGAAGAAAATAATGGAAAAATTACATCATGTTCTAAATTGTATATAGATCACTCATTTTCTTAAAATAAATTCTGGCATATTAGAGTTTAAAATGTCAAGTATGGTCAAGGTTCTGTGGAAACTAGTGAAGAATTGAAGATCAGGTGCGTTAGCATCAGGAAGTGACTTGAATCATGTGGTCTCCATGGTAACAGCCTTGGTGCTTACATCAGAGGGCCTTCTCTTACACGCACCACACGCCATGATATTTCTGATGAGTGCTTGGGCCATGGAATTGTTCTCCTCATAGGTGGGGGCCCTCTGCATTCAGGGCTGGCCATTAACCTTAATTTAGGAATGCTGATGGGTGAAATTATCAGTCACAGAGCCCTGGGTCTAGCAGGGTACAAGGAGCACTTTGTGTACAGAGGGGTAGTCAAGAATAATTTAGAAGTACCTTATATATTTTCAATTTACTTTTGGTAATACAGAAAACTAAAGTGTTTTGAGTCATGGTCATTATTTAACATACAGGGCTGCTATAAACACACACACACACACACACACACACACACACACACAGGCAACACTTTATTATTGAAACATGTTTTATTTCTGTACATATGTTGTGTTGTGCCCCACCTGCCTTCGCCTGGTTCTAATCAACCTCACGCCCCCTTATGCTCACTCATCAAACTCACCGGTTTATTTGCTTGGTACATTTCAATGGTCACACTGTGAAAAGCATGCTAACCACCACATCTTGTTTATATTTTAATAGGAGTGGCTTTTATTACATCCCCAATGCATAAAGTTTTGTCATAATGGTTCTTATAATATGGGGACTAAGTGTGACATTTGTTACTAAAAACATTACAGTTTTCAGGTCTTTTCCAACCTGGCCTTGATTGACACAGAATAGGGCTTAAAGAAGTTTGCTGAAGTTGTGGTCAGAAACAACCTCTGAGCTCTCTGCTTCTTTGAAACTTTGTTTTCTCATCTGTTGAACTAACATAGTCTCACAAAGGCAAGAAAAGCTCTGGGAGGTTTATTCAGCACTTTGTAATAAAATCCATACTACCTTCAGGGGATGTTTCAGTAGATCTGTTCTCAGTGACTAAAATTAATCTACGTACTTTCCTTCCCACGTGACACAGAAGTCCCAGGGCCTTACTCTGTTGTGGAAACTGATATTCAGATTAATCAAGAACAGGAATCATAGGGACAGAAATCCGGAGAACTCTGTGATTACTATTGGTTCTCAGTTCCTTTTTATTTTTGCTCCTTTAGTTACCTTGCTTTTCATCTGGACTAAAGCTTACTCATTTATCCACGGTTCTAGGACACAGTTTGTCCTCAGTAAGTCCCTCAATAGTTACTCATTCATCTACTCTTTCTCTTTTTTTTAAGGTGTACAATGTGATATTTTAAGATATGTATACACTATGGAATAATAACTTCATATATCATTTTTGTGGTGAGAACATTGGAAATTTACTCTCTTAGCAATTCTAAAATATACATTATTACTAACCATATTCACCATGCTGTGCAACACACCTCAAAAACATATTCCTTCTCTCTAACTGGAACTTGTATCTTTGACCAACTCTCTGCTCCCTCCTACTCCCAGCCTCTGGTAACCACCAGCCTACCCTCTGCTTCCAGGAGTTCAACTTTAGATTTCTACTTTAGATTTCAACTTTAGATTTCTATAGGAGTTCAATATAGATTCTACATATAAATGAGATCATGCAGTATTTGTCTTTCCGTACCTGGCTGATTTCACTCAACATAATGTCCCATAGGTTAATCCATGTTGTCCCAAAGTAATTCAAAAAGGTTTCTGAATAAATAAAAAATACAAATCCAGCAATCCATTGTTCTTGGGTCTAACTACAACTACTACTACTACAACTGAAAAAAATGCTAATACTGTAACATTTATTGAATACCTATTTACTGACTGCCTTTTCCTTCATGCCAGGTACTGTGCTGGGAAATCGAGATACAGGTAAGTCACAATCCAAACTGTAGGGAGTTCCAAATCTATAGACAAAGAAGGGGAAGTAAGTATACATTTTCAGTAGAGTGTGACTCAGGTTACCAGAGGGTATGCACAGGAAGTTACTGGGGAACTGAGGAGAGGTGGGTAGGATGGGTGCCAGAGAAGTTTTCCTTGATAAAGTGAAGTCTAAGCTGAGTAAAAAGTGATACGGAGAAGCAGGCTGGCTGGAAAGAAGTGGGGGTCCAGGTTGGTGAGAGACACGTCAGGTAGAATAAGCAACACATGCAAGAAGCACAGACATGGGAACTTTAGGTGCTGTCAGCTGCTTTTTTCTTTTCTTTTCTTTCTTTCTTTTTTTCTTTTTCTTTTCTTTTTTTGGGGGGTTTTGTTTTGTTTTTGAGACAGGGTCTTGCTCTGTTGCCCAGGCTGGAGTGCACTGGTGCAATCTTGGCTCACTGCAGCCTTGACCTCCCAGGCTCAAGATATTCTCCCACCTCAGCCTCCCAAGTAGTTGGGACTACAGGCACATAACACCAGGCCTGGCTAATTTTTGTAATTTTTTTGGTAGGGACAGGGTTTCGCCATGTTGCCCAGGCTGGACTCTAACTCCTAGGCTCAAGCGATCTACCTGCCTGAGCTGCCAAAGTGCTAGGAATACAGGTGTGAGGCACCACATCTGGCCAGGCAACTTCTGATTAACCAATGTGATGGGGGTGTAGAGTGGGAGTAGGCAGTAAGAGTGGGGCAAGGGGCAAGGACAGAAGAAGTAGTTACAAATTATTCAAACTCATGATTAAGACAAAATGAGTCAAAACCTGGTAAGATTTGGATAAAATGGAACATAAAATCATAAAATGTATGTCCTGATAAATATTTTATTTGTTAAAAGATACCTGATTCAAGAATGCTTGCATTTCAATGTGAGACAGCCTATCTCATGGTTGCATGGGCTTCTCAGCTAAACTTTTTTATTTCAAATGATCATGGGATAGGGTCTATGTCTGTGCAGATAGGTGAGAGGGAACACAGGCTAGGAGACAGGCTCTTGGGGTTTGAAGAAGAAAAGGTTAACATTTTTAAAATGATACTTTTATTTACATTTACAATAAGAAACTAATTGTAAATGTGACTCATCAGACAGTGAAATGCCTTTGGAATAACAAATGTGAGCACAAAATTATGTTCACTATAGATCTGTTAAATATACTTCTATTGTATAGTTCTTTGAAAGGAAGAACCATTTTAAGATTAAAAATAAAATATCTATACAATTTCTCTTTCAGATGATGAAAAAGGTCTGGAGATAGTGGTGATGGTTGTACAACACTGTGAATATACTCAATGCCACTGAACCGTACGCTTAAAAATGGTTAAACTGGTAAACTTTATGTTACGTATACCTCACCAGTTAAAAATTATTTAAACCTATAAAATGATAGTTATAATTTGTAGTATAAAAATTTTTATGTAGAGTAAAACAGCATTAATGACATTTAGCAATCTATGCTTTCACTGTGACCATAACATTCTAGTATATAAATTGCTACCAATCATTGACCCATCCATTCTGTGTCAGACCAGCTACACAACACATGTATTGTATAACTTGGATATTGGTATTTTTTCATTTTAAAGATGACAAATACATATTACTGGGATAGAAAATACCATTTACATACAAAACTCAAAAAACATACATGGATATTATTGCTACTATCCTGCATGCCAAGGGAAATTTTTAAATTGATATTGCTTATTACATTATTAAATGCATTTTAAAAGTTATCTATGAGCTAGTCTTTCTGGAATTAAATAACAGGGCAAGCGTTAAAAGTTTTTTTTTTTTAATGAACAAATCTGATTTCATTTTGAAGGAGACATGTCTATCTATAAGCTAATTTTTTTTCATAAATTAGAATGGAGAAGTAGATATCAATAAATTTATATTGCTTGATACATTTCTTTTAATGACTTCAGTTATTTCATGATCTATATAGAAGTCTTTGTAGATGTGCCCAAATTTGGCAAAAGTATAAGGTTTGATAGAGAAGACAGTTATTTTATACAATGCATACCACCCAAATCTAATTTTTAAAAGTTATATGAGTAATTTCATGGTACAAAACCCATCCTCCATTAGGAAACATTTTCATTTGAAACTGAAAATTATATGTTCCCAGTGAAGGAAAAAAACACTTAAAATATTTGGAGGTGCTAATCTCATACTATCAAAGATCAAAGATATTTTCTTTTTATTATTTCTAAGATTCTGGTGTCCTGATCTTTTACTAAAGTACTCATATTTTATAAACTGAAGAACTTTACCAGACAGAGTATTTAAGGGATTAGTCGAGGCATTAGAAGCCCATGGCTCTGATACTGGCATGCCCATCCACCCATACATTGAGGGCCTATTGTGAGCCAGGTACTGTTGTTAGCACTGATGAATAAGACAGACATAGTCCCCTGGTCCCAAAATGGGAAATGAGAAATTAAACAAAACTCTGTGTGTGTGTATGTGTATATTATACATAATTATAATAAGTCCTATAAAATAAATGTACAGGAAGGTGTTAAGACTAAACATGAGGGAAGGGATCTAATTTGCCACTAATTTTAATGAGACAAAAGCAAAAGCTTTGAAGTCAGAAAAAAAATGGGTTTTAATGGTGGATTCTCTAGTTAGGAGTTGTGTTTCTTAATGGCTGTGCTAGTGAACTTTTCTAAACTTGTTTTATTTCCTTTAAAACGAGGATAGCACTACTTTTTCTTTTAGGGTTATTGTAAGAGTTAGTGATAAAGTATGTAAAATACTTAATAGTATAAATTTCATACACAGTAGATGTTATTATTATCATAATACCTCCATTTACTATAAAATACAATAACTGAGCAGAAAGCACATTTAGCTCTGGGAGCATGGAAAATCATGTTGCTTCTCTGTGTCAGACTCAAACTTCAGAGAAACAAATAAACAATTTTATTATTTGAAAACTCACTCTAGGCTTTATAAAACAGAAACTAAAAATTGTAGGAAATAGATTCTTTTCTAATTAATGAGGTTAATCATCAGATAATTCAGAACATCTAAAAATCCTTTAAATATTTCTGAAGTTCATCTTGCTTTACCAGTACAATGGAGACCTAACACATTTATCACTTAGGCAAATGTCCAAACAAAGTTTGAGAAATATGAATAAAGTAGCATAGTTTTTATGTCAGTGGGAGCTTTATAAGATTTATTATGGTTCCACTCTAGTACAGACAGGTGAATTCACTGCACAGCTGGCAACTTTTTACTTCACTTTGTGTAGTGAAGACCTGGCATCAACCAAAGGTTCCCATTTTCTTCATCCAAATGGATAATTTTGCCCAAAGAGATCACTTTGTCATATGTGCTTTCATGTGGTGAGCTGGCAGAATTGCTGCTGCCTTATATGATCAAACAACAACAATAAAAATCACAGGGGATGCAGTGTATAGGCAAAGTACAATTAGAGCCATCAATTATTCTCAGGGATAAAACTTATTATTTAGAGAATAAACATTACGAAATTACTGATTATCTGTTCCTTTAAAAAAATTACCCAGAATGAAGAGTAATAAAATGTAATACAAATATAAAATGTAACACAAATATCCAAACTGGATCATAACTACACAAGATAAAAATCCTGAGCCAAGAAGCTGTACCCAATTCTCATACTTTAAGAATCTTAATAGAACTGATAGTCCCCATTAAATTTTGTCCCATTATCATTAGTACACAGTTAAGACTTTATATACAATGGATAGCTTTACCTTCAAGGCTATTTATAGCAAGCTAATAACTGAGACCCCAAAGACCTCAATTTACATAAAAAGAAGGCAAGGCTACATTCACCCAGGTATACAAATCACAACTATATAGACAAAAGCTCTAAGAACTCATAATCTCTTCTTTTTGGATTTTGTCAGGGATGGCTGGCTAATTGGGGAAACTCATGAAAGTACCTTACAATCCAATTAGCACTTCAGTGCAATTAAGTGGTAGAGGCTTCCCTATTCTGCAGAGACTGGCTTTGATCTTGCAGTGAAAAGTGTCCTTCCTTAAAGCTGAGGTTTTGATTTTTTTCTCAGTAATTAGTGCTAATTGTAAACCCAAGCCTGACCTGCTATAAACAGAGTGTTTTACCGCATTTGACACCAGGACCCTAAATCAGTGTTCTCTTTTGTCTATATTGTACTTGCTTATTAGAAATCTGGCTATTTTGCTCAACATTTGATGCACAATGGGTAAGTACATACTAAAGTCAGCTGAAACAAATGCCTTGATCTTAAGAGCTTGTGTGGGTATTTTCATTGATGTCTTTTAAGCCCAGTTACCATAAAAGTAGTTGATTGAATTTCACTTAAGGAATATACTGTAGTTTTTCTACACAAAGAATGACTATTCAAAAGCAGTTTCTAAAGAGGTTTAACAACGCTTGTATGTTTGGAAAATAAAAACAAAAGATGAAAATGGTCTTTTCATGGGATCAAATATAAAGAACTGCAGAAATCAATTGCAGAATTCTCCTGAAAAATACCTATTATAACAATGCCTGTTAAATCAATTCATTGTTTCGATTTATAAAAATGAATTAAAATAGAGGTCAATGAGTGAGTAGGCTGGTGAGATATCTCTATATGGAAATAAGATGCTGTAAAATAGAAAATCCCAGACCTTCTCCAAGGTATAGATAAGATCCTTTGAAACTAGCACACAGTTTCCATGCAAATGCAAAGCAGCTGGATGTTAGATAGAATGTTTCTCCCTCAAATATGTTTTTAAACATACCCTGTTCCATTATTTAGCAAATGCTTCCTTCATAGGAAAAATTATACATGGAGGTATAGCCAGTTGAGGTTATAATGTTAGACACTCTGAATTAGGACCAATTTAGTGATCTTGAAATAGACATAGTCTAGTGTACAGATACATAATTACTGGAGGGAAAAATATGTTCCCAATACAAATATGAATTACACATAAAATATGATGACACCAATTAGCACTTCTTACAAATAGCTATTTTGGTGATATTTTTCCCCTTAGGGAAAAAAAATCAAGAGTCTAGTGACAGTTTTTTTTCTATAAAAGACGATATGATTGAATCTGACTAAAACAAACAAAAGGTAGAATGGGCTCTTAGAAATTTTCCCTGATTTTACACCTTGTAAATTTATTTTAATCATTTTAAAACCAGAGTATTACAGGCATAAAAATTAAACAATAATAAAAAGCCTGTTGAAAACTTTGGGGTATTTGCCCTATCCCTTCCCCTCCTCCTCTCCAGACACTACTTTCAACTCTTGCAAGCCATTGCGTTGGCTCTTCATCTCCATATTTTTAAATCAGAAATGGCTCAAAGGGATAAGCCCTGACTATCTGTATTTTGGAGTTACTCAGGGGAAGGGGCTGGGATATTACATTTAGTACCAGACTCTCACCCCTGTTTTCAGACTGATCTCACCCTCTTGAGACCCTGCAGTCTCCAAGCCCTGAGGCTCTCTAATTCAATCTTCCAAGAGCATCATTTCCTGCCAGGATGGAAGTGGTGAGGTCATTTGTCCAGTGACAGAGAATGTTTCGAGGAAGGAGAGATCAGGAGATCCAGTTGTAACTTACACATACTTTTCAAGCAATCCCTGTTTCCACTACCCACACCTTCACTACCTGGCTCCCAATTTCTCAGACCTTTCTGGGAGGTAAACTGGGTAGCTGCTCTTTGGTACTTTCAACCTGGAAGCATTTTTGTTCGACCTCACTTCTCTCACTAAATCCTTATCATTCCTTTACAAAATTTGTGTGGTAAAATGTATATAACAAAATTGGCCATGTTAACTGTTTTTAAGTGCACAATTCAGTGGCATCAATTACACTTACCTTATTGTACAACTATCACCACATCTAGTTCCCAAATTCCCCATCATTATGAACATTTTTTTATTCTTCCATCTGCTTTCCTGTTTTGCAGGTTGTGTTTTAGGAGTACGGTGATCTACTTTAATAATAATTGAAATGTGTGTTTCTTTTTTCCTTGTTTTGGGTAATTTTTCAAGAGAAGAATGCAGAAGTATCTTTATTCTGTCATCATAAAACCAAAGTACCATCTTCTCTTTTAAAGATGGGACAACTCTTGCCTGGAATGATTAAGTAACTTGATCTGGCTATCAATGTGAATCAGTGGCATGACAAGATTAAAACCCAATTTGCTTAATTATCTACCCAAGGTACCTTCCATCAACTACACTATTCATATCATTATTGGAGTCCTTGTGAGTTAGGATTTCAATTTTTTTTTCTTTTTTTGTACATCGTTTTAAATTGTGTATACCAAGGAGATTGAGAATGATGTTTCTGTAAATATTATTATAACACTAACTGTTGGACAGTTGCTCAGTAGGAAACTAGATCTACCTAATTCTTGTGGTGACAGTAAGTAGGAAATCGAAGATCAGAATCAAATCTCTAGAACTGCTTAGATGTGCAGGCATGGAAGAACTTGACCAATGTTGACAGCTAAGTTTATATACCCTTCTCCGAGAGCTGGCAGTCTATATTTTAGGACCCGTTTAAAACAACATTTTCACTCATAGGTGGGAACTGAACAATGAGAACACTTGGATACAGGAAGGGGAACATCACACACCAGGTCCTGTCATGAGGTGGGGGGAGGGGGGAGGGATAGCATTAGGAGATATACCTAATGTAAACAACAAGTTAATGGGTGCAGCACACCAACACGGTGCATGTATACATATGTAACAAACCTGCACATTATGCACATGTACCCTAGAACTTAAAGTATAATAAAAAAAAAAGAATAGGAAAAAAACAACATTTTCAATATTTTACCTAGTATGCATCCCAAATTAGATGTAAATTACAGCTTAAATATTTAATGATGTAATAGCAAAAAGGGTAAAAAAAATTTCTGTAATTGGATGCAGCTTTTTATGTTACAAATACTAACTTCCTATATTCCATGTATCATGTGGTCACCTACTTTAAGGTGGGACAAATAATTTTATCTAATGTTAGTTATTATCTGCTTCAATGATAAACTGGCTTTAACAGGGTGGTATTGAAAATAGCACATTATTTTTTCAGCTTAAAAAAGCTATTCCAGTTATACTAAGGTATAACGGACAAAACTGTACATATTTAAAGGTATAAATATGATGTTTTGATTATGTGTTAAGTTTTAAAACTAGACTTGATGTGAGTGTCACTGGCAGAAAGGAGGAGGAATAGAGTAACAAGGGCAACAGCATCAAAGAAACAGAAAACAATGCTCTCAGGTGGGTATCCTTGGAGTCCCTATTTTCAGATGAAGAGCTCTTTTTTTCAGAAAAGTTATGTAACTTGTCTAATATGACACAGCTATAAGTGATAGAGCTAGGATTTGAACACAGATCCAGTGCTCTCAACAACTAAGCTGTGTGTGCAGATTAAAGAGTTCCTGAAAATTCAAAAAAAGAAGTTTACTTATGTATATAAAGTAAACCGAGATGTAAGCATAAAATATTCTAGTACACTGATCATGGTGAGGGCAGGGCAATTTCTTCTCATTTGTAAAAGGCAATTTAGTCTCTTCTTTTAGAGTAGACACATCTGTTACTCTTGCTAAACCATTCATAAATATGGAAAACATGGGATGAGAAACACTAAACTATGCCCATGAAAATGTAGTTGAAAATTTTGTTCTTACTTTTAAGTGAATGTGATGAATCATTACAAAAACCTAATGAATCATAACAAAATTATTTTAATATAAAACTTAGTTTACATGCCAACAATTAGGTGAATAATCCAAAAATAAATAAAAATTGCCTCTGAATAAGCACTGAGAAGGAATGCCATATCAAATGCACTCTGTACTTTCTTTATAGGAAAGCCTTATGAACCTTGCTTGGAGTCTAGTGGCTCTTATTTTAGAAACAATTCTGATAAGCTAGTTTTTTTCCTTGTAGTATAAAGCACATCAAAGTAAGTAAACAGAAAGGATATACTGCTAAAAGTAGGAATACAAGAACACTAAAACATCAAAAATGGCCATGATGACCCCCCAAAAAAACCCAAGAAAGAAAGAACTCCCCAAAATTACCCAAGCATAACTTGGAGGTTGTCAAACCACAGCCTGCAGGCCAAATTCAACCTACTGCCTGTTTGATGACAAAGTTTTACTGGAAATCAGCCATGTTCATCACTTATATATTGTTTATGGCTGCCTTCCCAGTGCAATGACACAGTGGAGTGGCAGCAGCAGAGACTAGGTGGCCCGGAAAACTTAAAACATTTACTATCTGACCTTTTGCAGAAAAGGCTGTCAACACCGTGGTCTAGGTCATTGAAAGCATGGATAAATAGCTTTCCATACCGCATGGGGTACTGTGGACATGGCACATTTGACTCACACAGAAATTGTTCGTTTATGATTAGTACACTTTAGTATACACTCTTTAACAAATCTCTGAAAAATGCAATGCATTTTAGAAAAGTTTCCAGAAAAAATGACTCATTATTGTTTAATGGATACAGCCTAAACATTTCAATTAACCAGAAACCCATTTATATAGAACACCCAAATAAAGATATCTTTCTTCATATTTCAAAAAAAAACTATTTAGAAGTTGAAATCCCAAAATTATTCACTGGCAGAAGCAGGTGAACAAAGTTAAGTCAATTCAGATGCCCTTGTTAAAATATTTTTTCCCCTTAAGGTCAAAGTTTGTGTTCTTCTAATTTCCTTCAGGTGATCCACAGTCTCAGGACTGTAGAAGCCTCATGTTGCCTAAACTGAGCACACTGGAAACACTGATATTAGACAAGGGAATTGGCATTTTTCAAGAACTACGGCTGCAATTTAAACTACTGCTTGATCTTCCCCTAAAGCATACTAGAGAACCTAATTTCCATAAAACTTTCTAACCCAATTTGAACAGTATAATGTGGACAGTGGGGAATACATGGGTTTGATCAATTATGAATTTATATGATATGTTAGTAAGCTATTCAGGCATCATCTTACAATTCAGTATTTTGAACACTAATGCCATGCTACATAATTTTAAAATGATGCATTTCAGAAAAACCTCACTAGGGCATATTTGCATATTTAGAAATCTAATTAACCCAAGCATATCTTAAGGCTTTCAAAAGAGAACATACAATAACATTTTTGTCAGCTGAATGTTTGCTTCAGGCTATGTAAGGATTGTATCATCTGGTGTGTGTTAACCCTTCAGCTCCCCATTTTTTATGTAATGGCTGTTTAATTTGGGAGTTGGGCAGATAGAACTTTCCACTCCCTTTCTGGGCTGGAGACTCTAGGGCTCAGCATGAACAAGAGGACCTGTGATGGTTCTCTTTGTTACCAAACGCAAGTTCAAAACTCTCTTCTCTCCTGCCTTAGGTAATATAACTGAGAGCTGCACTACTTGCAGAAACACTTGAATTAGATGAAAAAAAATGACCACCACATTGCATATACAGCAAAACATCCCCTTATATATTTTCTGTGGGAAAAATATTTCAGAAAAAGGACAGGTGCCCACTGAGGGACACTACCCAACCCCACAGCTGCTACCGCTTCTGCCCTTAACTTTAATTTCGTCTAGTGCGGTTTTCTTCTATCCCTTAGGCCAGAATCTATGATCAAAGCCAAAAATAAGAGCAGAAAGAAAAGGCCTGTTCTTTAGACCTATCAACTCTACTAGAAGGCAAAACTTTGCTCCTGCATGCATGGCTCTCTCTGCGTGCCTGGTAGTAGAGGCTGATCATGGCCAAAGTCCCACTTTCCTGTGATTTTTCCTTTGAAACGTTGGCCATTTATCTTGCCAGAGTGGAAAAAGACCTGCTGCCCTTGTTACCACACCTCCCCAAGGATTGCTGTAGGTATGGAGGCTCTGACGGCAAGAAAAACTACCTGTGCTCCCACGGCCTTCACCTGTTTTGCCAAGTTCCCTGCAGGTGCTCCCCGTGTTAGAAAAGCCCAGAGAAAAATGTTGCTCTGGAAGAAATGGAAGTTGCTTATGTGAGCGTCAGTTAAGTAGAAAATTGGATTTATGTAAAATTATGATATGCCCGACAGAATCTAGACACAGTATGCTAGAAATTTCAGAAGTGAGGTAAAAAATTATAAACTTAATTTGCAACAATGTACAGTCAGTTCTTCTATAAAACATGTTTTGAAGTCACAAATTTATTCCAAAAGGATTGATATATGAGGGAACAATTTGAGCATAATGCAAATTACATTTGCTTACCGTTTCTTTCTGGAAAACACCAGTTCAACATGGAAAACTTCACCAGGCAGAACTGGGCTGGGGAGATGAAATTCACAAAGCACACACAAGCACACATCTTAAACTTCTACCAGCTATCTCATTCTGTGTTACGTATGAGCACACCCCTCCACATCTGCTGGTACATTTTTACATGGGATTTCAAATAGTTCTACTTCCAGCATGTCACCATAACCTTCTGATGCCAACTTCCACACGTAAACTTAAGGTCTTTTTCAAGGCGCACTGCCACATTGATTGTAGTATATATGTAGTTCTGTGGTATTAGCATGTATTTCTTAACCACTTAATACGTGTAAAACTATGCTATTTTTTATGAGGTCCCCATCCTTTAAAAATTGTATGTGTTCCTGATAAAGTTCTTGAGTGTTCGCCCCTGATTCTCTTTTCTCATAAGCTACAATTTGGTGCGTGGTGTGATGATTTTGTCACTTTATAACAGAACTGACCGTAAATTAGGTTTCATTGTTTTATTAAAGAGCAAACAAAGGGCAGAGGACAGAATCACTAACATTTTAGTTGATAAAGTGAAACAAACGTTTTCATGTCTACTGCTAGTATATAGCCTGTTAGGTAGGAACAAAAAGTTCACATGATTATTGGCATTTTAGAGCATACTGGGCTCACTTCCCACCCCACTCCAATTCAGCTCACATGCCATCTCCCCCAGCAAACCTTAACTCCTCACCCCAATTCTGTATTAGATGCCTCCACTGTATCCCATGTGTTTCTAAGCTCCTGCTCATACCTTTGGCAAAGGCCTCACCACATTGCACTGCAATTCTGTGTACTTATTATACTCATTCACTAGATTGTGAGCTCTTTAGAGCCCTCTCTGAACATGTATTTGAATTCTGAGCATGTAGCACAGTGTTCGCAGAGTGGAGGTGCCCAGCAAATGTGTGTGAAGGAAGAATAAAGGAATGTCCAGTTCTTCTTTGTATCACTCATAGCCCTGTGCACAGTGCTTTGCACAGAGCAGGCACTCAAAAGATACTTGCTGAATAAATGAAAGAAAAGAAAAGAAAAGAGAAAACAAAAAGTGTACTTATTTACAGAGAGGCAAACAGTAAACAAAATTGTATGTTGAATTTATCAAATAAAGTCTTAATATAAATGGTGTAAATGTATCTTTATAGGTAGATAAGAAAGGAAGATGACTCATATTTTATAACAAGGGTAGAACTGTTAGATTTCCTCAAGAGGTTGTCTGGCTCGTTTCTACCATCCAGTCAACTCTTAAGCCTCCCAACTAGGTAAGTGTTCATTCATTTTAAACATCTTCAAAGTCTGTATTATGTTCCTTGGTAGCCTTAGACAGGCTTAATAATATTTTATAATCAAGAAGTTTCTTCCAATGTAAGATCAAGCTTCCCCTTACTACTTTAAACTAATTTTCTTTTGTTCTTTCTTCTACAGGGATGGAGAACTGGTCAGCATTCTATTTTTATATGTTATTCTTATTCTTATAAGCATTCTTATGATAAGTATACTATAAGACAGTTATTAAGTCACCGCTTAGCTTTCTATTTTCCTGGCTAAGCAACCAAACTCCTTTAATCTTTTCCCATATGATCTATTTTACATCCCATAAAGATTTGTCACTTTTTTTTACAGACCTTTCCCAATTTCACACTTAACTTTAAAATGTGGAAACTCGAAGTTGTCAAAATAGTTTAATAAAAGCTTATACAATGCCAAATATAACAAATAATTATTTCCTAATTCCCTAAATCCCAGTATCATATGAGTTTTACAGCATGCTTTGCTAATAGCCAACAACCTCTCACCCCATCTCCATCCCTGTTAGTCCTCATGCGCTCCCTGAATGGGTGGTGTTTGAAGAGGGCCTGGCACCCACACTTTCTCTATGGACAATGTTCAAAGGTGCCCTCAATGCATGCAACATTCTCTGGGTCTGCCCTCACCAGCTCACTGAACTGGGGCTTCAGGAAATGGAGCCTGTTCAGGGTATACTCCATTTTAATTTTCTGTAGTCCTGGCCACAGAAGAGCTAAACGTGCCTTATGCAGAGCAAAGCTAGCCTTTTCAGCCTTGTTTTAGAGCAAGCTTGTCCAACCTGTGGCCTGTGGACCACATGCAGTCTAGGATGGCTTTGAATGTGACCTATATACAAATTCATAAGCTCTCTTAATTAAACATGATTTTTTTTTGTAATTTTTTTTTTTTTTTTTTTTTTGCTCATCGGTTATCAGTCAGGGTTAGTGTATTTTATGTGTGGCCCAAGACAATTCTTCTTCTTCCATTGTGGTCTGGGGAAGCCAAAAGATTGGACACCCCATTTTTAGAGTGTGCACCACTCTGCTAACTGTCATACCTGCGCTCAGAAAATCTTCCTCCCTCTGCTGACAGTATAGTTTTTCTGTCTCTCTCAGGATATAACCTTGAATTTGTTCCACAGTTTTGAAATGTGATTTATATAATTTATTAAGATCATTTTGAATTCTAGATCTAGCATTCCAAGTGTTTGTAACTCCTGTTAGCTTAGTGTAATCTCCAAACTTAATCAGTATGCCTTTAATTCCGTCACCCAGGAAATAATGAAAAACGCAGAATGGAATCTAACACAGGCACCAGGACTGAATCCTGAATATCTCCAATCAACAGGCCCCTATTGGCTTATGGTAAAGACTTTGGGGGTAATCTAAAAAAAAAAAAAAAATACACTTAACTAATTGTGATAGGCTCTAGTTAGACAAAATCTTATTTAGTGATAAAGAGTAGCAACTTATGGGGCTGAATTAATGTGATACTAAATTGATAACAATTCCATCCGTTGCTTTCCTTTAGCCTGTGTAAGTTAATACTTCATCACAGAAAAAAATTATACCATTTTGGGTAGATTTGCTATTTGCAAGGCAGAAAGTAAAATTATAACCAAGGTTTTGCAAAGGGTGATCTTTACTACACTGTTTCTTGTCACTGTGGAACTTTTAAAAGATCAGTAATCTAATAGTTTTAAAAATGTAAAATTACATTACATTAAAATGTAAAAGAATGTTTAAGTCAATATAAGAAGTTAAAGATAGAGACCTCATCAATCTAGGTGACTGTGATAGTCAACAACGTACGTACTGAGTAACTGCATAGAGAGGAAAACACTAGTAAAAAATAACTTTATTGTGAAATGCATTCTTCTAAAAAAATTCCTTTACCTTCTAGACTTCAAACTAGATACCCTATTATACAGTTAAACAAAAAAGAGTAAGGCAATTATGTCTTAATACTTATAAAGACTTTTTTCACTGGCAATTTTTAAGTAGGTAAGTAAATTTAATTTCCACTCAAAAATGTGATCCAGAGCAATTTCCATCAGACAATATTTCTTTCACCATTGCTGCAGTCTCCAAAGGATCTAAATAACACACCTAGAGACAATTAACAGCAATGCTCTTAAGGAACAGTGTTCGGTTAATCAACAATATTTATTGACTGAAAATTCAACTGCCATATAGTCTCTTAGTTGATTATTTTCTATTTTTTTTTTAGTTTTAGGTCCAGTGTTTTCAGATTACTAGGTTGTTTTATGCAACTGCTTATTAGATATTTACAAAACTGCACAGAAATAGGTAAAGGGAGAGTTAATAAAAAATTATCTCACTAGACTCAGATTTATGGAATGTTTGATAAAGAGACATCTACTAACAGAAAAAGGAACATGTATCAAAAGAAGAAAAAAATCTGAGCTGTGATGTTCAGGAAGGAGTTAGTGAACTGACCTTGGAGTTGTATAAACATACAATTCTCCCCATTTAGTTTTCTGCTGGCACATACACTTCTGTCTTCATATAATGTTAATGCATCATTTATTTATATCAAAAGCCTGCCCTAGACGAGAGTCCTAAAAATATAGTAAGATTATAGTCTTTGTTCTGGGAGTAAAATAACTTGAGAAAGTTCTCATTCTTAAAATATGTTATTTTATAAAATCAATTCTTAGATACTCAGAGTCTAGTCATTGAGCTATGAATTGCCTATAAATATGCTCGGATATGTCTCCTCTTCCTTCCTTTTTTTCATATATTGGCTTTGACTGCTCATTAGCACATCCAGGATAAGACAGGCTGGGTGACACAAATCTACCAATTTAGAAAACTTGCCAAAAACTTCTGGAAATTGACTTCTCTACAGTTATCTTATTTTTCATTATATAATGTTCTTAATATATGTTTAATTACTAGGATTAAGTCCAAGGGCAAGTAAACAGATTACATACAGAAATGTCATAATATGTATTTTCACATCTCACATACCATCAGCTTATAATGTATTTCCATTAAAAGCTATCTGATATTTGTTTTTTATTCTATACGGTATTCAAGATTAAAGATGTAGGTGAAATCTTAAAATGAATGTGTTTTTTAAAATGTGTTTTGGCACACTCTATTATATTAAAAAGTACCTGAAATAAATGTATCATTGTCTGGGATTTAGATAATAAAAATAGTGTGGTTTTCATTGTAATGGCATTAGGATTAGCATAATTTGACTTATTAATTGAAATGGGTAGGATGAATTTACTGTTTTCTTCAATAAGACACAAAGAATTCCAGAAAGCAAAAGAAAAAAAGGATGCATGGAATCTAAACCAATCTACATGTAAATTTGACACTTTGCTTTTGCTTTTATTATGATAATTAGAGGGTTTTTGTTGTTGTTGTTTTTTTTTTTTTTTTTTTTGAAACGGGGTCTCACTCTGTCACCAGGCTGGAGTGCAGTGGTGCGATCTTGCCTCACTGCAACCTCCGCCTCTTGGGTTCAAGTGATTCTCCTGACTCAGCCTCCTGAGTAGCTGGGACTACAGGCAAGCGCCACCATGCCCGGCTAATTTTTTATATTTTAGTAGAGACAGGGTTTCACCATGTTGGCCAGGATGGTCTAGATCTCCTGACCTCATAATCTGCCTGCCTCTGCCTCCCAAAGTGCTGGGATTACAGGCGTAAGCCATCACACCTGGCCTAAAAGTCTGTCTTATGTCTACTGGTTATAAGAAGTATAAAGAACATTTTAAGTATTACAAAAACAGAAGAATCTAGGATTCCCTATCTGCAACTTTTCATCTCATCCCTGGATTTCCCTCAAACTAACAATTACTGAAGTAGGTATAAGAATGTCTGAAATAGGGAGGAAAGAAATTATTTGAATTGTTAGGATTATTTGAAGCTAATAGATAATAATATTCAGTCAACAAAGAGTTATTGGGTAGATTTGTTAATTTTATATAGACTTAGATAATGGACAAAAAAGAAGAAAAAAGGATCCTACCCTTTCTCACTCAGAGATAAGGAGTCATAAACACAAAGACTGAGTGGTGATGATACTGGCAGCAGAAACCTGAAGGCAGGAATTGTCTGCCCATGACTTCTCATGATTGTCTAGTTTAGGCTTGCAGTTTGACTATTTGGGAATGCCTGTTCTAAACAACAATGAAGAATCAACCATGTGAGATATGAGTAGAAAAAAGGAACACATTTCATTTTTTAAAAATGCTTTAATGACATTATTTTTTCCTCCTGCTTTTTGGGACATTTCATGTTATAGAATCAATTGGATTAAAAAAAGAAAAGACAATAACATATATAACAGACTTCAATATATTAATAAACAGTGTTTAAGGTCTCAAGCCATATAAGCTAGAGATAAAAGATGGCTGATTCTAGTCTCACAGGAGTTGAGGGAGAATTATAAGTATTAGAATATACTAAGACAATGAGATACATTTTAAATCCCATTCACTTTCACTCCCTTCTCTCTTTCCAAGCTCATATATGATTGGGTTGGCTTGGGACTGGAGAATAGGGTTGGGAATATCTGCTATTTAAGTACCAAATTAAAACTAAAAATATGCTTATCGCTTGCCACTATTATGGGGCAAAAAATATCTAGTTGGGTATAGGCAAGCAGGAGCTAAGTTTTATTCATGTATTATACTAAGTTATTCATTGGAGATAACTCTTCCTGAGAGGGTTAACAAAGAACTGTTTAGTTTAGGGTCTAGTAAACTGCACATGTTCCAATTTTTTTTAAATGAGAAGCAATTGTGGTTATCTCTGAGTTATCATTTATTTTGTTTATGGGTTTTCATTTATTTTCTTTGTAATTTTCTGTATTTTCCAAATGATAAGGAACACACACACACGTAATTTAATGAGTGCCCTACTATAATGCTAGGAACTTTACATTTATTATTGCTAAACTTTCAACAATCTTGCAAGGTTGGTATTATTACTCCTACTTTACAGAGAAAAAACTGGGGCTCGGAAAAGGTTAGTCTTGCTTAAGTTCACACATAGATAATTGTCAGAGGCAAGACTGTTTTCAAGAAAAATGCTAATGAACAGAGATGGGCTGTTTATTATTGTTGCTGTGAGGGGCATATATGGGTCTTGGGTATAATCTTGGCATTCTTTACAGTCACTGCCTGAGAGTCTTCACCTGAAATCTATGGACTTTCAATGGATTGGCTCCAGGCAAACACGATGAACACAATCTACATGAACATACATAATGTACACTTCTCTGGGCAGGAAGTTCATAACTTTCATCAGATAATGACTAGATAAAGTGCTTGTTCAAGAAACCCGGCACATAGTTTGTTCTTTGAATAAACATAAATAACATTTCTTGTATGGCTGGATTCATTAAAGGCATGAACGTGGTTAAAGGAGGGGCTGGGAGGATGGGAAGTGAAAGGCAGAAATCAGCTGCAGCTCTCTGGGCAGATGTAGGTTAGGAAAGCTAGCTGGAGACCCATGCCTAAGAAGGGAACAGTGGAAGGCCATGATCTCTAACTTTATGAAGCATGATCAGAATCACCTGTAGGGCTTGTTAAAACAGATTGCTGGGCCCCATTCCCAGCATTTCTTATTCAGTCAGCCTGCAGTGGGACCCAGGAATTTGCATTTCTCAGTGTCCAGGTAATGCTGACACTGCTGGATAGGGACTGAAACTGCCTTTGCAAAGATTATGACAGTGAGAGAAATCTAACATGGCTGACTCCATCTTGCTTCTAGCCACACACGCTGGCTGCCTTCACTCATTCCTGGATGTAGGCTAAGCTAATAATGGGAGGAAATTTAGTTTATAGTTTAACTTTGAAGCAGGGATGATAACAATCCCTCCCTAAAACTGCTCCCACTCCTTGTTTGGGGGCTGAAACTGCCTTTGTAAAACTAATGAAAGGCCACAAGGTTAGGATTATGAGAGGGGCCTGAATTCTGCTAAGATATATTTGCAGTTAAATGATATCCAGCCATTGTTCCAGAGCTCATGAGATTTGTAACTTCCCCATTACTCCTGTAGATAACATCACTATTGTAGAGCCTAAAATTGACCTTTCGAGATGTTTTTTCAGACTTTTACATTTCTGGCCACTGACTGATTCTACCTGGACCTACAACTTGTGATTCAATCTGTCTATGGCCCTGACCCAGAGGCTGACTCAGTGCATGAGGACCATTTTCCACATCCCTATGATTTCATTCCCAACCAATCAACATTCCCCATTCCCTACCCCACTGCCCACCAAACTATCCTTGAAAAAACCCCAATCTCCAAGCCTTCGGAGAGACTGGCTGAATATTTGAGATTTAAGTAATAACTCTGTTGTCTTGCATGTGGCTAGCCTCACGTTAATTAAACTCCTTCTTTACTGCAATACCATGGTCTCAGTGAACTGGTTTTGTTTGTGCAGGGGGCAGGAAGAATTTGTCAGGAGATTACAGAACCACATATAAGGGCTGAAACATAGGCTCTGGTGACAAATGGAGTTTAAATTCTGGGTTTTACCAGATGTGGAATCATTGTCAAGTTAACTTCTATCTCAGTTTTCTAACTGTAAAATGGGGATAAATATGTCTTGTGAAGATTAAAAGAGACAATGCATGTGAAACGGTTACTCCAGTTCCTGACATACATTAAGAGCTCTATAAACTTTATGTATAAGTCAATAAACTTAATAGCTCAATAAGCTTTATACATAAAATATATACATGTCTCCTTGGAGTAAACGGAATTATGTAATACTGAAACAATTCCCACAGAATAGGATAATATATTAAATCAAAGCAAGTTGGGTATAATATAGTTTAATCATCTTTCAGATAAATAAATCCTGTTCAAATTATTGAGTCAAGCTAATCATATCATTACTATTTCCTTAAAGTTCCAGCATTTCAATCAAAGTGGACCCATCAATGTTAAGGGAATCCATGGTAACCACACAAAGTAAACATCCACCTACCCATTAGTGCCAGTAATTATTTGGCATTTGTTATGTTAGTTAAATTGCGTAATGGTGTGTGAGAAATCAGTTTCTGCTTCCTTGACCCTTTGGAAAGCTGGTTCTCCAAGCCAGCATCCCTTGCTGAGACTCCAGAGTCTGACAGCTGTGACTTCCGGCGCTGGTTCTCTCACAAGCCCCCTCTGGAAATGAGGCAGCAAATGTGGTCTTCTCTAAAAAGAGTATGAATCTATTATAGGGGCTTGATTATTGGTAAGGACCATTTCTATTACGGGGCTAACATCTAACTAGGACTTTTATTGTTTATTTGAACAAATATTCATCATGAACCCTGAGTGATCCTTCAGAGAACATCAATTTTAGATGCATGTGATACAACAAAACAAACTGAAAGGTTTATTTTCATGCCTTTAGATTTCAAGAAATATATCCTGTTTACTTAAAGTATATGAAGAAAAGGAAAAGAGATTTAAGAAATAAATAAATAATCCTTAACAATAATGGTTTCTAAATATAAATGCATCTGGTATGCTCTGACAAATCTTTAAATTTGATCCTTTTTTGTTGGTGAAAGAAATAGTCATTTATTTGAAATAGACCAAGAAGTGTCACTTGACCACATGCGTGAACCTATGTAGGATGTGGCTTTCGAATGAGCTAAAAAGACCTTAAACTGCATTATCAGAAATTTTTAAAGGGAGAGAGCTTCCAGTTTCATTTTGCAGAAGCTAGGCAGAGAAAAAACTACAGCTAAAGTAAAGTGGCAAGGCACCTAGAATGGTGAAAATCTTATTATGAACAAAATGATAAAAGGACTTGATGAAGCTTGGCCTATAAGAGAAAAGACAGAAAGGGGATAAAATAATCATCTTTCTATTTAAAGAGTTGTCATGACTACCCTTCAATTAACTTAATCCTACAGGTATTACAGATCTAAAACCACCCACAAATTTTACTTAATATTTTTTTTTTTCTTTTTTTGAGACAGGGTCTCCTGGGCTCAAGCAATCTTCCCACCACAGCCCAGCTGGGACTACAAGCTCATGCCACCATGCCCAGCTAATTTTTGTATTTTTTGTAGAGACAAGGTTTCACCATGTTGCCCAGGTTGGTCTTGAACTCCTGGGCTCAAGTAATCCACCGACCTCGGCTTCCCAAAGTGCTGAGATTACAGGCGTTGAGCCACCATGACTGGCCAATAAAATAATATATATATATATATATATTTTTTTTTTGAGATGGAGTCTTGCTCTGTCGCCCAGGCTGGAGTGCAGTGGCGCGATCTCGGCTCACTGTCAGCTCCGCCTCCCGGGTTCATGCCATTCTCCTGCCTCAGCCTCCTGAGTAGCTGGGACTACAGGCACCCACCACCACGCCTGGCTAATTTTTTGTATTTTTAGTAAAGACGGGGTTTCACCATGGTCTCGATCTCCTGACCTCGTGATCCGCCCGCCTCGGCCTCCCAAAGTGCTGGGATTACAGGCATGAGGCACCGCGCCCGGCCAAAATAATATTTTTTAACACAACAGCTATTTACTACATCTCCTTAGTACGATATCCTGTATTAAATTCTGGGAGGTATACAAAAGTGAGTAAGTGCTTCTTAGTCATTAGGGAGCTTATAATTCATAGAGAAGATGAGACACAACTGTGAGGGAAAATGGGAGGGCATCTGAGACACAGGCAACGTCACAGAAACTGGGCTGAGGGTAGACACTAAAGAGAGAGTGAGGAGGAGTTCAGCATGGCTTGAGCAGGAGTCCATGCTAGAAAGGAGTTGGAGATAACGCTAAGTACATGGAGAACCAGGGGTGAAAATGAATCCTATGGACTGGATCCTGTTCAAAGCTAAAGGCCTTGTAAGTCAGAATTCTGGTATCAGCCTAACATTTTCTTCTTTACTGTTTCTGCACATCTGTGCTGGTCACGGATATGCCTAGGAGGATGTTTACATGGAGTGACCACAACTGTGGGTCAGTGCTCCTCTCCATTTCCACAGCATACAGATTTTGCTAGGGGAGTAGCCCCTTATTGGAGCAGAACGGAAAGAGCAGAGGTGGGAAGCTACTCAGTCAGGACAGGCAATGGTGTAGGAAGGACTGACGAGGTCATCATCACCCACCCACTCCATTCCGCTTTGAGTGTCCCACTGGTCTAACGGAACACTTCTCCGTTCTGCCCAGAAGAAAGCATTTTCTCTTTAAAGAAATCTCAGTTGGCTTTCGCAGTTTCTGTTTTAAAATCTAACAAATTATGGCACCAGGGCAGGGAACATTATAGAAAAAAAACATTCTCCTTGATATTCTTGCCAGCATGCGGAGGGGAGAAAAACCAATGAACAAACACAGTAAGTAAAAACAGCATTGATTCTAGAGCCACATCTACCTGAATTTTTTACCCCACCATGCTGATTTACCTTTTCTACCACTTCCCTTCATTACGACTGAAAACACAATGCCTCCCTATGGATAAAACCATGAATGTAACTTTATTACAGAAAAATGTACAAAGAGGTCTAAACTAAGGCTGATTGTGAAAAATATTATACATGATTGCTAGTTCACTGTGCAGCATTTCTAATATAATACGGAGTCTCAAAGAGTAGGGACCTAACTATGAATATAATGATAGCTTAATGAGGGCAATTTCATATAATATCTTAAGGTTAAAAAAGAGGCAAAGATGAATATTAAGCACAAAGGTAAAAGATATTTGAATATACAGTACTCTCCACTTAAAGTAAAAGAGAGTCTTGTCTTTAGTACATAAATAAATTTTCTTTCACTTGTAAACTGAAAGCTTAAAAGGATAACTGTACTTTAAGGTACATCAGGCATACTTTATAGGATTACAGTACTGGGCCATCAATATTGACCTTATCTACACAAAAGGCTTTTATATTAGGATGTCAAGGAAATGTACCAGGTTCATTTAAAAAATCCTTCAATATTCAGTAACAGAACTATGAAGTGAGTACTCTTTGCTTTATGAGGCTTTTCTCAATGCTTTAAAAAAAAAACAAAAAAAACCACATAGCAATGAACTTGCTATAAAAATAACAATGATATTTCAGAACAAAACTTTCCGCTACTGAGAACCAGAGGAAAAACATGCAACCATTTGCTAAAGGTGCTGCTTAGCTACACTTCATTTATGGAGATTTTAGGTTAATTGATAGGACACACAGCCAAGAGTTCTATAAACCATTTTACTGAGCATACATCCTGATTATAATGTCATGTTAAGAAATGGAGTGCAATCTGTCTTCATGTCATATTTAATAGATTTCTAGTAAATAGCCCAGAAGTGCTCCCTCTAACAGGTGATGAATTATATTAATGCCCTGTTGTACTTTCATAATTAAGGGTCTGGCAGCACTTCCATTATAATCAAGACTTGAGATTGGAAACAAAAGGAGTGGTTTCCATGTTTCCTGGCTCTGACTACAGTGCTCCTCCCATGCCCCACTGCTACGTTTGGCCATGGGGACCACACCTAGAAGGCTGTTCTCAGAAATAAAAGCTGGGGAGTTCGCTAAGATTTTCTTAGCAGTCCATTATCAAGTCATTCCTTTTTTTTTCCCTGGTTTTGTAGCCCCTTCAGTCAGCCTCTGCTTCTCCCCTTTCTTATTAATTCATACAAGTCCTATTCTCTTCATCTGGCCTAGACCTGACGACTTTTCTTTGATGCTATTTGCTTACCCAGATGGGGTGTTGCCCTGCTGTTTCCTCCAAATGAAACCTGACTGCCCAGTGTCTGAGTTGCATGCTGTCAGTTTTTGTTTTGTTTGAGATAAGAGTCTCACTACGTCGCAGGATCATAGCTCACTGCAGCCTCAATCTCCCAAGCTCAAGTGATCTTCCTGCCTTGGCGTCCTGAGTAGCTGGGACTACAGGCACGCGCCACTATGCCCAGCTAATTTTTTTTTTTTCTTAGTAGAGACAAGGTCTTGCTATGTTGCCCAGGCTGGTCCCAAACTCCTGAGCTCAAGTGATCCTCCCATCTCAGCCTCCCAAAGTGTTGAGATAACAGGCATGAGCCACTGGGCCCACCCAGCATTCTTTGTCTTTTGCATAACAAGGAATGAACTTCATAAAAAAAAAAATACTGAGATAGCAAAGAGAGAGGGGGATATTGTTGATGTGGAACTTCCCTCCACAAAACAGAGAGAAATTTACCAGAAAATTCAGAGAATAAAACCATATCCTCTCGGGTCCATCCCAAAGAAGTGCTTCTAGTGGTAAGAAAGTCAGAACACCTAAGCCAGGACAGAAGGGCAAAGTCCGGAGAGGACTGGAAACTGGCATCTTTGCTGTATTCCCCAAATTATTTTGGGTAGATGCATCATACTTCACCTGCATTAACAACACATCATAAATAGAAATGGAAGAGACTAGGCATGGCAGGGAATAATAGAGGGAGGGAGACAGGAAGAACAGGAGGACACAGTGAGAACAAAGGTGGGGAGGGTATCCTGGATTGGTTTTACGTGTTTTGCAGTGAAGAAAAATAATTGACGCCCAGAAAACAAAAGAAAAAAAAAGAAAATGGGGTCGCCAAGTCTGCTCCTCAAACATAAGTGATTTTTATAAGTCTTCTTGTATCTGTAAATTCTTTATATTCTATTAATTTCTATCACAGGCAGACTATCTAGTGAGCAAGCTCGGCCTTGGGGATTTCTACTGGTAAGGTTTTTTATTCTCAGCTTTTTTCCTTATGAGCTGGTGGCATCAAATTGGACAAGTTATATAGAGGTAATATTAGTAACTTCCCACAGCTGTTATAAAGGTAAGCTCAGGTATTTAAAAAACTTCAAAGAGTCACAGTCCCATTTCCCTCTCCCTAAACTTTCAAGCTATTAAATTATGTTAATTTGTAACATAAATTGTACTTCATTTTTACAAAATTCATACAGAGTATATTACTATTAACAAGTGAGCACATATTGTTGGAATGACAGTATTAAAAAAGGTCTAGTCTCTCATGCTGATGCTGATGAGGTCCTCAAGGTTACTTGGGATCTAGTTCCAGGGTATAGCAAGCCAGCCACACAACTTCAGTTCCCAGATGCCTGTGAGTTCCTGGTACCTACTTGCTATAGCATACACAGCATCCTTCTAATGTCCTCTCCCTTTACTTGCTCAAACCCACGCACGCCTTTGTTTCTTGAAACCAAAATAGAATGAAACCATTGAAGCAAAGTCAAATAAAAATTAAAAATGGCTATCATGCCATCTAAATTCCTACTTGTTTTGCACTGGCATTATATGACCACAGAGGAAAAAATAATTTGTTATGCTTTTAAGATAGATCAGATATACTTAAATATTGAGAAATACTATTAAATACTGAGAATACTAGAAAATATTCAGAAAGCTATCATTCATTTTGGCACACAATAAGGATATTGTGCATAGAATCCTTATATGTGCATTTTGGGGCAAAAAGGACAAGAGTATTTTTGTTGCTGAAGTTGTGTATACTTTTCTAGAGTGAAAACTTTATACCTACCTTTTGTAGAAAATCAGAATGAATTAGTATGGTGTATACAATAACCTACTATGTCATTGTGCCAGAAGTTTGACCAATTCCTTTTCATGGAAGTTTGAAAATGTCAAGTTCATTTTTAAACCCATGGCTAGTTTCATCTAGTTTAAACCAAAAGTGACAAAATAGGAACTGACTGGAGGGAAAATTCTGCAATCCACTGTTCTTAACATTTGATAATCCATGTGAAGCAGGTTTACCACAAACTGCTGTGACAGAACAAAGATGACAGATAAACTCCTGTGACCAAATTAATTGGAAATAGATGCCTCAGTCTTGTGATCCTATTTCAGTTTTTGAAAGAATTATATGCACCTTCAGAGCATGCCACATCTAAGGATGATTAGTCCTTGTACTGCTGGCATTGGGCTGATATGGCATGTGGCCAAGTGTCTCAAGAGGAAGCTAAAAGTTCAGTGGAGGTGATGCAGACTGTGTAGTTATTCCAGGATTACCTTGGAGAACATTCTGTCTTTTCTGCTGAAAGCTTGTCAGAGTTTGATATCTATTCTCTCTATGCCTATGATGTGTGTTTTCAGATTGCCCTAAGTGGACCTTCTTAAATTAGTCTCTTGTTTACTTCATTTTTTTCTACACTGCTGAGAAACATAAAATTACTTTGATCATCTTATCAGGTCATCTATATCCACATACCTTTTCTCACCTTTGTTATGATCTATATACATCTGAATGATCTCATATTAAACTATGGCAACTACTCCCAAAGGGAACTCTTAATGTTTTCTATTTGTCAAAAAACAATAACACCATGCAAGAGGCAAATGGTCAACTATTTATAAATACAAATTGCTAATTTTAAATAAGTCATAATCTCTTTTGGTTTTGCTTCAAAATAATCCAGTGTGTGGGTAGAAAGTAGGGAAGGTGAGAGTGCAGACGAAACAAGTTTAGCTGTCTATTGGTCACTGTTAAAGCTGGGCTATGTGTACAGGGTTTCATTATAGTCTTCTGTAGACTATTGTCAATGTTTGAAAAATTACATTATAAAAACAGTTTAAAGACACAAAACCTAACAACTTAGAAAAGTTATAATAATATTATATGTGGTTAAAATAAGTCTACTCTTTTGACTAGAGATATAATCTATTAGATTATCAGTAATTGAATCTACTCTACACAGCCAACCATAATAAATTTATGAGATAACCCATATCTGTAGCTGAGGTAGGTAGTTTAATATCTGATACAGGTATAAACTTTTTATACTGATAAATATACTTCTTGCCTTCTTATGCCAACCATAACAAAGATACTATAAGAAAACCTGAAATAAACAATTATTCTAATAGACTTATTTTGTTAGCATGTTTAACTTACAATCACAAATGATGCTAACCCTAGCAAATTAATCTTTTTAAGGCTAAAAAAATTATAAGATTAAATATAAAGAAAAAAGCAATTTAAACAAATGTTAGAACAACATAACACAAACCTAACAGCAATTTATATTAATATATATTTATCATTTTGTTTGCAATGTAAGATTGCAAGTATCTTACTTTACACTACAGAATTAAAATCCCAATGTGTCATATCTTCCTTATCTCTTGAATATAACAGGGATACCTACTAAAATCAAGTAAACTGTTTAAAAAGACCTAAATCACATCACTTAAAATTGTAAGGTTAAAGTACAATATTCTTTTAAATTATATTTTATTCAAATTATTTTAACAAGAACTTGATATTCTCATTTAAAAGATAAAGCAGATTTTACAATAGTGCACTATAACTTTCTAGTTAGTAGAATGACATACAACTGTACAACCCTATTTATAATGACAATTTTGAAAACCATTAGTCACTGAAAATTTAAAATATATTCTAAGAATCAGATTTGAGGGTGGAAACATCTAACAAAAAATGTAATTTTAACCTGGAAGATAAATTTTGGGAAAACTATGTTTATATGGTTGATCACTTTTTTTTTCTAATTTTAATGCTACTGTAGTTTCCAAAAGTTTATACAAATTTATTGACATGTTAAACTGAAAACACGAATAAACTCAGGACAAAAATGTCACATAACTGAAACCTTCATACATTTTTGAGCAATGGCATTTATGAAAGAATGGCTGAAAATGAACTAGCTCCTTTGAAAAGAGATAGGAAAACACAAGAGAGGGAATTTAAAGTATAATATAGCACATAAAATTGAGTTATCTTTTCTGTACAGTCCTTTGATTATTTTTTAAAAGTAGCATTAAAATATTTTCTAATTGATATGCAAAAACCAAAACCACATAAGTAGTATGGATTTTCAGCTTCTCACATCTGCTATTGCTTGTTTTTTTTTTTTTAACCAACAATCACCTTTTTGTAAAAAGAAATTTCAAATTCATAATGGTCAGGAAGGTGAATGAATTTTACCTCCCTGGTGCTAAAGCCGATCTTGAAAATAATATTTTTATTTTAAGATAATAATAACTATCACTTGCAGAACGAAACTTGTTGAGCTGGGTGCTTTTTATAAGTTCATGTGTGCACTCCTTCCTAAATATTTCAGTTTTTTTTCAGTTGAAGCAAAAGGCTCAAGTAGCTCAAGACACACAACTAGTAAGACAGTTTCAGTGGCCTGGCATGAGCCCTGCTCATGCTCTTTGCATATTGTGTGTCCAGAAGATAAAACCTCTTCGTGAAAATCTTGTCTACTATTTTTAATCGATGTTTATAATAAAGATATTCAAAACCAAGAAATCTAGTGTAATTTAGCACATGTTGAATAGATGCTATGAAACCCTGGTTGGGTATGACAAAATTGGAAAAGAGCTTTTGAATACCCTTAGGATGGAGTGAGAAGCTCTGGTCAGGCCAAACAATGAATACATCTATACCATTTTAATAATAAAATATAATTCTTTGGCCATGTTGAATTCATTACAGGATGCATTAGATGAAACTGAATTGATGCTGATAGCTGAGACGATTATTTTGTAAATCAGTTAGATATTACTGTCTAAATATTGGTTAAAAGAGTACTGTTGGATTTATTTTTATACAGATATGTTTGAAAACGAACACACAAAATCTACCAATGATAATTTTAAATCACCAATTAAAAACAAGAATGTCATCAGGTTTTCTCAATTTTAAAATATTTCTCATTTTAAAAAATATAATTAAAATAATAAAAATCAAGTGACGAGATATTCAGAAGTCCTCTTCAAATATATCCTGCGTATAATACAGTTACAATATCCTGAGTTCTGTGATTAGTCTGAAACCAAGTAATTCTATATCTAAGAGTCTAGCAAGATATCTCCTTTCAATTCATTACCACTTTTTTTCTACTGCAGAAACAGATTAATCTGGGAACTTACTGGTCAACACTTTCCCTCCACTTTTGCAATTAAAATTTTTTTTCAATCATTTTCTCTTGAAGATGTCATACAGAGTGCTAACACTTTCATAAGCAAAATCAACACCTTTAGAGCACTGAAAATTTGATATGAGTTGAATATATAGGCTGCTACAAGTAGTCCTTTTCTACGTTTAGTTTTAGGAGTAGTATTTTTGCAAAGGACCAAATAAATCATTCTATTAAAATGAAGGCAAAGCATTTAAATTAAATATTATTTACCACATATAAGTGAAACATCAAAGATCCAAATAATGGGTTCTATTGATAATAGATCAAATTTGGATGATAGTTTTTAAATGTAAAACTCTTGCTTAAGTGAATTAAAAGGATGAAATTCTTTTATTATAGATATAGTGCTATCTTTAAATTTGTTGGTCCATTAATTAAAAGTGAATAAGAGCATGATGATCTGATGTTTTGTTTAGCTTAATGCAAGTAACTGCCCACGCTGGAATTTAACTCCAAGGCAAAATTTTCTAATAGACAGTACTGAAATTTGGCCAAGAAAGAATCTTGTACAAAGAAGCCAACTCTTAATTGTACCTGATAATGAAAGGCATAATCCCAAATGACTACTTTAACTCATATCATGGCTATTTGCCCATGGGGATGTCTTCATTTTCTTTTTTTCTCTTTTTATTGATAGATAATAATTGTATATATTTATGGGGTACAGGCGACATTTTGATACATACATACAATGTGTAATGATTAAGTCATGGTAATTGAGATATTCGTCACCCTAAACATTTACCATTTCTTTGTGTTAGGAATATTCCAAATCTTCTCTTCTGGCTATTTTGAAATGCACAATAAATTGCTGTTAACTATAGTTGTCCTACTATGCTATCAAACAATACCACGTATTCCTTCTATTTTAACGTATCTTCGTACCTATTAACCAACCTCTCTTCATCTCTCCCTACCCCCTTCCCAGTCTCTGGTGACCACCATTCTACTCTACCTCTATGAGATCAAATTTTTTTAGCTTCCACATATGAGTAAGATCATGTGATATTTGTCTTTCTGTGCCTGGTTTATTTCACTTAACATAAAGTCCTCTAGTTCCTAGTTCCAACCATGTTTCTGCAAATAATAGGATTTCATTCTTTTTTATGGCTGAATAATATTCCATTGTGAATATGCACCATGCCTTCATCCATTCATCTGTTGATGGACACAGGTTAATTCCATATCTTGGTTATTGTGAATAGTGCTGCAATAGTAATAGAAGTGCAGCTATCTCTTCGATAAACACTGATTTCCTTTCTCTTGGATATATACCCAGCTGTGGGACTGCTGGATCATATGGTAGTTCTACGTTTAGTTTTTTTTGGGAACCTCCATACTATTTTCCATAGTTGCTGTGCTAATTTACATTCCCCAAGAAGGTGTTTTCATCAGAACATCTAAATAAGGGTGTATTTGCAGCTTGTAATATTTCTACATAAATAAAAAAAATATTGTGACTTCCTGAATTAAGACAAATATAAAATTGGTTAATTTCTCCACCAGGTTTACTGATTGGAACTGTTCCTGGACTTCTACATGAAAAGGACCACCACTGCTGGGCTCTAGAAGAAAGCTGTGAAGTTCTTTTCTTCTCTTCCCCTAACCCCTTTTCATTTCTCTCAAAGGAGGAGGAGTGCAGATCTGAAACTGGATTCTGGGATAGTAACTGAGCAACATATTCTAGGGATGAAACTTTAGAAAGAGGTAAGAGCTTTTCTTTATCTACTGTGGTTGTTGCTTTCTTCTGGCATCCTCCTATGACAGGAAACTAGTAAGGTAAATTCAAGATCCCTAACATTCCTTTTTCTTTCAGCTGGGGCATACAGAACTGGGGCTATCGCCCTAGGGAGACAAGGTCTGGGATAGTAGGGATGGGTATGGCTTTTTATTTCAACAGGGTTACTAATTATAAGATTGATGTTTGGGAGCAGAAACTCATTTGGTCCTTAAGGCAAAAGGACCATGTGTTTTTAAAATTAGAGTTCTGCATTAGCTTTGGGGTAAAAGATGTTTATCATCATTTATTCATTTATCATTTGATTATTAAGTGAATAATGATTAGAGCAAACTCTGGAGTTGGTCTCTGTCAATTTGAATTCTGGCTCCATGACTTAAAAACCGCATTATTTTGGGCAGGTTATGTAATTTATCTATACCTTAGTTTTCTTATCTGTAAAATGGAAATAATAACAATAACAACTAATAATAAATCCCTAGCAGAAGAGCTGTGATACTTGATTAAGTTGATAAATGTGAAATCCTTAAAACAGGGCTGGCATATAGCAAGTGCTCAATAAATATTAGTTACTATTATGAATAATTATTTAATATAAGAAATAATGTTAGTCTTATTTGGCAAACTGATAAGCAACAGAAGATGCAAACAGAAACATGAAAGACAAGGTCCCTGTCCCCAGGGAACCTATCTCATGGTGTCTTGTGTATGTATCTTCTCAGAGACTGACATCTTCTCCGAGACTGGTAGGATTTGTCTCAGTCTCAGACTTCCGGAGGCGAATTACCATCTTAATAACCATCCAATTTTATCCTTATAACAAACATCGACTCTCAGAATGATGCCAGGACCAAGTCTGAGGCCCACTAGCTGAAATCTTTTGTTTTTATTTGAAAAGGGCTAGTTACAGACATAAACGCAGAGGCTCTGAGCTAACACTGATGTGTGGCATCATCAAAAAGGAAACAGAAAACTGTAGGGGTAATGTCAAAATGACCTACTTAGATTATTGTTACTGTACCTCCAGAAAGATAAAGGATATGGGCAGTCTTAAAGATGGACAACCAAAGGGACTGAAGGGATGGAAATTTTCAGTGGTTACAGGGGCAGAGAACTAGCTCGCTTAGATGTTGAGAAGTTTGGAGGAAACTGAGGAGATACTGAATGCAGCAGCACCCTCATGAGAAGAAACCCACAAGAGAGCTGCTTTAGTTCCCTAGACCTCTTCGGTTTCACACCTAGGTTATTTGCCTTTAAATATATCCTCTTTTGGGGGGTGGGGTTGAGGTGGGAAGAGATGGCCTGAGTGAGTCCCTGTTTCTTAGTCCCTATAGTTAAGAGCTCATACCATGCCCATGCATAGGATTTCTCTACTGCTTTCACTCCATTCCCTTTCTCAGTTGAGACTGTTTCCCTTCTACTATATTTAGAGCCTATATTGGTTTTGGAGTGTCAGGAAGAAAGATTGTATTGGCCTTGCAAGTTACTGTGTTCTTGCCCAGGCAGGCTACAACAGAGAGAGAAGGTGGCCACGACAGTTTGCAGATTAGCTATATTCATCCCTCCTATTCCCCAGAAATAACCTGCCCTTTCAGATCTAAGTTTCCCTTGCTATTTTATCTCTATCTTTGGTATTTAAATACTGCTTATGCTGGGAGAAGAACAATCCTGCATGGTTTAATCTGCTCTTTTATAATATCCTTTCATTAGCTTGGAAAATGAGGAGTCAACATAATTTATTTTCAGGAGTACCCTACATAAAACCCACTTAAAAATATGTAAGCATATCATTGCATTGCTTAAGGTAGAGAGATTTAATCATAGTATTTAATAAAATAAAAACTAATTGCTTAAATCAGAGTATCAGAATTTCTTTCAAATGAAGTGAGGGGACCAACGGATTATGACTTTTCCCTGTTCACATCTAAAATATTGAGATAAAAATTATACATGCACACACATATCATATTAATTGTGTGTGTGTGTGTGTGTGTGTGTGTGTGTAAAATGACTTCTAAATCTATACAATTGGGGCAGGTAGGTGATCATTTAATGTTGTAATTTTCTTTATGATAAATAAGAATCAGGTAAGAACTGCCTCTCTTTACAGAGTTTAATGATCAATAGATTGAGTCAAATTAGGATGGAACTAACTTTCTATTATGGAAAGAAAACATATCACTAATCAAATACCCTGATTTAACATGAAAAGTATAGTATTAAACACAGAACAAAGGTAAATTTTCTAATTTGGTGTAGCAGAAGAAAAAAATACATTGTCTCCTTGAAACTGGAACTACAATCAGAAAAATGTTGGCCTTGAAAAAGTCATATAAAAAAGGCTATAAGTCTCCCAATTTCTGTCATTATTTATTTAATGTGAAAAACACTGCCATTACTAAGCAGATTTTCCCCTTTGTCCTTCTACATGATGAAAAAGGCAACTGATGCCACTTGTGTCACTGAAACAGGAAGAATTATTTAAGTAAGTTCTATGTGTGCTTTGGGGTACACATTTTAAAAATTTTTTTATCAAGGAAAATTTTAAACATAAATAAAAGTAGACAAATAGTATAATAACTTTCATGTATCCAACACCTAGCTGCAACAATTAACCCATAAACAAAAGCATTTTTTATATATCCCTACCTACTTCCCTTATTCTGTGGATACACTGACTGATTGTTTTACAGCAAATACCAAATAGCATGTCCTATCATTTTGGTGGTTCATTTAATTAAGCCATTACCCAGCATAACAATAATTACACTTTTGTTTTTCCTTCCTCTTTTTTTTTTGAGATGGAGTCTTGCTCTGTCGCCCAGGTTGGAGTGCAGTGGCGCGATCTCGGCTCACTGCGAGCTCCACCTCCCAGGTTCACGCCATTCTCCTGCCTTAGCCTCCCGAGTAGCTGGGACCACAGGCGCCCGCCACCACGCCTGGCTAATTTTTTGTATTTTTAGTAGAGACGGGGTTTCACCATGTTAGCCAGGATGGTCTCGATCTCCTGACCTCGTGATCCACCCACCTTGGCCTCCCAAAGTGCTGGGATTACAGGCGTGAGCCACCGCACCCGGCCTGTTTTTCTTTTCTAAGTCCTATCACTTGTACTTTTCTTATTCCTCAATTTTTTTCTCTCATGTCTTAATGCTTTTATAAGCCTGCAAGGGGTAAAAAGAAAGACTCTCATACTGTTATGGTAAGATGATGAGTGATTATTCTTTATCCACGTGTATTTCTGATATATAATTTGTGAGTCTATTAAACAAATAATTAGGTAAAAAATTAGAGATACAGGGATTTATTAAACCACCACGTGCAAATATGTTCTAAGCAAAGCTACTAAATACATATGATTTTCTGACATTTCTAATAAATTAGGAAAGTTGAATGTCAGTGAAGCTTCCATTTTTACATTCAGCTGACTAAGCAATAAATAGTCTAGGCAGTTGCTTTTTCACATATCTAAAAGCCAAGACCTGCACAAATAGGAATATTTCTTATATTTTTCTCAAAACATTTAATCTAATATACATTTTCCTACTGTTTTCCATTTTTACATCTGATGTCTACTTTAAACATGTTTTATGTTTAAAAGGAAGGTACACATTTTATCATTTTTCAGGAATTTTCCTGTCAAATCACACTCCTTGGTATCATGGTGCTAGCCCCAGTAATTAAGTCATGGCAATACCAAAACAAAATATGTAGCAAACCAAAATTTATATCTGATAATGCCACAGCTAACCAATTTTTGAATAGAGCCTATGTTACCAGATCAAGCTCATTTCAGACTAATATCCTTTTTTTAAGAATATACATTCCCCTCATAGTGTCCCTCTCAGGGCTGTGGTATAGAAGTTAAAAAGTTAGAATTAGCTGATAAGAGATTTTCAAAATAATGTTAAAATCATACTAAAATTATAATTATTATTAATTCTACATGTTTTAAAATAAAAATTTAAGGTGAAAATTGTTTCATTAATTAAGAAGGCTTGGAAAAGGCATAATACATATTGATTCATAAAGCCAGATTATTTCCTCTACCATTCTAGGAAGTTTCTAATTTATTTCCATTAAAGCCTAGTGACATGATATCGCAAATATTGATTTTAAAAATAAAATCCTCTGTTTTAATGCCAAATAATTCCAAATATTAACAAAATTAAATGAATAATGTTTTTTTTTCTTCTTACCATTGATAACATGTTTTCTTGCTAATACACTGCTTTAAATCAGAATAATTTGTGGTAGGGCAAAATCTTTTTAGTGTGTTGTGTGTGTGTGTGTATATATGCACACATGTATCAGTCTCCCTCTTCTTTGAGGCCACAGGTAATTAATTAAAAATTAGTTTATCTTCAGGCTGAAGATAGCATTAAAACTGCATATTTTAAAAAATAAACATAAAGGGCAATAAACATACTATCAAACCTATACAAGGCTGGGCACGGTGGCTCATGCCTGTAATCCCAGCACTTTGGGAGGCTGAGGTGGGTGGATTATGAGGTCAGGAGTTCAAGACCAGCCTGGTCAAGATGGTGAAACCCCATCTCTACCAAAAATACAAAACTTAGCCAGGCGCGGTGGCAGGTGCCTATAATCCCAGCTACTTGGGAGGCTGAGGCAGGAAAATCCCTTCAACCCGGGAGGCGGAGGTTGCAGTGAGCCGAGATTGCGCCACTGCACTCCAGCCTGGGAGAGAGAGAGTGAGGCTCCATCTCAAAAAACAAAAACAAAAACAAAAACACCTATACAGATATTTCTATAATGTCACATATGTTTAAAAAATGTTTTCTAAGTATAAGATAAGTTAATATTAATCAACGTGGTTAAAAGTAATGATACTGGTTACCCTCGGGGTAGGGTAATGACTGGAAAGGGTCATGGGGGCATCGTGGCAATAATAGAAATGTTTCTTGATCTGAATTCTGGTTACAGAGTGTATTCAGTTTGTGAAGATTCACTGAACTGCGTACTTATGATAGGTGTGCAATTTTCTCTATATTTACATCAATAAAAAGATTTTTAAAGCAGAAAAAGAACTAAAAAGGTATTAGAGCATTTTAACACTGTATCTCCTACACCATTCTGCTATTTCTTAATTTTTACATATTAGAAAAATATTTTCACATTTATAAATACATATAAAATACAGAAATGATTCAATGTTTTACAAGTCAACTATTTCCTATTTAACCTGATTTATTTAAAACACATGCTGTTTGAAAAATTTGGAATAATCTTGCATATGACTTAGCTCCCATTAAGAGAGGCAAGCATGGCTAAATGAACTCTTTCCTACAGGATATTTAAACTCTATCAGGTGAACCAAAAGAACCAAAAAGCCAGGATACAGTCTTCATTAATTCTAGTAGGACTTATTTGAGAGAGGACAAACTTTCCCTTACTTTTAAGAAAAAAAAATGTTTTATAAGAGTTTGTGTGTGTGTGTATGTGTATCAATATAACCAAAGCCAAATCAACTCAAATTTCTGAAGGCTTTTATAAATTATTCAGTATATTTAAAATACTTATTTTGGAAAATTACATGAGATTTATGCTTAGAAATTCAAGTAATCTGGCCTCATTTAATGATGTTATGAAATAAAAATAAATAACATTAAATAAATTAAATAAGTAGTATTAAATCAATAAGCATTTAAATTAGTTCTGTGAAACCTAATAAAAAGCACAAAGCTGTTATTCTAAAAGAAGGTGAAAGTTGAGGACAGTAAATTTGAAAAATGGAAAAATACAGTCATGGAAAAATGAGACAATGAAGCAGCCCAAAAAATCAGAATCTGTAGTTGATGAAACACAGTGCAGTAGCTGAGTCTATAAAAGACAATACACCTCAACAGATCTATTCTTTTTCTTTTCTTAAAGCTACAGCTATATGTTCAGGCAGAAGCAACCACTTAATTTTATGGTTGGTTATGACCAAAAACTCAACAACTTGGACCATGTCTAAATGCTCAAAAAACATGACAAATGTCAAATTTCCTAATACACGCCATGCCTGATTTTTTTCCCTTTGTTTCATACAATATCACTCTGCCTTGCTGAGTTCTCCTGTCCAAATCCTCCCTTCCTTTCTCTACCAGCCTAAAATTTCATTTTTTCTTAAATGTTCCCTGATAACATTCCTGCTCTTAAATTATCTTTGTCTTTCTCTGAATTCCTATGACACTATTTTTTGTTTGTTTGTTTGTTGGAGACCGAGTCTCCCTGTGTGACCCAGGCTGGAGTACAGTGGCAAGATCTCAACTCACTGCAGCCTCTGCCTCCTGGGTTCAAGTGAGTCTCATGTCTCAGCCTCCTGAGTAGCTGGGACCACAGGTGTGCGCCACCATGTCTGGCTAATTTTTGTATTTTTAGTAGAGACAAGGTTTTGCCACGTTGGCCAGGCTAGTCTAGAACTCCTGATCTCAGGTGATCCGCCCACTTGGGCTCCCAAAGTGTTGGGAATACAGGCATGAGCCACAACGCCTGACCTAACAGTAATAATTTAACTTTTATATAAGAAATGTTTTACAAGTAAAACTCTCAAAGAATAAAATATATCTACTATATTTTATCATTAATTCTTTACCACAGTCCAATTTACAGTGAAGAAACTGAGATCCAGAGAGATTAAAAAATGTGCCTGTCTTCACACAGATATTAAGACACAAGGTTGGGTTTTGAACTTAGGCCTGCTTGCCTCCAAAGCATTGAAGCTTATACCTTTAAGCAGATAGTAATTTTGGAAGACAGAATTTGATTTCATCATGGTACCTCTCCTGGAAAAATGGGTTGAATTTTTAACATCACTACTCTTCGCATGTTGCCTGTGACAGATGCAGATGTAAAATATTAGAGGGAAGATGAGGAATATGCACATGTTCTTATAACCAGTTAATATCAGGGCTGAGACTGGAAACTGTCTCCTGGTCCCTTTGCACCATGCCCCACTGAAAACTTACAGCATGGAGTATTCCGGGATGAGAGATTTTATCTAAGTAGGCAGTACATCGTAGCGGAAAGTTTAGGGTCAGTGACATCTGGTTTTAAATCCTGTTTCTACTGTTTACATTGTATCCTTAGGCAACATAGGCAAATACTCTAGGTATATTTCTTTATCAGTATAATACTAATAATACAGATATTGAAGGTTGATAACTGTGAAGACTAACAAAATACTTAGAGCTGGTCTCTCTGCTCCATCCTAACTTATATGTAAAATTGAAATGCTGAACTCTAATATTCTAGTGACATGTCATCATTTGCAGGGGTTTGTCATACAGCAAAGTCCACAATTCAGATGTATGTTCTCTACAGTGGCTCTTCTCCACATGGGTGTCCAAGACCCCTCCAGGCATCTTAATGAGGGAACAGTGCTTCTCGCTATTCATTACCCAAGAGAATTAGGGAGATGGCATCTTGAAAACAATTTCAAGAATTCATTATCATATCAAATACTGCAGGTTTCATTACAAGAGGGCAAGCAGTTACAAAGGAGATGGTTTCCTTTTTCTTTCTCTGTCTGATGTTCTTGTCTGTCTTCCAAGATGTCAGATGAACAGTCTGCTTTATTTATAAACGCGACTGAGGCTGAGAACAAAAGGATGTGATTATAAAAAGAAAGGAAAAGCCTCAGAAGGATGAGGTAGGAGGTGAACTTAAGGTCTGTTAACTAGATGGATAAATCAACACCCTGAGTCACTAAGACAATAAACAAAATAAAATTCATGTTCAGTGACTGATTGCATATTTGCCACAAAGAAGGAAACTAAAGTCCACACTGACAGCCATTTTCTCACGTTTCAATAAATTTAGAATGAATCCTGAAGTGGAGTTTTAACACTACAGAAGGTTATTCTAGAGCTACACTGTCCAAAGACACACATGGCTACTGAGCACGGGAAACATAGATAGTCCAAATTGAGATGTGCTGTAAATGTAAAATACACACCCGATTTCAAAGACTTACTATAAGTAAAGAATGTAAAACATTTCATTAGTATTTTTTAATTGATTACATGCTGGAATAATAATACTTTGATTATACTGTATTACATAAAGTATATTATTAAAATAAATTTCACCAGTTTCTTTTCACTGTTTTCAATGTGGCTACTAGAACATTTTAAATTATCTATGCAGCTCACATTTGTGGCTTCCATTAAATTTCCATTGGACAGTGTTTGCTAACAATAAGAATGAAAGACATTTTAGGCAAGTGACAATACATAGCAATTACTTTCTTCAACTCAAACGTAAAGGGTTAAACTTCATTAAGAATTCCTTTTGCAAACTGTTTCTTGAGTCACAGATGTTCATGTGATATTAAACAGTAGGTATTTAGTATGTTACAGTGCTACCTGAAATATTTTGGCCATTAAGTTTATAATCTACAGAGATAAGATTTAAATTAATTCTAAATATATATATTCTGAATATAATTTCTAATATATAAGTATAAATTCTAAATATATACAATGACACTGATAAGGTGTCACCAGAATACCAGATTTCAACATATATGTATATAAAATTTTTGAGGTCAGAAAGTCAAAAGCAAAAACCCGAGAAACCTGAAATTTCTCATCCTCAAGTACTCTAACATCTTCCTTATTGTTGATTTCTTCATGAAGCTCTTCCCAGTGCCATCCATCCTCCATTGCTAAAGTTCTGTCATTGCAAGATAAATCTGACTTGACACTTGCCTCTTCAAACATCTCCAACAACTCCTAACATTTATAGCATAGAGTCTAAACTCAGAGTTAAAGCTTGACAACACCTTACTCCAAACCCCCTTTCCACTCTCATCTCAGGTAATTCTCCACCATACAGTCTAAATACTGAAGGCGAATACCATGCCCTTCCCAATCAGTCCAAGCTTGAGCAGTGCTCCTGCCCATTTCCCTCCAGGTCTGCTGGCGATCTCTCCTTGCCATCAGTGCCAGCTCCAGGTGACTTGGGAGGACCTTGTCTATACTTTCCAGGTATCTGGTAGATGAATATCATCATATATTCCACCTGTCATATTATGTTATATAGGTCTATTGCACCCCAGGTTAGTTTGCGACAGAGTGAGTAGGATGAAAATAAGAATAATGATATTTTATCTTTGTGTCTGCAGTATCTAGCACAGGGATAGGCATATACTAGGTCTTCGACAAATACCTGTTGACTGAGAGCATTATGCCTTTTACCCTCCATATCTTAGGCACTAGCCATGCAAGACTCTTATGTTTCTGAAATATCTAAAATTGGACCTATATCACTGCCGTTCTACAAAGTGTGGGATGCTTTTTTGAAATTTACTTTTTTTTTTTTACTTTTGTCAGAAACACACACACACACACACACACACACACACACCACACACACACATACAAATTTTTAAAGTCAAATACTACAACTAGCAGTCTCATGCTGTATGCCTCCACATTCCCAAAGCCCCACCACTTTCAACTCATTTAGCTGCTTCTTGCAATTCTTCCCTTCATTCTCATATTTCTAAATAACACATGCACACACACACACATACACACACAAACACAGACACAACTCAGACCTTGCTTTCAAAGAGGATATAAGCAAAAGGAGGCAGGTCTATCTTTATCTTTATGCTCCTCCAAATATGGGACTTTACACATAATGAATACTCAATAAACACTTACTGGTTGATTGAATGAATGGATAAGTGAATACACATGTTCTTTGGTGCTTAAGTGTGATCTATTCAACAGTCTGAAGTGGAGATGCATTCATATACCACATTCAAGGCAAAGAAACAAATGGACACACCAATTAAGAACAAGTAGAAAGGCGATAATGAAAGGCAAGAAAGACAAGGTGGGTAGAAACTAGGAAATCCTCCTGAACCAAAAAGTCAGGATATCCTGGGAATAGAGGTTATGTGAATGAGTTTTACTTCTAGATGTATAATCTTGGGCAATTTGCTTAACTTCCCTGGATTCCTGTTTTCTTATCTGTAAAATGGGATAATGCCTCCTCCCTTCTAGATTTGCTGTGTCTAGTAAGCTGTATAAATGAAAGCTGTATTGTTTTTATTGTTGTTTGTATGCATATGTGAATAATAATATCAATAACAACATCACCCTGGCAACCCTGAAGATGAGCTGACTTCCGGTCTAACCAGAAGCTTCTTATACGCATACTGCTAAGGCTTCACCAGGCCAAGGTGAAAATAGAAAGATGTGGGTACACTTGGCAATGAAAAGTATGCAGGGAGAAGATGAAGACAGGTTCCTTGCAGCAGTACTATAAAAAACTGAATTCTATTTAGAGCTGCATGTTAATCACCTTTTCTGTTTGTTCGTTACAGACTCTACCAAGGAAAATCCAGTCTGTTCTTTAGATGGCACACACAGAAGCAATAACAATATTTTACAAATGACAATAGATATCTGATGACTGCAAAAATTTAATACATATACTTGATGGAAAAATAAATTTCATAACATCCTATACTAATGTAATCCATACACTGAATAAAAACTCTATCTTCAACTTTCTATTAAGATAGATATGCCAGAATCTCAAGACAATAAAATCTCACTAGAGAGTATCATATACCAGAACCTCAAACTGCTTTCAGCATCTCCACAATGTTCAGTGCATTAATGTTAAATGATTGGTTAAAAGCATTTAAATCAACCTTCCGTTCTTGAAATTTTCCATGAATGAAAACAACATCCATTTAAAAAGATCTTGCAAAAATGATTTTGTTGAAAAGAAAAAGAGGAACATAGCACAATAAATTATTTTAATGCATTTGGCTAGTGAAGTAGAATACAGCAGAAGCCCTTGAATCCTAAGTGCTCATAGATGATAAACATTTAAACACACCTGTGCTCCCTTTAATTTCAATGTACACAGGAAATTATAAAATAGCTGTGCACTTATTAAAATGATCTGCAAATATAAAACTGTAAAGCAACTAATAATACTAAAATGTTGACCTCAAAGCCCTAAATAACCTAAAGGTAAAAAGAAGAAAAATTATCTTCACATGTGGTAGTACACGTTGCTAGCCGTGTAATTTATATATATACATACATATACATATATATGTAAAACACCTTCAACTACTCAATAGTTTTGATCCAATTTAGGGAAAGGAAAACCCCAAACAGAGAAATAAGAATGACATGTGTGAATGTTTTTATGTTTTTAGTGAAAGCACAAGTCAAAACCATGTCTGCAAAATGGAATTAATCCCTAATTAAATTGCTTCATCATTTAAAATGTCTGAAATTAATTATCACAATAATAAAGGTAGAATTTAAGTACTCTGTATTTAAATATTTGAGTAAATTAAAAATATATTTATTTGGCTGAAAATGCAGAAGGAAAATTAGTTTTTTTTTGTATTTTTTTTTGTTTTTTGAGACAGAGTCGCACTCCATCGCCCAGGCTGGAGTGCAGCGGTGCTATCTCGGCTCACTACAAGCTCCACCTCCTGGGTTCAAGCCATTCTCCTGCCTCAGCCTCCCAAGTAGCTGGGACTACAGGCGCCTGCCAGCACACCCAGCTAATTTTCCATATTTCTAGTAGAGACGGGGTCTCACCATGTTAGCCAAGATGGTCTCGATCTCCTGACCTCGTGATCCGCCCATCTGGGCCTCCCAAAGTGTTGGGATTATAGGTGTGAGCCACCGTGCCCAGCCGGAAAATTAGTTTCTTAAGGTTAGTTTCCGACATCTCAAAATTAAAAAAAAAAAATCCTGGGCTAATACTTTAAACATCCTATTGAAATTTTTCCTCTTGTGCTATTAAAGAATCTTGATGATTCTAATAACTAAAAATAAAAAAAGACATGCAAAAATATGATCATTACCTTGCAAGTGAGTATTTTCAAATGACATAAATTTCAAATTGCAAATTTCTCTTGTAGATTTTTTTGAGATGGAGTTTCACTTGTCACCCAGGTTGGAGTGCAATGGTGCGATCTCAGCTCACTGCAACCTCCGCCTCCCGGATTCAAGGGATTCTCCTCCCTCAGCCTCCTGAGTAGCTGGGATTACTGGCACACACCACCACACCCAGCTAATTTTTTTTTTTTTTTTTTTTTTAGTAGAGACGGGGTTTCACCTGTTGGTCAGGCTGGTCTTGAACTCCTGACCTCAGGTGTTCCACCCACCTCGGCCTCCCAAAATGCTGGGATTACAGGCACAAGCCACCGCGCCCAGTCGTCTCTTATAGATTTAAAACAAACAAAAAAAACTCCTTCTCTTTCAAAAACTCTTGTGCTCCAGACTTGCCAAAATTTTTTCCCACTTCAACAGAGATAGAAATGCTGGATAAAATACAACAAGCATTCTTTAAAATACATAACCGACTTAGTAAGAAAGTAAGAAAAAACTTATGATGCTTCTCAGTAATACTTTTCCCAGGTATCTACCTAAGATAAATGAGAACACGTGTTCAAATGAAAGACCTGAATGAGAAAGGTCATAGCAGCATTATTTATAATAGTGAAAAAGTAGAAATAACCCAAATGTCCATCAACTGGTGAAAGGATAAAAAAAAGTGGTATAGCCATAAAATGGAATACTATTTAGCAATAAAAAGGATAAAATACTAATACATCCCACAACACTGACAAATCTCAAAATACTAATACATGCCACAACATAGATGAATCTCAAGAAACTTACTAAGAGAAAGAAGGTATATGCAGAAGACCACATCTTGTTTGATTCCCTTTATACAAAATGTTCAGAAAAGACTAATCTATATAGACAGTGAATTATTAGTTGCCTGAAATTGAACAGGAACGGTGATTAACTGTAAACAGAGAAGAGGATCTTAATGGAGTGAAAGAAAGTTTTAAAACTGAATTGTGATGATTTCACAACTCTGCATATTTACTAAAATAATTGAAATGTACACTTAAAATGCATGAATTTTATAATGTATAAAGCTGTTTAAACAAATGAAGTAAATGTAAAAAGTTAAGGACCCAAAAATTAAGTATGAATGCCACAGCTACCTTGAGGAAGCTTGCTAATATTTGTGGCCTTTTGAATTTAATGGCCATGTGTGATAAGGGGAAAAAATATCTCCTCTGAGAATCAAAGTCACAGGCCAATCACATGAATATGGAGTGTGAGTTACCCTTTTTTCTGCTCTTAGAAACCCCTGCCCAAGAACTGAAACTGAAAGTAGTCCAAACTGCCCAAGAAACTGAAAGTAGTCCAAACTGGTAGTGTACCAGAGTTCCTGGTGGAGCAAACACAGATCTTTGAAAGCACATCCGTTAACACAGGTCACAGTGGGTTCCCATAGATAAAGATCAAGTAGAAGTTCACAATTAAAAACAAAACAAAACAAAAAACCCAATTCACTATGAATGAGAGCCAGAAAAAAGAAGAAAGAAAAGAATAAAACCCTAAAGGACTTCAGATTTTAGATTATCAGACATAAATGTAGTAAAAGTATATCCAAACTGTGAAATAGAAAGAGAACTGAAAACATGAGCAAGTAACATGTTACTATAAAAAAGACAAAGCAGATTTATGAAAAAGAATCATAATTTCCAGAAAGTACAAAGATGATCACTGAAATTAAAAATCCAACAGATAGCTTACAGAGAAAATTGGACAGGGCTGATGGAAAAATCAGCAAATCGTAAGCAGATGTGAAAATAACATACATTATAGCATAGGGATGGATAAAATAAAAGAGAGATTAATAGATTAAAAATATAGCATGAGAAGGTCTAATATATATGGCTAAATGTCCAGAATAGAGATAATGGGAAAAAGGCAATGTTTGAGAAAATAAGGTTTGAAACTTTCCCCAAACTAATTAAAGAACTGAGTCCTTGGGTTGAGGAAGATCTATAAATTCTGAACGTGATAAATAAAAAGAAACACATAGGAAGAGATATAACAGAAAAGCTGCGCAACATTAAAAGTAAAAAGAAGATATTGCAAGCAAAGAAAAAAGACAATTACTAACAAAGGAATAATGATTGGCAGCTCTTTCAACATAATGCAAGCCAGAAGACAGTGGGATAATATCTTCAAAATACACACAAAAAATTTAATTCCTAAATTGTATACCCAATTAAATATTATTCAAGAACCTGGGTAAACTTATGTTTTGATATTTTAACAGACATTTGTGTGTGAAAGCCTCATACATTTCAGTTAACGAACACTATTTTCCCCATTTTTTAATAAAAAGTAATAATGTAATCCTACTTATTCTAAATAAGTAGGTAAGAAATTGTATCTTATTTGAAAAAGCTTATGCAAGAAATTAATAAAAATATTTCTAAAATCATTACATGATAGAAATAAAATAATATTCCACTATCATATAACATGATTTAATTGGAAAATACTCATATTTTCTACCCCCTTTGCAATACTACTGAGTAAAGGTATGTCTGGTTGTCTCACAGAAAAGTTCCTGGGCAAAGAGGAGGAAAAAGTGCCATAGTTAAGCAATGGGAGGGAAAGTACTCCAGCCTGGGATCGAGGACAGCTTAGTTCTGGTTCTAGAGCTGGGAAAAACCAGGCCTCAGTTTTCTTCTGAATGAAAATGGAGGCTTCAGAGGAATCAGCATTTTCTCACAGCTCCTATAGCTCTGAAGCTTGAAAAATTTTTAGCCAAATTCTATAGGATGCCACTGAAACTTCTTCATAATCTCGGAACCAATAATCAAACTAGTGGGAAATACTTCTAGACAGAATTCGTAGCGTATTATATAATACATTCTTGCAATATTTTCCCACAAAAATTCATATTAGCTAGGAAGCTTCCATTCTGATTCCTCATTTCCCCAACCCTAAGAAATTAGATAATAGAAATACTTGTTTTAAAAGATGTTTGCAAAACTGACAAATTTTTGCCAAGAACACTCTACGCTGGTTAGGGGATACTGGGTGCCTGTCTCCCAGTGTTCCCAATAGTAGCAAAGCAAATTGCTAGAGTGTCAAATTTTCAATGACTTTTTTTTTTTTTTTCTGTTTTGCTCTGTCATTTGGAGACCAGACTGAATAGGCACAAGCAAGATTCTGGGTGATTTTGCTGCCTCGTATTAGCTAGGTTTTTCTCCCTCATGCAAAAATAAAATAGGAATCTAATGGTACTTATTCCTGTGGCTATGTCTGGACGATACGTAAAGTATCAGAGTCCCAGGTGAGGCCAGGACTGGCTGGTCCAGAGGCTGGAGGGGAGGATTTCAGAAACAGCACTGTCATCCTTTCATATGCCCTACCTCCTCTGTCTCAATTTTAGGAGTATAATAAATGTTCTCTTAAAAAGCATGCTGGGCAGAGGAAATAAAAAATGTGGTATGGATGGTGGTTAAATATCTGCCCTCTAATACATATAGAATCGTTTTTACATTTAAAGTCAAATCTGAAGCTGATTTAAAAATTCCTACAGTGGGTAAGAGCTAAGAAACCTTTCCCATGAAAATCTGACCTTTGGTTAACTTCCCAGATCTGTTCTCTGGCAATTCTAAAATGGTATTTTAACCATGTTATTATAAGCAACTATTATTGCTTATTGTAACAATGATCCCTGATTGATAAATAGCATCTGTCTGGTTTGAGAGAACTATAAATACCTGATAGGGACACCATTGCTTTCGATTACCTGAATGCAATCATTGATATAACTGGACTTATAACGTGTGGCAATTCTAGAAGCTATGCCTGTTGACTGTTCCAAGACATATTAGGTGGTGGGGGCTTGAAGCTTCTAAGCCAGGGTAATGCCTGTATCTATGTTATGTGGATCTTACCTCCTTATACTTGAGCCTTCATCTGGTGGGTGAAAGAAGAGCCTCCTGACTGCTGGGTGAACCGTGACGTGGGACTACCACAAGGTCTCCTACAGAAGCTGACCGCCTGACACTGCCCTCTGGCAAGCTAAGGCTCTTGTCTTGCTGAGCACACTGTGCCAAGGGTGGCCTATGGTGGCTAAATGTCTAAATATTTATTTGAATCTAAACTAAATGGGAGGCGAGGCACCGGAATGTTTAAATTTTAATGTTTCTTTTGGTTTTAGGTCTATATGTAACCCAGGATAAACACCATATTGCTAAAGTCATAAAAAAATTAATTTAAATAACATTTTAATTCATTCAAAAAATTGTAGAATGTTCATTGAAGCCACTCTGTGATAAATAGATTATAAGATAGGAAGAAGACAAATAGCGGATACAGTTAAGTGGTTACCACAGTTATCAGTGGATTTGGCTCTACTTAAATATATTTTGAGGATAGAGTTGACCGGGCTTGCAAATGGATGTGATGAAAGGTAGAAAGAAAGTGAAGCATCAGGGAGATCAAAGTTTTGGCCAAGTAAAAAGGTGAATAGTGATGCCATTTACACAGGGAAGAACAGTAGTGGTTATGACGAAGTGATAGAAATGATTGTGAGAATAAACAGCCTTCTATTCTGCATTTAGATTAACCTACTGAAAAGGAAGTACTTACATTAGCCAGTGCAGGGATATGATGCTTTGAAAACAGTGATAATGTGGATCCAGTTTTATAATCAGTATTACATACTTAGCTCTTTTTATGGGAAGCAGGTATGAATAAAGAAGAAAAAGTAGGAAAGTCAAAACGCAGCTTTAAGTGTGCAGCAGCACATCATGTGTTAAATTGAAACAACCCCAAAGTTCAACTTTCTTCACTGTTCAAGGAGAAAATCCTTTACTATGTACTTCAGGATAAAGGATTTGCAACTATATGGTGGTTGAGAAATATGCTATTGCTGTAATTTAACTCACTGTATGTGGGCTTCAAGATGCACAGTGGCATTCCAAACCAACTTTTAAAGAAAATTGCATGGAATTTTGAAGACATCAGGAGCGTTCTTAAAAGTTATGCAGAGAAAACGGATTTTTGATAGTTATGAATTATATTTAGTGCTGCCAGATTGCAGGGAACGCTCTTTTTGCCTCAGTATGGTTAAAATTACTGTTGACAAAGTTTTAATTTAAAATTTTAAGGTTTTAAATGGAAGAATATAGGTCACTGAATTTTCATTCACTGTTTAAGTATGACTACTGGCAGAAAGCAAGCTTTGTTAGTGAGGGTCCAATTTAGGCCCTGGAGTCCATCTTTTCTGTAGTAGTTGGGAATTGAGTATGTGTTAGTGAGAATAACTTGGCTCTCAGTCAGTCAATCAGTGGACTGAACACGCACAGTTAGAAACCTGCCTGGCACACAACAGAAGCTCAGTTCAGAAAATACTAAACGCATTTGTGAGACAGACTAGAGTCCACACAAATCATATATTACAATCACAAGCTGGAAGGGATCCGATCTTTCCTAGCAGGTTGTAGATTTAGATAGAAATGTAATAGTCCAAAAATACACTACACAGCTTCAAAGTCTAATTCTACAATTTTCAACCAGTTTCTTAAAGGTGAAAAAAAAAAGTAAATATTTGTAGAGCCCACTGCACGTAAAAAATGTCTTAAAGGACCTTCCCATTACCAGAAAAACTTGGGAAATTATAGTAGGTTTCTAAGTTAAATGCCGAGTATACGGTATGTAGGCTACTAAATATCAAGACCACACTTATGAACAATATTTAAAAAGTATATTTTTTCATAAATCTGAGAGCGTAGATTTCAAATGAAGTCTAGGAACGAAGATGAAGCATGAACTTCATGCAAAAGACAGCATAACGATAGAAAGGCTGTACCTTTCCACATAATGTAGAGTATGTGAGAGCGTCATCAGGTTTGTGCTGTTTGGTGTCCTATTTGTCCTCAAGGACCTCCTCCAGCTCTAGAATCAGCATGTTCCTCCACCGAATGATGAATGTGATGGATAATGTTTACATGTGCGGCACATATTCATGCGCATTCCCTGAATTTTCTGTAGCCCCAAAATATTGTGGAAATAAAAGAACGTGACAGAAATGTGGGGGGAATATGCATTAGGGGAATAAGGGACTAGACTTTATAACAATAATACACTTCACAGGAATGTAAATAACTAATAAATCGTACACTGGTAAGTACAAGCATCAAAAGCTGTGACAACAAAGAAACCAGAAATCATGTGCAAATATCAACATGCTTGATACCCTCATCCCTGTTTCTAGCGCTTAAAATTTTGTCAGGGTCCAAGAGAGTGAAAAGAAGATATCACTTAATCTGTTCCAATTTATAATTTTTTTGAAAGTTAATCATTTGCAAACCTTGAATGCAAGGTGTGTTATAATGGCAAAGTTGAAAACGAATGCTTTAGAGGATTTCAACCAATTTCTTATGTAAACCAGAGCAGAAGGGATGATTCTCAGAAAAAAGCTGAAGTACATTTGCCTCAACATAAAATAGGACTGATTAAATTTCAAACTCTTCATTTATTTTGTAGGGCAGAAATTTTAAGTTCCTTATTGCTGTTCAACATTGGCAGCTTAAATCTTATTTATTATTGATGCACATATATAGGTATGCTACTATAATATAAATGTGTGTAATAATATGTATTATTCATTAAAAGTTAATTGGTTACTATAAGATAGAAATAATTTAAAGTTTCAAATATACCATCTTCTAGCATATTCAGAAAATATCATTCTGGATGCGCGCAGCTTGGTTGTGAGTTGCTCCCTATACAAGTGCCTGCTCCTCAGAACACCAGAGACACATCTCTGGACTTCAAACCTCCAAATCTGACTTCATAAGGCTGACTTCGGAGAGATTTCCAAACATACAAAGGGCAAGGAAGGGATTGGATCCTATTAGGATTTTATTGTGATTTTATTTCTAATAGTAGAACAGAAGAATCCTTTATGAGCGGAAATAAAATATCTTCAAAGCAAACTGCTTTCTTGGAGAGGCTCCTAGAGCCATATGTGAGGAAAGAGATAGTAAGTAGGAAGAAAAAAAAGGGAAATTTAACCTAAGAAAGAAATAGAGATGATTAAAAATACACAAGTATCAATCATCAAACAGTACATAGCTAGTTTTCCACACAATTTTTTTTCTCTGCTTCTAAGAATTATTTGCCATATGAAAGCATTTTGGCAGGCAAAATGTATATTATATCAGTATGAACATAGTTCATTTGAAAAGCATATATATATATATATATATATATATATATATATATATACAGCTTGGTCGTGAGTTGTTCCCTGTTTTATATATATATATATATATATATATATATATATATATATACATATATACATACACATATAGTTTTGCTTTTGTTTTTCATATATATATATGGTGAATAGAAAAGTACCATAACTTCCTGAAGATGAACTGAATTTTCTTTGTTTATTCCTAATTTTTAGTTTTTTAAAATCTTTTCTCTGCCCTCACTCAGTCATTTTCAATGAAAGCCAAGTCACTTTCAGTCACTTGGCATACACAGAGCACAGAGGCACGGAGGCTGGATCAGCCATGTCGACTCAACACAATTGTTTGAAAAGTTGAAAAGTTCAAAGTATTTATTTAATGTCATGCAGATAAACCCAAGGAAAGAAACACATTTGACAGATAAATTCTAGGTGACTGAGTCTTTACAAGCCCAAGGGAATGTTTTAGGATAAGGGTGAAAATTAACAGCTTAATATTTAAGTTAAAAGTAAGTTTGATTTACTTAATTAGGAAATTAGATGAACAAAACGGTCTTTTTGCCTAAGGAGAAAGTTCCATTTAATATCTATCCTACAGTGAAATCATCAATCTGTCTGGTTCTTTGCCTCCAAAAAATATGAGATGGAAAGAATATTAACCCCTGATTTTATAGCTAATAAGATCAACGTGTGGGATCTGATGAGCTTGGGAAGGCTGGCACCTTCTACCTCGAGAATAGTGTCCATTTTGTACCGAGGAAATCTACCGGTTTTCTACCCTCTAGCAGGTCATTCACTGACAGATCCAGTTCTTACTTATATATTGAGAGAGAAGTTGAACTAGACCAGTATTTTTCAAACTTCTGGTCATTGTGTTAAGTGACAAAATTAATCTACTGAGAGTCCAACAAGCACTTCAAATGCAAAATGGATTTCTCACTGCAGGACAAAGAAGTTTGAAAGCCCATGAATGTAATACCATACAGTTTTGAACACTTTTCTATTTATTTCCAAATGGCTGGGTCCAAGAGGTCCATTTTCAATACTTAAAACAAATGCAGAATATTTGAGACAAACAAAATCAGAAGGTAATACCCAGCAAGTTGATGGACTAGCTAAAATGTAAAATTACTTCTTCCCAAGTCCCACCTCTAACTTCTCCAAAAGTAGAAAATGTGTCTGGGGATTAAGTGAGTATTGGGTACAAGAAACTACAAGCTTTTAGTCCTTGAATGAGGATGCTTTAAAACCTGTGTGGAGGGGCTGACTTTGCTGAGTTGTAATGAGAAGGCTGGACCTGTGATGACGAATATAATAGGTTTTAAGCTGGAGGAATAAAAGACAGAAAAACACAGTGATGTAAGATTCGGGATGTAGCACAGACTTAGAAAAATTCAATCAAAGGAAGCACGGTTCTTTAGAAAAATGGATTATCCCATGTCTCTACCATAACGTGCATAAGAAGAGCCTGGTGTATCTTGACATAACGAGTCCATGTCAAAAGAAAACAGGAATCAAATGAAGAAGCTTCCACTATCAAAAATAGGGCAATTTGAGCATCAATAAAAAAAAATTGCAATGGATCACTGAGTTTAAAATGATAATTAAACAATAGTTCTTCACTGATCACCTTTATGGGATGATGCAAAACCACTGCATATTTTAAAAACTGGAAAATAAAGGAAAACAATTACATACCATTCCTGCCTTTCCTAAATAAATTGAACTCAGGTAAACTGGAAAGCTGATATTTATCTAAAGTCCAGCTAGGAGATGAAAAGGGAAAGACCTTCTGGAGAGGCTTAACTATGCCTATGTTAGTGGATACAAGAATGTGACTCTAATCTGTGATAAACATACAATATAATGAATTATTTTAATGTTAAATTTATATTGTGTTTTGAGTGTTACTCTCACTTTCTAAATAGGAAAGTTGGGACATGTTTGTTTTGTTTTTCTTCAAAATAAATCATGTGTTATGTGTCTAACATTAGTAGGCTAATTAGTAAGTAGCGAAGTAGATCTAGTCCAACATCAGCTGGTGAGGACAAAATTATCTTGAAGAGCAGGTAAAACCATAAGACAGCACTTGGGAATAGAAGACATATGGTTTGATACTTTAGAAGAAAGGGATGCAGCTCTTGGGCTTTTTCTCCCTTTTTGCTCCTACTTTTCATTGTATCTCGGAAAATAAGGAACACTAAAGCTAAAGAGAACAAAGTAGGTAGAACACAAAGCCACACTGAAGAGGGATTTGATTTTTTACTTCTCAGAGAACATTCTTGGAGAGGCTCTCTCAGGAGAAGAAAGTTAATGGGGCTGGGTGCAGTGGCTCATGCCTGTAATTCCAGCACTTCGGGAGGCCAAGGCGTACAGGTCACTTGAGGTCAGAAGTTCGAGACCAGCCTGGCCAACATTGTGAAACCCTGTCTCTACTAAAAATACAAAAATAAAATAAAATAAAATAAAATTAGCCGGTCATGGTGGTACGTGCCTGTAATCCCAGCTACTGGGGAGGCTGAGGCAGGAGAATCACTGGAACCTGGGAGGTGGAGGTCGCAGTGAGTTAAGATCTCGCCACTGCACTCTAGCCTGGGCAACAGAGTGAGACTCTATCTCAAAAACAAACAAACAAAAAGTTAACAGGCAACTGAGGGTGAATGATGACACTGAGGCCTGAGAACTTCTGAGTGTAGGGTTAAGAAAGGAATTCAAGAAAGCAATTGCTTACATTTCTAGGAATAGTAAAATTATGTATCTCTAGAAATATCTGCACTTTAAAGCTACTATGAAAGTATCTCATTGAATGTTGTCTTAAATTGCTTTAAAATTACTACTTAAATAAAGAAATAATTCTTATATGAAAAGCAGAGAAATTTGAGAAGTCATCTGCAATGGGGAAATTTTAGTTTTTGTTTTGCAAATTAACTAAAACCTGTCAGGCCTCAGCTTCCTCATCTATTGAAAATAGGTAATACTACTTCTTTCATAAGTTAGTTATAATAATTTTAAAAGAGGATTCAGAAAAAATTTAACTCATGAAGAAATATATACACTTTTGAAATCATTTTAAGAAAATATTTGTTGAATATATTAATACATACTGAATATCAATAACAATCTCCCCCTTTCAGCTACAGAACACTTAATCATGGCATGCAACTTACATTTGGTATCAGCATGGCAAAGTTATAGTGAATAAGTAAATTAAACCTATTAAGTTCTAGAAGAATATAATTAGATCTCATGGGGTAGCGCTTTATGACATTGTTTTTTCATATGCAGATTAACAAATATGGCTGTCTGGATTTAGTTATATTTTTAAGGCTCTGACATCTGGAAAAATCCTACTGGAAAAAAAAGTGTTGCTAATAATAAATACAACACTTCTCTGACCTCTGAGTGATTATGCAAGACACTGACTTAATACTGAATGCATACTATAGTGTTACGCACAAATTATGTAAACCTGAAGCTATCCAGGTCTCAGTTTCCATGTCTACAACTTGAATAATAATAGTACCTAGCTGGCTGGGTGTGGTGGCTCATGCCTGTAATCCCAGCACTTTGGGAGGCCAAGGCAGGCGGATCACCTGATGTTGAGAGTTCAAGACCAGCCTGACCAACATGGAGAAACCCTGTCTCTACTAAAAATACAAAATTAGCCGGGCGTGGTGGCACATGCCTGTAATCCCAGCTACTAGGGAGGCTGAAGCAGGAGAATCGCTTGAACCTGGGAGGCGGAGGTTGCGTCAGCCAAGATCGCACCATTGCATTCCAGTCTGGGTAACAAGAGCGAAACTCCGTCTCAAAAAAAAAAAAAAAAAAAAAAAAGTACCTATCTAAAGTGGAATATTAATAAAATTAAATGAATAATGCCCACAGAAAACATCCAATACATTTTATCTATTTTATCTTTATTATTATTGTTACGAAAGTTTGTTATTTCACTTATTTCTAATTTAACTGGATACTTGATTAGTAGTGATAACCCAAAGTAATATTTCCTTTTACATAATATATGTTAATGGAAGTTGTTACCATGGGAATGCTGAATAAGACAGGAAAAGTCACAACAAAAATTGGAACTTACCCTGAATTTTCAACTAGAATATTTTCATAAGGTTTCTTCAAAAATTTGTCCGTGTTTGCATGTAATCACTTTGGATGATTTCTATTCTTTCTTCAGAATAACCAACGCATACAAAAGCATCCATTCAGACACCTGTTCTTGCTCTGAGCCTTTCCAAGGGTTGTTCTACCTCAAATGCCCTTCCTTCTCCTCTCTGTTCTCCCATGTCTCCTCTTCCACAAATCCTTCCCCAAATATTGCAGTCTATGATGATTCTGTCCTCTCTTGAGCCCCAACATGTCATAGGCAGAAAATTTTACATGGTTTCCGTCTTCTTTCTCAACACAAGAGTACTTCCCATCCATCTCTGTATTTTCCACAGCACCCTGCCAGTAGCATGCACACACAGAGTAAACATTTGCTGAATGAAACAAAAATAAAAAACCAGTCTAGAATGAACCCCAGGATTAGAATGGAATTTAGAGATCATATAGGCTGATTTCCTACCCAATGCTTTCATCTTTCCACATCCTCCCTCAGATATTATCTCTGCTTGAATAGTTCTCGTAATAGAGAACTCACTACCACTCAAGATATCTATTTTCAAGAAGTTTTAAACATTAGGAAGTCATTTCTTGTTTGGCATACTGGAAGTCTAGCATTATTGCAATTATCTTGGTATTCATTCCAGCTCCATTTAGAACTATCCATCAGTGATATAATACTGATAATCGTCAATAATAATTCTATATATATACCTTTAGATAGTACTTGGAAAACAATGCTTAGTCTGTATATCCAAGAGTACTATGCAGTGAGGGTTAAAGATAGGAACTCTGTGAAAAATGATGCTTTATATGATTTGGGACTAATTTCCTATACCTATAGAAGACTGTTTCAAAGACTAATGTTAAAAATAGCTAGTTAAAAATTGGACAATATATTTCAGAAATGCTAACAGGAATTGAGGAAAGAAAAGATAAAAAGTTAATATTTCAGTTAATGGTTAAATATGTAAATTTATTATTTAGCTTAAAAACTAATTTGGAACAACATACATGTACTTCAAAGGGTAAGAAAGTTAAGGGGTAAGCACGCAAAAACAGGTTCATTTGTCTTTTAAATGAAGGCTAGAATGTTTCTTAATTTAAAAAAACGACTAAATGTGAAGCTAGAGTTAATCTTTGAATTGGTTGTGGTGGTATTTTCTTGGATGAACGTTTTAAGAAGTCCCTCTCAATAGATTTGACATTTGTAGTCTATTCTAGCAAGACACAGTGATAAGAGTTGTCACTGCTCAGTCTTTTATTTCAAGGTTACTTAGCTGCAGTCTTGGGATGACCTAGGCAATAGGAAAGAATGTCAACAATTTCTTTGCTGTAGAGCAAAGGAGAAAGGAGAAAAGATTAATAATTAAATACCAAATTTTGGGTGAAAAATCATTTCCATTATATACTAGTCCGCTTTCATGCTGCTGATAAAGACATACCCCATACTAGGTAATTTATAAAGAAAAAGAGCTTTAATGGACTCACAGTTCCATGTGACTGGGGAAGCCTCACAATCATGGTGGAAGGCAAAAGTCACATCTTACATGTCAGCAGGCAAGAGAGAATGAGAGCCAAATGAACAGGGGAAACCTCTTATAAAACCATCAGATCTCGTGAGACTTATTCACTACCGCCACAACAGTATAGGGGAAACTGCCATTATGATTCAACTATCTCCCATTGGGTCTCTCCCACAACACATGGAAATTATGGGAGCTACAATTCAAGATGAGATTTGGGTGGAGACACAGCCAAACCATATCACATTACTAAGAAAAAGAACATAACACCTGCTAAATGTAACAGTAGGAATATAAATCTGGTAAAGGGGAACTCCAGGAATAAAAGAAAATTTAGAAATGGAGAGAAATAACTTTTAAGATGAACATAAAAACAAGGGAAATTTGCAAGCATAGATTTAGCAATTTAGTACTATTTTGTTAGAAACAATAAAAGTTACCTATATTTAAATAATAGAATGGAAAAAAAAGTGTGAATAATCAACAGTAAACATTAGGACATTCTTTTTGATTTACAAATGTCTTTTCTAACATTCTTCTCTATCACCTTACAACTATTAGAGTTATTCCTGCTGACAAAAGGAGTGGAATCTTACCTAGCAATCTTGGAGCAGTTTAAAATACTATTTAAAAATGAAACAAAATATAAAATGAAAAAAACAGGAATTTCATTTAAAATGGGAGATCATTACATGTAATGCATGCCTAATAACATAAAACATAAAATAACATAATAAAGAGCAAAATTATTTTGGGCATAGAAATTTTTTTCTTGAATAATTTATCAGTGCTAGTCTGGCAACAAAAGGGATACCGGGGTAACCCAGAATGCTTGTTGGGGTTTCTTTTGTTTCATGAGTGTATTTACTTTGATGATGTATCCCAGATCCTAATTTGGGTTAACTAACAGCTTAAAAGGGTTGGTATCCCAAGGAGAGGTAGGGAAGGTATAACCTTTTAATCTTCCAATAGTATCAGAAGGTCAACAAGGCTGGGGTGAGGTGTGGGTTACACCAAAACGATGAATAATGTCACCAGGCCACTCCCTGCTATTCTTGTCTGGAAAACAAGATGCATTTTTTTTAATAAGCAGGCTAGCCTGTCCTCTGGATCCTACCAGCATTATCCCTTTAGGAATGCAGAAACTAAACATCTGTATGTAGTACATGGCCCAGCACACGGTGGGTGCTGACTCAATATTTTTTGACAGAATATTATGTTTGACAGAATGAAATTTTTTTATCATGTCTGACATATGGCAGCCCAACTAAAATGACATCTCCAATCATAATCATGGACAAAGTGACCTCCTTGACTTGGAAGACCTTTTGCCCAGAGCAATTCAAAAGTTTTGTCAAGCCACATGGTTATGTTAAAAAGTCCCAGATCAGTACTGCGATCAAGAATACAGGGCAGCCAAAGACAGCCTCAGGAGAGCAGTCCACGGGTCTGTGGAAACCACACAGAAGGATGTGGAGTGGTACTGAGTGAGCCTGTGGGTTGTCAGCAACCTGTATGCCCCCAAACAACAGTGTCAGTATTTGAGTGTTTCCAGTCCTCTTTAATTAAAGATTATTTTACTACTTTAAAATGGAAACAAAAAAATATCTCTAGAGTGTATTTCTAGGGCCCACAGGAGTGCTAAAGTGAAAAAAGAATGTGACAACTCAGAAAGAAACCTGGGTCATTTTACAACTGCCCCCTGACACAAGGTTCACAATGGTAATATTCACTGTGGAGACACTAATGGAGATAAGCGCTTTATTCATCCATCCCGTTCAGTACACCATATGAAGTGCTGTGCGGCCCAAGAGAAATACCACTTCCTCCACAGGCCTGAGTGACACAGGTTGATTTCACCTTCTTGTCTTCTTCTTAATCCCAAGGACACACTTTCCTGAAGGAAGTAAATTATCTTTTTTTCTTTCTTTCTTTCTTTCTTTTTTTTTTGAGACAGAGTTTCGCTTTTGTCGCCCAGGCTGGAGGGCAATGGCATGATCTCAGCTCACTGCTACCTCTGCCTCTCAGGTTCAAGCAATTTTCCTGCCTCAGCCTCTCGAGTAGCTGGGATTACAGGCATGCGTCACCACGCTCAGCTAATTTTGTATTTTTAGTAGAGACGGGGTTTTACCATGTTGGTCAGGCCGGTCTCAAACTCCTGACCTCAGGTGATCCACCTACCTCGGCCTCCCAAAGTGCTGGGATTACAGGGATGAGCCACTATGCCTGGCCTTGAAGGAAGTAAATTTTCAAAAGAAAATTGAGCAAAAAAGTAGGTTGGGAAGTATTTGCTGACAAATTGTTCCAGGAACAAAGAAAAGCACAAGGGGAGCAATGAGAAAATTATCCACATAAAATGAAAGTAGCACAAAGGAGAGATAGGTGAGAAATCTACGACAAGAAGGCAAATGAAAGGTTTTAGACTTTTTGCTGTATCTTTTTCTATTGCCTACTAATAATCTTGTTTAGCTAGCTTAGCTCTGGAGATCAAGTAGGCAGGTATAGACTAATGTAGGTCAAATTTCTAAATAATGATTTCCACAAACAGAAAAGTCACATTTGGAAGAGGAGAAGGCTAATTCTTCTTCAGAGGGAAAGAGAAAGAAGATTCTGTATGACAAGAACTGCCAATTAGTGAGTGTCGACTATGCCACCAGGCACTCCACAAGTGTTTTATATTGATTTTCACTAACGTATGTGGCATGTATCATCACGTGGATTAACAGATGGCAAAACTAGGAAGTTAAGTAACTTGCTTTAGGTCACAAAGAAAATAAGTGGCAAAGCTGGAATTTTAACCGAACTCTCTGACACCTAAGTTTGATTTTTTTTCCACAACACTGCCAATGACATACATTTGTTCAGTGATAAAGGAATGACAATATTATATTTCTCTTTAGGGAGCAATTTCCCAAGACTGTATTTTCTATTTAGCTGTGTCTGAATTATTGATTTGTTTATAGTTGCTACCCTTTACCATAAATATCTATGTTCAGTTTGGGGAGTAAGAAGCCTATTAGCATGATCGTTTTCTTTATGACAACTATATCATATATCAATTAAAATAAACATAACTCTGTAACAGCCTGGCCAGGTGTTACCAAGTACTATAATACTACATTTAACACCTGTGAGAATCTTGACAAAAATTACAAATGATATGCCAGGTGAGGAGCTGTTCCTGAATCAATGAAGCCTGTAAAAAAAAATAAAAAATCTCAGTATACTGTACTAAAAGAATGTACATACCCACCACCATAGAAAGAGGAGGCCAAAAACAGACTCACCAGCTTGAATACGAGTAAAGCAATAGGAAGCAGAATCATGGGGTAGTCTCTTAAAGGATGAATTTCCCGCTGTATCAGATGTACATCAAATTTTACAATTTCTAAGTAGCTTCAATAATCAAAAAGTCCTATAGAATATGTTTCTACTCGTCCAGTCAAAGAAGGAAAAGGGCATCTGCTTTTTGTTCTTAGAATTTGTAATAATAGGGTAGGGGGGACACAGTCTCTCCAGCAGTGCAGTTACCTTTAATAACATGCTGTTTCTCTGGTTACAATGAATAATCTTTTTGCTGCCTCTTTGACAAAAATTACTCATATAGCATTGGCATTGTAGTGGGTGAAAAGATGAGATGAGCTTTCAGTAATATGTTTAATTTTATAATCAAATAGCTATTGTAGTACGATCTCATAACCTATCAACATTTCCCTCTCTTCCTCAATTGTGCGCCAACATTTTGGAGAACAGAATCAACAGATGCAAAAACTTTCACCATGAACCTTTTGAATACCTGAAATCCTAATGAAGAAGGAAGGTAAGATGGGGCAGAGAGCTTGAGAGCTGGAGGGACTGAGGTGCAAGAAAAATCATGATCAATTTCTTATCACCACGGAGAGGAAAGTCCACAAAATTTTCACTTCCGATTCCGCTCAAATGGACAAGATCAGTTGTCAACTTTGCCTGACATTATCTTCATTTAGGCAAGTTTTACAAAATGACTGGTTGGGCCCCATTTCATAGAAATTCTAATTTGACTAGTTTTAGGTGAGGCTTATACGTCAATATGTTTTAGAAACTCTTCAGACAGTCTAATGTGCAGACAGGGTTGAGAAACACTGAACTAAAATAATTCAGAGACACAAATAAATGTAAACCATATTGGTAAGGTTTTAACATAAACCTCTTCTAAGACTTAGGAAAGGAAAGGTGGCAGAAAAATTCTAAGTGAATCTTGTTTTTATCCCACTCCTGTAGAAAAACAACACTTACTAGCAGTGTACACTGTGCTACTCACGAGGTTAGGTACCAGATACATACAGAAGCATGAAGTCAGACATTAATTCCCCATTTTACAACTGAGGAAATGGAGTGTCCTATATGTGAAGGAACTTCCCTAAGGTCAAAGAACAAAGACAGAACTTGATCCCAGATCTGTCTCAACTCCAGAGCTTTTTACCTTCTCAATTATCTTCTGGAACATTTCTTTTTGTACTTGATAACTTAATAGTAGGTGCTGGGCACTGCCTTTGTTATGACATGAAGTATCTCTATGCCTTCAGGATAAAGTGTGACTTTAACAACATTTTACACTGCAGAATCTCAGAAGAGTTCATTATAAGGGATTTACTATCCATAACTCCTGGCTATTAGCTACCTGACAATTGGCAGTGAAAAAGGGGGAAATATACAAAAAGACTGGAAGAGCAGGTAATGACAAGTTTCAAATGAACAAATCAAAGTATTAGTTAATTAACAAATCTACATGGGTATATATACAATATACATATATAATACACACATACACACACACACACTCTCTCTCTCTCTCTCAATATGCCGTGTGTTGGTCAGGGAGAACTCTTTAGGGTCTAGACAATGCAAGACATAAGAAGTTTTAGAGAGATAACCATGTCTAAGTAGCAATCTAATTGCCAAACCAGAAAACAAACAACGTAAGTAAAGAAAAATATATCAAAACACTACTTTTACAAGGCAAAATTAGGAAAAAACTCACAACCCAGAAACATTATAAGACATATTCTCCAAGATAAACTGAAATTAGGTGTGTTTCTAAATGTAAAAAAAAAATTAGATTATTTTTAAAATTATAGCTTCAGTAGAGTTTAGTAAAATTTTTCAAAAAGATGAATTTAGTAGCTAATAAAAGACAACTCTCCCATCCATGGTAGATGGTCAGTGTGACATCCTAGGACTGGAGTCATTTATTATTATATGTCAGAGCTAACAATAAAAACTTAATGGATTATTAACTTCCCTCAAGGTAGAAAGAATATTCTCAAATTTAAATGAAAAAATCAAAAAGTCAGAGAAAATAAACGAAAACCATTTCATTCTCTTATAAAGCCTAATATATTTTCTGCTTAAAACTCTGTAATTAGATTAAATACACAAATGGTTAAGAAAAAATTTACAAAATTAAACAAAAAAGGAAGGGCTAGGTTATTTTTCTTTATTACTGCGACAATATGACTTCATATTTTTCATAATTGTAGAAAACAACTTGCTTTTCACCACTTTAAAAGAATATTGAAATGTAAGATAATTTAAAATGTTGCATATAAATGTATACCCTTTACTTCCTATATCCACAAATGGACATTCCCAATGCTTTCCAGAATTTAAAGTGTTAAGAAGTTTGGCATTTAGAATGTCAGCAGATATGCCTTTGATATGATATTACATTAAGCAAATAAACTCAATGTAATAATTTTCTTAGTTATATTTATTATGCTCAACATTTTATTGTTAAACTTATTTTCATTGTATACCTCTTTTAGCTATACTTTTTAATTTTGTGTGAGTGTGTGTGTGCAAACATACATGTGTGCATGTGTGTGTGATTGCATGTGGCAATGAAGTAATATGCATATTCATTTTACTCTGGTTCTTAGCTCATAATTTTTTTATTTTTATTTTTTGGTATGGTCACAATGAGCATAAGTGACGATAGACAGTCTCTATGATATAGTTCTTGATTTCTTTTTAAGAACTTTCAATGATTTTGTAACTTTTTATTCTTAGAAAGGATTAGGAAAATGGTTCATTACCTACCATAATCTGTGATTTTACAGGACACCAAATATAGCTCTTTCAGGTTTTGTCCTTCCTTTGCAATGACCTCCACACACCTGAAACATACAAAAAGTGGTTATACTAATGCGTTTCAAGTTAAATTAGCAGGGGTTTGAATATAATAGGAAGAGGTCAGTATTTGGTGAATGCCACAGCTTCTTTAATGGTGTTTCAGGAAAGGTATTATATTCCCTGCTTTAAAGTCAAGTGCTGTCATACCTAAATGACTTTATTTAAATACATTTATGACTAGTGCATCTTTTAAAACCAAACAGCTTAAAAAGAAATATTCCCATAAGAGTAATGTTACATTTGGTAATAAAAGACTAGTAAACATATGCTATTTAATGAATATATATTATTTATATAATAATAATTTATTATAATAGAACTGTAGAATATAGATAGATCGTTATTATAGGTAGATGGTTATATGCTCATGGTTCAATTATTAATGATGGAATTAGGTAGCACTGAAATAGTATTTTTTGCAAAATTTTATTCAACATAATATCAAATATATTCTAAAAAGCTATAATTTTACAGATTAAAGATGAAAGAAAATATACACACATAACTTTAAAATCTTTTACTTTAAAGTATCTTATTCTTAATATTGTAAGTAATTTGTTGTAAAGGTTTAGGCCATTTTAACAATATAGATACAGATATGTAAGACTGTCTTTTCTGGTTTCATTTAAGTTTCATTTTTTTTTAATGGTGCACTCTGCTCTAATAGGCCTAGCGGAAGTTGTATACAGATTCGAATGAACTTTAAAAGTAATGATTAACAATATTATCCATTTTGTGGCTCAGTTTCCTATAATATCAGAAAAATTTGTGTAGTCATACAGACACACAGGCAAATGCACCCTTCAATGCAGTCCCTCTTTTAATCTTTATAAATAACAGTTAAGTAAAAGGGTAAAAGCAAAAAGAGTCATTAACCTTTTCTAGGAAGTAAGGATCAAGTAATTTGATACCTGTGTGCATAATCTATCAAAAAATTACTCAGTATCCATCTCTGTCTTTCCTATATTTTATTTGCTGTCTGGCTTATTTGTAGGAATCTTCATAAAATGTCAGGAAATTTTATACAATTTTACTTCACATAATTCATTATTGAAGGTTAAATTAGTTATAGAGAAGACATATATGTTTTTTAAAAATTTTTTATGGAATTTTGTTTTAATGGAATGATAAACATTTCAAATTTCCTCAGAATAACCGAATAAACATTATTTTTCTTCCCCTATTCAAAAAAGATCTATAAAAAAATGGATAAACTTTTCCATGTCTAAAACAGGAAACTTAAAACAGCAACACAATGCAATTATGATTGATACAGGTTGTGAGGGAAATTTTAAAGCCTAATTCCACGTCATTTGGTTATAACATAATATTTAAATAAATTCATTTAAAAAAGAATAAAAACAGAAACGAAACATTACCAACAATAACAACATTTTATATGGTAAAAACTATTTTTACACGCTAAGAGTACAAATAAAGGCCCTAGACTATAATATCCTAAATCATTAAAAAATAATCTGACGGCTTTCTGTCAAATCAAATATACATATCTCACTGTCCTCTTCCATTGCCTACCAAAAAAACTAACACATCCAATATTTTGTGTGGCCACCAAAAATCATTAATTGCAGTTTGTTCTCATGCTCTATTTGAATAGTTCAAAATGCCTGATTCATATTTGATTATGCTCTAAACAAGTGCAATATCCTATTTATCTTCCTTGTACTTGATTTTACATTAAATATGCTATAAGCACATATGAACATTAAAGACATACAGATGACTACAAATAGCAAATGACACAAATTGACTTCACTGTACAAGCCAAGTCAAATGTTAGTACATAAGCAACAAGAACCAACATTTATATAAAATAAGATGATCAATCACTGGATAAAGACTGTCCTAAAAACTGATAAAGGGTCATGAGCATCAGGTTTCCCCGCTATTCACAGAGAAAAGTTCAAGAGGTGTAGACAATTATGAATACGTATTATAAAATCATTTAGCATACTCAGGAGGCAATACAGTGGCCAAGAGACAACACATGATTAAGAGTGAGCAGTGTCTTTCAGATAAAAAAGGGAGAAATATAAGAGAAAAGCAATTTGCTTTTTATAAAGAATCACCTAGCATTTCTGCTGTTCTTGAAAGTTCAGGTAAACAAGGTTTTCCAAATACTTTTAATTACCTTGATCACAGCCAGTGTGCTAAAAGTCATGTACAACATAAAATTATTCCTGAAGTAAAAATTCATGGAGACAAAACCATACTCCTTGGAAAACTTGTAGCAAAATATTAATTTTATATCTGTTATGGATTTTACATTTGAAAAGAGAAACCCCAAATTCTGTGATTTTGGACATAAACGTCATATATACTGAGACACAAAATTGAGTGGTTGAAATAGGTAGATAAAGTAGCTGTTGTTTCAAGAATTGAAAATGGAAGTGGTTTGTATTATCCCATTACTACAAATTGGTGGAAATGGAACACCACCTCATGTTCCCGGCTAGTGTCTAAAGTCTCGTAATCCACCTATGTCGCGTTTCCCTGGCAGCATGTGGTGATAGCAGTTCATGATGAGAGATTGTGGGTGGTGACTATCCTTTTCTCCTGAAACTTTTAGAGTCCATTCTATAACATGCTTACAAGTAGTACATAACACAAGTCTGTGAACATACTTACTTTAAATAATTCCACTGTTTCACAAAGAATCTTGGCTCTAGTCATAACCTTTGGTGTATTAAAATCAGAGCAATTCCCAGCTCACTGTATAGTATGTATGCAAAAAACAAAGTCATAAATCTTAGTATGGACTACAGGTACAGCAAGTTAAGAGGCATTTATAAACTGATACCAATAAAAGAGAGAAATGTGTGCAAAGTGATAATCTTGAAGTGAGAAGGAGAGTGACAGAACCAAAGACCACATTTAAAATGTTTACTTCTTCATCACCTTTCTTACAGATACTACATAGAAGAACATTCATTAATCATAGTCATGAATTAGTTTGGTCTGTAGGAGCAAGCCATGAGTCTCTAAACTCAGAATCTAGAATTCAAGTTATTCCTATTTTTCCCCAACCCCTTGTCCCCATCACTCCTATAGGCAAAGCTCAGAATATCACATGGCCATTCTCTATGGATCAGTAGGTTCAAAGATTTCCCACTTCATGTATGACAACATAAGGAGTTATAAAATTTGGAAAAAGAACTGTCTCCTTACAGAAAGTATCCGTGTATAAGATAATTAAGAAAAATTCATAACATGGGAAAATGGCATAGTGGATAAATGCTGAGGAATATCAAATACTTTTAAAGTAGCTCATGAATGTCAAGCACAATTAAGATTACTAAACCCTAAGGAGAGATCTGTCTTAACAAGAGAGAATAAAAGAATCAAAAGACATTCTAGTCTTACCTCCAGGGAATCACAGAACAATCACGTACATTTTTTGGAGCCCTATATCATCATTCTCTACAAGATAACTCCATATGAAAAAGTTATCCAAATCAAATGTCTTCGGTTCATTTAAATATACTTTAATTTATTCTGAATTGCCTACCCTCAGTTTATTTTCCTGCTTTTATGTTTTGGCAGGGGTCTGAAGAGAATTAAAAAAAAGACATTGCTACCATTGTAAATTCTTGAGTAACAGCTGTTGAGTACATATATATAAACTCTTTTGGAATACAGAGAAAGGGCCAGAAAACCTGCTCCAAAGTATCCTAAGCATCCAGAGTTATTTTTGATAATAATGTAATTTTATGCTCACTTGGTTTTGATAATGTTCTAAAATGCACCTGAAACATTTGATGAAATATGAAAAGCAACAGAAAGGTTACTTTGGTAAGCTAGATAGGATTTTTTTTCAAAGATGAGAAGGCATTACTTACTTTCAGTGGAGGGAAAATCTGTCTCCTTAGCAATAGATTCGTAATCATATGATTTATGTGAAGGGTAAAGGTTAATGAATTAAGCTGTGTAAGCTTCAAAACTATCAAAGGAATTCAAAAGAGCCTTGAATTATGGAAAACAATGGCCCATTCTACATACATACCAAATTTTTATGTTTTTTTGTCTCCTACTCAAAAGCTAGAACATGGCATTAGTGACAATTGAAAAGAACTAATGAGGAAATATGACTACATCGCTTGCAATAGGAGTGTCCTAGGAGACCTTGTTACTGTTTGTGATGTGCTTCAAACCCTAAAGAAGCTAATTGGAGCTGCCAGACACTGGTTTGCAAATCTCACTTTAAAGGACAGGCTCCATCACCTCAGAGGTGTGAAAAGAAATGTCCCCAGCAGAGATGCATTAGTATGTGGCTTGGTGAATTTCTAAATAAACTTTAGGATGTTCTTTCCTAAGTCACTTTTATATTTGAATAATAGATATATCTTTAAGTGAAACACAAATGCAACAAGACAAAAACAACCCCACAGATCTAAAACAAAGAACTATGAAGAGTGTCGTAAAGTAATTGGCAAATAAGTGCATCTGGGAGCTAGGTATGTTTAGGTTGAATAAACGTGTGGATCAAACCTCAAAACTCCTGAAACAAATCATAAAAGTGATCTATTTGGGGTTTTAGAAATAGAACCTCATTTTCATCATTTCTTGAAACTAAACAAGCCAAGAATCCAACCTATGTTACATAGATGGTAAGTGGGTAGGGGCTTAAGTAGCTACAACACATACACACACACACACACACACACAAACACACACACACACGCGCGCGCGCACACACACACACACACACACACACACAGGCCCCACACGAAAGGAGTAAAAATTGTTTACGAGATCTAAAGAGAGTAACGAGAGCAAACAGTCCAATTCCATGCTGCAGAAGCTCATCCCCACTAATTCATACGTGGGTCATTTAAATGATAGCAGAGGTCACCAAAACACAATTTGGTATCTTACAGAAAGAATAATGATATCTGATTGATTTTTCTAAAGCTCCAAATCAGGTTTTACTGAAGAATAATCCAATCCCAGTGCAGTAAACGAATGGGTATAATTTATAGGTTTACTCTGCTTTCAGAAAATGCACAATATAAAAGATTTCTATGCACAAAAGAGGTAAATTTACAAGTAAACTTTTACAAGATGAGTCAATTCGAGAATCTATTAATACACTTGATCTCAGTCAAAAGGCCAAGAAGTAATCAAGTATCTATTAATAGTATGCTTCCCCTTAATACATTTGAATACAATTTCATTTATGAGTCTTATATTTATAGTTACTTTTTCTAAGTAATAGGACATCTTAACCTTGCAGAAATGGCATGAAATAGTTTTTTTTTAATCTTCAAGTTAAACAGCTATACATAAATGACAAATATAAGATTATTTCTGGAACATGACAGATGGTATCAAGGTGATATGTTAAATCCACTTTGTATTTTACAGTATACTTTTTTTGTAAATGCTCTTCTATTCAATCCTATTGACAACACAATACCAAATATACACCTAAGTCAATTTTTCATGTAAACTTCTAAAGATGTGCTCATAGAAGAGATGTTTACCGCAAGAAAAATTCTTTTTTAAAGGTTGACTTGCAATTAACATGCGAGAGCATTTGCTCAAAGCACGTTCTTAATATACCACAGGGGCAAAGACTAGGAGTGACATGCAAAATATCACCAACTCCACCAGTTAACAACAATTATCTCCGGACACTCATTAAGTTCTCACTACCAAATGTTATTCTCTAGAAAGCCAATATCTGATTAGTGTGGCTGAGATTAATTTAAGCTCTTGCTACTTAAACAATAGCAAACCGATGCCCATTTTGTCACACTGAGAAGTAATGGAAGGCTACAAAATTAGAAAAGCAGTGTTTTGTTATTTATGTTTTAATGAGACACATCACAAGAGGTGGCCTACAAACTGAAATGTTATTAAAACTTAAGTACTACGGGTTTGCATCTTTGCCAACAGAGGGTGTCCTTTAAGGAAAAGGAGGCAGAGCAGATGTCATTTGCTGATTCTTTCTGGACCACTCTCTCCTTGAGTGTCTAACATTAAATAGGTTTTCTCATTGGAGAACAGGATTTAGCAATGAAAAAGTAATATACCAACAAAATAATATTTTTCATATATTTAGGAATGGCCATCACAAACCTGCTGTTATGAAAATACATTTTTCTTCATTTATATAGTAAAATGTTTAAACTTAATTTGAGTGTTTCTTAGAATACTTTAAAAATGTATTTTAGACAGAATAAAGCCTGCAATATTTTAAAATGCACATTTTCTTTAAGCTACTAAGAAACAAGACGATTAAATGTTTTTCTGAGGGGCAGGTACAGAAATTGAAGTAACAAACTTGCAATAAACTTGGCTCTGGCTTTAATATTTCAGATCTACTTAACCAAAAGTCTTGCTTTTTAATTTTAGCCATTGATCCATCCATTACCATAACTAACTAAACCTTACATAACAAGTTAACATTTTCTAAGCATTCCTCAGAATATGCAAGAAGCAGAAAAAAGATGCTAAGCTTTATTTATTAATTAATTCACTTAATTCAAGAATGTTTCATTGAGTGTAAACTATGTTTTAGAAATACTAAAAGATATAATCAAAAGCCACATTATTATAAAATGATGAACATAATACTTATAACCTTGATGGATCAAATATTGTTTATTTTTTGTGACTGTAGTTGATATTAATGTTCCTACCTAGGAGCAGCAAAGTCATATTACTATCTCTATAACTATCAAAAATCAACTGAAGGTCAGCATTTCCTTTAGTCCTGTAAATAAAATATTTCAGGACTAAAGGAAACGCTAGAAAAAAAATTAAAGGCAAGCTTTCCTAATTCACCAGTTTATTCATTCTTCGGTAGAAACACATGTAGTTAGTTACTTTGAATAAGGAAATGCTAAGAAACCTCCTCCATCTTTTAAGGTTTGTGAGTTTCCATCAATTCATAATCCGTAACTCTAATGGAATCCAGATACTGTAAAATTTTGATATAGTTAAGACTGGTGCTATCTTTATGGTGTTCTGGCATATTTTAATACAGACAGCAGAAGAGAAGACTTTGTCACCCTACATGTAACAAGGATTTACCATGTGGAAACAAAAGCTCAGGACCCTAGAAAAGCAGAAATACTAAAACATTTAAAACTACAATCTAGGTTAATGAATTGTAATTCTTTAGAGACCATTCTTGTCCTGAAAAAGAGTCAGGCAAAATTCTGCAACTCGAAACTGATGCCCACCACAAAAACATTAATAGTGAAAACTAGAAACATTGTAAAGAGATTTGTCAGGGCTCCAAATAGCTAAAAAGGATACCGTGAAATTTAGGTGAAATATTAAACATATAATTGATGATAATCTCTCTGCCCAGCCTGTTCCCTTTATCTTAACTGCTATAAGTATTGATATGAAAGTCTCAGTTCAACAGAGCATGTATTTTAAGCTTACTTTTAATTTAAAATGGCTAAGACTAAATTATTTTAGTGGAATATAAAAGCACTCAGAAGATGAGATTTCAGGCATCATTCATGAAAGAGTTAAGCACTTCCTCACCAGAAGACAGCCACAACTCTGCTTTGCAGTGACTAATTGCCTCTTTAACCCCTGTGCTCTGGGAGTTGGCCTGTGCTTCAATACTAGTTTTGTGCTACAGCCAAAGACTGATGTTCAACACAGACCTCCCATGACCTGTGTAGCCAAGGAGGCAACTCAGACAAGATGCTGACAAAAGGTTTCCTTCTCATTTGGGAAGGCATAAAATCTCTTTTTGGATAAGCCAAATTCTCAGAAGACTACAAAACACAGGAGGTAAAGATAATTTATAAAAGTTAAAGGAATGGTTTCTCACTTGAGCTAAGAATGATTCTAAGCATCCCAATGTATCACTCAAAATTTTGTTCAAAAATGGTTTTAGTAATACGAAAAAAAAGTTTAGTTATTTTAAATGCAATGAAGACGGTACCTAATTTGATGCCTTTGAAAGCTTATAATTAGATAGCTATAATCAAATACAGAGGAAAGCAGGTCAACATCTTCATTCCAAATGTTTCCCGTATGCTTTAAACATTCATAACCAGGAAGCCTGCACTTTGTCATTAATTTTTAAGCCTGGCAACTTCTGGTTTGATCAAAAACTAATAAAAAAATTTTACAGGAGATTTTACATAGAGATTATACAAAACTAATTAATCCTGCAAGCAGGATGGCAGAATAGGATAGTCATGACTTCTTGTTATTTTTTAAAAGGGAAGGAATGAGGAAGGAGTTGTAGATTAGGGAGCAGAAAAAGTGTAGGCAGTGGGAACAAAGTAACCCACATATTCATTCAGAAATAAGAAAGGAGAAGAATCACACAAGCTTGAGGAAGGCAGGGACCTACATAAATTTGACACTATTGATACTTAGCCAGATTGTACTCTGAATCCTTTGAGTCTCAAGGATCATCACTGAATATATAAAACCTGCTTCCAAAGCTCTTGGGACTGCCATTGCTTTACTCTTATTTTTCCCATATAATTGCACATTAATGTTCACATCAGAGGCAAATCATCTTTGCTGTAACATTTGTAAGAAAGAGGTAGCAGGTCATGTTAAGTTGTTTTGGTGCACTGTGTTTATGCAGAGAGATAACTTTTTACTTAAAAAATAATTCTTTTTATTTATAGAAATATGTGGACTATATTTAAAAAAGAATGTGACAATAAAAGGCATCAACCAATAATTCTCTATAAAAATTATGTAGTTTATTTTTTTAATCCAAAAGAAAGGAAGATAGCTGATTTTGGTTATTTTTTTTTTAACCGAAGGATAGAGAAAGTCTTCCACATTTCCTTTTTAATGTTCAAGTAAATGCTATAGGATTAGAATTCGAGATTCCAGAAGAGGCTATTGAATCTTACGTAGCTTCTCAGGCTATCAGGCCATTTCAGTGGTTCCTAACGTTAAAAAGTCCATTTGTCTGTAAAATAAATATACTTCTAGAGGTTTCTTTCTAAACTGTTTAATAATGCAAAAACTTGGTTATAAATAACTTATAATCAAAGGACTATGTAGTATACGTGTACATGTATGTACATACACTTATGAAGAGAACTCTTAACAAATATATTTTTTCCTTATCAATATTGTCACTAAATCAACAAATACATAGTTGTTGTGTGTGCACTAAATAAAATAATTTAGCAGCCTAACCTCTGAAATACCATAATCACAAAAGTCCAGGTTGCTCTGCATGGATTAGTCACCAGTCTATTCCCTCTGAAGAGAAACACATCTCTGTTCATAGGGAGAGTGGTGGAAAGCTAATGAAACCAGTGTGGAAGACTGATAGAGACCACAGGGAGGAAGTATTACCCATTTTCTCCTTGCAGAAAGTTGCAAAAGCAAGACAGTAAGTAAACACGGAGAAAGGAGAAGGCACATTTCACTATTTGTTTCAGACAGTGGGTACCTCTGCAGGCAACATCATGTCTGACAGCCAGCAGAAACAACCAACATTCCCAATCCAGTACTCAGATTTGCGTTATTTTAAAGGATAAACCAAAATGAACAGTGCATCTCTTTGGCGTATTTTGAAATGATCTACTATTAATTAATACAGTTACTGTTCTGTCTGCATAATCAACAAACCATTTAGCAAAAGAGAGTAACTGTATTAAAAACTTCTGCTCTACACAAACAGCACTCCTTTCAAGTACCCAACTAAATAAAGGCATAACATTCTGGCATTCTGTGAAAGAAAGATTGAGAGTTCAGGAGAAATAGTTTATTATTTTCAAAAGTCATTAGTGGAATAAGGAAGGGGAGCAATGGCAGGTGTTTGAAAGAGATGGCAGGTAAATGTGCCTGGAATCAGTTGGTCAGTTTTGTGCTTCTATAGGTCGTGAGGGCATCATGAATTCCATCCTGGTAATGACAGAATTTTATAGAAAAAAATAAAGTTAGAGCATAAATTCATTTTTTGGAGATCTTTTATTGAAAGGTAAGCACAGACAGGGTCATTAGATTCACAATACTATTAGGCCATTTGGCAACATTTGGGGCTCTGGGAAAAGTAAGAGCAATTCAATGACATATCGCACTCTGAAAAAGGTGACAAATTATAAAAGGTAACAGTATAAGCAAGTTAGCGAATGTGGATATATACTCAGGGAAGCATTAGTTGAGTTAGTAATTTAAGTTTGTGGAGAGAACACTGTAATGGGGAAAAAGAAAAGAAATAATACTCCATATATTGCACAATTACTAAGGAGCCCAAATTTATTTTAGCTGTTTACTTATATTTAGCTGTATTCGATTAGAAATTCATATAAAACTATAAAAGAAATATTTGAGAAAGGCAATGAGGGTAAAAAATAGGTAGAAAAATAATAAAATCTGGGATATACCCATCCTGAAGGCATTCATATAATTCAGACCTGGAAAGCTTCCACAAGTGGGATAAAATTTCAAGCTTTCAAAGAACCAAAGAAAGAGGGAAGCATGGTAATTTATGCATAATATCATAGGAGTTAAAAAAATCAGATGTTCAAAAGAAGCTACAAAAAGGCTAGATATGCTTGAGGCATTTCTGGTGGAAGGCTGACGTTTTAAGAAAGTTCAAAGTATTCTGCATCCATTTAGAAAATGTCCTCCCACTTCTTAATAGCATTGTAAACTTAATCCATGAGAAACTGGTCTCTCAAAAAAAAGTTTTAAAAATCAGAAAGTATCATTGTACATGGTTAGCAACATAATACAGTAATAAAACAGAGATGATACTTCACTACACCTGTATTTTACTGAATTTTAACACTTCAGGTAGAAAATCAATTGGTTATAGATAATGGAAATGCATCTGCAATGCTGACTGCCAAAATTCTGTGTGTGTGTGTTTAGAACCTGGTACTGAAGTTGGGAACTAAATTCAACTTCTCTAAGTCTCTTCTATAAAATGGAAACTACAATATCTACCTCCAAGGATTTTGTGAAGGTTACATTTCATAACGTTTGCAAAGACACTTTTAGTCATTTAACAAACATTTGCTAACATCTACTTTGTCATTAATTATTTGGATACAAAGACAGATAAATCTCTTCCCAAAGGGAATTCACAATCTTCTCAACTTTAAATATCCTCCACATAAATAAGGCAGGGTTATTTAGAACAAAATAGTATTTCCTAAGGTACATTTCTCAGAAAACTAGCACTCTGGGGCTTTAATATTTGACATATGCAAGAAACAGTAAGTTTATGTTAAATCAAGTCCATTTTTTTTTATTTAGCAAAAATACAAATGTAAAGTACGTAGAGCAGCACCTAGCATACAGTAAGCAATTAAATGTTATTTATCATTATTGAGGCCCTAGCATGGAACCTGGCACACTTAAAAAATACCTGTAGTAGGCCGAACGGTGACCCCCAAGGACATCAGGTCCTAATTCACAGAGCCAATAAATGTTACCTTCCATGGAAAGAGTGTCTGCAGGTATGATTTTGAGATGGAGAGATTTTATCTTGGATTATCTGGGTGGGCTGTAAATGCAATCACTAGCATACTCACAAGAGAGAGGCAAATGAAGATTTGACACTGACAGAGAAGAGAAGGCAATATTACTACAGAAACAGAGATTGGGGTGATGTGGCCACAAGCCAAGGAATTCCTGTAGCTATCAGAAGCTGGAAAGACAAGGATTGGATTCTTCCGTAGAGCCTCCAGACAGGGGATGACACCCTGATATTGGCCAGGGAAACTAGTTTTGGACTTCTGTCCTTCACTATTGTGAGAGAAAATGTTTTCATTGTTTTTAAACTACAAGGTTGAGGTAATTTTTTACAGTAGTCACAGGAAACTAATACAGTGTCTAAGAATGATATTAATCACTGGATTACATGTGTAACACCAAGGAATTTGATTTATAAAGGTAACATGTTAATGGCAATTAAGATGATGTGATTGGATGGAACAAAATTTTAAGTTGTTGTGACAAAGACAAAAAAAGAAAACCTATACTTAGAGAACGCTACCATATCTTCAGCCTGAATTAGAATAAATTCCAAAAGGTATGTATTTAAAACTTGAAACTTTTTTAGAATAAAGACTCATTTTCCTCTGATATAATGGAAAATTTCAAGTGAAAAAGTTGACAGAATTGTGTAGTAAAAAACCCATTATCCATCACTTAGATTCTATAATTAACATTTTGCTATATTTGCTTTATCTCAGATGTATCCATCTATCTCTTTATTCATCCCTGTATCCATCCATCAGTTTATCTTATTTTTTATGCATTTCAAAGTGCAGACATTGATACATTTTACTCCTAAACACTTTAGCATACACATCATAAACTACAGATGAATGTTTGTTAATGGTTATTTATTAAGTAAATTTTACTCACTGTGAAATTTGTGATGTGGGCACAAATCTTAAAAGCAATCGGTTTTGACAAATGCATATATATGTCTACCTCGAACCCCTAACAAGATCTAGAGTATTCCTAACACCACCGAGTTCCTTCATGCCCAATGCCCATTCCCACTCACAAATGCAACTACCGTTGTAGATGTTTTTGTTACTTTGTTTTATTTTACAGTAGCTTAGTTTTATCCATTTTCTTTTGTGAGTAAAAACCTAAAAGTGAAATTGCAGAGTCACAGAGTATTAGTAGTACACACGTAGTAGGTGCGCAATTAGTTTTATAAGAAACTGCCAAATCTTCTTCCAAAGCTGTTATACCATTTTATATTCCTACCAACACACAGAATTTTAGTTGCTCCACATCCTCAACAACATAGATGTTATCAGGCTTTCAAATTTTAGACATTCTGATGAGTTCGTAAAGACGAGTTCAACATTAAAAAATTTAAAGATTCCATAATAACAATTCTACTCTTATTATTTTTCATTAAGGAAATACACAATGACAAAAAGTAACTAGAAATTGGGTAATATTTTTAAAGTAATTCATATACTTCCTGAATTTTGAAAAAGTGTACAAGACATAAAAATATATATGTGTCATATAATTAATGCATTTTACAGGCAATACTTGTTGTAAACCCCATGCAATAGCTTTCTGGGCCCAGATAACATTTCACATGCTAGTTCTTTGGGATATCTTCATGGTTAATTCTATTTATTTCATCACCTTTATTCCAAGCAACCTACATATCCAGCAACGACCAGACAACTTCAGGACACACACCTTTAGTCATTGCATATAGCCCTCAATATTATATTACATGTAGTTCTCCACTTTATCTCTAATGAGTTGAACTGGAAGTTGGGAACCAATTTTAAAATCAGCCCCAAACTGTCATCCTTGTTAGCATCAGGCTTTTCATTTAAGGTTTCTACTCTAACTGAATACTTGATGGAAGACCTTACATAATGTTGTAACTTAAAAGGTACACTGCTTATCCTATCACCGAAAGAATTCTTAAAATTGTGTTGCCAGAAACTGGATTAGGACTCTGGCATTAGCCAGCAAATAGTAAAGCTAGATACCATGTACCTCCCAGCAGTTTTCTTCAAATCACTGAAAATAAAAAAGGAATTTCTTTTTTTTTACTATTTCTAATTAATACTTGAGTAAATTGCTCAATTTTAAGAAACATGCAGTTATTTATTTTCATAGCTATGAATACTGTATATGAAATAAAAATCTTCACTGAAACATGCTAAAACCTTAGAAGTTTTCAAATGAACATAAAGCTGCTTTGTATTATTAGAGAGACAAACTATTATTTTTCATAAGATTAATGTTTTAAAAATGGAAACCACTGAGAAATAACTGCAAAGTTAAAAACTGTATCAAAGCTTTTAAAAGTCATTTTACACTGTTACACTATTCAATTATGCCATATAATTTTCAGAATATTCAACCTAATTCTTTTTAAAGTAAACTTACTATCAACCTCAAGGTTTTCATTTATTGACATGAAGGGTAATTTATCTTCTCTCATTGTTCTTTATAATGTTTGGCATTTTGAAGCAATGAAAGACTATTCACAGGAACCCTTCCCCCAATAAACATTACATAATTTTTTTCTACTAATGATCTAATACAGAAAGCCATGGAAAGTGACTCCAAATTACTCAATTGTTTTCAAATTTAAAGAAATTGATCTCTCAGTGTGTAGTTATGTACCTTTATAGTTATGTACCTTTATAAATAGTTATGTTTATACCTTTCTTCTAAGAACAATGATTAGAATCAATGTCTACAAATAATTGCAAAGGAGAATAAATGCATACTTATTGCAAAAATTAATACAGAGTCCAAATCTGTGAGTTTAAAAATCTCTCATAATAGCTAGCATAACAAATGCCAAACATTAATTATAAAAAGACATTCAGAATTATGTGGGAGAGGAAGAATTTTTTGTTCGTTTGTTTGTTTTTTTCTTTTCTGAGATGGAGTGTCGCTTTTGTTGCCCAGGCTGGAGTGCAATGGCGTGATCCTGGCTCACTGCAACCTCTGCCTCCCAGGTTCAAGCAATTCTCCTGCCTCAGCCTCCTGAGTAGCTGGGATTACAGGCATGTGTCACCATGCCCGGCTAATTTTTGTATTTTTAGTAGAGACGGAGTTTCTCCATGTTGGTCAGGCTGGTCTCAAACTCCCAACCTCAGGTGATCCACCCGCCTCGGCCTCCCAAAGTGCTAGGATTACAGGCGTGAGCCACCACATCCGGCTGGGAGAGGAAGAATTTTTACATGGCCAGCCAGCTTTGTATTCACACAAATGCAGTACCACCATATTTATTATTGAGCCTTGTTTCCAATGCCCATGCCCAGCCACCTTAAGTCTAGAGTTCAGCCAAACACCTAAAGCACTCTACCCTTGAAATCTGAGATATTATTGCCTGATCCAAGCCAGATTAAAGGTGTGGAGAGGCCATGAAGACCTGGGAAAAAAATATGGTTCCTTTTCCCTCTAGTTTTGTGAAAAATAACAATGAAAATACTAAATTGTACAATTAATAAAAGGAAAACCAAAGTCTAATTTTTTTCAGATTGTTTATGCTGCTCTCGTCATGCTGATACACTAAGGCTGTGCCTGGTATACCTAACAATAATCCAGGAGAAAGAATGAGTTTGTAGAAAGTGACTGCTGACCGTACTGGCACCAGTCTATTTTCCTGTTTTATGGATTGAGATGACTGTGCCAGTTTTTTTTGTTGCTGTTCAAATGTTGGCCCCATCTATTATTTTCAATGTAGCTAGAAACTCTGGATATTGACTTCTGGTTCATATATTCTTCATAACTTTGTCTGTGGGTCCACTGGACATATTTATTACAAAGATGGTTTCTCAAAACAATAAACCTTTCATACACTTAGATTCCATGAGAGTCACAAGGAAGCATCTCAGGCATATTTTGCGTGGCTGAGTCAGGGTGTCAAATAAACTTCTGAATATGGATACCTTTAGATCAGATGTGCACTCTCCAGTCCTGAGCATTCCCTAATGTTACATTTGATGCACTTTCTTCATTTACATTCCGTATCTGGCCCTCACAGAAATTTAAGTTTGCAACCCCTACGAATACCATATACATTGCCTCCACATGAATTTGAAACCCATAATTCAGACCCAAGCGCTTATGTCTTCTCATAGTGACCATTGCTCCTAACCCCTAGTTTCCCTTCATTTTGTTGTGACCATTGTATGAAGTATGTCATCATGCTGACCCGACTTCCTCCTGCTCTGGCCTGACTTTTCCGGCTACCATTCATCACATAGCCACTGGCAGCAGGACTCACGCTTATCTTAGATTAGATACGCAAAACAGGTTTGTTGAACGAATGAGAGAAGAATTGATGCACAGTAATAAGGCAAGTCATATTGTTATATACTTAGCATTTGAATAATTTTTATTATTCAGAATACTACTTTTGTTAAGAATATTTCAACAAAGTAGGGCATTATTTTTAGGCATGAGGACTGGTTTGCTTATAGTTAGGAAGAGAAATACCTAGGCAAAACTTGTCTAATAAAAGGGATAAAAAGCTTGTGGTAACAAAACAAAGGGAATTAAAAGGAGAAAAGGCTGCATATGTAGATCCCTAGGGTTTAAAATATAAATAATAAGGTAAGAATATGTAATGAAACATAAAGTAGCTTCTGCTGAATTTCTCTCAGTAAACATATCTCCTATGCTAGGTAAGACAAAAGGATTGAGAAGACACCATGATATTTATTTTACAGTAAGCAAAAAAACAACAGAAGCTATAATAATTTTTGACAATATTATGGGTATTGAAAATTATAAAGTGCCATTAATTTCAAGAAACTCATTTTACACTTCTTGATATTGGAAAAGAAACATTTACCTAAGGGAGGTAAATTTACTTTCCATGAAAATTTCCACTGTAAGACAAGGAAAATATCACAGTTTGTCAATGTGAGAGTAAATACCATAGTAAGACAATATGGGATTTGCTAGCGATTATTTTCAAAGAAGGTAGATGAGGTAAACAATATAGTTTAAAGGTACATTTTATTAATACTCTTAACATTTATTTACTTACAGAATTAAGACAACATGTTTACTTGAGGTACCTGGAACATACCTAACTCTTTTTAGTTTAATTCAGAAGTGGCAGTGGCTTTAACAGGCAGAATGACAGGGTGCTCTGGCCACAGACTCAGCAGTCTGAGTTCCCAGGACCAAATCCAGGCTTGCAGACCTCAGCAAGTTAGTGTCTCACATTCCTTATTTTTACAGTGGGGGCAATAAGATCTACCTCAAAGGGTTTTTGTAAGAATTAAAATAAATGCTGTATGTAAAGAGTTTAGAATAGTGCCTTGGATACATTGGTACATGTGTTAGTTATTATTACTTGAATTAAATTTTCCCTTATCTCTAGACATTATGTGCCTCGTGATTTCATATAACAAGACATACCCCACACCATCTATGTAGTATCTTGCCCCAAAATAAAAAAACTGAATTTAAACAAGCCTCTAATTTACCTATCAATTTACAAGAAATGTAACGGAAGGAGGCAAGCAGCAAAACATATGGAATGGCACCATAAGAAGATGATTAGCTAAATACAGAATGAAAGAAATTTTGCACGACAAATGATTCATGTTCTTCAACAAATAAATGACATGCAAAAATAGGGAACGGGATGTTAGTTATTTAAAAAGACCTAAGAGCTATATCAACCAAATGAAACACTTGACCTAACTTGGATCCTAATTTGAATAAGTAAGCTGAAAAGGGCATTTTTTGAGACAGGAAAAATTTAACATAGGTTCCATATTATATAATATTAAGAAATTATTATTACATTTGTTAGTTGTAATAACAGGACTGTATGTGTACATTTTTTTAAAAAACCCATCTGATAGAGATAACTGAAGCATTTATACATGATAATTTTTTTGAGATTTATGTTAAAATACGCCAAAAAAACCCTCAAAGTTTAGGGGATCAGAAGATGAAATATCAATGGCAAAATGTTGGCAATTGTGTTTCGGTGATGGGTACACAAAGTTTCATTATATGATTCTATATTTATGTGTTTGAAACTTTCCACAATAAATGTGAAATTTCACAAATTCATTATCTTGTGGATTTAACATTTCTGTTTGCCCTTAAATTTGTTTATATGCCTATCATATTTGTTACTTTACTTGAGCAATTTAATTGAATGTTATATTATAATGAATAAATATGAACACAAAAGAGAGATAATTATTTCTATAAAACTACATTGAATGCATATATTTGATAAAGGCAATTCACAAAAAAATATGCTTTTGAATTAGATGTGAGTGAGATAATTGTAAAAATTTAGAGAATGTAAAAGTTGGTAAAACTTAAAAGGTTTCTACACTTAAATTGCTTCACAAGTATCTTAGTGATAACCTCACCATGATGTACTGAAAACTGGAAATCCTTGATGATATACTCGGGGTGTGGTTTATATTAGAAAGAAAACATGAAACTCCCAACAGTACACTTAGATGCAGATAAAAGGTCTCAGGTCTAAGTAGAAGACTAGTGAATAAATGGACATTTAAATAATTTTTAAAGATACAAATGTTTAAAATATTTTATTTTACAATCTTCCTCTTGCTTTACCTCTTTAAATGAACAAATACTAATTCCTACCAGGGCAGAAAAGAGGGCCTTCTACTGCGTTACAAGTTTTTGTTCTTTAATGAAGTTTTTAGATCCCTTGTTGAGTGCAAAGATTATTTCTATTTTAAAATACTGCTGAAAATAGTGTTTCAACTATGTAAATCAAGTATTTAATTAATAATATAAAATTAAAGCAGTATAAATTGAGGAAATGATATGATGTTTTACAGTTTTAATAATAAAGACTATGTGATATAACTGTAGTTTCAATAAATATAACCTAGAAGCTAGAGGCTGTTCCAAAAGCTATGTTTTGCATTTGATCAAAGACAAAATATATCAACTAGACTTAGTAAATACTATAACTGTGACAAGTTATTTATTTATATTCTGCCTACTTAACAAAAGAATTGATAAGTGTTTATATAGGCTAGTTGTAAAAAAATAAGATGCCCCTGAACTTTGCTGTAAAAAATAAATGCCTAAAATAAAATTACTTCCCAAAGCAAAGTTATGTAAAATATTCATAGTCAATATTATAAGTACCAGAATTTAAATATCACTTGTTAAAATTATCAGTTTTCATAGTATATAACTGGATATCAGCTCAAGCACAATTCTGAGTTTTATTCATACTCTTGGGGGACAACAGCAAATTCACAGAAGGCTACCCAAATCCTGACCATTAAAGTAGAAAAAATTAATCTTAATAAGACATATTTTGTTATAGGTTTAATTTAATATAGTCCCCATCTCAAAGATGTTAGAAAATGTAACAAAGCAGCAAATCAGAATAAAATTAATACATAATTAATGCCTAAAGTTCCATGCCAGAATTCTCCATCATACATTTTAAAATGATATCGTTTGGTATTTATTTAAAAATAGTAAAAATGTTGAAGCACATTACTTTAGATCTTGGGAAACAAAATAGAAAAGTTTATATTATAGTTTCTCTAAACCAAACTTCCCAAATTATAAAAACTAAATATTTGGGTATAATAATTAGATTTTGGCTTGACAATAAGAATTTAGAAATCAGAAAGCGCCTTTTCAAAAATGCTGTGGGCATTTTTGCTGTTTGGGAGTCACCCTAAACATAGTCACTAACACGAGCCTCTAATCATTTGGAGTTTCTACCTTCACTCTACAAACAGCTTACTTGTGAAAAAGAGACTTGTGGACTTAGTTGCCAACTTTCATGCCTTGCTTTGGGAAGGATCTGGGGAAAAAGACACGTACATGGTGGCAGCATAAATTAGCAAAACCATTCTAGAGTGTGGTCTAGCATTATTTATTCCTTAATGTATATACTTCTAGACCACCATATATGACCTAAAGTTATACTAGATTCTAGTGATATATGATTTTTAAAAAACTAAGAATGTTTTTAATAACTATGTTCTGTAACCCACAAATTCTATTTCTGCACACACAAATAGACTAGGTTAAATAAATTATGGTATCCAGATGCAAGCATTTAATAAGACGATATATATTTTCCCTGACATGCAAAGATTTCAAGAAATATTGCTGGATTTTAAAAGAAAGTCAAAAGCAGCATGAATAATATAATCCTTTCTACATAATTATTTTATATTTCTTACATATTCTTAAACTGGCTTGAATTTAATATCTTTATCCTTTTCAAAACAGTAAGTTAATTGCCAAATGATATGCAGGAATAAAGAGGTAACTTCTGAGGCTTTGTGGACATGAGGTTTTTACCGTGGAAGTTGACTAAGAGACATTAAATATGTAGGAAGATAAAAGTGGAGTGCAGCTTTGGCATTGTAAGAATGATTTGGTTTAGATCAGGCAATAAAACAGCTATAAAAATCATAATAATGTATCATAAATGGGAAGCATTATGGCACAGGATTTGGAATCAGAGACCTTGGTTTGAGTCTGGTTTCTGTCTTGTAATGTATGAATACAGACCAGGTTATATAATCTCTGTGATCCTATCATCTTAATAACAACATGGAGATAATGACTTCATGGGATTGTTGGGAATATTAAATGATGTAATATATGTACAGTGCTTTATATTCTTGAGTTCAATTATTTTAATTGGTAGCTACTATTATTAAATACTTCTAAATCAGAAAATACATATTTGTAAAATGGTTAAGGGCTTTTTTCTTTAGTATTTTATATTCCATCTCACAACATGAGAATGTTCCCCCTTCTAACAAAGGAGGCTCATGTTTAATCAACCTTCACAATTGGGTGTTAAGTAGAAAGGATTTCTCATGTCGCAAGGCATTTGTCAAGCCAAAATCATGCTAAGAACCTTGAATTGCTTACCTTTGACACTAAGCAAATTGCCTTTTTGTTTTTTTGTTTTGTTTTGTTTTGTTTTTGAGACAAGGTCTCACTCTATCACCCAGGCCGGAGAGCAGTGGCGCAATCATAGCTCACTGCAGCCTTGAAATCCTGGGCTCAAGTGATCCTCCCACCTTAGCCTCCCAAGCAGCTAAGACTACAGGCACATGCCACCACATCTGGCTAATTTTTTTAATTTTTAGTGGAGACGAGGTCTCACTATGTTGGCCAGGGTGATCTCGAACTCCTTAGCTCAAGTGATCTTCCCACCTGGGCCTCACAAAGTGCTGAGATTACAGGTGTGAGCTACTGTACTCAGCCCCTTTTCTTTAAATAACCCCAAATTCTCAAATTCCATTTTCTTCCTTTTATTGTGAAAATTTCGAGAAATACAAAAAAGTTGAAAGAATTTTATAGTAAACACCATTATACCTACCACCTAGTGTCTACCGCTAACGTTTTACTATACTTCTTCTATCATACTCATATTCATCTATCCATTCTATAATTCAGGGGTTTTTCTGAGATGGAGTTTCGCTCGTTTCCCATCTAGCAATGGTGCAATCTCAGCTCACTGCAACCTCTGCCTCCTGGGTTCAAGCGACTCTCCTGCCTCAACCTCCCAAGTAGCTGGGATTACAGGCATGTGCCACCGTGCTCGGCTAATTTTATATTTTTAGTAGAGAGGGGGTTTCTCCATGTTGGTCAGGCTGGTCTCGAACTCCTGACCTCAGGTGATCTGCCTCCGTGGCCTCCCAAAGTGCTGGGATTACAGGCGTGAGCCACCGCTCCTGGCCTTCAGTTTTTTATCAAACTTTTTATTTTGTAAGAACTGTAGATTCACATGTAGTTGAAAGACGTAGAGAGAGCCCATGTGCCCTTTCCCAGTTTCCACCATCTTGCAAAATTATAGTAGAATATCACAAGCAGGATATTGACATTGATACAGTTGCACAGAGAACATTTCCATCACTAGAAGGATTCTTCATGGTGTCCTTCTATATCCCACCCATTTTCCTCCCACCCCTACATCTTATTTAACCCCTGGTAACCTCTAATCTGTTCTCCATTCCTACAATTTTATCATTTCAAGAATGCCACAGAAATAGAATCATAGAGTATATAATTTGGGGAGACAGACTTTTTAACTCAGTGTAATTCTCTGGAGATTCATCAAGGTTGCTGCGTCTACAAATAGTCTGTACCTTTTTATTCAGTAGTATTCCATGATATGCACATACCACATTCTGTTCACCCATTCACTTATTAAAGGACAGTTATTTCCAGGTTTTGGCTATTTTGAATAAAGCTTCTATAAATATTTGTGTATAGACTTTTGTCTTCATTTCCCGAAGACAAATGACCAGGAGTGCAATTGTTGGGTCATACGGTAGTTGCATGTTTAGTTTTTAAAGAAAGTGCCTATTTTCCAGTGACTACACTCTTTAACACTTTAACAATATATGAGTGATCCAGTTTCTTAACATCCTCAACAGCATTTGGTTTTGTGACAATCTTTTTTTACCATTCTGATTGTAGTAAAAATCTCAATTGTGGTTTTAATTTACATTTCCCTAATGGCTAAAGACAGTGAACATCTTTTCAAGTACTTAATTTTTGTTCATCTGTATATCATCAGTGAAATGTCTATGTCATTTACGCATTTTCTAACTGGCTTGTTTTTAATTATAAAATTTCAAAGTACTTTCTATATGCGATACGTTAGTCATTTGTCAGATACATGGTTTGCAAAAATATTTTCTCCCATTTTGTAGTTTGCCTTTTCCATCCTATTAAAAGGGTCTTTCACATAGCAAAAGTTTTTAATTTTGATGAAATCCAGTTTGTCAATTTTCCTTTTATGGATCATGTTTTTGGTGTCAAGTCTAGAAATTACATGCCTAGCCCTAGACCCTGAAGGTTTTTCCCCCCCTAGGTTTCTTTCTACAAGTTTTATAGTTTTATGTTTTACATTTAAATCTGTGATCCTTTCTGAGTTCATTTTTATATAAGCTATGTGACAGGTTGAAGTTCACATTTTTTTGCCTATGATGTCCAATTTTTCCAGCACCATTTATTGAAAAGGCCATCTTTTCTTCATTGAATTGCATTTGCATCTTTGGCAAACTCACATAAGCATATTTACGTGAGTCCTTTCTGAGTTTCCTGTTCTGTTCCATTAATCTGTATGTCTAGTGCTCCACAAATGCCAGACAGTCTTCATTGCTGTAGCTACATAAAAACTCCTGAAATTGAGTAAATGTATTCCCCCAACTTCACTGTTTTTTAAAATTGTTTAGTTCTTTTGACTTTCCATGTAAGTCTTAGAATAGTCTTATCTATATCTACAAAAAACTTTCTGAGATTTTGATAGAAATTGCATTAAACCCATGTATCAATTTGGGGAGAAATTACATGTCTCCTATGTGGCTTCCAATCCATCAGCAAAGTACATCTTTCCATTTATTTAGCTCTTTGATTTTCAAGGCTTGTATAATTTCTGGCATACAATCCCTATACAAGTTTTCATTGGTTTACTTCTTTATTTTTTAAAGTGAATGTAAATTGTATTGTGTTCTTAATTTTGGTGTCCACATGCTCATTGCTAGTATACAGAAATACAATCGAGTTTTGTATGTTTATCTTTTATCCTAAAGTCTTGCTTACTAGTTCTAGAAATGTTTTTATACATTCCTTAGGATATTTCACATAAACAATTCGGTCATCTGTAAATAGGGGCAGTTTCATTTATTCCCTTCCAATCTGTATGCCTTTATTACTTTATCTGGCCAACTGCACTGGCTAGAACTTCCAGTACTATATTAAGAGTGGTGAGAGCAGATATCCTTACCTTGTTCCTGGTCATAATGAAAAAAAACATTCAATCTATCATCATTAACTATAATGTCAGTGGCAGTATTTTTTTGTAGATACTCTTCATCAAGTTGAGAAAGTTCCTGTCTGTTTCTGTCTTTCTGCAAGTAATTTTTATTATTAATGGATATTAAATTTTGTCAAATGCTTTTTTGACAACTGATATGATCATGTGATCTTTTGATTTTTGAATACCAAACCAGCCTTGAATCCCGGGAATAAATTCCAGTTGGCCATAGTGCATGATTCTTTTTATATGGTCCTGAATTCTATTTGCTCACATTTGTAAAGGATTCATTGGGAACACTGTTCTACAGCTTTACTTCTTTGAAGTGTATTTTTTTCTGATTTTGCTCAGCAGGGTAATATTAACTTTATAAAATGAATTGGGAAATGTTTCCTTCTGTTCTAGTTTCTGGAAAATATTGTCTAGAATTGGCATTGATTCATCTTAAAATGTTTGGTAGAATACTCCAGTGAAACTATGTGGACCTGGAGATTTATTTTGGGGGATTTTTTTTTTAAATTATCGATGCAATTTCCTTAATAAGTATAGTGCTGCTAAACTTAGCTGTTTTGTATTGGATAAGTTGTGGTAGCTTGTGTTTTTCAAGGAAGTGGTCTCCTTCATCTAAATTGTCAAATTTATGTGTGTAGAATTGTTTATTGTATTTCTTTATTATCTTTCCATGTGTGCAAGGTCGGTAGTAATATCTCGTTTCATTCCTGACATTGGCAATTTGTATCTTATCTCGTTCTTTGTCAGTATTGCTAGAGGTCTGTCAATTTTATTGATCTTTTCAAAGAACCAGCTCTTGGCTTCATTGACTTTGTTGTTTACTGTTTTCAATTTCATTGATTTCTGATATTATCTTTATAATTTCTTTCCGGCCAGGCGTGGTGACTGACGCCTATAATCCCAGCACTTTGGGAGGCTGAGGCAGGCGGATCATGAGGTCAGGAGTTCGAAACCAGCCTGGCCAGCATGGTGAAGCCCTGTCGCTACAAAAAAATACAAAAAATTAGCTGGGCATGGTGGTGCGCACCTGTAATCCCGGCTACTTGGGAGGCTGGGTCAGGAGAATCACTTGAACCCAGGAGGCAGAGGTTTCAGTGAGCTCAGATCGCACCACTGCACTCCAGCCTGGGCGATAGAGCAAGACTCTGTCTCAAAATAATAATAATAATAATAACAATAATAATTTCTTTCCTTCTGCTAGTGTTGGCTTTACACTGCTCTTCTTTTTCTAGCGTCTTGATATAGAAGCTTAGCTTTTTGATTTAAAAATTTCCCTCTTTTCTAATATCTGCACTTAACAATATAAATTTCCTCTTAGCACTATTTTAGCAGTTTTCTAATACCAAATTTAGAAAATTGTATTTTGTATTTTCATGTCAATTTAGTCCAATATATTTTTTCAAATTATTTCTCTTGTGACTTCCTCTTTCACCTATGAATTATTTAGAAGTCTTTTCTGTTTCCAAGTGTTTGGAGAATTTTCTGATATCTTTCTGGTTTTGATTTCCAGTTTGAGTCCACTGTGGTCAGACAATACAATCCATATGATTTTAATTCTTTTAAATTTGAAGTTTGTTTTATGGCTCGGGATATAGTGTGTTTTGGCATGTGCGACATGGTTACTTGAAAAGAATGTGAAATACTGTTCTTGGTTGGAGTGTTCTATAAAAATCAATTAAATCTGTTGGTTGATAGTGTTATTGAGATCATTTGTTTCCTTGCTGATATTTTCTAATTGTTCTACCAATTGTTGAGAGAGGAGTGCTGATGTCTCCAACTACAACTGTAGATTTATCTTTCTCCTTTCAATTTTACCAGTTTTTGCTTCACATATTTTCCTGCTCTGTTGTTTGCTGCATAAACATTTAGGATGGCTATGTCTAATGGGTGGATTGATCCTTTTATCATTACATAATGTCCTTATCTGTCTCTTGAAATTTTCTAAAATATACTTTATCTGATGTTAATGTAGCCATTCCTGCTTTTCTATGTTTGCATGATATATCTTTTCCTATCCTTTAACTTCCAACCTGCCTATATTGTTATAGTTCAAGTGAGTTTATTAAACACAGCATATACTTGGGTCATGTTTTAAAATCAACTCTGTAAATCTGTATCTTTTAATTGGAATAGTTAGAGCTTTATACTTAATATAATTATTGATATGTTAGGCTTATGTTTGCAGTTTCATTATTTTTGTTTTCTATTTGTTTTCTCTGTTTTGCATTTGTCTGTTTTCTCTTTCCTGCCTTTCTGGGGTTACATGAACATTTTTTAGAATTGTATCTTGTTTTTAAGAGTATCTCTTTATATAACTTTCTAAATGGTTGCTCTAGGTATTATCTTATATATCTATAATTTGTCACAGTTTACTGGTGGTGTCATTTGATCAGGTTGAGTGAAGTATATAAACCTTACTCCTCTTTGCATCCCTTTACTCCCCATATTTGTAATCAAATATTTCCTCTGCATATATTTGGAACTACATCAGGCAGCATTATAATTTTTGCTTCAACCATCAAATACAATTTAGAAAACTCAAGAGGAAAATAAAATACTATTGTATTTACCCACATGTTTGCTTACCATGTTCTTTTTGATATTGCAAAGTCCCTTCCTTTATTATTTCCTTTCTGTTTAGAAAATTTCCTTTTGCCATTCTTTTAGGGTAGGTCTCCTGGTGACAAATACTCTTACTTGTCCTTGATCTGAAAAACGTCTTGGATTGGGTGGGGCCAAGATGGCCAACTACAAGCAGGGGCAATGGGAGGCTACCATGAAAAAGAACCATAATTAGCATATGAATCCTACGCTGGCAACCAAGGTATCAAGGTTCTTTCAACAGAACTGACTAGCCAGCTGGCGTGATCTATGGAGGGGAAGGAAGAGTAGTATGGTGCGGTGGTACACCTGAGAGCCACACGGGGCAGGGGAGCCACCCCTCATCCAAAAGAGGTGGCGAGTAAGTGTGCTACCCAGCTAGGGAAACTGTGCTTTCCGCATGGAACTGTGCAACCCACAGATCAGAAGATCCCAGTCGTGAACCTACACCACGGGGACCTAGGGTCCCAACCCCAGAGTGACGCAGATTCTCAACAGCCTCTCAGCTAGAATCCGCTTAAGCCTGCCAGGTCCCCAGGGGGAGGGGTGACCAGCACCAAAGCTGCAGCTGCTTGCTGTTTAAGTCCTGTGAGCTCCCTGGGGGAGGGCCAGCAGCCAGCACTAGCACTCATAACTGCTTAACACGCTAAGCTCCCTGGGTGGGGGAAGGATGGCATCCATCTCTGTAGCTCCAGGCAGTGCTTTTCCCTTGCTGGAGCCAGGGAGGCTGGATAACTTGGTTGCAAGAGCTGTCCCCCATAGCTCAACACACCGGCTGTGGCATACTGCGGCCAGAGCACCTCTTCAGGCCTCATTCTGACCCATCCTTCCTCACTGGGTATGGCCTCCCTGCAGGAACTCCAACAACTCCAGCCAGAGGCTCAGGGACAGAACCTAGATCTCCCTGGGCCTGAGCCCCTAGGAGGAGGGGTGGCCACTGTCTCTGCAGACCAGCAGACTTAACCTTTCCTCCTAATAGTTCTGAGGAATCCAAGCAGCCCAGACAAATGGGGTTCCCCCCAGCGAAGCACACCCCTCCACCAAGGAACAGTCAAAGTGCCTCATTAAACAGATCCTGTTCCCCATGCCACCCAACTGGGTGAGACCCTCCAACAGGGGTTGTCAGACACCCTAGAAAAGAGCGATCCTACTCGCATCATGTTGGTGTCCCTCAAGGTCAGAGATCCCAGAGGAAGGAGCAGGCAGCCATCTGTGCTGTTCTCCAGTCTCCTTGAGTGACATCTCCAGGCATGGGAGCAAAGCAGATGAAGAGGGCTTGAAGTGAACCCCCAACAAACTGAAGCAGCCCTACAGGAGAGGGACCTGACCATTGAAAGAAAAACAAACAAACAGAAAGCAACAACAACAGCATCAACAACAACAACAGAAGTCCCCACACAAACCCCATCCAAGGGTCAGCAGTCTCAAAGACTGAAACTAGACAAACTCATGAAGATGAGAATCATCGAAAAAATGCTGAAAACCCAAGAGGCCAGAGTACCTCTTCTCCTCCAAATGACTGCAATGCCTCTCCAGCAAGGTTACAGAACTGGGCAGAAGATGAGACGGACAAACTGACAAAAGTAGGCTTCAGAAGATGGGTAATAAAAAACTCTGCTGAGCTAAAGGAGCATGTCCTAACCCAGTGCAAAGGAGCTAAGAACCTTGATAGAAGGTTAGAGGAGCTGCTAACTAGAATACCCAGTTTAAATAGAAACATAAATGACCTGATGGAGCTGAAAAACACAGCATGAGAACTTCATGAAGCATACACAAGTATCAATAGCTGAATCAACCAAGTGGAAGAAAGAATATCAGAGTCTGAAGGCCACCTTGCTGAAGTAAGGCATGCAGACAAGATTAGAGAAAAAAGAATGAAAAGGACCGAACAGAGCCTCTGAGAAATATGGGACTACGTAAAAAGGCGGAACCTGGGATTGACTGGAGTACCTAAAGGAGATGAGGAGAATGGAAACAAGCTGGAAAACATACTTCAGTACATTATCCAGGAGAAGATCCCCAACCTAGCAAGACAGGCCAACATGCAAATTCAGGAAACACTACTAAGATACTCCAAGAGAAGATCAACCCCAAGACATATAATCATCAGATTCTCCAAGGTTGAAATAAAGGAAAAAATGTTAAGGGCAGCCAGTGAGAAAGCCCAGGTCACCTACAAAGGGAAGCCCATCAGACTAACAGCAGACCTCTCAGGAGAAACCCTACAAGCCAGAAGAGACTGGGGGCCAATATTCAACATTCTTTTTTTTTTTAGACAGAGTCTCACTCTTGCCCAGGCTGGAGTGCAGCGGCGAGATCTCGACTCACTGCAACCTCTGCCTCCCAGGTTCAAGCAATTCCCCTGCCTTAGCCTCCCAAGTAGATGGGATTACAGGCACCCACCACCACACCCAGCTAATTTTTTTTTTTTTAATCTTTAGTACAGATGGGGTTTCACCATGTTGGCCAGGCTAGTCTTGAACCCATCTTGGCCTCCCAAAGTGCTGGGATCACAGGCGTTAGCCACTGCACCTGGCCTATTCAACATTCTTAGAGAAAAGAATTTTCAACCCAGAATTTCATTTCCAGCCAAACTAACCTTCATAAGTGAAGGATAAATAATATCCTTTCCAGACAAGCAAATGCTGAGGGATTTTGTCACCACCAGGCCTGCCGTGCAAGAGCTCCTAAAGGAAGCTCTAAATATGGAAAGGAAAAACTGGTACCAGCTACTGCAAAATCACACCAAAATATAAAGACCAATGACACTATGAAGAAACTGCATCAACTAGTGTGCAAAATAACCAGCTAGCATCATGATGACAGGATCAAATTCACACATAACAATACTAAACTTAAATGTAAATGGGCTAAATGCTCCAATTAAAAGACACAGACTGGCAAACTGGATAAGGAGTCAAGACCCATCAGTGGGCTGTATTCAGGAGACCCATCTCACATGCAAAGACACACTATACAAAATAAACGGATATAGGAACATTTACCAAGCAAATGGAAAGCAAAAATAAAAGGCAGGGATTGGAATCCAAGTCTCTGACAAAACAGACTTCAAACCAACAAAGATCAAATAAGACAAAGAAGGGCATTACATAAAGGTAAAGGGATCAATTCAACAAGAAGAGCTAACTATCCTAAATATACATGTACCCAATACAGGAGCACCCAGATTCATAAAACAAGTCCTTAGAGGCCTAGAAAGAGACTTAGACTCCCACACAATAATAATGGGAGGCTTTAACAACCCTCTGTCAATATTAGATAGATTAACGAGACAGAAAATTAACAAGGATATTCGGGACTTGAACTTAGCTCTGGATCAAGTGTACCTAACAGACATCAACAGAATATACCTTCTTGTTAGTGCCACATGGCACTTATTCTAAAATCGACCACAAATTGGAAGTAAAGCACTCCTCAGCAAATGCAAAAGAACTGAAATCATAACAAACATCCTCTCAGACCACAGTGCAATCAAATTAGAACTCAGGATTAAGAAACTCACTCAAAACCAAACAATTACATGGAAATTGAACAACCTGCTCCTGAATGGCTCCTGAGTAAATAATGAAATTAAGGCAGAAATCAATAAGTTCTTTGAAACCAATGAGAAAAAAGAGAATCTCTGGGGCCACAGCTAAAGCAGTGTTAAGAGGGAAATTTATAGCACTAAACGCCCACATCAGAAAGCTAGAAAGATCTCAAATAGACACCCTAACATCACAATTAAAAGAGCTACAGAGGCAAGGGCAAACCAATCCCAAACCTAGCAGAAGACAAGAAATAACTAAGATCAGAGCAGAACTGAAGAAACTAAGAGACACGAAACTCCCCCCCAAAAAATGAATGAATCCAGGAGCAGGTTTTTTGAAAAAATTAACAAAGTAGATAGACTGCTAGCTAGACTAATAAAGAAGAAAAGAGAGAAAAATCAAATCAAACAGAAAAATCAAATATATTTGATGAAATCAAATAGAAAAAATGATATCAGTTGATATCACCACTGATACCACAGAAATACAAAATACTATCAGAGAATACTAGAAACACCTCTGTGCAAATAAACTAGAAAATCTAGAAGAAATGCATAAATTCTTGGACAGATACACCTTCCAAAGACTAAACCAAGAAGAAGCTGAATCCCTGAATAGACCAATAACAAGTTTGAAATTGAGGCAGTGATTAATAGCCTACCAACCAAAGAAAGCCCAGGACCAGATGCATTCATAGCCCAATTCTACCAGAGGTACAAAGAGGAGCTGGTACTATCCCTTCTGAAACTATTCCAAACAATTGAAAAGGAGGGACTCCTCCCTAACTCATTTTATGAAGTCAGCACCATCCTGATAGCAAAACTGGGAAGAGACACAACAACAAAAAAGAAAACTTCACACCCATATCCCTGATGAACATTGATACAAAAATCCTCAATAAAATAATGGCAAAGCAAATCCAGCAGCACATCACAAAACTTATCCACCACGGTCAAGGTGGCTTCATCCCTGGGATGCAAGGCTGGTTCAACATATGCAAATAAATAAATGTAATCCATCATCACCTAAACAGAACCAAAGACAAAAAACACATGATTATCTCAATATGCTCAAAAACGGCCTTTGATAAAATTCAACATCCCTTCACATTAAAAACTCTCAATAAACTAGATATTGATGAAACATATGTCAAAATAATAAGAGCTACTTACAACAAACACACAGGCAATATCATATTGAATGGGCAAAAGCTGGAAGCATTCCCTTTGAAAATCAGTATAAGACAAGGATGAGGCTGGGTGCAGTGGCTCATGCCTGTAATCCCAGGACTTTGGGAGGCTGAGGTGGGCAAATCACAAAGTCAGGAGATTGAGACCATCCTGGCTAACACATTGAAACCTCATCTCCACTAAAAATACAAAAAATTGGCCGGGTGCTGTGGCTCACACCTGTAATCCCAGCACTTTGAGAGGCTGAGGCGGGCGGATCATGAGGTCAGGAGATCTAGACCATCATGGCTAACATGGTGAAACCCTGTCTCTTCTAAAAAAATACAAAAAAACTAGCCGGGTCTGGTGGCGGGCTCCTGTAGTCCCAGCTACTCAGCAGGCTGAGGCAGGAGAATGGCGTGAACCTGGGAGGCGGAGCTTGCACTGAGCCGAGATCGTGCCACTGCACTCCAGCCTAAGCAACAGAGTGAGACTTCGTCTCAAAAAAAAAAAAAAAAAAAAAAGAAAAAAGAAAAAAGACAAGAATGCCCTCTCTCACCACTCCTATTCAACATAGTATTGGAAGTTCTGGCCAGGGCAATCAGGCAAGAAAAAGAAATAAAGGGTATTCAAATAGGAAAAGCGGAAGATAAATTGTTTTGGTCTGCAGATTACATGACTCTATACTGAGAAAACCCCATCATCTCAGCCCCAAAACTCCTTAAGCCACAAGCAGCTTCAGCAAAGTCTCAGGATACAAAATCAATGTGTAAAAATCAGAAGTATTCCTTTACACCAACAATAGACAGTCAAATCACGAATGAACTCCCAATCACAACTGCAACAAAGAGAATCAAATACCTAGCAATACAGCTAACAAGGGATGTGAAGGACCTCTTCAAGGAGAACTACAAACCACTGCTCAAGGAAATAAGAGACAATACAAACAAATAGAAAAACATTCCATCATCATGAATAGGAAGAATCAATATCATGAAGTGGCCATACTGCCCAAAGTAATTTATAGATTCAATGTTACTCCCATCAAACTACCATTGACATTCTTCACAGAATTAGAAAAACTACTTTAAATTTCATATGGAATTAAAGAAGACCCTGTATAGCCAAGACAATCCTAAGCAAAAAGAACAAAACTAGAGGCATCATGCTACCTGAATTCAAACTAAACTACAAGGCCACAGCAACCAAAACAGCATGGTACTGGTACCAAAACAGACAAATAGACCAATGGAACAGAACAGAGACCTCAGAAATAACACCACACATCTGCAAACATCTGATCTTCAACAAACCTGACAAAAGCAAGCAATGGGGAAAAAAATCTCCTATTCAATAAATGGTGCTGGGAAAACTGGCTAGCTATATGCAGAAAACTGAAACTGGACCCCTTCCTTACACGTTACATAAAAATTAACTCAAGATGGATTAAACACTTAAATGTAAAACCCAAAACCATAAAAACTCTAGAAGAAAACCTAGGTGATACCATTCAGGACATAGGCAGTGGCAAAGACTTCAGGACAAAATGCCAAAAGCAACTGCAACAAAAGCCAAAATGACAAATGGGATCTAATTAAACTAAAGAGTATCTGCACAGCAAAAGAAACTACCATCAGAGTGAACAGGCAACCTAAAGAATGAGAGAAAATTTTTGCAATCTACCCAACTGACAAAGGTCTAATATCCAGAATCCACAAGAAACTTAAACAAATTTACAAGAAAAAAAACAACCCTATCAAAAAGTGGGCAAAGGATATGAACAGACACTTCTCAAAAGAAGACATTTACACAGCCAACAAACATATGAAAAAAAGCTCAATAGATTGCGCCACTGCACTCCAACCTAGACAACAGAGTGAGACTCCATCTCAGAAAAAAAAAAGCTCAACATCACTGATCATTGGAGACATGTAAATCAAAACCACAATGAGATACCATCTCATGCCAGTCAGAATGGCAATTATTAAAGTCAAGAAATAATAGATGGTGGTGAAGCTGTGGATAAATAGCAACACTTTTACACTGTTGGGAAGAATGTAAATTAGTTCAACCATTGTGGAAGACAGTATGGCAATTCCTCAAGGATCTAGAACCAGAAATACCATTTGACCCAGCAATCCCATTAATGGGTATATACCCAAAGGAATATACATCATTCTACTATAAAGGTACATGCACATGTATGTTTACTACAGCACTATTTACAATACCAAAGTCATAGAACCAACCCAAATGCCCATCAATGATAGACTTGATAAAGAAAATGTGGTACATATACACCATGAAATACTATGCAGCCGTAAAAAGGAATGAGATCATGTCCTTGGCAGGGACATGGATGAAGCTGGAAGCCATCACCCTCAGCAAACTAATGCAGGAACAGAAAACCAAATACCACATGTTCTCATTCATAAGTGGGTGTGGAACAATGAGAACACATGGACACACGGAGAAGAACAGCACACACCAGGGTCTGTTGCGGGGTGTGGGGAGAGGGGAGGGAACTTAGAGGATGGGACAATAGGTGCAGCAAACCATCATGGCACATGTGTACCTGTGTAACAAACCTGCACATTCTGCACATGTATCCCGGAACGTAAAGTAAAATAAAAATTAAAAAAAAAAAAAAGTCTTTATTTCTTCTGCATCCCTGAAGGGTGTTTTCACTGGGTATAAAATTCTGAGTTGACAGTTATGGGTTTTTTTAGCATTAGACCTCCTCCAATAAGACTCCAGGAAGAAAAGGAGGGTCACCTCATTACTGCTGGGCAGTGGTGGAAGTCAGGCTCCTTATAGAGCCTGACTCCTCACAGAGTTTCCACTGACAGCTCTGCATGTGGGGTATGTATGGCAGATAGTTGCTAGCTGGCAGAAGTGGAAGCTCCAACTCCCTGTTTGGCCTTCTCTGCTAAAACCACAGTGGGGTTAACTGAGGTTTCCCTTTGCAGCTGTGCTCCTAGTCAGCCTTTGCTGAATGGGTTAAGAGTAGGGTCACAATTTTTCTGTGGTGCTTGCCTGGAATAGAGTGGTTATTATCTAAAAGATTTTTCTCTTATAAGGCTGTCCTTTCCTCATCCTTTGGCTACAGAAAGCAGGCTTTTGTTGGAGCATTTCTGTCTGTGCCCATTGCTGTCTCTAGATTGCCAGCTTATTCACCTCCAAGTTTGGGATATATGAAACAAAAAGAAAATCCAGGGAGCTTACCACCATGTTGTTCGTCAGGTCCCAAGTTCCCTAGTTAGTCTGCCTCTTCTCTTCCCCATTTAGAGTCTTCTTATGTTTGTTTGATAGGTGATGTCTGGGATTTTAGCAGTACTTAGTGGAGGTAATAGGAAAAAGTATGCCTATTCTATCTTCCTCAAAGTACAAGTTTGTCATAGAGTTTTAAAGACACTGAAAACTCTTGAATGCCAAGCATGTAATAATGTCATTTGAATTCCAAGGGTTTTTAAAAATTTTTCATCTTCAATAAAATAACAGAACGATATGAATTTTTAAATTCAATATTGTTCCTCTTGTTTTTTAAATAATAAAATAACATTATTATTGATAATATGCTACAGTATTATTACCAGATGAGTATTCTCCAAGATGACTTTTAAAATTTAGACTGCTGGTGACAGATTTTTAAATGACATAGAATTTTTAGAAAAAAAAAAAAAAAAAAAAAAAAAAAAAAAAAGAAAAACGCTTCAGGCCGGGCACGGTGGCTCATGCCTGTAATCCCAGCACTTTGAGAGGCCGAGGCGGGCGGATCACAAGGTCAGGAGATTGAGACCATCCTGGCTAACACAGTGAAACTCCGTCTCTACTAACAAATACAAAAAATTAGCTGGGTATGGTGGTGGGCGCCTGTAGTCCCAGCTACTCGAGAGGCTGAGGCAGGAGAATGGCGTGAACCCGGGAGGTGGAGCTTGCAGTGAGCCAAGATTGTGCCACTGCTCTATAGCCTGGGCGACACAGCGAGACTCTGTCTCAAAAAAAAAAAAAAAAAAAAAAAGAGAGAAAAAACCCTTCAAAATAAAAATGGTTCCACATGCTTGTAAAATAAAAGGTATATGAACTATAATGAAAAAAATGAATTTTTAAAATTTAGAACTGGACATTCAGCCTTAAAAATTATCTTTTGTTATTCTTCACCTGGAGAAATAAATCTTTAAAAAGTTCCTCCCTTGTTATAAGATTTTCAAGTGCACTTCCTAGTTCTCTTCTGTAAAAGAAAAAAGAAAAAAAAGTCTAGTCCTCATGTCATTTTTAGCTTAGTTTGAAAGTAAAGACTTATAATAATAAAATAATAAAAAGTTCATGATGATCAAGGTTATAGAGAGACTAAGACCTACATGGAATCACATACCTTCCTGCCACTGGCTTTGATGTAATACATGGAAAATAATCAGAGGTAGCTTTCTAAAACTATTTATATATATCATAGCATTTTTCAACATGACTGATTATCCAACATAAAGTTATCTATCTAGTCAAAATATTCCTATTAATTCTTTTATACCCTACACACATTCCTTTGGGGTAAAGGCCATGGTAGCTTGATTCGTAGGTGGGTGTCTGTGATGGTCCTTTAGTTGCCTTGTGGATGTAAATACTAATAATTTCCCTGGCAACTGCCTATCAGAGAGAAGCCAAAGCCTCTGGTCAGAGACTTGCCTCTCAAGTGTTACAAAGAGTTGCAGAACAGCACACACCTGCAGTGAAAGTAAGTCTTTGAACTACAAAAGCTTGTGTTTCTTACAACAGGTAGTGGGGAATAATTTGTCTGTAATTAGTTTTCTAGTTTTGTTCACTCCCTTTCTGTGATTGGTTATGTGCAAAATAGAAAACCCTAATATGATCTGAGACAAGATTAGTGCATATGCTGGGTCTATCACCCCAGCCAACTGGTGATGAGTTTTACAAATACATAAAGTAGTCAACCCTAATATATTGATGCAGATAAGAAATGATGACCTCTCAGTGAGATGTAGGCAGCCACAGTGTTGAGACAGTGCTGTGACTACAAATGAAACAATATAGAAGTTCATATACTCTATGATGACCTCCTAGAAAACTAGCTAAGGAGCACTCTCTGCCGTCATTAATGGAATAAAAATAGACACCTAGTCCATGAACTTTTGAAATGTCACCAATTTAAGCACATCTTAGATGGGACAATAATTTACATGTTTGGACAGCTTTTCTCAAAAATACAATTTTAAGACCATTTCTGCATACACACTTAACTCCTACAGGACATTATAAAATGCCAACCTAACTATTCTCACTTGGAAAGTGAACTATGAATAGACAGTTGCAATAGACAGAATAAGCAGCCAGGTCGTTAGAGACATAGCCCAGTAATCTGGACCTTTCTCCTAAATGTTCAAAAGAATAGAGATTTAACAAAAAGCATCCAAAAGCATCCAAAAGCATTTTGCATCCAAAAGCATTTTGCAAATGACTTCAAAAACATTATTCTATTCAAAGAGGTTAACTATTTAAATGAAAAATTTAAGTAAAAAGTGTTTGATATAATGTAAGATAAATATAATACATGTCTCAGAATAATCTAGTTTACAAAAAAATGCCTTAAATTTTTGGGCCAAACTACTAAAAGTTCACATCAGAAATTAATTTGAAAACACATTAAAATAGCCAGAGCAAAACTGTAATACCAATAATATATTTGTGTTGTGAAATTAATAGATTTAATGACATATCTTAAGCATGACAGAAGAAATAGTATGATTTTCATGTAGGAATTTAAAGACAGTTTCCCAGAGTTCTAAAAATGTAGTTTTTAAGCCTCTCAAAAACACATTTTTCACATCTTTCCCATTTAAGGGTCCCAAAGACTTATAAATTGTTAACTCCATCTCCCCAAGCTCTATAAATTTTCTTTTTGGAGCCTTTCTGATGCATGGATTTGATCTGTACACAATTCAGCTACAAATTAAATGCACAATCTTCAAAAACTCTAAATCTCTTACAGTTGTGCAGCTGAAGATGAAAGAACTTGTATACAAATGTTTAAAAGTATATAAACCTTCCCATGTAAGATGGAAAACAAGAGGCTCTGTACTTTTTCTTAAATCCGTCCTAAGGGATTTTGTTCAAATAGTGTGCTCTTTCAGCAATCCCATTACAATAGCTATTTTACTAGAAACAAAAAGTCCCTCTGTCAGACTAATAGTCAATAATAATTTTACCACTACTAAGAATAAGTGTGATTAACTGGCACATTTTTTGAAACTTTCAAAATTAATTACACATCTGTTATTTCAGTTTATCCATAAAAAACACCACGTGAGGTGGTTTTATCTTCATTTGACGAATGAAGGAATTGAGTTAGAGAGAACTTAAGTCCCAAGGCCAACAATATTCTATGTTGTGCAAAGTAGCAATGAATTAGTAAAGGAATGAGACTAAGTTACTAGATTCCTAATTCTAGGACCACCTGCTAGACAATGAAAGAATAAAGTTACCTAACATTAGTGAACACTCGGTAGTAATGGTAATCTGTTAAGTATTTACTTAGCTAATTCTTCACAATATCAGTTTGTTTTACCATTTGACCATCTCTGTTTTACAACTGCAGAAACAGAGGTTCGGTTTGATAGTGGTCTGATTTATTATATCTAAGTGGCAGATTTAAACTGAGGTAAATGTGATTGCAAAGTTCCTTTCTCGAAGAGGAACATCTTACATTTAGAAATAATTTCAAAGCCAAGATATGCACTCTTACTATTTTCTACAGTCTACATGGATTCTTTCTTTCCTTCTTTCTTTCTCTTTCTTTCTTCTTTCTTTCTCTTTCTTTCTTCTCTCCTTTTCTTTCTTCTCTCTCTCCTTTTCTTTCTTTCTTTCTTTTTCTTTTTTTTTGACAGAGTCTTGCTCTGTCACCCAGGCTGGAGTACAGTAGCCCAATCTCAGCTCACTGCAACCTCAGCATGCTGGGTTCAAGCCATTCTCCTGCCTCAGCCTCCCGAGTAGTTGGGATTACAGGCACATGCTGCCACACCCGGCTAATTTTTTGTATTTTAGTAAAGACGGAGTTTCAGAAAGAAAAGGAGAATGAAACTGAAATGCAGGTGAATTTGGGCCAGGTCTGTACTGTAATTATTTATTCTGATATTCCTACACTTCTTCCTAACACTGAATTCATAGCCCAATGCCTTGAGGTACTTCTACAGAAGTTGCCCCTCAAAGCTAAAGCAAGCTAGTAGAAGGGCAGATTTTAGCAAGAGGAACACTCAGTATATTTGATGATTGTTTAGCTGAATATGTCTGTGGGTTGAGAAGAGCCCAAATCATCATTTCCCAGAATGTAGAGACTTTCTGCACAAAACAGGTAGACTTCATTCAAATCATTCTGGAACCCTCAGATCCTTGGGTCACAATGCATATATGACCATAGAAAAAGCTCTGAGCAGTATTGCGGAACAAAGGCTCGTTTCACTTGGTATTTACTGTTTCCCAAGTATAAGACCTATTAATATTCCATAGAACAACTTCTGATGTTTCAGACTTGACTCTGAAAATAATCTGAGTATGGACTGCACTGTGCTATTCCTGTGCAACAATTACCACAGAGTGAAACCTTTACTGCTTTTTCTCAAGGTTCAGACCTGTGGTACATTATTCTAAAGGTATAGACAAGAAACAGTTCCAAGGAGGATAAGACTAAATCTCTGAATATTAGACCTGACAGAGGCCTTAGGAGTTATCATCTCTTTCCATTAACATATGAAGAAGCTAGAGTCTACAGGGATTGAGAACTGGCTCCAAGATCATAAGATCTTAGAAAGTGGCTGTCCTGCTGCCCTCTCATTACCAGACTTGACAATGGTGCCTCAGCAGGATGGCATTTCAGAGGCAACCCATCTTGCACAACCTGGAATTCTCTGGAGGTCTAGTCCAGGGCCACCAGGTGGAAGGCTAAGGAGGAACAGCTATGAGCACTGCAGGAGACCGCCTCAGGATACTCTTGTTCTCTCCTCTTGCTTTGCTGTTTTTGTTCTCCAAATGACCATCATCGTCAGAAGACAATTTTGACCACGAAATGTTTGTAGTGAGAATATCAGGCAGGTGTCTGATATTCCATGGTTTACAGTTTATTCCAGGCAGGTTTATGTTTCCTTGCTAATACACGTACAATTTTACAACTACTGTATTAACAGGCATTTACAACACTCGGGAGTATTTCTAAATTTTATATGGATAACTTGGGGGAAAAATTAAGTGTTTTTCATCATACCTACATAGAGAGTGATTTTAAAGCGGTTTTTCTAGTGGAAATGTATATAAATTATATATACACTTTCAGCATATAAATATATATAAATATACACTGAATATGTTTTTATATACTGAATATATATAAAAACCTATATATCCTGAATATATATATTTACATATTCATTTACTGAATATATATAAAACATATGAATATATATATTCAGCAGGACATTTGAAGTTTCTATATTTGTAGTAATATTATACTAAGTACAAATCTACATGTTATCTAAATATCTCTATTCCACATATGTGTACATATATATATAGATATAGATATATCACCACTAAAAATATATTGATTGGTATTACTACTTCTGCTTCACACTATTTTTCAGCTAAATGGAGAAGAAAGTTTATTTTAGAGTTGATTAAGTAATTATATTATTTAAGAAATTACTCCGGTTGGATTACACATGGTAAAGAGGCAGTGAGATTGTGTCACCATCCCTCTGCTGTTCAGCCAATCTGTTTATTATTTTATGTCATTTGTTCTCAACCAGCCATCTCAAATTAGTACATGGGACATATAGCACTTTTTGATATATTTTTTACACCAGGCAAAAAGTGTCACATGCCAGTGAGTTCAGTAATCTCTTATCAAGTAGTACTCTATGTAGCCACTAGTCTCTTATTGTCTAGTTACACTTCTGAAAAAACCTTTTTCAGAAAGTGATCTTCCTAAAGTCCCATTCATCCTAGAAAATCAACAACTTCTAACCAGTATATTTAAATCTCTCAGTTCCCATAGAACTCTCTCTCAGACCCTGTCTTCCCTGGTTTTAACTTTTCTCATTCCATCCCCCCCTCCCACACACAATCCTATGGCCTCCCTTCTCAGTGTAAACCAAACTTCCCAGAGTCCTTTCACTGCCACCTCCATATGCATGTATTACATCAATCCGCACACCACCACCAAAAGGGAAAGTGGAAAAAAGACGTTCTTAGTCCCCATTCCTTTGATTTTCTACATCCCTGGGGCCCTTCCCCACAGATGCAGTGTAATGCAGGGGGAGAACCACAGGCCAACAACCAGACATCTTGCCAGCAAGATGATCTGGGTTTTTTAATTCAAAAAAATTTTCCTGACCAGGCATGGTGGCTCATGCCTGTAATCCCAGCACTTTGGGAGGGCAAAGTGGGCAGATCACCTGAGGTCAGGAGTTCAAGGCCAGCCTGATCAACATGGAGAAACCCCGTTTCTACTAAAAATACAAAAATTAGCCAGGCATAGTGGTGCATGCCTGTAATCCCAGCTACTCGGGAGGCTAAGGCAGGAGAATCACTTGAACCTGGGAGGCTGAGGTTGCAGTGAGCTGAGATCATGCCATTGCACCCTAGCCTGGGTAACAAGAGCCAAACCCCATACAAAAAAAAGAAAAAAAAAATTCCTTATTTCCTATTAATCTCTTACTCAAGCTCTTACAAATAATTATCCACATTTCTCTTAGTACCAATGAGATGATTTATGCCTTTGGCAAAAGAGAAGAGGAAGAGAAGAGAGAAAATGAGCACAAGGCTCATTTCCAGAACCAGCCTTTCCTGCTGCCCTGGCCAGACCCCATCCACAGGCTGCCCTTTCTCTGGCCCTCTCAACCACAGTCACAAATCGTTCAAAAGTTGACCCTGACAACACTTTTTCCCACTCAATATTTTTATAATTTTGATATTTAAAAGTATTAAACGAATAGTCAGGTCTGTAAAATTAGGCTTTGTTAGAGCTCATTTTTGTTATGCCACCATTACTCGTAACTGGATTATGACAAGAATGCACTAGTACCTATTTCTACTCTCCACAATTTTGTTACTCGTCAAGAGAAGTATATAAACTGATATCTAGGTCCAAGAATCCTCAGTATTTTCACAGGTATATATATTTAATTAAAACCATGACTTTTGTTGTTACAGGTTTGGGTTTCTTTTAGTGATTTAAGCTCTCTAGGCTTCATTTTTTGTACTTAAAAAAAAAAAAGCCAAGGGAAATACTACTTATGCATAAAACACTTTGAGCTCCCCAGATGAAAGCCCGCATACATAAGTGTGATGCGTATTTATTGCCGCTCCTCTGATGAAAAGTGGCAGCCTTCTGCTTAAAATGGGATTACAAATTCTGAGTATAACAGAGAAGAGAGAAGCACAAATGAGTAACAAGCAGTCAGAATAAATAAAATTGAAAAGATGGAGAGGACTCCTTTTACAAAAGGAACATCAGTTGCGAAACTTGTGGTTTAATTTCGTATGCTTTCCACTTTTAAAAAGTTGGGCTCAACTGCTTTTATAATGAGCTACAAGCAGAAGGTACATTCAGTAGTACATGAATAAAAAATGACCTTTTCATTTGCTCTTCCGTAGCTTGGCATTCCTATATTATTAAAATATAATGTATTAAAGATTAAGTAAGCATATTAGCATATAGACATCATGCTTCTGTGGTCATGGATACGAGGACTATCTAACATGAGGCTAGAAATCCATCCATGCAAAATTCATATCTTTAATAGTATAGATATCAATTAAAAAGAACACAAAACTTTTCCAACAACTATTATAGTTGACTATTCTATTAAGTATGGAAAAGAAAGCAATGAGGAGAGAATCTCTAAAGGAAGTCATAAATAATAATCACCAACAATTGTAGCTGGGAGTGAACTGAATTCTACACTATAGGAAACATATTAAATATATAAACTTCCTACTCTAATAAAACTTAACAGTTTTTAAACCTAGGAATTTAAACGCTAAAGCAATTTTCATGACTTTTTTGGAGAATAAACCATTCATTAAAAATTTTTCTTGTATTTATTTCATTTCTATGGCTTATTTTTCTGTCTTTTCGACATATAATCCATAAATGTACAGAGTATCAGAAGAAGTAACTGCACAAAGAAGTAACTGCAAAAACATAAACAAGATAAAATTATCAGATTTCCAAAGCAGAGAGCTTTCCTTTCACCTCATTATTATGTAAATAATATGGGTTCATAAAAGAAAATTTGAAGTTCGGCAAAGTGAAAAGAGAGAACAAATAATACTATGAGTATTAGTGCAGTTGCTGGTCACTTCTTATATATTTACTTTTACTGTTTTCTTTTTGTATTTTTTTCTCACTTTTATCTCATACACTATTATAGTAGAAATACAATATTATATCATGCTCTTTTCACTTATGTCAAGAAGTAGTTTATACCCAAGCATGTGTTTTTCTTTTTTAAGTTCATTTTTTTTGTCTTGTTAAAACTTCTGTAACCTCTCACAATGGAAAGCTGACATTCCTAAATGTACAAAGAGGAGGCACTGTTGAACTCAGAGATTCAGCATTTGTCCTACAGACTGTTCCCAATGGTGAGAAATGACAGTGGCAGTCTTATTTGGAGTGCTCCAAGAAAAGGAGACACCATAGTGTCTTGGTATCTAAACTTACAGAGAAGCCAATAACTAACCTTGTCAACTATCCAAGGATTTGGTCTCATATTAGTTACAGGAAAGTCTTGGGTATTTCCAAGTACAGTATAAGATCATAACGATCCAGTAACCTAACCTTAGCGTGGCTTTCAAAAACCAGAACTGTCAATCTCTCTCTGCTGCAGCTCTCCCACCCTCAGCCTGCTGTAATACCTTTACCATGTAGAGAAACAAGAAACCCAATCTATGAACTACTATTCTGAATTCCTCAGATTCACAAGGGAAGTAACATAGAAGTGTATATTGGAAAGGAAGACAGTCCTTCATATATACATTCATTAAAATGAGTAAAAATCTTCCTTATGTTTAAAAAATCAAGTAAGACAGAAATCATATAAAAAGGTAAGCTAAACTGAAAATCCATGGGGAAATGCAAGCTTTTATTTTTAAAATGATATCAATACAAAACAGATATTTATAATAGATGTATCTTTCTTGTTTTTTGTTTTCTTGGATGAAAAAAACAACAGTGATTTAAAAAAAATTTGCTTTGAATAAAATTTATCATCTGCTGATGCATTATTTCTCAATTTCTTTTTCATATTATCTCTTGGAGATAAATGGCAATAACAAAGACACATTAACATGACACTAAAGAACAGCTTTTTATAGTTTTAATTATTTTTTCCTTTTTGGTAATAAAAATGATGTGGTATGTTTGCATGTGTTATATATTGAGAAGCAATAATACTGTTTAAATATTCATAATTATGAATATAACTTTCACTCGATATTTTAAAAATGAAATAGCTTCTGACCCCTTAACATTATGGCCCTGTTTATTAATATATATTGCAGGCACACCTATATTTATGTCAGTCAATCACTTACTGTACTTTTTATTCTATTCTGAGTTATTCTGCATAAAGATAATTTTCTGAGTCCATCAAGTTTCACTTTCTGAGAAATAATTTCACAATTTGTAATGTAGATAATGAGCAGTCATTTTCCCACTTCTCTTGGGATTTGAGCTCATTTCAGTCTGTGAAATAAAAACTGAAGAAAAGAAACTAAAATCTAAAGTAGGGGAGACCATGATGAGTGGTGAACATGTATATTCATCCCTGCTACAAGCAGGGATGGAGATGCCAAGGGAGGGTGCTGGCCAGCAGCTTTGCAGAGCCTCTCAATGGCAGCACTTATCCAGGTCACTACAGTCAGGGCCTAGTCTTACCTCTGCACTCCAGAAATGATTTTGCTCTTATAGAGAAATTGAGAAGCCTCTCTGGGATAAACTCATGAAAACCAAACTCCTTTATAATGTGACTTTATAATTTTAGAATAAAACATTATTGTAATGCAAGCTGAATTGCTAGTCTTGTCAGATTAGTTATTCTCACCCACTCAGAAATTTATAGTACAGAATTTGCCTGATGGGCAGAGTTAGAACTAAAGGGCTTGGTGATTTTATCTCACAGTTCCTAGGCTAAACAGTTAGGACAGCCTTCCTGCAGCTTCCTTCCAGCAGAGGATCTCATCTGGGACGGCCTTCCTGCAGCTTCCTTCCAGCAGAGGATCTCATCTGGGCCACTGCTTTTTAATTTTAGCTTTTTAAATTTAATTTTAATATTAGATATTTTATTTTTTTATTAAGATAGGCATTACATATAAAAGCTACAACAGTTAAGAGAATGAAAATGAAGTCTACCTTTCTCCCTCTTCTATCCCTAGAAGCTCAGTTTCTTTCCTTGGAGGCTACCCTATTAGCAATTTCTTAAATGACTTTTCAGAGGCAACGAGTGAATTTGCAAATATATGCCATGTGTGTGTATGTATGTGTGTGTATGTATATGGGTATGATATGTACATATGTATGTATATATACAATTTGTCTCCCCTTTAATAAGAGCATAGCATACATGCTGTTTTCATGTTTTGCTTCTTAACTTTCCATATATAGAAGTTTTAAGTTTTAACATGTACGTAGGACATACAAAGCACATACAGGAAGCATCCTTAAATATTATTTTACACATGTAGGAGTTTAAACAGCTACAATGGAATTTCTGTGTCAAAAAGTGTACACTTTTTATTTGGAAAGATATTACCAAATTGTTCTCACATTTTATCAGTGGTAAAAACTTGGATTCACAATCACAACGTGGCAATTAATCCCTTGTACGTTGTGACTATGGAATGATTTACCATGAATTTTTACAGAAGGGAAGACAATTCAAAATTAATAAATTCTGCTTCTAGTTGCCTTCTTATTCTCAAGGCTAATAATTCAAGGTGTATGATTGATTACAGATCCCTAGAAAATAAGACCATCAGTCACATGGAGTATACTGCTTGATAGATGAGAAAACAAGAAATGAATTAGGTCCAACATGAAAGAAAACGTTTTGGACTTGGGTTTTAAAAGAGTCTCCTTTCCCAAGTAACCTTGGAGTTTCCAGGCAAAATTTCTCTCCGCCTAACTCTGAAGCAAGAGTTGATGAGACAAAAAGAAACTGTAAAAAGAGTAAAATAAAACAACCAGGACTATCTGAACCGGAAATCCTAAAATTTCCAACAGAGTCTCACATAGGAAAGCGATGGTTGTCAACAAAACAAAACAAAACCCCCAAAACTAATGGTACATGAGTACCTGGGGAAGGAAATGGCTTCATAAGGGAATAGGGGACTATCGAAGGTTAGGTTTATGGAAGGGATTTTCATGGACTCCCCTCCTGATAAGAAATTCTCCAAAAGCTAAGAAGAAGAAGGAGGGAAGAGTAAGTGGGTAGACCTAGGCTTTCAAATGTCAGAATCCTAACCCAAAATACCTTTACTGGGGACAAAAGAGACATCATGACATTGATTATAAAGAAGGTCATGAAATCTAAGAGATTATTCAAACTCAGCTAATTTGTACTGTTATTAACCATGGCACTATGTTGGCTTAAAGAAAGGACATTTAAAATATCCAGAATACAACAACTATTAATATTCATTTCTATAACATATAAACTAAACGCCCACATTAGCATTGTATCTTTTTTGACATAAAAAGTTTGGGATATGTACTTGTTATGAACTAATACATGTATATAACCTTATTGCCTTTATTGAAAGACTTAAAATGAAAGAATTTATAAAAATTATTATAATTTTAATATAAATGACTTCAAACAACTTAGATAATTCTTGAGAACTATAACACTATCTCTTTTATTAACTATTTGTGAATTTTTCTAACTAATGCAGGACATGTAAAATAGGTTTCAAGTGTATAATTTGTACCTAAATTTGAGGGCAGAGCCAAAACATTAAAACGTTCTTTTCATAATGTATCATTTTAGAAGGAAAATAATTATAATTTTCCTCCATTTTATTATTTTATCTTTTCTATAAACTTACATATTTTCACAAGTTTTTAAAATCAGTTGTTTTTATAATTATAATGTTTACCTGAAATGGGATATATTAATTACTCACTTTTATTCTCAATTCTTCGAAATACAATAGATGTGCCTTTACAGTATGAATTTCTGATGTCTATAAAAATATGAGAAAATTCTATCTGAAATTAAAGTCTTTGAATATTGAAAATGAGCACTAAGCATTTAGATGTAAAAGCTAAATAAAAATTTAAAGCAAAAATACATTCTACAAATAAAATTTTTTGAAAATGAACTATTAATTTTCTTCTTATATTTATAATAAAGCAAGGTCACAGTACTATATAAACCTGAATCTACAGTAGTTTTAAATAAATGTACTGAAAGACATACTCTAGAATGTAGTTTGCTTGTTGAATGAATATTCTAAAGGAAATGTGATGAATGTCATTAATAATTTACACAACATAGAAGAAAACTTGTTATCGTAACAATATGGGCTTTGTTAATGACCCTAACAGTATATGGTATTATCTGAGACATGTAAAACAGACTTAATATCTACTTCGTATTTTTGTTGTTGTTGTTATATGTATACTTCTATCTTCCTTCTGGGCACTATATCATTTTGTTCCGATTAGTAAGCATAGAACCTCACAAATTGGAGGAGTTCAACAAACACTGAGTAAATAAACAAACAGGCAAAAAACACTCCTAAAGTTAAAAGGAGACAAATTACTACTATAAATAACTAGAAAACAAAAACTTAACAGAATAAATATATTTACTAGAAAGTCAGTTTCTATAATCTATGAGCTTGAGGGCCTCTAGATTGTGCGGGCTATTTCTAAGGCTTGAGAGATGTCCTAGCACTGGATTCACATGGTCGTTTGTGTTTGTACATTTTTCATATTTTAACTATAATTAAGACTACTGCACGTTTAGAACCCAACTTTGTATTTGTAGTTTTTTATATGATTTCTTAAGGGGTGGAGGGCAAGTATAAAAGTGAAAGGCCCAATAAACTTGGATCTGCTCCTACATATTTCCCTATTGTACTGTGCATAGCTTAATAGGAGAATTGAAACTGATTCAACATTTGGACAAGTAACAAAGGTTTAGTTTACATTCATAAATATTTGTCACTCCCTGTTGAAAAATAAAAATATAGCCAATTCTAAGTTACAGGCTAAGCACATCATTCTGAAATACATTTTATCATCTAACAAATCGTGTGGTGAGATCTCCATTATGTATCAGCACATATCCTCAAATTGCAGATTTCTTTTCTGGTCATCATGCTTGGACATTTATTGACAGTTAACAGCTGCTTCACTACTTCACTCTTTTAAACTTAATGTATTGACATTTCATATTCACTCATACTTTCAGATAGCCTAAAGTATTTGAAAAAATCCAGCTGCTTTAATAGACTATCACTTTTTAGATTCTTTACTTAAAAAAACTTTGCCTTTTATTGCGTATATGAAATTATCACAAAGTTGTTAATTTTTGCTTATGGATCTAAGATGTTTCATAAAAGTGTACAGTAATTAAAATACACAAATAACACTGATTTTCAGTTAAATATTTTGACATACTTATTCTACGGAATATCAAAAGTCACTTCTCAGAAAACCATCATCAAAAACTTTGAGTCAAAGAACTTTGTTAAAACTAGTCCCCCAAAAAGTACTCTTTATACCCATAAAATCTAAATACTCCTAATTTCTTTTCTTATTTTTTTTCTTTTTTTGGGGGGGGGGCGGGGGGAATGGAGTCTCGCTCTGTTGCCCAGGCTGGAGTGCAGTGGCGCAATCTCGGCTCACTGCAACCTCCACCTCCCGGGTTCAAGCGATTCTCCCACCTCAGCCCCCTGAGTAGCTGGGGCTACAGGCGCGTGCCACCATGCCCAGCTAATTTTTTGTATTTTTTTAGTAGAGACGGGGTTTCACGGTGTTAGCCAGGATGGTCTCGATCTCCTGACCTCGTGATCCACCCGCCTCAGCCTCCAAAAGTGCTGGGATTACAGGCGTGAGCCACTGCGCCCGGCCAATACTCCTAATTTCTAACAGACTTTTTCTGACAAGTGTTAGCCCAAAATGAATGTTTACAACCTATAGTGTGCAATGGATGCCTGTAAAATAGCATTTACAATGGAAACACTGACACAGTTTAAAACAAAAATGAAGGAAAAAACATCAAACTTGTACAGCAGTGCTAGCTAATGGGGTGATTAGAATACTCCTGGCCTTGGAATTGATGTAAGAAAACATTTAGAGAACATCTTATTTGGCTGGAAACAAGATCATAAGATAATTCTGTTAAAACAAGTGCTTGAAGTTGTGAGTGTAACACTTTCACACACATACACACACAAACATACACACACCCCTCACAGTCTACAGGAAGAAATATTTTGATCCATGAGACATGTTATTTTGGGGGCAGAGCTAGGAGAAATAAGAAAAACTACCCAGAGAACATGCCCTAAAATTTACAACTGAATCTTGTCAACTGAAACCATAATATCATTTGTTTTCCCCTCTAAATAAGTGGCACTGTATTGAAAAGGTGGATATCAAAGATTTAGGAGACTAGCATTTGATTCAACAATTCGGCTTATGGCGAGGCTACTCTAGAATACATATTTTATTTTAAAAATAGGAACATTAAGGATATACTATTTTTAAGTCAAACAACATATGGAATATGAGTGCTATCTATGTGCAATGAAACAATAAGGAACAATCATTTTTGAAGAATAATTTTGTGTTATCTCTGTTAATGTGTTTTTGTGTATATGCATCAGGCCAACAGTAGGCATAAATAAAAAGTAAGAACTCACAGGAAGAAGTCACAAAGGAAATTATACTCATTAAAAAGCATGATTCTATAACCTGCAAGTCAGGAAACCACAGAGGTAAACTTCCTGCTGATCCAGGGAAGAAAGGAAAATTTTCCTTCCCCATAGCCTGGTTACAGTTGGTGAAGAAAACGTCTTAACTTTTCTTGGTTTCAAAGGGTGTCATGCCCCACACAGCTGGAGGAAGAAATAAGAGCTGACAACTCCTTACATATATCTTTCTAATTTCAAAACCTTCCTCATGCAGATGCCTGAAACAAAGTTCTATAGTGCTGATAACGGATTTTTTTTCACTTTATATTCCAGACTACTAGCTGTAATTATTTTGAAGCTAGACAGCACTCCAGTGGTCAAATAACAAAACTAATCTGTAGAAACAGTCTTACAAAGAGAATTACCTATCTAAGTTAGTTGGTTGATTCTTCCTCTATTGCTGTCCTAAGTTGTTTCTCTGGACACATGGCATATATTTCAAATTAAAATAATATGCATTAAAACATCATATTAAGTAGAAGTATTTCTTCATGTAGCAGATTTGTAAATGAGCCTGTGAATGTTAGAAAACTCATCAAAAATTAATATGTTCACTCTATCATTCCATTAGAACCAATAATGTCCTGCAAAGCCTAATTCTACAAAAGATCCACTAACATGTAATCTTAAGGCTCTGATCAGGTTAATGATGGTTTCCTTCAGGATTGCATTAATCTACACAAAGTGTGGTAGTCTTTAAAAACCACTGTTAGGTTCAGAGGCATTAACTCTTAAATATATTTTCAACAGTTTTTCACTATTACTAAAAATCTTATATTTCATACTGGCAAATGCAAAGACCTTTTGATAATACCATGAAGAACTAAATTGCTATAAAATGAAAACCGAAAAATTATACTGTTTTAAGTCCCCAACAGGGTTTACTTAATAAGGGTATACCTTATCACTACGAATGCTTCAAACCCATCTCACAAGATGCATCTGCTTTTCTTACTGTTGTTTCCATTGCATAAATCAAAACAGTACTCATTAGTGTAAACTGATTAGGGTAAACCAAACCTCAATTGCAAGGATCTCAGCATTTCTGAAAACATAGATATAAAGATATCCAAGTTAATGTCAATTAAAAATACACAGTTTGCTTTGGACAGTTTTTACTAACCCTAGTCCTTATTATCTTGACTAGTGAGATTAAGATAATTTAAGGCTGAATAGTTCGAGAGTGCAGCAGAGCATAAAGGCCCTCTAAAGTAGAGAGGCCTAAACCCAGAATACCCACTACCATGTAACTACCACTGGGAACTGCAATTTTAATTTGCAGCAGGATGTTAAAGAAACTCTTTGGTGTAAAAGAGTTTATTTAAGTTCTACAAATCTTTTAAATTCAGGAATTTTGCAGATGAAGCAGATAAGACATTGCCATAACACTTTCATTTTTAAAACCAAATAAACACAGTTTCTTGATGGAGAAAATGCTATCTCAACTAACTGCAATCCAAAGCACCTTGAGATAAAATAAAAGAACAATTTGTGACAACAGTATATGTTCACTGAGATACAAATGGCACTATCAGGTACAGGTTGCATTGCAGCGATGAACTCAGTTGTCACACTGCAATTCTCAAAGTGTAACTCTTGGCTTGGTTGCCAAAATGTGCACTTTAGTATTGTGTTTCAGCAGTAGAAATGTGAGTACTAAGATTTTCATGACCCTACTACACTTGACCTTCCAGGTTTAAGGCATTGGAGCATAATCTGTAAACAGTAACTATCTGCTTCAGGCCTCAAGAACAGTTGAAAAATCAAGAGCTCTATTTGGGTCACATCTCATGTGTAGACTTGAAATTAGAAAGAAAAATTCATGTCATGATTGTGATCTCCAGTTGTGAGGATGACTTCACTGAAGTGCATGGATTCCTCTTTGGGCCAATCTCAATCCAGATCTAAGTTGACAACCAACTTAATTCCATGTCAATTCCCTCCCCTGCTGTCCCCTTTCCCACCTCCTTCTCCTCCTGTTCCTCCTCGTCTTCTTTATTCTCCTTCTCTCTTTCTCTTTCTTTTCCCCTCTCTTAGTCTCTTTCTCTGTTTCCTCATGTTCAAGTTTTTCAAATCCTAAAACAAACTTCCCTTATTCTACTTTATCGTGAAGTGAATACTGCATTTTCCCCTTTCATTCATGAGTAAAGGCCAAATCATTTACACTTGCTATCCCTGCTTCTACATATTTCACTTACTCATTGGTATGTTATTGGTATGTTATAATCTAGTTTAGAGTACAACTCCAACAAAATTACCTAAATCACAAAATTTCTTAAATCAAAGGCCTAGCACAGGATCTCATGTGCACAACTTCTGTGGAATCTAATATGCCAAATAATTCCTTCATGAAACTGTCTTCTCTGCAGCATCAGATTGGTTCTTCCTCTATCTTCTGGATTGTTTCTTAGTTTCCTAACATAAAGCTAGTGATGTTTCCTCAGCACTCTTGAATTGGGTAACCTCATTTACTCAAAGTGATGGGTACTTCACTTTGCCTGAATGATTTCCAAATGCATTCTGAGCACTGATCTTTGCTCTTATGTTTATGCCAGCAACACTTATCTACATGGAATTCAACTGAGATTCCACGTGTCTATCTTCCTCATACTTAACTATACCTAGCTAAAGTTTTAGATAGTTCAGGTAACAGAGTGTAAAGAAGTAAGAAAGAATACCCAAAAAGCTCCTTATTAACATCTCAAGCCTTTACAAAATATTGTAAAAATGAAATAGTTATTACCAGAAATTAAAGTGTGAGCAATAGCAAGTCAGTTAACAGTTACAGGGCACAATCGACAGAAACGTTCCTTAGAAAGTACAGAAAGAAGCAGGCTCACGCCTGTAATCCCAGCACTTTGGGAGGCTGAGGCGGGTGGATCACAAAGCCAGGAGATTGGGACCATCCTGGCTAACATGGTGAAACCCCGTCTCTACTAAAAATATTTTTAAAAAAATTAGCCGGGCGTGGTGGCGGGTGCCTGTAGTCCCAGCTACTTGGGAGGTTGAGGCAGGAGAAGGGCGTGAACCCGGGAGGCGGAGCTTACAGTGAGCCGAGATTGCGCCACTGCACTCCAGCCTGGGAGACAGAGTGAGACTCTGTCTCAAAAAAAGAAAGTACAGAAAGAAAATCCTCAACCATATCTTGACTTCAACCAATCACAACATTTATTATCTCATTCCTCATTAACGCTTTTTCATTAGAACCATTTCAGATGCCTAAAAGAAGGCTAACATACATTTACCTTCTCTGATATGAAATATGTTGTTTTTAGCAGAAAGATGTCCTATAGTTACACAAATAAAAGGACTAAATCTGAGATGAAAAAGATAAAAGTATATGAGATCATGACCACAAAACGAGTGAAATATATATGCTTATTTTTTGATAGCCTTTTAAAATTTACACATATTTTTACCTCAGGATGAAAACTCTTTAGTCCTATGTCTAGTTACAGAAGTCAGAAAGGCTATATTTTAACAATATTCTACAGCAATAGTTGGATAAAAGGCACAGTAAAGAGGACAAAATAAAAAATGAAAAACTCTGGCTATACTTCTAAACTGAGTAACACCAAATCTACTGGGAAACATCTCTTAATGGATAAAAATCGGAAAAACAACTCTTGATGGATAAAAATCTGAACCACATTGGTTTTGAAATTTAGCGCTAAAGTGGGGACAAGGGGTGAAGAGAATACATATTTTAAATATTTATTAACACCCTGCTTAGTTTCTGAAAAGAAACATGACTTGAGTCATGTTTCATTTTATTTGTTACTTGAGACACAAGTAAAAAGAAAGAAAATGTTACTCATGAATTTAATTACTGACAATTATAAGGTATTATCTACAAGGACCCAAATTGAAGTAAAAAACCATAAAAAATATTACACATGAAGAAACGAAAAATAACCAAAACTAAAAAACTAGAGCAAGTAATATAGAAATAAAAATATACAGCAAGTAATTAACCTGCTCTATCTGGAAGGCTCATCAGATGAAGATAATAAGACAAACATAACGAGGCTTTACAGTACACTATAAACAAGTTTCCCTGAAAATCCAACATGTTAAGGTTATTGTCATGGAAAGCACTCAGTGTCATATTTATAAATAAATAAGCAAGAGTTCACACAAGATCTATTGTTTAAAAGAGCCTGGCACTTCCTCCCTCTCTCTCTTGCTCCCTCTCTCACCATGTGATAAACTGGCTCCCTTTCCACCTTCTGCCATGATTGCAAGCTTCCTGTGGCCTCACCGGAAGCCAAGCAGATGGTGGTGCCATGCTTCTACTGCCTGCAGAACTGTTAGCCAAATAAACCTCTTTTCTTTATATATTACCCAGTCTCAGGTATTCCTATATAGCAATGCAAACAGACTAACACACTGGCCAAGGCTCCACTCTCCCCCATAGCCTCTTGACTCTATAACCTGATTTACCACCATTACCTGTTTTGGGCTATGTTCTGAGCCCCCATTCTTTCTGTAACCTCAAGAATGTATAAAACTGTACCCCACTGGGGGACTGTGATGCTCCCAGTGTACACATTAATATGAGCGGTCCATTTTGGTTTGATATTTGTGTGACCTTTGATATTTTGGGGTACCCATTTAACTTCAGAGAATATCTTTCATAAAAAGGAACTTAAAAGCCAGGGTTATCGGCAGTTTGTCCTAGCTAAAATCTGATAAGAGATTTGAAAAGATTTTTTTTTTTTTTTTTTTAAGGAGCTCTACAGTCAGAAGTCAGCTTAATTAAAAGCTAGTTTTCAATATATGTATTTAATGGACTTTCTGCTTCTTCTCTTTTTGGATCCTGTTTTGGGGATTTTTTTATTTTTTTAGGTGCCCAAATAACATTTTTAAAATTACGTGTTTGGTCCCTCTGTTTGCTTCCTTGTTTTATGAATTGTTTTCCCATTAATTCTATTTATCTCTACTCTTTCTTCCTCTTTGCCTTTTAAAGTACACATGAAAGGATCTACAGAGGACGTCTAATGACTCAAACCCCTTAAGGAACACACAAAAAAGGCACCACTCACCTCTCTTCTGCCTTTTCTGTCTTCCTGAGGAGTCTAAAGTCATGGACAGATTCATCTCAGGTCTAAAACTCTGCTCTCTTTTGTATTACATTACCCGATCGCTTTGGCTTTTGTGGGTACCAGAGATTACTTTGTACTATGAGAGAACACTTGACCTTTGTATCTGTGATGGCTGACAAGTCACTGGTGAGAGCTGCAGTTTTGGAGGTAGCTGACAGCAGTTGTTTACAGTAAATGGTTATTACTACAGGAGGCTACTCCTTTCTTTGTGCATTTGGATAAGAAAGGCATGATTTAAACACTTAGAGAAATGTCTTTGTAGCAAATTTCATTGTGAAAGGATTGCTCTGTCCAGTCCCATGGTGGTTCCCTTTTGTGGGGAACCCAGGATTCCGTGTAAAAGTGAAATTCTTTATTTTTTAAAGATCTAGACGGTCTGCCTTCCAGCTGTGCATGTTTTTCACATGTTTACATTATTAGGCCCTAAAAACTGCAAATACTTTGTTGGCTCTGTTTCTTTATGGACTCCACCCTGAGCTCAGTTGTCCAGTTGGGAAAGAGATCAAATTAAAAGCTACCTATCTAAATGAAACTGGTCTTCTTACAAAACCCTATGGTAAATTCCTGTGATTTTGTGCTACCTTAGCATCATTCTTTATCTTCCTCTAACTAACACAAAATCATCTTTAAGCTTAAACTTTCCATCACTCTCTGTGCTTTGAGATGTAAATTTGCCACTGTTTTCTCTAAAATTCCATAAGGGCTTCAATCATGTGAAACAGATAAACTTTACTTTTTCCAGTTACACAAAAGCACAGTTTGAATCCCGTGTTGTTTGTTTTGTTTTGAGATGGAGTTTCGCTCTTGTTGCCCAGGCTGGAGTGCAATGGCTTGATCTTGGCTCACTCAACCTCTGCCTCCCGGGTTCAGGCAATTCTCCTGTCTCAGCCTCCTGAGTAGCTGGAATTACAGGCGCCCGCCACTACGCCCAGCAAATTTTTGGTATTTTTAGTAGAGATGGGGTTTCACCATGTTGGCCAGGCTGGTCTCGAACTCCTGATCTCAGGTGATCTGCCCGCCTCGGCCTCCCAAAGTGCTGGGATTACAGGCTTAAGCCACCGCATCTGACCCCAACTGTCCTTTCAAACTAGTGAGTTTTACCTTTCTCACAGCTAAACTTTTAAAGTCAAGGTTATCATGTCATTATTTGTGTTTGTCTGTATTTCTATGCATATATGTGTATACATCTATGTTTACATATTGTCTTTATGATGCCAAATCGACTTACAAAACAAATGAGTATTCATAAATTAAAGAAATGATCCCAAATGTTTTTCAAATCCAATAATTGTAGTAATCTTTGGTAAATAAAGGTAGTTTTAAAAGTGTTGGTAAAATAAAATAGAAATGTCTTTAGAATTTCAACATTTTGGCCTGGGTTGTTTAGTGAGACAGGTTTATACTATCTCTGCTAGATGTTTTAAGGTCACAGTATTGTTGTGTCTGTGATATTTCTCATACCTGCTTAATTTGTCTTTGAGCTTATATCTTTGGATGTGAGCTTTTCAACTCTGAGGTTTAGACAAGTGACCATAGTAAGGCCTGGGGACAACACCCAGGCCCTATCTTCCCTGGCTGGGGTGTGGATCTTGGCCATGCTAGGAGGAATCAGATTGTCCAGGCATTGCCTTCATAGCTCTGTCCTTTATCCTACAGTTTGTATCTGTTATATAATTAAAATGGCTTACTTATATCTTTTTCACTGAAAATAAGTGTTATTAAGAGTTAACATTATAATAAGTATATAAATTAAAACTCCTATACATAAGAAAAACAATTCTATACATAAAGTACAGGAAATTTGTTTTTGTTAAGAAAGGTTATTAAAAAGCATAAAATGTGATTTTTTTAAAGAAAATTAAAATATATCACCCTGAAATATATTTCTTTGACATATTTTAAAATGGCTGCTGCTTGGGCATAAGGCAGAAGTGGCCTTGCAAAGCTACCTTAAGTAGGAAAAATTTGCAGCCATAGAGAATCTACCTTAATACGGCAATGTCCCCTCCCCTTTCTACACCTTTCCCCAGATCCCAGAGAGACTGAGAGTCTGACACCTTTCAAAGTCTGAAAAGAAACATTTACCACCTATTCCCTCTGAGGGAGGCTTCATCTACATAATGAAGGCATTTTTGCTAGCCAGACTTCTTATTTTACTCAGGCTTTGACTGGAATGGCACATATTCAAATATAAACGAACTACTTCAAGGAACTGAGGTTGACTTTATGGAGCCAATAAGAAACCCCTTGGAAAGACTGGTCTGGTGCCTTGTCTATATGGTTCTTTTACAAGGTTCCAGACCTAAGGTAAGTACAGAATATCACTTTCTGACAGGTCCAGGAACCTCAAGTTATTTTGGGACCTCAAAAAAAGAGGAATTCACCCAATTCATACAGGTATTGCAAGCAAAGTCTGATGGTAAATACTTGGCTTGACTTCCTAGCCTCACTGATATCAAAAGTCTAATCTGAGATTCCTTACGCATTTTCCTTATGAAAATCTTTTAGTAAAGCTGATTTAAAAGAGCCCACACGATCAATCAATATTCTTGATGCAAATAGGCCAAGTATGATAAGACTAAAATTTATTTTGCAAATAAGTTAATCCTACTATGATTTTCTCTGGTAGAAATGGGGGGCTGGAGGAAAAAATTGTGTTTCAAAAGAAAATTATAGGCTAGGAATGATGGCTCATGCCTGTAATCCCAGAACACTGGGAGGCCAAGGCAAGAGGATCACTTGAGCCCAGGAGTTTTAGACCAGCCTAGGTAACAAATGAAACCCCATCTCTACAAAAAATCAAAAAATTAACCAGATGTGGTAGCATGTGCCTATGGTCCCAGCTACATATGAGGCTGAGGCAGGAGGATCCCTTGAGCCCAGGAGGTTGAGGATGCAGTGAGCCATGTTCATACCACTGCACTCCAGCCTGGTTAACAAGGCAAGATCCTATCTCAAAAAAAAAAAAAAATGAAAAAAATGAAAATGATAGTATACCCATTTTTGGATTGTCCGTTGTTTTTGAGTTTTTATTATTTGTCTACAATTTGGACTGAATCCTGAATTGTTTCCTGGGTACAAGTCTCCAAATTAACATTTTCAAATTTTTCTTCCATTTCTTCTAACTTAGAATCACTAAGAATCACTAAGAAATTAAAACTGTGCTTTTCTTAAAGCCCTGAAAATGGAAGCTAAACAACTTAAATGAACTTCAGGAGAACGCACACCAACTTACATATAAGCAGCCTTCATGTCTGTTTTGCTGTATAGGCTACTCAGAAAGTTCACTTAAACACCTGATTAAAACTACAATCCAGAAAAATACCTCAGAGGCGCTAGAAAAACTAGTCTATAGACTACTCCAGACATTAACCTTTGTTTTTCTTATGTTTCTACAGAAATGCCTCTTGTTAAAAATCTGTTTGCCTACATCATATATACAGGCCTCGCCCATCTGCAATGCCACCACATGGGCTGGGACACAGCTGTTCAACTGAACTAATCTATGCTCAGGAGTAAGAGACTGATTCAAGAAGATATGAGATGATATACTTAAATTTGCTGTTTTTTGCTTATCTCAAGTTGTTTTCCCATTCCTTTGTCCATCTCTAACAACCTCTAACCCAAATCTCTCCAAAGGTATCAGCTTGGTTGTCATATGTGAAACTTTTTAAAGTTTCAAAGTGGGAACTGAAAGAAATCAAAATATTTTACTCCAAAATATATTTCTTTGACATATTTTGAGATGACTGTCAGAAAGCCAGCAAACAGAAGTGGCCCTGCAAAGCTGTCTTTTGTGAGGGAAATTTGCATCTGTAGAGAATCTACATTGATGCCAGCGGGCCTTCTCTAGCTGGGATCTCGGAAAGATTAACCCAGAGTTTGACACCTTAAAGATCTGAAAGAAGCATTTACTCTCTATTTTCTCCGAGAGCTGCTATCTGTGAGGTTTCATCTATATAAAAAGACTACCTTTGCTAGCTAAGGCTTCCTCTTTTCTCCCTCCCATAACCTGCCTTGCCACTATGACCTGATTTATCACCATTACTTGTTTTTGGCTATGCTCTGAGCCTCCATTCTTTCTGTAACCTCAAGATATTAATAGTATATAAGCTTCTGTACTCCACTACGGGGTTAGGTAATCACTGTGTGATGTTCCCTGTGTCCAGATTAATAAACTGTATGCCTTTTCTCTTATTTGTTCATTTACTTATTACTAGAGATGGATCACACTCTGTTGCTCATGCTGCAGTGCAGTGGCACAATCAGCTCACTACAGCCTTAATCTTCCAGCCTTGAACGATCTAATTTTTTTTTTTCCCTGTAGAGACAGGGTCTCACTATGTGGTCCAGGCTGGTCTCAAACTCCTGGGCTCAAGTGATCCTCCTGCCTCAGCCTCCCAAAGGGGTGGGATTATGGGCATGAGTCACCAGGCCTAACCTCTCTTTCTTTTTTTTTTTTTTTATTAATCTGCCTTTTGTGAGTTGATTTTTTTAGCCAACCTTCAGAGGAAAAAGAAGGCCCCTATAAATGCTTATTAGAAAGCTAGGTGATTCTTAATGAGACCAGTGGGAAACTTTTACTGAGTATCTAGACTATGTTGCTGAAAAATAGTTGTGTAATAATGGAGCAAAGTGATCCTGAAACTCTCTCAAGGGTTTTTTTAGAATTTTTGACATATTTCTGAAATAGGACGTCTGAAGATACAATTCCTGACTACTGATTAAAATAAAATTAGAAATAATAATGTATTTGAGGTTGTATGATATGATGAAAGACACTGGGTAGAGTTTCAATACTGTTAAAGACAAAACATACTTTACATATGTTTTAATCCTCTGTATTATACAAGGACCAGAAGAAGTATTGGAGAAAAATAAAATACCTTCAAACTAAAAAAATCCCATTATTAACCTCTGCTTAAAAAGTTAAATGTGTAATTATAGGCTCACTGGGAAAACATAACCAATGTAGTTATAAAAAAATTGTATGGTTATTTTGTGGGTGCCAGCAATGAGGTTTTAAGGATTATTTCACAGGGGGTTTAGAAGTAGCAATTGTGAAGTATTTTAGGTTGCATAAAACAGGCTTGTCTCATGTTAACTACCCAGCAATTGCAATGGGCCTAATTTACACAATAATTTCTTAGAAGTTACTCTTTTGAAATGCACTGTGTGATTAACTGACTTGGCTTCAAAAATGGAATGTTGTTTCTACATTTTTGTTCACTTCAACCTAATGCCCCCTAGAGCACAGATCCAATTAAGAATTAAGGCAGGGAGGCAGGCAGATATTAAGCACAGTGTTTCTGTATTACACAGTGCTTTTGTATAGGATTGAACACCACCACCTACTGTCTGGAGGCACTAGATTTATTCAGTGTATCCCTGTGACACTGTGAATATGGCTGATGGAAACCCATGAATATGAGTTAAAGCAAATATCTTAGCAAAGAACTACAACCAGATAAATTTACCTTACAGCAAAATTTTTGGTGCTTTTTAAAATAAAAGCCTATCTACACCTAAAAACTTAATTTTCACATAGAAATACAAAGGATAATAACCTGTTCTATTAATTATTTATATCTGCAGTAAGAATAGAATTTTCCTCTGAAATTAATGTTTTCAACCAAATTGCCATCACGGAAACAATTCTTATGTTTCAACAGCATTTACATTTCCCATCTTGTTCAGAAGTCATGCACTTTGTTAGTAGAGGCGAGATCTGTAATCAGTAGAGTCATATACCAAAATTCATGTTATTGATGAAAAAGAGTCAAACTCTGTAAAATATTTGAAGGAATATATTTTGAGCCAAGTATGAGTGACCAAGGTCTAAGGCACAGTCTCAAGAGGTCGTGAAAACATGTGCCCAAGGTGGCTGGGTTACAGCTTGAGTGTATACAGAAGTTACAGGCAGACATCAATCAATATATGTAAGGTACACATACATTGGTTCAGTCTGAAAAGGCAAGATAACTGGAAGTGGGGGTTTCCAGGTCTTGGTGGATTCAAATATTTTCTGATTGGCAATTGGTTGAAGGAGTTAAATTATTATCTAACGACATGGAATCAGTAGAAAAGAGTATCTGAGTTAAGATAAGGGGTCCTGGGGACCAAGGTTCTTATTATGTAGATGAAGCCTCCAAGTAGCAGGTTTCAGAGAAAATAGATGCTAAATGTCTCTTACCAGACCTAAAAAGGTGCCAGACTCTTAGTTAATCTCTCCTGGATCAGAAGGAAACCTGGAAAGGGAAAGGGATTCTCTACAGAATGCAGATTTTCTTCATAAAAGACAGCCTTGTAAGGGCATTTCAAAATACGTCAAAGAAATATATTTTGGGGTAAAATTCTGACCAAGCCCTGCTATCTGTCATGTCAAACTGACTCTACACTAGAGTCAGTTTGGAATTTGGTATCTTATTGCAACAAAGAGTCAGTTTTTTCAGTCTTAAGATCTCTTTTTTAGTGTTAATGCTGGTCAGTTGTGCCTGAATTCCAAAAGGAGGAGAGTATAATGAGGCACATCCGACTCCTCCTTCCCATAACAGCCTGAATTAGATTTTCAGATTTACTTTGGAATCTCCTTGGCGGAAAGGAAGGATCGATTCAGTTGGTTGGGGAGCCTGGAATTTTATTTTTCATTTTACAATGTGAACACAGCATTTATATTTTGAGAAGTTAGGGTTCCTTACCATTAAGACTGCTTCTTCTAAGATAAGAGCCAGTAGGCCGGGCACGGTGGCTCAAGCCTGTAATCCCAGCACTTTGGGAGGCCAAGGAGAGCGGATCACGAGGTCAGGAAATCGAGACCATCCTGGCTAACACGGTGAAACCCCGTCTCTACTAAAAATACAAAAAAAAGTAGCCGGCCGTGGTGGCAGGCGTCTGTAGTCCCAGCTACTCGGGAGGCTGAGGCAGGAGAATGGCGTGAACCCGGGAGGCGGAGCTTGCAGTGAGCCGAGATCGTGCCACTGCATTCCAGCCTGGGCGACAGAGTGAGACTCTGTCTCAAAAAATAAATAAATAAAAAATAAGAGCCAGTAACAGGATCTCCTTACAACCACATGTTCAAATATTATTCAAGCTTTGCTTCACACATAAATGTCCAAGTCATTCCTCCAGCCCCACTCCACCTGCTCTCATCCAGCTTCCCTCCCGCTTCTACTCTCTCCGAGTAAATTTCTAGACTGCTGACTCAGCTGAACATCACCTAAGCCCATTACTCTGGGCTGCAAGTTCATCAAGAAGGAAAGAGTTAAGCCTAACTCTCAACTCTTCATAGAGCATAGATAAGGCCTCCAATATTGTTACGAGGGCAGAAGCCTAGTAGTTGAGAAAACATGGAACCAAGAAGTGCACAGACTCAACTATAATCCTACCTCTATCCTGACACTATGACCTTTGGAAAGTTACTCAGTGTCTCTGAGCCAGTTATATATTTACATACGAGGATACATGAAAAATAAGAAGGATTATTACAGAGGATTTATTAAATCCCCTCTGGTAAAAAAAAAAAAATGCTAATGCTGTAATGTGGAAAGAGCAGCAGTTGAACCAAGGACAGGCTCAGATCTCCTGGGTTTAAATCTCAGCTAGATCACTTCCTAGCAATATGACTGTGGGTCTCTGATTTCTTCTCTCTAGCATGGTGATACACCTCATAGCATTGTTATAAAAATTAAATGAGTCAATATTATCAATAAGTGCTTAGAATAACAGCTGACACATATCAAGTGCTCAATATATGTTTGTTATTGTCATTGTTATTCTAAAAATTTCCAGTGACATACAGGTGTAAGCAGCCACCTGACATGCTGCCTCTATTTCCCAGTAGACAACATTTTACAAAGTAGCAGGCTCTTCTGTTTTTTCAACTTTTCTTTTTTCCAGTCCTGGAAATAATCCTTTATAACTGCAAAGTGTGGTAGAACATGAACCCCAATGACAGTCCAGAGTGATCATCTACAAATCCCATTTTTAAAGCATCAAAATAATAATAATAGTAATAATCAAAAAATTATAACATTATTGTTTTGTTTCCAGTCCCTTTTGTAGAATTTATTTCCTCATCTTTGAACAGACTGAACTTTGCTGTGATCATATGTTTGGCCAAAAGAGATATAAAAAGATTGTAGAACTAAAGTGAAAATAGTTGAATTCTTCCAATAACTGGAGGTAAGTGGAGCCTTTCAGTAGGAGTTGGATAATAAAATTTGTAATTTAAAGAAATGTACTTTTCAATCAGCTATTTACATTTGTTTAAGAAAGCAATGTTGTGTAGCAGTATTGCTGAAATGTTATAGAATTAATGCATTATTTTGCTGTTGTCCATGACTGAAGAGGGGAAGATATAAGAAAACTGAAAAATTATAACCCCCAAATAATCAATATTTAAGAAGGTGTAAAATAGTAAAAATATTTAATGTGAAAAATATCTACCTAATACAAGGAAAATAAAGCAAGAAACAATCCATCTCCATGGCTTCTCCCTCACCCTCACCTCAGAACACACACACACACACACACACACACACACACAGAGAGAGAGATAGACAGATATATTAAGACAGCAGCTTCTTTTATCATGCACAGAGGAATAAAATATTTTCCATTCCTTCCTTAGCTCCATGTAAACTCACAAAACACTGCTCTCTAGGGTTTTCCAACTTGTGAAACAAAGCATCCATCCCAGAGTTTGTTTGTTTTAAGACAAGGTCTTGCTTTGTCACCCAGGCTGGAGTGCAGTAGTGTGATCTCAGTTCAGTGCAACCTCCGCCACCCAGGCTCAAGCCATTCTCGCATCTCAGCCTCCTGATTAGCTGGGACACAGGTGCATCCCACCATATTTTTTGTGGCTAATTTTTTTTTTTTTTTTGGTAGAGACAGGGTTTTACCATGTTGCTCAGGTTAGCCTTGAACTTCTGGCCTTAAACAATCCACCTGCCTTGGCCTCCCAAAGTGCTGAGATTACAGGCATGAGCCACCATGCCTGGCAGTCTCAGAGTTTATGAAACCATTAAACTATAGATGGCTTAAAGCATACTGGAAATGTAAATGTTCTCATAAAGTATGATTAAACATGACCAAAAAAACATATGGCATAACAGCAACAAAACAGAGCAGACAGCTGTATACAGGGACCTGGGCCTGGAATCCTTACTATGTCTCCACAGCTTGGAGACTGGTGCTCAGCATCATCAATATGAAGGATCTGACTGACACCTAAGCTAGGAGGGAAAACAAAAGAAACTTTGAAAATGTAAAATAGTTTCCGACTGATTTTCATAAGAAAGCTGGAAAGCTCAGTGTGTTTAATCGTTTTTACTTAGCAAAGAATTTATCTTTCATATTCTTATAAAGTGGCTTTCTTCTGTGTTATCAGTAAAAACTAACACTGACCTTCCTCTTGGAAGGTTAAACTTCTAGCTTGTGTTTGAAACGCTAGAGTGCCTTTTCTCAGAAGAAATGCTACATATACGTGCCGCAAGCAATGAAAAAGAATACACCATCTCTCCGACCCTTCATTAGTCAGAGGATCTTGGCAACAGCAATGCTGCTTGTGTACGGTCTCTGCATGAAAAACTGTTTTCAAAGGTAACCTTGCCAAGGGCTATGTTCTGTCTTGGCAAAAGGAAGCAAACTTTACTTATCTACCAATCGGTTTGCTCTGCATGAGAAACAGGTGTTAAGGTATGAAACGGGGCTAGGAGCAGTAGCAAAATAAAACTCACCCAAAATAAGTTTCATCTGGAAAAAACACACAACTCAGAGATAATAAGCCTGCAGGGCCAACATGTTTTTGCAAAATGCAAATCATGAAAACTGGTTAAGGGATTAAATGCTCTTTTGCAAAAATGACCATGGAGATTATAATCATTAATTAAATTCATGTAAATAATTTTCTGAAAGAACTCTCCTTTTTTATCTCATAGGTTTCAAACAGTCTAATGGTAAAAAGGTTTAGTCTCAGAAGAGATTCTCTAATTAAAACTAGAAATCTGGTATAATTAATAAGTGTCAGCCTGCAATCTCAACCACTTAGTAAAGGCAGAGAAATCAAATGCTGATGTTTTGTAAAAAACCTAATAAAATCTCCAAGAAAATGAAATTTTTATAGGGTCTACTTCCCATCAATACAATAGGTGTCCCAGATGGGACTAGAAACTTCTTAAAGTAGATAAATATTTTAACACTTACAATTCCTATATGCCAGTTTTATTTGTTTTTCTTTTCTCTTTGGAGTTGTAACTCAACCCAAAAGAAAGCTTTCAATGATTTAACTTGGGTTTACATTTTTGAATTATCTAAGCTCCCTGATTCTTTCACTTTTTTTCCTCATTATCTTCACCCAGAGGTGAACCAGAGCAAAAAAGACAAGATGAAAGTCAAACATATCAATTTCAAATTTTGATTACATAGTCTTGCATAGTTCCTCCTTCCTTTCACTGGATGTCCAACTGTACGACAGCTTTAGTGTTTATAAGTTTAATTTTAACCACAAGTAACAGTTCAAAGAACAAAGATAACTGGTTTTTAGTAACTAAGTTTTTGGTTTGCAGCTTGGTCTAGAGTTCTGCCCATACAGGTAAGGTAAACTGATTATTATCTGACAACAACACAGCCAGAGGCATTTTCCAAAAATCCATTTCACATTGTTTGTTGGTGGCCTCCCCTCCCTATGCAACAGCCCCTGACTTCTACTGGGAAACCAAGGGATTCCAGGAAAAGTTGACTCCACTGGTGGCTCCAAGAATAGATGGCTGAGCGTAGGCTAAGCTAATTATTCTTCTTTACCTCTGCCACTATTTGAACCCCATGTGGTCCAGGCTGAGCTTATCTCCGGACTGTGCCTGAACACTGTGTGCCGTTGGGGCTCAGAACATGACACCTCAGTGTATGGTACCTTGGCATACTGAATACTTTGAACAACAGAACACTGGGGCTAGGTGTGGTGGCTCATGCCTGTAATCCAAGCACACTGGGAGGCAGAGACAAGTGGATGGCTTGAGTCCAGGAGTTTGAGACCAGCCTGGGCAACATGGCAAAACCCGGTCTCAACAAAAAATACAAAAAAATTAGCTGGATGTAGTGGCATGCGCCTGTAGTCCCAGCTACTTGGGAGGATCACTTGAGACTGGGAGGCAATGGCTGCAGTGATCCGAGATTATGGCACTGCACTCCAGCCTGGGTGACACAGTTAGATGCTGTCTCAGTAATAATAATAACAATAGTAAAGAACATTGGAAGAGCCTTAGAAGCAAGGTCTTTCTGACTTTCTTCCCTTCTCATATCCCCTGCCCCTTTTTTCTGCCCCTACCAAAATCATTCATAGAAATCAGAATTTCTTTCCACCATGGAAGATCATAGAAACTGGAATTCCTCAATCCCAGACCGTAAAAACCTAGAGAGGTCACAGTCTCCCTTCTCCCTTGAAGATCCTCATTCCAGAGAAGTCCTGCCCCATAATTCCTCAATCCCAGACAGTAAAAACCTAGAAAGGTCACAGTCTCCCTTCTCCCTTGAAGATCCTCATTCCAGAGAAGTCCTGCCCCATAATCGGGAGGAAAAAATGGTACACAAAGAGGCCGGGAAAAATCTAAACAGACAGGCCTTGGTGGGTCCACCTACCCTCTCATCTATTACCATTAGATCATAGCCTTTTGTCCAATCACATTTCTACATAGCTGTCTATTCTTCATCAAACCTAAGCATAAAAATAGACAGTTTTCCCTGGGTTTGTGGGTCTTGATTTCTGAAGGCTCCATGTCACATAAAGCATTAATTAAATAAATTTGTTTTTTCTCGTGTTAACCTGACTTTTTTAATAGGAATGTTGGCTGTGACTGTCTTTGTTTTTGTTTTTTGAGATAGAGTTTCACTCTGTTGCCCAGGCTGGAGTGCAGTGGCATGATCTCCGATCACTGCGACCTCCGCCTCCTGGGTTCAAGTGATTCTCCTGCCTCAGCCTTCCAAGAAGCTGTGATTACAGGCGCATATGCCACCACACCCAGCTAATTTTTGTATTTTTAGTAGAGTAGGGGTTTCACCATGTTTGCCAGGCTGGTCTCGAGCCCCTGACCTCAAGTGATCCACCCGCCTCGGCCTCCCAAAGTGCTGGGATTACAGGTGTAAGCTACCGCACCCCGCCAGCTGTGACTCTTACAATGTGTGAGGAAAGGAATCACACCCTTTCACCACTACCGTGGCATACCACCAGATGGTCTTTCCTTTCCTGGACTGGCTGGTATGCAGATGTGGGGCCTCAGTCACCTTGCTACCAACAGAGAGGCCGGCCTGCAGCAAGAGCAAACTGAATAGGACATACGCTTTCCATACACTGTCCATGCACTGAATAGGACAAGGTCCAGAACACTCTGGTGAATGGAGCTGGAGCTGATGGATTGAGGAAATTCTGAAACCTACCCAACCTCTGAGCCTCTGTTTATATGAGCCTATCAAGGCCTTGACTTGGTAAGTGCGAGTTGTTGCTTTTGTTACTTGTAACATAAAAGATCCAAACCAATTTAAATGTATACAAGGTATTCAACTCAATTACTTGGAAGATTACAATATACTGTGGTAGAGACAGATGCACTGCTCAGATCCCTCTTCAAAGTAAGGACTTGCAGCCAACTACAGGGTGGGGCAGCAGCCAGCCTATTCCGAACAGCAGCCTGCAACAGCCACTGAGTGAGGCGGAGCATAAACATCCATCCATGTCAACCCAAAGCAGGACACTCCAACAGGGAATATATGCTTGAGGGCTCCTGTTGGGTTGGCCAACACATCTTTGTGACCGCATCAAAGTTTGAATTTTACCTCTGTTCAATCCTCCTTCTTTCATACTTTCTTCTATGGAGGTTGACGCCTAGTAAACATCTTATACCCCAATCTCGATCTCAGTGTCTGCTTCCAAAGAATCCAACAGTAACAAAACATCTCTGTCCTTTTTCATATTATAACACACTTTCACATTATAAAAACATAAGCAGAAAAAAAAAGCAATTAAATACATATGAGAAACCACATGTAAACAAACAAAATGCCCCATCTCTCCCCTTTTCAACCCTCCTTTGATAACACTCTAGCCACATATAGAACAAATGTTGGTGAGGCAGAAAGGCATTATTTAATAAATTGAAGTAATACAATTAAGTTTGCTGGAAACCTACTTAAAATTGAAAAGGCTTTGAGCAATGTATTTCTCATGAGTCACCAGTTTCGCTTTTTTTAAAAAACAAAAATTGTAAATGTTGGAACAAGAACCTTTTTCTTATTATTGCCCGTTTTTATTAAAGGGGATTTCATGTATAATCTGGGTAAGATTTAAATATATAGATGATGGGAAATAGATATTTTCAATCAAAATTTGCTGTGAAGCAAATTTCTTTTAAGTGATTCCATTTTTAATTAACTGCCATTATAAACCTGGAGATCAATTGAACAATGAAAAGATCACACCTGGGATTGTAGGTTTTCTTTACAACTAATATATTTAAAGGTATAAAGAACTTTGATAATAATTTAGGGATTCTAGTCTCACTGCCTCATCAAAACATTTCTTGCTGTGGTCACCAAAGACATTCAATTCACAAAATCCATGGACATTCATCAATCTCTTTTTGTTGACTTTTCTAAAGCATTATTGTTCCCTTGACACTTCTCTTCCTTTGACTTCTACCACACTAAACTTTTCTAGTTTTATTCCCATTTTTCTGCTTCTCCTCTGTATACTTTCCAGCACTCTGGGAGGCCAAGTCGGGGGGAACATGAGGTCAGGAGATCGAGACCATCCTGGCTAACACAGTAAAACCCCATCTCTACTAAAAATGCAAAAAATTATCTGGGCATGGTGGCACGCACCTGTAGTCTCAGCTACTCAGGAGACTGATGCAGGAGAATCGCTTAAACTTGGGAGGTGGAGGTTGCAGTGAGCCGAGATTGTGCCACTGCACTCCAGCCTGGCCGACAGAGCGAGACTCTATCTCAAAAAAAAAAAAAAAAAAAAAAAAAAAAAAAAAAAAAAAGATACCTGTATATCTTGGTCCAAGGCCTCTATCCCTTCTCACTCTATTAGCAATCTCTGGTGTTCTCAGCCATACTCATGGCTCTAAAGCAGCACTTATCAACAGATTACTAATACACAGATAAGCATAGTTCACTTATACACAGATAACTCACATAACATTTCAAATGGATGCCTCAAAGGCACCTCAAATTCCACCTGCCAAAGAGTGAACTTTTGACAGGCCTCCTCCCAAATTGCCTATCTCAGAGAATGGTGCTGCTATTCATCCTGTAAAGAAAAACCAAAACCAAATAGTTTTACGTAAAATCCCTCTTTCCTTCACTGTCTCCCCATATTCAAATCCATCAAGTTCTGTTGGCACAGCCTCCAAAAGGTATTCTGAATTTATGTACTTTTCCCTATCCCTATTGGTGCTATCATAAAACGAAATGCTCTCATCTCTCACTTGGACTGCAATGGCCTTCTAACTGGTCTTGCGAGCCAGTTAGAATTTGTGCCCCTTGTTTAAAACATTGCAGTGTTGCTGCTTTTGGGGTAAAGACCAAAAATCTTAATATGGCTACAAGGCCAGACATCTTCTGGCTTTTGCCTCAATTTCCATCCACACTAATCTCTTCCTTTTTCCTATACCTGGCCACAGGAGCTGATTTTCACTCTTAACTCCTACCATGGACCTTTAGCACCTATATTTCCTTCTAACCCAAATGCTCACCACTCTCCCATACCATCCCCAGAATAACCCCTGCTTCTTCCTTAAATCTCTTCTTAATCTCTACCTCCTCAGGGAAGATCCTCATGGTCCTCTGATTCTGGACCTGCTCACATCCTTGATGTCAATTATAGGCTTTCCTAGGAAAATTCTGTATTTGTTTGTGATTATTTGAGAAACCTCCTTCTTCCCCATAGACGGTAAGTTCCTAAAAGGGCTGAGACCCACAGCTTTTTTCCCCTTGTTTAGTTTTTGTTTTGTTCACCATTATAACTGAGGTTCCTGACAAACTGCCTCATACACAATAGGCACTCAAGAGATATTTGTTAAAAGAATGACCAAAGAGTTAAATAAATATAAGTAAAATGCTTTTGTTGTTGTTGTTGTTTTGTATTGAGACAGGGTCTCACTTTGTCACCCAGGCTGGAGTACAGTGGCACAAACACGGCTCACTGTAGACTCGACCTCCTGGGCTCAAGCAATCTTCCCATCTCAGCCTCCCAAGGAGCTGGGACTGCAGGTGTGTGCCACTATACCCAGCTAATTTTTGCGTTTTTTGTAGAGATGGGGTTTAGCCATGTTGATCAAGGCTGGTCTTGAACTCCCAAGCTCAAGCAATCTACCCGCCTTGGCCTCCCAAAGTGCTGCGATTACAGGTGTGAGCCACCATGCCCAGCCAAAATTGAATGTTTTAATAAGCTTAATCATAACATAAAGAAATAATTAGTAACATGTATCATCACTAAATAATCTGAGTAGATAAAATCTCCTGTTTTGACAAATTATAGACATCTTAAAAATGCTTCCCATGTATGAATTTGATTATGGCATACCACATGGGAGCCATTCACCCTCAGTCTTCCACATTTTCTCCCTTGTATTTCCCTTCATTGTGTGGACCTTCCTTAGCCTACCCAAATAGCCTGAATCAAGACCACCCTTTCACAATGCCTTCCCTGGCTTCAGCATTTAATGGTCCCCCCTTTTTTTCCACCATAATATTTCTTATGGAAGAGGTTGGCAAATTTTTTCTGTAAAAAGCTTGATAGTAAATAATTTAGGCTTTGCAGGCTATATGGTCTCTATCACAACTACTGTGCTCAGCCACTGTAGCAGAAAAGCATTTGTAAACAATATGTAAGTGAATGAACATGGGTGTGTTCCAATAAAATTTAATTTATAGGTAATTAACTAGAATTCCATATAATTTTCATATCATGATAAGTTATCTTTCTTTTTTAAAAATTTATTTCAACCTTTGAAAATATAAAAGTCAGTTTTAGCATGTGGGCCATACAAAAACAGGCGTTGGCCAGATTTGGCCAATGGACTAGGTGGTTTGTTGACCCTCTATCTCACAAGACTTACCGGGGTTTCTCAGAGCACATACCTTGGAAAGTTAGTTTTACTTGAGGATATTTTAAGGGGTTTTCAAATGCCTGGTTGTATTTTATAGGTTAAACATGAATACATAGTCACTATCATCTCTTTTTGTATACTAAAATAACCAATTATTTAACTTGTGCCACTAAGTTTTTGTTGTTGTTGTTTCCTCTGTTGGGTGTGCGTGGGGGTGCTGCTTAAAAGAAACTCTTCTTGCCCTCTTATTTAACTGAAGACTATCACAATGTGACGTTAGCAGAGCAAGCTGTTAAAACGAAACAAAACCTTACAACATACAACCACTTATCTGTGTGAATCAAAATTCTTCTCTACAATATGCAGCCTGAACAAAATACAGAAACAAAGTGAAAGCTGAGGCTAATGACATGTTGCCATGGCTATCCAAAGCACATAATATATAAGTAATACCAACAACAGTATTTAACATTTATTGAGTCCTTCCCACAGACCAGTCCCTTTGCTACTTAAAAACGGCCTCATTTCCTGAATAATTTCTTGAGTAAATGTTATAAACATTTGAACTTGCATGACAAAATTACAGTAACAAAAGATCGCATTTCTCTGTTTTCTATGTTGGTGTTGTGCACGCACTTTGATTTGGAAAGGGAGCTCTGCTTTTACTTTTTCCTTTAATACACCACCCATTTGGGTACTTTATTGCATGTTTCTTATTATTATTTCTTTATTGCATGTTTCTTTTTTATTATTTGCTTCTCTGCTGTTTGTTTTATATGAACCTTGCTTTTTCTCTAAGTAGGTTGTTACATATGTTTCTTGAGAATGGGAATCAGGCCTTATACTTTCCCCCTACTTCTTACACACACAGCACATACCCTCTACACTCCACTAAAACAAAGCTTAGCACAGCAGGACCCTAGGAAATGAACTGCTGCTTACAGAAGTGAATTTTTAACTTAATTTGTGAATTCCTTAAATTTGCATTTTGCTTAAATGCATTTCACTGAAACTGAGGTACACGTAAGAATTCTTCTAAATTTTTAATATGCTGTAATCTTTACATTATGTTGTAGATTAGAATAACATGTGGATAGCAAAATGAAATATTTAGTTTTAGTAACAGTAAAATAATATATAACAGCATGTTTTCTTTGTTAATTTAGGTGTTATACACCTTTGCCTGGTAAACACAATATCTTTCCTCTGTTTATTTTCTGGCATTAGCTTTGGCGCTGTCCTGTAATCTGCCAGGCTGAGGAAAATATTACTTTACATACTAAAACTTAATGGACTGCACCACCAAAAATTAACTAGTGTCATTGTTGTAATTAAAGATCAGAGAAGCTCTTCAAAGCCTCCTCCTAGTATGCTGGACCAGTGGAGATCTGGACTTTTTCAAACGACCCTTAGCGATCCAGAGAAAGGTGGATACAATGAGAGTAGATAACACTTGGCCTTCAGAAATTAGAGAGTGAGGCTGGAGCTGAATGAGTCTCTTTATTAGTTTTTTTTAGGCAGGGTCTCACTCCTGTTGCACAGGTTGGAGTGCAGTGGTGTGATCATGGCTCACAGCCTGGACTTCCTGGGCTCAGATGATTCTCAGCCTCCCGAGTAGGAACTATGGTTCCTACTCACATACATCACAGGTACTTGCCACCACACCTGGCTAATTTTTGTAGTTTTAGTAGATATGGGGTTTTGCCATGTTGTCCAGGCTGATCTTAAACTCCTGGGCTCAAGCAATCTGCCCACCTCAGTCTCCCAACTGCTGGGATTACAGACGTTGAGCCACTGTGCCTGGCAAGTGGGTGTATCTTTATGTAAATATGGAATTAACAAAATTTGGAGTTGTTTTCTATTGCCAAGAATCATTTATAGGTCTCATTAAATGCTTTCCCCAAAATGAGAACACAAGCAGCCTTTTTCAATTACACACCTGAGGGATGAATGTTTCCCAAAGGGAACAGAATGAAAATAAGCAGTAACTACTGAATTTGTGCATACTGTTAAGATGTATGACATATTTTCAGAATTTGGTTATTTTTGTTTTGTTTTGAGGAAAGAAAGGACAATGAATGGAGAGAGTGACTATGGTATACTCTCTTCGATTCCTATATTATATAAACATATAATCAATGTGTGAAATAATTACACAGAAAATTGGCAATAGAGAGGGAGAATAAAACACTTCTAAACCATTCACTTAGACCAATAACAAAATTTAACAATTAATATTTTAACTTTATACCTGTGCAGACCTCTTTTTTCACCACTCTATCCCTCCCCCCATACATGCATCATGCATACTTCCAAGCACCCTTCCAGAGAATATATTAAAATTCAATGTTTATAATTAATTAACATAAAAGCTGGTAATTAGTTTACTATTAAAAAATGCCATTTTCTGTATTTTATGTGCCATAACCTACTGTTATTATAATGTTCCCACTAAAAATTTTAATCTACTTAAAAAAAAAAAAAGAGTAGTTTGTTGCAGACGGTTATGTTCCCCTGGAACTACTGCCCCCTTGAGTTCTATAAGAAAACTCAGTCCTGCACCACCCCTCACTGCATTTTGTCAGTAAATTACCAATGAAAAACAAAACTTTATGAGGAACCATAGTTGACTTCACTGATGTGGAGCATTAAAACGATTACTACTAAAGAAGATTTCCTTTGAATTTCTAATAAGAAACTGCTCTTGAAAAGCTGAAAAGGTAATTTACACTACTAGATATTCCCTAAGGGTCACCAATGAAAAAGTATTTTATCATACAGTGTTTACTGCCTTAGAAGAATTTCCTTTTCTACCTATTCAAGTTCACAATTCTACACTGACAGTTTTTAACATCTTCTGATTTAGTCATTTTATTGCATTTATATCGGCAAAGATTATACGCAGACCTCAGAATTAAGTGGGTAGGTCTAAGGGTAAGTACAATAGAATAAGATTTAAAATCTTTAACTCAGCGGGGTGTCTATGTTTTATTCTAATGCTTAAATTTATTTCAAGATGTAATGTAAATGTATGATAATGTACAAAGAAACAGTGTGATTTTTAAAAATCAAAGTCATTAAATACTTAGAAAACCACAGATTCAGGATGTTGGAGCTTGAACACATCTGCATGTACTATTATAAGCCTTAATTTTAGACGTCTGTATTCACTTTTGTAGTTTCTTGATCACTTGATGTTCTAAAATAATAGCATAAAGTCTATGGATTAAAAATCAAAATCTGCACCTCCACATAGTGTGCTCTCTGAGTGCTGCACAGTTAAAAAGTCTCGAGCTCTTAAACTTTAAATGGTTACTTTACTGGAACACAGGCACAAAACGCAATCTATAGCTCATAGTAGTGTGTGCTCTTTTCAGTCATTGTTTTGTACAAATTAAGCTCCCTTGACCATTTAGTTAATCAAAAAGCAAAGGTAGAACATGAGGGAAAAGCTCTTCTGCACAAATTATGAAATCATCATTCTGATAAAAAGGGACAAAATTATGTATCTTTGTATACCTTATATCCAGAAACTTGTTCAAACTCTGGTATACAAAGGAGGGGTGACTATTAGGTGAACAGGTTTCCTTCATACAAATGCCAGCAGGACAAGTGTTGAACACCATGTAACCATTTTGCATTATTTGGAGAAGAAATCCAGAAAACTTTTCCATATTCACATCCATTCCATCTCTCTCCAATATATTTAAAGAATACTGAAACTATTTTTAAACTTCACTCTGCTCATTCACATGAACAACATTTACAACTTCCCCATTCATGTACAAAAACAGGTCTGTGGACAAATAACATAAAGTTGCAAATGTGTTCCTACTATTTTATGAAAGAAAGGTCTTTTTGTAATTGAAAATAGATTCCTTTCAAAATCTGCAAAGGGCCCCCATAGTCTGCTCTAAAAATGTTATTGTCTAAACCATTTCTGGGACTAATTATTACATTATTTACTATGATTAGGAATCTCATGGAGGCTGAAGCAAAAATAAAAATGACTTTAGAAGCCTAAATTTTGAGAGGTTATATCAAAATTGACAGGAACAAGGATGCAAAAAAAAAAAATAAATGAGTGACCTTCTATGAAAAAATAAACTGTTTATCTTGGCAAGCCTATTTCTTATGCATTTTATCAGAGCACTTCAAAATTGGTAGGGAAGCAATCATCACACTGAGGAAAAAACTTGCTTCTCTGGCCAAATATGATAAGTGATATATTTAGCTCTTCTACTTTGTATATAAGTGAGTCCTCTTAAAAAGCAAATAAGCCATTTACAACATTCATTTAAAAATCATAACGTAATATATTTACATTTGGGGAGGCTCATGAATTTTTCTTCCTATTAATGGTAAGCATTTTCCATGTGTCCATCAGAATTCTACTTTTAAAGGTCCCAAATCAACTTTTATAAATACCATCAAATGGTTAAAAAAAAAAAATTTTACCTACAATATGAAAATAAAGAACTGAGAACAGATATCGGTGGGAACCTCAGATGCTTTCTCACTTAATATGTGGTATTTATTTAACCTTTACCATACAGGAAGAAAGAGAGGGGATGATATTTATGTCCACTGTGTGGAGAAACTCAATCTAAATAAAATTTAAATAAAGTATTTTAGTAAGCTATTAACAAAGAAATTATTGAAGAAGTCTCTTCTAGTCCTAACCTCATATACTGTATAGGGTAGATCAGTTGAGTAGCTAATTAAATAAATTAACAAAATATTTTAGAGCATCTGTTTTGATAATTTATTGACAATTTAGATAATTTTTGATTCTTCAACAAATCTTAACAATATTTGGTGTATTAGGAACATATAATGTGTTAGGAACCCATTATGTACAATTTAGCACTTTTATTATTAGAGACAATAAATGGCAAATTTACTTACAATTTATTCATAATAAGAACTAATATGATGATAAATGGCATCATTCACAGAGTTTTCAACAGAACAAAATGACACAAATTCGATTGTTTGAAAAGAACTAGGAAATTTTATGAAGAGAACTGTCTTCTCAGAAGTAAGAAAAACTGATAAATCAATTTCCTAGACAGGTAAGATCATTGCAAGACATGGACATACTCTCTATGCCAAAACACAACTTCTAAAAACATAGATAAAATTGTTCTGTAAGTTTAAAATTCTAAGGAGCTAAAACTGCTCTAAATCTGTTTAAACAGCATGATTACCATATCAATCTAGTTATCTTCCTAGATATAGATTCAATGTTTTAAAACTGTTATACGCTTGTTTGCAATTCCATAAAGCTAAGGAGTCCAAAAAAAGTGAATGATTACTGCAACACAAAATACTCTGATTTTGTTCATAAATGTTAGTTATCCTTTGCATATGTACTGAAGTGGCAATTTATTTAGGCATGAAGAGTCCACACACGGAGCATTAGCAAAATGATTTTTCAGCTCAGTAAGAAGCCATTAATTCATTATCAATAACATTGATCCTGTGCAAATAGAAAATATAGTGTTTTTCAGACATGAGCATAACAGCTCTCAATTTAGGCAGTTAACCACATAGGACGATCTTAGTGTTACAAGGCCCATTTTCTCCAGAATGTCTTTGGTGGCAGTTCAAAATCAATACCAAACGTATGGAAGATGCCCCAAAAGACCACTGGAAAATGTGCTTAGTTACCCTGGAGTAAGAGAACATGATTGACAAGCAAGGGAAAGTGTAATGGGACACAGAGAAGGAGAATATAGTCAAGCTTTCTTGCACTCATTGGCTCAACTTGGGATGAGTCAAATTATCCAGAAGTAAACTCCAGAAGAACAAGAATTTGGCATTAAGCAGACAAAAACAATAAGATCAGCTTTTCTTATTTGTGGGGTGTGGGATACATGCAACAAATGTGCCTGGATGGCCAGTGAGTATGGAAGGAAAAGGATCAAGAAACAAGGAGCTGTCTGAGCAATGGGAGGACAGTATGAAGCTCTGGGTTAAGGAGGGCAGGCCTCATAAGAATGGATGAAAGGCAAGAGAAGTATGTCAAACATAAGCATCCTGCTTTGGGCTTTGCACTGGAAGTTAAAAGTCCCCTATGGTGTGTTGAAGAGTGAAAGAGTGGTACACATGTAAAGGCACATGCATGGGGCATTTAGCTAGTTTACTGATGGGCCTAGTAGAACTAAGGTTATACATATATTAATATGGTTTGGCTCTGTGTCCCCATCCAAATCTCATCTCAAATTGTAATCCCAAGGTGTCAAGGGAGGGGCCTGGTGGGAGGTGAATGGATCATGGGGGCAGTTTCTCCCATGCTGTTTTCATGATAGTGAGTTCTCAGAAGATCTGCTGGTTTTATAAACGGCAGTTTCACCTGTGTGTTCACACTCTCTCTCTACCTTTCTAGCCGCCTTGTGAAGAATGTGCCTGCTTCACCCTCCCCACGATTGTAAGTTTCCTGAGGCCTCCCCAGCTGTGTGGAACTGTGAGTCAATTAAACCTCCTTTGTTTATAAATTAACCAGTCTCAGGTAGTATCTTTCTGGCATTGTGAAAATGGACTAATACATATATATTACTTGGACAAAAGCCTGCCACTATGAAAGTTGGACATAGCTCTAACATTCTAGTTTTTAACAAAAGAACTAAGCAATTCATTTTTGCATGACTGACTCTTTGTTGATATTCTGATCTCAACTTAAAGATTATACCTTCAGGCTGGGAGTGGTGGCTCACGCCTGTAATCCCAGCACTTTGGGAGGTGGGGGTGGGCAGATCACGAGGTAAGGAGTTCGAGACCAGCCTGACCAACATGGTGAAACCCCGTCTCTACTAAAAACACAAAAATTAGCCGGGCGTGGTGGTGCACGCCTGTAATCCCAGCTACTCAGGAGCCTGGGGCAGGAGAATCATTTGAACCCGGGAGGCGGAAGCTGCAGTGAGAAAAGATCATGCCACCGTACTCCAGACTGGAAGACAGAGCGAGACTCCAGAAAAAAAAAAAAAATTATATCTTCAGAGGTGTCTTTCCTGACTACCTAGTGTCTCTCTTTCCATAACATCATGCTACCATAATTCTCTGAATAACATTTTATACTGTCTAACAGGTTTCTTATTTATCTATCCAAATAACATTTTATATTGTCTAACAGGTTTTATATTTATCTGTCCACAACCCCTATAATGTAAGCTCCATGACAGCAGAAAGCTTGTCTATTATTCACTACTAGATCTCCTAGAAGAAGCTCATAGTACACACTTCTTAAATGAATAATGAATGAGCAAATGGACAAGCATATGGTCAGATGGATGGAAACATAGTGACTTCAGTAAAACTTCAATAAATATCTGATGATCATCTTCTAAAAAAAAACAGAAATCTAATCTGGGCTATCATATACTGCAAAGATGATTTTCCTGTCTATCTGCAACAGTCTATGAATCATAGTTTTTTTCCTAATAAATGTTTTGATTTCTTAAAGAAGGGTAGCTTGAACTCAGATGGTGAAGGCTGCAGTGAGCCATGATCATGCCACTGTACTCCAGCCTGAGCCACAGAGTGAGACCCCGTCTGAAAATAAATAAATAAAAATAAAGGCTTTGATTTCACCTCCTTTCAACTTTTTGGGTCAACTTGCCACAAAAAGCAGTATTAAAAAAAATACTTTTCATGCCGGGTGCAGTGGCTCATGCCTATAATCCCAGCACTTTGGGAGGCCGAGGCGGGTGGATCACGAGGTCAGGAGATCGAGACCATCCTGGCTAACACGGTCAAACCCCGTCTCTACTAAAAATACAAAAAATTAGCCGGGCGTGGTGGTGAGCATCTGTAGTCCCAGCTACTCGGGAGGCTGAGGCAGGAAAATGGCGTGAACCCGGGAGGCGGCGCTTGCAATGAGCCAAGATCGTGCTGCTGCACTCCAGCCTGGGCAACAGAGCGACACTCTGTCTCATAAAAAAAAAAAAAAAAAAAAATTCTCAAATGGAATGCCATCAAACTTTCCAAGCTGAAAAAAAATATATACTTTAAACGTTTTCATATGGCAGAAGTAAATGACTGTAAACATGAATATATCATGTTTACATGTTGATATCATGTTTATCATCACTAATAACTTCTTAGCTAGGATGTAGCATTCTTCAGAGAATATAAGATCAGTTACTTAGGCTCTGAATTGCTATATTCAAGAAAATACTAAAAGTAGCAATAGATAAGAGCAGAGTCATTAAAGACTCATCCTGCTTACTCAATAGTTACCAGCAACTACTTTATATTCCCATTGCCTAGAATACTAACATTAATGGCCTCATTAGAGTAAAGCTTTTCCAGTGGGAATCCACCAAGATATGCCCATCCCCCAACTAAGCAATAATATAACTACATTTTTTTTAAAAACCTGAACTTTAATATAGTTGATTAATGGTTGAACTAAGCCAAAGAAAAAGTATAAAATAGCTGATAATGTGATACTGGGTACATAGAACATTGTAGGGGGGCAGTATTTTGCCTCTATCCTCTTAGTTTTCTTAGGCTAGGCCTGAGAATTAAACTAACCAAAGACAGATCAAAAAGAGAAAAGCAAACAAATTAATTTAATATAAGTTTTACATGGCACAGGAGACTTCATAGGAAAACGAAGACCCAAAGATGCAGTTAGAGTTGAACACTTAGATATTGATTTATAGACAAAAGATTAGAAAAAATCAGACAAAAAGCAGTAAACTGTGAAAATGTGACAAGGCAAAGAGGCTTGGGCTAGAGTGTTTTGGGTAGAGAAGGGACTAGGAAGATGAAGGTTCATGTTTGTACAGATTTTCCTTGGCCTCAACTTACCATCCTAGATATGAATGATACTTTCCTTCTGGTATAGGGAGGGAGGACATATTTCACATGGAAATTTCATCCACTGCTTTTACAAAACAGAAGGAAGGTCAGAGTGATCTTCTTGCCCCTGCTGTTTATCAAGTGCCTTTACCTCAAAATAGTTAATATGCCAGAATGGCATGTTTGAGGATGGCATATTCTTAACTCCTGCTTCATCTTTCATTCTCTTAACTGACACTTTATTAATCAAAATGTTTCCAACACCATAATGGTATGATAAATCATAACCATAAGAATCCAACCATTTTCTTGATCTTTTCACAGAAATTAGGTTGTCTGGTGTGGGTTTACTGCTATGTATTCCAATATAGTAATGTTTTTAGCATTGTTTGCCTGTGAATAACCTATATTAGAAATTAAACTATCCCAATTATCTCAATGACCTAAGCATTTCAGGTATCATACTATTTATAGTATGATTTTTATATCCACATTCACAGCTAGCATTCTAAATGCAATCACTGGAGTAAAAATAGATTATTTACAATTGTATTATTTGCATAGCATACAAATTTTTAAAGATTCTAAAGTACCTTAGATCTTTGGACTCTGTTTCTTTAACAAGAAAACATTTCATCCTATGAAACCATCAGTCTGAACCATCAGAAAAAAGTTTTTAACTTTTAATTATAAAAAATTTCCAACATCTAAAAAGTAGAGGGAATAGTATAAGAATGTGCATGTATGCATCACCCAGGTCAACAATGAATTCATGGCTAATCTTATTTCCTTTACATGCTGACCTATTTATCCTTACATCAAACTGTTTCTAAGCAAATCCCAAAAATTATGTTGTTATTATGTAAGTATTTCAACATGTATTTCTAAAAGATCTTCAGATTTTAAATACTTGCATAATGTAGGTTCTTGATCATTTTATTTAACTCTTTATACCCTACCAGGAGGCTGGTTTTATAACACAGAATTAAAATATGCTTTAGAAGAACTCCTAGGAGACTCTTCTTGATAATTTACAATATCAACAGCATATGTTTCTATTACCCAAATATTCCTGGCTTCTTCAGGTACTTTCTGGCAGACTCTGACTATAAAATTTTTGTTCTGTTTTTAAGAGTAAAAATTAGAAAAGGCAAGTTATAATGTCATAGCTTTAATGATCTCTAGAGCTTAGTTTTCCTCCTTTTCTTTGCTTTCAAGGGGGAACTGCCCATAAGAAGATCAATTCATTCCTGGAATTGAGATGTACTGAGACAAATTTAGACATTTCACTACAAATACAGATGGAGCTGTAAACAAAAAAGATCAGAACATCAGAAATTCTGCAGCAAAAAAAAATTTGTGATTACCACAGCTTTCAGAGGGAAGACCTTTTGAGGGGAGAAACAGTGAATGTCTACACTGCTGTCCAGCTTAAAGAGTTTGCTCTTCAAGTCTTTGGACTTAAATTTCAGAGAGCTCCCAAATAAAAGAGTAGAGCTATGCCATTTTTACATCAGCCACTTGTTTCTGGGCATACTCAGAGGAGAGGCATTGAAGAACCTCTTCAGAGCTTTGCTTTCAAAGTTTAATTATGAATGGAATAGCATAGCAGGAAGACAGAGAAATTCAATGTGTGTACATAGACCTCTGTCCACAAGCCAAGATTTTATTTCCAAAGGAACACAGGGCCTTCTCATTGAACAATGCCATGGTTAGCTCATCATACTGACACAGGGCCTGTGCCAGGACATTTAAGCCTTTCGATGTTCCACTATTCATTACTCCCTGATGCTTGCCAAAGACCAGACTGAGCCCATTCAGTATAAACTTAGTGCTGGGCCCAATCAAAGGAGGTCAAGGAAAACATGAACAAGTGTTTTGTATGCAGAATACAGTCACTGGCAATGTCTATTAATGTAACAGTTCTCAGCTAATTCCTCTCATTTAGAAAATGGCTTTTGAACTAAATTGAGTTACCTCTGTGCCTTATTTCAACACTAAGAGATACAAAAAGAGGAGAAAATGTTTATAATTAGCCATTTTAAAATATACTTTGTGATAGTAATTTCCCAAGCAATCTTCTCCCACGCTTCTCAATAGTGCATGGGCAGGGAAAAGTATTGGACAAAAAGTACCAACTTTTAATTACCACCTACACTAATCTGTGGCTTTTATTTTAACTAACAAAAATGTTTCAAAGCTACTAAAAATACAGAATTGACTGTACAGGGCATGCCACTTAAGTTTGGGAGAAATGCTAAGGATATACTTTGCAAAAAGTTCAAAGTAGACATCACAGAAGCAAAAAACTCCTTGAGAAAGTGGCACATTTGACAGAGACCTGTGTGAATGGGTTCACAGGTTCCCAGGGTGGCTGCACTCCAGGACTAGGGCAATTGGTGCGGCAGGGAATTTAAGTGGCTGGGGCCCAAGTGAGATGAGCTGAATTCGTTTCGGCAGCTTGTACTCTGCCCCAAGAAAGAAGGATTAAATACAGCTCTGAGAGAGAGATGGCAATTAGTGTTTCTGTCTCCAAAGAGAGAGATTCATGGAGTCTGAATCTGGAGAGATACAGAGGGCACAGGAGAGCCTGGTCCCAAAACAAAAACTCAGAAGTGACTTAGCACTATTTTTAAATGCTAAAATCTTCAGTTCCGTATCTGTTTTCAGTATCAAATTAAGAATATAACTTATTACAAATTTTAATTTTCTTTTACTAAAAATGACTTTATGTCTATCATATTTTTAGAACTGAGGTAGCCAAACCATGAGTTTGGAAGGTAGCCAAATTCATGGTTCCAATCAGACAGACCTGAATTTTAATTCTGATTTCACCACTAACTGAGATCTCGGCAAATTGCTTAAACCTTTGTGAGATACCGATTCCTTATTTACACAATGAAAATAATGCCTACATTATTGCATTTAAAGTGTGTGTAGCGGTGGGGTGGGGTATCTCCATTTTAGCTTAGGCTACTCTGTTGGTCAGAAGGGCTCCAGACCACAGCAACTGTGTTACTTTTGGCTTCTCTTTTGTTTTGCTTTCATTTAAGTTCACCATTGCACAATGGTGTGTGTAGATATACAGTACAAAATCAATGCAAGACAAAAACCTTTATGAAAAGATACTTCTGCAAACACACACTCAGAAATAATGCCTCCATGTGTGTCATTAATGTTTAACCATCTAAAGAATTCCTGGCAGAATAAATATATAAATAATATATCTTATAAGATAGAGAAATCTTAAGACAAAGCAATTTTCTCATGGCATTTTTTTCTGCCAATAACATTTATTATTCTAAACACTGTAAAGCATAGTTGACAAACTAAAAGATATAACATCAACTAACAGCACAAGGTAAAATATGTTATAAACACCACAGTGAAGCTAATCAGAGTGGGGGATGATATTTGCCATAAGAATTACTGGGTACTTTGAAAATATGTATAACATCTTGTGAAGCTTTAGGACTATTCCATTTTTCTGTCTCTAAAGGTTTTATTTTATGTGAGCCAGTTAATCTGTCTTTGCTCTGCTTAAAACCATCAGCTGTGAATTCACTTGGGTAGAATTTGGAAAGCAATCAGAGCAAAAGAGACCCATTTCATCAGCTTTATACAATTATGCAAAAGGTAACCTGTATTCAGTAATGCAACTTCTAAAAGTTCAGGAAACTTCCTGCAGCTTACGGTTTTAAGCTGCAGCCATTCTGCTTTCCAGTGGCATAAAGAACTTTAACATTCAAATAGCATTCATTAGAAAATTCACAAAGTCAGACCATTGCCTCTTTCAAAAACAATACATTTATTTGCTACTGTTAAAAATAATCTTTTGGTCAGTGGATCCTATCGCTGCTATCGTCAATGTGAACCTTTAGTATAAAATACTATTAATCTAATTTAGGAAAAAATGAAACAGTCTTTGTGAGAATCAAAAGTAAACAAATATATGTCAAACAAAAAAAAAGATTAATTTTTAGCTTTTATGTCATGTATTTTTCAGGCAATCTCATACTCCTGTAGTAAAACTTTTTATTTTTCAACTGTTTCAGGACAAAGAAGAGATATTCTCTTTCATTTACACACAAAGCTTATCTTTTTCCTTGATGGAATAGGTATTTTGGGAAGCCAGTAGGGCTTTTATTATAGTTAAAAGGATAAAAGGTCTCTTCCGTAGTTTTTGTATTGACTACATGTATTTGACTTCTCAAAAAGTCTCCCTTCATTTACCGTTTCTCTCAGTCCCCAACCAAGTCACTGTTAAACTTTTTGTTGATTTACCCTTTTTATTCCCCTCTACCCGCTATCCTTTTCCCTCATTTTACAAAGTGAATTGTGCCAGACAGTATGCCTTATGCTGGGTCTTCTCAAATTTCTGACATCAATTTTATTCTTTCTGCAACCAATTTTGTTGTTGTTGTTGTTGTTTTTTGAGATGCAGCTTCACTCTTGTTGCCCAAGCTAGAGTGCAGTGGCGCGATCTTGGCTCACTGCAACCTCCACCTCCTGGGTTCAAGCAATTCTCCTGCCTCAGCCTCCCGAGTAGCAGGGATTACAGTCATGCGCACCCACGCCTGGATAATTTTTTGTACTTTTAGTAGAAACAGGGTTTCACCATGTTGGCCAGGCTGGTCTCGAACTCCTGACCTCAGGTGATCTGCCTGCCTTGGCCTCCCAAAGTGCTGGGATTACAGGCATGAGCCACCGTGCCCAGCCCTGCAAACAAATATCAATTTTACATGCAATTGTACTTCTAAATGTTATTTTCATTAGAAAGATTACCTATAGTGAAAATAAAGAAGTCAATCCTCTAAGACTTCTCTTGAATTTATAGAACATCACACTAAGTATAGGCTCAAAATGTCCAATTTAACCAACAACACTTATTGAGTACCTCCTACAGAGCAGAGCTCTGAGCATTCCTGATGGAGAAGAACAAAAGTTTGAGAGTTAAGATATAGTCTCTGTCCTCCAAGATGTGTCTTATTTTAATTGGACGAGTAAGACTAATCCACATAAAAACATTAAATAAAAACAAATAAAAAGTGAGTCATTCAGTGAGTGCAATAGATGATCCACAGTTTTGTGACAAAGCAAGTGCACAACAACATATATGGGATATTCTCATTTTGTCAAAAATGTATTTGGATATGTATTTTAAAAGACTGGAAGGTTACACATAGAGTACTTTGGGGAGTACACAATTATGTTTTTTGTTTTGTTTTGTTTTGTTTTTTTGAGATGGAGTCTCGCTCTGTTGCCCAGGCTTGGAGTGCAGTGGTGCCATCTCGGCTCACTGCAACCCCCACCTCCCGGGTTCACGCCATTCTCCTGCCTCAGCCTCCTGAGTAGCTGGGACTACAGGTGCCCGCCACGATGCCCAGCTAATTTTTTGTATTTTTAGTAGGGACAGGGTTTCACCGTGTTAGCTAGGATGGTCTGGATCTCCTGACCTTGTGATCCGCCCGCCTCGGCCTCCCGAAGTGCTGGGATTACAGGCGTGAGCCACCACACCTGGCCGTGATTTTTTTAATGTATGAATTGCTTTTTGTATCAAAAAATAGCAGTAAATAAAAAGGATTCTAATGAATGAAGAAAGAGAAGAGAAGGCTTCTTGGAGAAGGCGCAACTGAAGTGGACCTTGGGGGCTGGACAAGAATAATGGGCCAGGCCAGTGGCACAAAGAGGGAAAAACACAATGGAAAGAAAGTTGATGGCACTTGTGAAAGATTGTAATTGTGTCAATTTGGCTTCAAAAGGTGATTCAGGCAAAACTGCGGCAGAAAAGTCTGGCTGCTGTAAACCAGTGAAGGCTTTGGCCACATGCTGTTTTGAAGATATTAGATCTTGCATATGTTCTCAAAGTTGCCTTTATCTGAAAAGAAGGTAAAGGAGAAAACACAGCTTTCTTTGGATACATACTCAAGTTATAAGAATAAATAAGAAAACTGTGGAAAAACAATTTAAATACTAGAAAAGAAAAAGAGCCATATAGTCATCTCTTAATTATTCATGTATGTCGATTATCTACTTCATTTATTATCCTAGACAAATTATAAAATTCCTCCCAAATGGAACAGACCAGAAGACAAACTTTGCTTTTGCTTTCAACTTTTCTGCTGATACAACTAACTTTAACATTAACTACCCATTACAAAGACAGAAAGGAAATTTAAAACGTGTTTAGGGTTTATATCTTATTAGGGAAAGGCCATTAAGGCAAAATTATTTAATATCTCTCCTTATTTATTTACTTAAGAAATATGCATCAAAGAGAGAGTAAAACGGAGGGAGACTGAAAAGGAACAGGAGGAAGAATCTGATCTTCTAATATATTTTACATATTGCTTTACTGGATCATCGCCGGAAAGCAAGGGTTAATCCTATTTTAAATAGGGGGAAACTGAAGCTCACAGAAGTGAAGAGAATGATTTATTCAAGGTCATTCAAGCAGTAAGTGCTAAACTGGGACTCACACCAATTCTTCTAAGTTTAGGGCTCTTTCTACCATACCAGAGGTACCATCTCCACCACAGTCTATAGCAGGGAAAAACTGAGCATGTAGAACAAGCAAGCAGGACAGGTTTCTAGTTCCTCTAAATGTGAACATTAATGAAAATAAAATTGAAAAGACAGATAATAACAAGTGTTGGCAAGAATGTGTAGAAATTAGACTCTTAAACTCTGCTAGCAGGATTATAAAATGGTGCAACCACTCTGGAAGGAAGTCTGGGAGTTCCTCAGAATATTAAATGTAAAGTTGCCATACGTCCCAGCCATTCTACTCCTAGGTATATATCCAAGAGAAATGGAAACATATGTCCACACCAAAATGTATATACAAATATTCACAATAGCAAAAAAGTAGCAACAACCAGAATGTCTATCAACTAATGAACAGATGTGGTGTATCAGTACAATGGAATATTATTTGGAAATAAAAAGAAAGTGTGAAAGTGAATACGTGCTACAACATGGAAGAACACTGAAAACATTGTATTACATGAAAAAAGCCAAACATAAAAGGGTACATATTATATTACAGTATTCCACTTATATGAAATGTCCAGAATAGGCAAATCCATAGAGACAAAAAGTAGATTGGTAGTTGCCAAGGGCTGAGGAAAAGGAATAAATCAGGAGTGATGCTATGGGTTACAGAATTTCTTTTGGGACTGATGAAAATTTACTGAAATTAGATAGTAGCAATAGTGAATACACTAAACTGTGAATATACTAAATATGAATATACTAAACCACTGTGAATACACTAAAACCATGGAATAGTACACCTTAAATGGGTGAATTTTGTGGTATGTAAATTACATCTCAATAAAGTTATTTTTTAAAGAGGTGAAAAAAATTAAAGGAAATGCTCAGAAAACAAGAAAAATGGAAAATATTATAAAAATCAATTATGTAAAATTTCCTCCTTAAAAATCTCTGAGCTTAATTTTATTTATTTTTTTGAGACAGAGTCTCACTCTGTCACCCAGGCTGGAGTGCAGTGGTGAGATCTCAGCTCACTGCAACCTCCAACTCCTGGGTTCAAGCGATTCTCCTGCCTCAGCCTCCCGAGTAGCTGGGATTACAGGCATGTGCCACCACGCCTGGCTAAGTTTTGTATTTTTAGTAGAGACAGAGTTTCTCCATGTTGGTCAGGCTGGTCTCGAACTCCCGACCTCAGGTGATCCACCCACCTTGGCTTCCCAAAGTGAAAACCTCTGAATTTTAAATACAACTACGAAAAGTATATTATTTTGGTGTTTTCTGTTAATTAGATGAAATAACGACACAAATGCTTTTTAACTGTTAAGCAAAGTGTCTACATGATCAGTCATTAATTTATAATTCACTTTCCTTTGAGGCTTGACAATTTCACTTTGTTAGATTCCTTTAAGAGAAATCTCGGCCAGGCACGGTGGCTCAAGCCTGTAATCCCAGCACTTTGGGAGGCCAAGGCGGGCAGATCACGAGGTCAGGAGATTGAGATCATCCTGGCTAACACGGTGAAACCCCATCTCTACTAAAAATACAAAAAATTAGCCAGGCATGGTGGCGGGCACCTGTAGTCCCAGCTACTCAGGAGGCTGAGGCAGGAGAATGGCATGAACCCGGGAGGCAGAGCTTGCAGTGAGCTGAGATGGCACCACTGCACTCCGGCCTGGGCAACACAGCAAGACTCTGTCTCAAAAAAAAAAAAGAAAAGAAAAAAGAAAAAGAAAAGAGAGACCTCATTCTCATTCTGTTCAAAATCTTCCAATGGCTTTCCATTGCACCTAGAATAAAATCCAGACCCCTTTGCATGACCTATTAAGGCCCAATATAATCTGCCTGTTGGCTCGCACCCCAACCTTATTTGCTACCTTTCCTTCCTTCTCTGATTTGGTCTGGCTATACTGCCCTCCGTTTTGTTTCTCAAACACACTAGTGTGTTTCTGCTTCAAGGACTTTGTACGTACTGTTTACTCATTTATCCATGTGGCTTACTCCTTGATTTTACTTAAGTTTCTCCTTCAGTGATAGCTCCTCCATGAGCTGTATTTCAAACTGCAAACATATACCCCACCTTCTACATCCATTTAATCTCTTATACTTTTCTTACCAACTATGTGATGTAAAGAATATTTCTACTTGTCCATTATCCATTTCCTGCTGGAATATAACCCCACAAAGACAGTGTAGTTTTATTTTATTCACTGCTGTAACTCCAGTGCTAACAATAGGGAAATCAACAGTATTTGTTAAAAAAGTAGATAAACAATCAGATGAACCTTAATGAAAGTGTTTAGAAAACTATAAAGTATCATGAGCTCTTTAGATATAGGAGTCAATTTGGGGCACTTAGGGGTGCATATCTAGCACGTTTAAAGGTTTGATAGATTCATGAATGAATGAAGTTGTTATGTCTAAGAATAATCATGTTAGGATAGATCTATATATTTAAATAAAGACATGGGTAACAATTACTAAAGATTTCTTAATTTTTCCTTTAGTTTTCTACTGTAAAAAAATACTTTGTTATCCTCTCCAATTTTTTCAGCACTAAGTAGAACACTCCTTACAAATCCTGGATCTGTGTCCTTACTTAAAACAAGGCAAGTTAGGAAAAGCACCCCCATTATATGTTTCCCCAGTGGGCCAAAAGACTCACACTTTGTTTTTGTTTTTTTTTTTTTTGAGACAGAGTTTCGCTCTTGTTGCCCAGGTTGGAGTGCAATGGTGTGATCTCGGCTCACTGCAACCTCCGCCTCCCGGGTTCAAGCGATTCTCCTGCCTCAGCCTCCTGAGTAGCTGGGATTACAGGCATGCACCATCACGCCCAGCTAATTTCATATTTTTTAGTACAGATGGGGTTCTCCATGTTGGTCAGGCTGGTCTCGAACTCCTGACCTCAGGTGATCCGCCCACCTCGGCCTCCCAAAGTGCTGGGATTACAGGCGTGAGCCACTGCGCCCAGCCAAGACTCACACTTTCAAAGACCTATTGGGAAAGTAAAAAGGAGAACAGTAAGGGAAATACCTGAGATTTACAAAAGGAAGGACAAAGAGTAATGGAGAGAACTGATGAGGGTCAGGACACACTTCCCCAAAATATGGTACCTTGGCATTTGAGAAAATAGCAGAAGGAGGAAGGTCACTCTCACCTTCCCCACATCCTTTTTCTGACCTTCCCCTGAAGCAGGTCATAAGACTTTCATGTGAGAGGTGCCCACTCTATATCCACAAGAAAGGAACATCCTCATGTCTGATGATACAGGGACACAGAGAAGAATCTCAACAGACAAGACTTGGTAAGTTCTTCCCAGTTTATTACCATTAGATCATAACCCTTTTGTCCAATCACACTTCTCTGTATTGACTGACTTTTTCATCAAACCTAGCATAAAAAATATACAGGTTTACCTGTTTCTTTAGGTTTTAATTTCCTTATGAAAGCCCCTATGTCACATAAAACTTATATTTAAATACATTTGTATGTTTTTTTTCTTGATTATCTGTCTTGTTATAGGGGTCTGAGCCATGAACCTAGTAAGGGATAAGAAGAGAAATTTCTTTCCCCCACAGAATGGAATACCAGTTAGTGCCCCACTCCCAGATTCCCATACTGTACTATGGGAATATTTAATTACATTATTGCATTAGCTCAATGTAAACAATGTATATCAATACAAGAGCAATACATGATTAAGATGTTCTGAGACATCTTTGATCACAATACTACATTTTATCTGAATCACTTTTCAAACATCAAATTCATTCAGTCCACAGAAGGTGGGGTCATGGGGTTGAGGGAGAGAACACTTCCATTCTATTAAAATCAGAGAAAGAATTCCTTTTCCTTATAATGAATATTTCCATTTAAAAGTCTGCCATATGACTGAGTCACATACCTTCATTCTCTTCTAGGTTACAGGTAAATAAGTGATTAAGATCATAGCCTATTGGTACCACACAGCTTCTAAATGGGAAGGGTGTGCCCGTAGCTCACACCTCCTCCTTGGCCAGCCAAGCAAAACTCTCACTGTTCTGTCAGTACTCATTCTCACTCACTTGTTTTAAAATCCAGTGGTTTACTGGGTTCAAGAACACCCAAGCAGAACCTGAGCATAATTTTGAATTAATCTCTTATAAGATCCTCTCTTCAAGTTTAATTTGAAAGAAATTCATCAGTAATATAGTCTATTTATTTATATTAACAACTGAAATAGACTAAAGTACATATTTCTAAAAATAGAATTTCTGAAATTTCTTAACTAGATATTAATGGAAATAATTGCGGTACATCACAGCTATGTCATACAAAACAAAAAACCTATGAATTAATGCATGTATTCATAAAGAAAATTGTCACTTGAATGTGGGAATCAGATTTTAATTAATGGGCTCTTTTTATCAAATTTGTAAACAGTTTACCATTTGAAAGTAGTTTCCTATTTAGAACCCTAGTTTCCACAGAGGAGAAGAAGGCACAAGATTAAATGATTTCCATTTTTCGATGCTGAGTAATGTACAATTTTTTCAAAGTATTCTTTATTTTCTTGTTTAAAAATTTGTTATTTTTTATGAGAATCATAACCTGCCAATCCTACTGCAGCTTTCTTTCTTTTTCAGTATATTAGCATGCAAAAAAAAAAGGGGCGAATTTGTGCCTCAAAGTTTTCACAGTGCCATTATTTGCTGTACCTAGTTTCTTTTTAAGGAGAAAAAGCCCTGCACATCTTTATTAGGATGGCATTTGATTTTTTGTATTAACCTTCTAAAGAGTGGTTAAACTAAAATATCATAATAATTATTAAACTAGGTACTAAGCCTCCCTTTCCTCCTCCCTAATACATTGAATAGTCCACATTCACCAGCATCAAGTCTCTTTTACTAGGACAATGGCAACAAGAAATCTTCAACAAGTGCTGGCCTGACCCCTTTCCTTTTTCTACAGTTCCAGCTGAGCAGCAAAAACTGCTTGAAATTCAGCAATCACATTTCTCACTGTTTCAGAATGACCTATTTCGCACTAGAATGAACCAGTGAATTCATACATATAAATAACTATCTGCAGACCCTGCTTTTCAAAACATGAACAGAAATAAGTAAAAAGAAGAAAAAAAAAAGAAAGAAAAGAAAAGAAAAAGAAGAAAGAGGGAGCAGCAGTTACAAATAAAGGTTTGATTGGATTGGTATTTTTCAATTGTTTGATATGATAATTGGAAACAAAACAAGACTATATAACTTAGATATCAATGTTACATTTAAAGTTTTTTGGAATTGTCAATAAATAATATTCATGATAGTTCAAACTGAAGTCAGATTATTTTTCTCTAAAACACATCATCATATTCTTATTTATTTAAGCTATCTTGGGAACTAAGAGAAAAGGCTGTAAGCATTTCTTAGCAGAATATGCTTATAAATTAGCTACACTATCATTCATTCTTAAGTATTTATTGAATGCTGTATACAAGATCTAGTTACATGCTACATCCTGCAAACACAAAGTTTCTAAGACCTTCTGATCTCTCAGGATAATCCCCAATTATAATAATCTTTTAATCTCAGTCAGTGTAAAAAACTGTCTGTACATGCTAGCTTTTTCAACTAGGCTACGGGACCACACTTGATTCATCTCTGTATTTCCAATAATTAATAAAATCCTATTACATAATTAACTCTCAATAAATGTTTACAAATGGATTGATTACTTAGTCACTGCCCTTGAGCTTACAGAAGTTCAAGCAGTGTTCAGAGAACCCAGTATATAGATCATGTTAGCACTCTGTCATAAATCTGTTGACACACATTGAACAAGGGGTAATGCTGCATAATAATATCTGAGAGAAAGGAGACAAATGAGGACAGCCATATACATAAGTAAAACGTTCAATGCCTGGAGAGAGTTTCTGGATGCGGCAAGGGAAAGGAGATCCCAAACAGGCCCAACAGTCTTGCTTGGCTTAGGAGACAGAGTTTAGGGCTCTAGGACACCAAGGTGACCAGAATATGCTGGGAAGAGTGCCAGAAAGGAGGCAGATGCACAGAAAGGGCAAGTGAGCAAGCTCTGGAGATAGGCACAGTCCAATTGAGTCTTTGGTTGAATACTGGTCTGGTCACATAAAAAAGAAAACTACTGAGGCCAGAGAAAGAACCATCATTAAGGAATAAGTGGGAAATATCTGGAGCTTAGGCCTGGGAGTACTTGATACTTCCATGAGCTTGGATAGAAATGACCTGCTAATTCACAGGGCATTGAGTCAAGGACTCAGAAGGGCAATGCCTCACTAGTGTGGCTGAATTAGCCCTTGACTAAACACTGTTCAGGATTTACCCATCAAACTGTGCCCAAGTAACTTTAATTCTTCCCAGAACAAGGCCCAGAAATATTTAAAGAATTTTTTAAAAATCAATACCAAACATCGTCATATTCACAACGTTGGTCATCTGGTCAAAATTACTAGGCATGAAAAGAAACAGGAAAACATATCCCATGAGGAGAAAAAACAATCAATATAAATAGACATATAAATGACATAGATGATAGAATTAGTGAACAAGGCATTTAATCAGGTATTAAAATATATTACTGCTCAAGAAGGAGAAGGAATGCATGAACATGATCAAGAGTGAAATGAAAGTTGTAAAAAGATCCAAATCAAACTTCTACAGATGAAATGGTATGCTAATATGCTTCAAGGTCAAAATATTATAAATTTAACAAATATTGTATTTTCATAAAACTTTACTTCCTCTGGTATCTTCTGATATTTTAACTGTAAAATAGGGGTAAAGTGGGAGTAGACATTATGTCACATCTCACTGGTCCCAAACTTTTTCTTAATTCACCATTCATATTCTTAATTAATCTTTCTAATATTCTTCATCTATTCTACCTCCATTTACAGACAGAAAGTCATACTCCTAAAATTGCCTAGCATACAGTGATCAAGTTGACTGCAATCTAGAGTTTGCTAATAACTCACCCAGTCTTTCTCATACTTCTTACTTACACCCAGACCACTTTTATCCAGACTTGGCAGTATTGCAGGGAAGGTATGGGCAGGGCATCAGAGACATGCATTCCCATCTGAGCTCTGCCTCTGTCTGAAGACCACATGGGCATGTGGCTAACCTGACTAGATCTCAGTCTCTTTATTTTCTAAGTTAAAAGACGGGATGTAATCTGCAACTTTAAAACACACTTTAACTACTGAGCCTTTAAATCTAATATGCAAGAGAGATAGATGCTATGCTAAGCTTGCATTATGTGTATATATTTAAAAAAACAATTTTTCCAACATATGCACATGTGTATATATGCTATACACATATATATATATAAATAAATTTTTCTTCCAGTGTATCGAGAATGGAAGGAAATATGAATGGGGGTAATAAATGTGAGCAAATCCAGTAAAGTAAATGAAAATTATGGGCAAGTGGACAGAAAAAAAGTAATTCTGAGATGTTCTCCGATGGAGGACAGCTACTGAAGGACTCTCAGAGGCACCATTAAAAAGTAGTAAATCTCTCTGAGAAATGTCCCCATTGAACTAAACACTCCTCACATTAAAAATGTCCAATTTTAGGTATACCTAAATTGGTAAAATACCTAAATTTAGGTATTTTAAAATTCTCTTTTCTTGTTAATCTGGAAAGTCTATCCCCAGAATCATTCTATACCATATATCCGTCTAATCTGACATAATCCCTAAACACTACACTTGAAATAGTCATGCCAGGAATGAAGCTGTGTGTAACTATTCTTCAGAAAATTGGCTTTTCAAAAGAAAATGTGCATCAGAATTAAGGCATAATTAATTAAGAAATATCCATTTCAGTTTCTTCTATTTTTAGAACTTTTACACATAGAACAAATGTATAATTATTAATTTTGAGTCATTTAAACAGAATAATCCTTTGTATGTCTCTTTCAGTTATACAAAAAGACTTGTGGCAGTCAACTATTTGCATTACACAGCAGTGCTGTATATGAAGGTCATGAAGCTAATCTTCATTATCATTCTGTAATAAATAAACAAGAAAGTACCCCTCCCGAAGAGTTTATACTCCATTGTACGAACATAACATGTACATATTTTACATAATCCAGTTCCCAGAACTTTACAATTGTTTATTTATTGTGCATAGTAACCATTTGCTTACTCTTAAAGTACTTCTGATTTGTATCTTAGTGAGTTTATTCCATTCAATTCCCTATAAGTTGTCTCTTGTTTCCAAATTATTATAAATTCAGTATGACATCAAGCATAAATCATCATTTATATTGAGTGTTATTGTTAATGAAAGACAATTAGGTATACATCAATAAATGTCTGATTCAAACAAATTAGGCAAGAAAATAATTTTATAGCCAATAATGAGAAATAAAGTTGTTGTGTGTTCAGTAGCCCCACATTCTTTGTTTGTGATGGTGTAGGATACTAAGTGACTTTTATATTCTTATTTGTGGACATTTGTTTTTCAAACTATGTATATCAGAAAGACATTCAAATGGGCAAAATTTACCCTGATACTGAGTGGAGCACACAAATGCTTGGCACATTGAAAATGCTTCAAGCTTGGTTGGCTTTTCAATGCCTGTAAAGAGAATTAGAGATAGGCCACTGAATGCCAATCACACTACTGCATCTATTCACCACATTTAAATTCTTAGGGTGAACATATTTATCATTGGCTTGTGATACTACATCATTTTTTAATATTGCTCTCAAGCTGCTGGATAGAATTTCATGTCCTAAGTCCAGAGAAACAAGGTAAATGACAAACATGTTGCAGATTTCTTATCTGGAATATTAACAGAGTGTCTCTAATCCTATACAGAAATGTAGTCCAAAAAATGTAGTGATTTCAAAATGGTGTGCACTCTTTTAAGTGTATATAAGATCATAATCCCCAAGCAATTTTTTAAATGACTGCATCAATGACAATTGGGCAAATTCAAGACGTATTTAAAGAAAACCTGAGGAATGATTATTAGGAAATATAGGAAGGTGTCTATTGTCCAAGTGCAATAAACTGCTAGAACAGTAAGTACTCAAGTAAGGCAAACAAAAGTATTCACCTCTTCCTAGTACCCAGAGGAAAATCAGAATGTTCAAACTAGGAGGAAAAAAAGAGAAACAGGAGAAGCATGGGCTTTATTCACTGTTTTTTTAAGCCTAAGTCAGTTTTTAAAATATGAGAATTGAGTATGTAGGTAGGTTGAAGCTGATACAAAAAAAAATTATAGTATTTAAAATTTTTTTTAAAAAAGCTCACGCTATCATATATATAAACTTAGTCCTTAAATTCTAGAACGGACCTTATTTTTTACACTAACTGTTTCTATGTAAATCTCATTGGCTCAATTCATTACAAAATTGGTGAGGTAGGCACTGAGGCAAATTGAAAAGGACAGGACACTAGATAGAAGTGGTCGTCAACACTCAGTTCAAGCTGCTGGGGGAAAGGAGAAATGCAGACACAGTATTTTCACATCTTTCCATCTTTAAGAAAAAAAAAAAGAAGAGTAAAATCTCCCAGTTTTTAAATATTTACAACTAATTAAAGGTTGAAAAAGTTATTTCTCTGAGTAGTTCTACAAAATGACCCACATATACACACCATGTCAGTAAAGAGCAACTGAGCAAGATGAAAAGCAGTAAGAATTAGAGCTATCAGAGATCAAAGAGAAGGCCCCAAGATATCTTCTCATCTGGCCCCCTGCCTGCAGACAGGTAAGATATTCATCTACTTTAAAAGCTGAGGCAGTCAAGGCTCAAAGAGATTAAAATGAGCTTGTCCAAAATCACACTGAAAGTAAATAACATAACAGGCTGACCACCTTCCATGACTGTTTTTGTTTGTTTTTAAGCTAAATAACCATTGGCTTGGAAATTTTACTGAATAAGTCATGGCCTGAGAAAAGATGAAAAGATCTAACAAAAATTTTGAAATAAAGGTGACAGTGAACAAAATCCCCATAGAAAGAATGTAGTAAACAAAAAAGAAAACAGAAACAAGAAAAACACTAAAGTTAAGAAAGCATATAATAAGGAGCATAGTAAGGGTTTCTCTGCCTTATATACGTAAAATTACTAAAGAATAGTGGTCTAGGAGAAAGAACAACAAAATATAAAGCAGATGGAGAATCAAGTTAGGTAGTTACGAGGTTAATATGCAATCCATGGGAGGGTAGTGAATATCATTAATTCAAATCGGGCAATTAAAAATAATAAAATAGGGTCATGTGCAGTGGCTCACACCTGTAATCCCAGCACTTTGGGAGGCCAAGGAGGGTGGATCATGAGGTCAAGAGATCGAGACTGTCCTGGCCAACATGGTGAAACCCTGTCTCTACTAAAAATACAAAAAAAAAAAAAAATTAGCTGGGCGTGGTGGCATGTGCCTGTAGTCCCAGCTACTCAGAAGACTGAGGCAGGAGAATCGCTTGAACCCGGGAGGCAGAGGTTGCAGTGAGCCAAGATCACACCACTGCACTCCGGCCTGGCGACAGAACAAGACTCCGTCTCAAAAATAATAATAATAATAAAAAAATAATAATAAAACAAGTTAATAAGATAAAGAATGGGATGATAGATGAATAATACCGTTTTCAAAAGAAATTATGTGCACATAATTTCTTATCACTCAAAAAAACAGCTCAGATAGATCCATCCTGGGATTAACACCCAGGTATTTAATTCCCAATCTGGCCAGCAGCCTTGTATCCTCAGCTTTGGCAGGACTGAGAGGGTAATTCTCTGCCCTATAGGTAGGTGACTCTACAATCAGAAAAGGGGAGAGAATACATTAAAAAAAAATTGGTGAAAATAATTTTCATAATTTTGTTAGGGCTGTGGATATTTCATTTGTTATTTCAAGTGTATGAAATGTTTAAGAGAATCTGACACATTGGGAAATCGACTTAAGGCTTGTAGTTTTTATTTAAAATATTTAGAGCGATTCACTAGTAGTAATCTTGACATTTTAATTTTAAATACTTAAGGACAGTTTGATTGACTAAGTTTATATACAGTGTTTAAAAACTGATTGACTAATGCATACATTTGGCTTTCATGTGAAAGTGGTGTTTAAGTGCTCAGGAAGACTTGCATTAGATTTGTAAGGCTGCCTTCCCAGAGATTGAGAGTGCTTGGGAAAATTAAGCATATTGGGGGTTACAATTTGAAAAGTCTAAAGGAATGCAATTAATCAAGTTTGAAAATGATGTGAAATGTTTAATAGAATTTAGTCTCTCAAACGTATAAGCTAACTGATTGCTAATTAAGGAACAAATGAAAAAGAGTGTTTTAAATATAACCCCAAATTACTAGATTATGAATAAAATAAGATTTATAAATTGAGCTTAAAGGCTTATGAAAACTTGGCTTTATAATTTAAAATTTTTAAAAATGTTAATTACAACACAGTAACTATGAGTATGCCTTTCACGTACAAAAGACCCTCAAAGATTAAAATCCCAAATGACTATGAAGATGACATTAATTTCTCTAATCAAAAGATGAGTATTTTTCAAAAAACGTTGAGGTATTAATAGGTAGTCCATGAGGAAAAGGGGTCTGTGGTTTGGGGGGCAAAAAAAGCACAAGAAGGAGCTACTAACTACACCCCCTCTCGGAAATCCCTGGCCTATATTATAAAGGTTTTGAGAAGGCCTGCAATTAAGAAATGTTTCATATTTCAGTTTTTGACACAGGAGTTCACGGATGCTTATTAACATCTTGCAGAACTGCCAGAGATGCTCTAGAAAGCACAGTTTGGGAAGCCCTACATTAGATAGCTGAGAAAAAACTCCTTCAAGTATTCTTCTTTGTCAGCATACTAGAAACCGTAAGGAATGAAAAAGCAGGAGATGGAGGGAGGTTGAAGTTTCCATTATTTGGCATTACCACATAATACCTGGCAGGTGGGCTAACTTAATGATATGGTATAGTTCTACCTCAGGATTTTTTCATGTATTCCCAGGGTCCAAAGCCACTGTTTGTGCTTTCCTAAGTATAACACTTGAGCCTGTTCTCTTCTTAAAACTCCATGCATGTGTAAGATTTTCACTATAACCTATATCCTGGATGACTCCAAAATCCTTATCTCCAGTCCTGACTTCCATCTTCAGATTCAAACCCAACTGAGTAAGGGACATCCCTGCCTGGTGGACCTACAATAACTTCAAATTCAACATGTTCAAAACTGAGTCCATTCTTTTCCATCCAAAAGTTGTTTGTGCTGCAACTTTCCACAGTTCTGTTACAGTATCCCATCTACCCAGGTGCTCAAGCTAAAAACTTGAGAAAATTCTAGAGTCCCTCATCTCCCTCAGCCTCCACATGGGTAAGATCTTTTGCAACACATCCTTGATCGCACTTAAGTTCATCCTTTCCTTTCCATTTTGGTTTTCACTACTGACATTTAGGATGTCATAATTTGTTTCCCTGGACCTTTGCAATCTTCTCTGGTAGACTGTCCTTCTTATGATCTTCCTCTGTAGTCCATTGTATGCAGGTGTTTTTAATTTTGTTTTTTAGTGTAAGTCAATGTTTCCCCATCATCTATATATAATATTCTAAATTCTTGGCATAATATCCATAGTCCTTCATGCTCCAACTCCTACTTACCTCTCTAGACCCCTCTCTCACTATCACCTCCAGGCTTATGCTATGTTCTGGACACATCCAACTTCTCGCACTTCCAAGTACACACAGTGATCCTTCAGATCTATTTTACACATGTGATTTTCCTTAGAACACCCTTACTATATTCTCTTCTCCCAAAAAACTCCTAACTCATCCATGAAGATTCAAATGAGACGCCACCTCCTCTGGGAAGCCTCTCCTATCCTTTACATATTTCCTTTTTTTTCTGGCTTAGTTCACCACATTTTATTCATATATGCAAAAGGCACTCATTTCAAATTGCTGCAATTATTTGCTTTACATAGCTGCCATACCCACTAAGACTGGAACAACATGGAGGCAAAAGAGGATGCCAGTATCTTATTAAAAATATAAATAAATTCAAGAGAATGTGACATTCCAATAGCCTCTTATTACTCTTGTTAAGTGCTCAGGGTGAGGACTGCACAGGGTCAGATGGGAAGCTCCTGCCTGACCCTGGCATGGATAATCATGTCCTGAGGTTGTGCAAGGGGAATGCCACTAGTCCCAAATCAACAAGCTCATTCTATTCATAGCCTGGAATAAATTAGGCACTTCAGGGAATGGAAACTGCTATTCTCCCCAGGAGGAACCAGGGCTATATGAGCAGGTCAGAGTACCTGCCTTGGGCATGTCAGGTGCCCAGCCAGCTGTGAAGTTCTTCCTAGCCTTGCTCAGTTGGAAGCAGCATAATAGGGCCCATTGTTAACAGAAAATCAGGACCCTCAACTTCAGAAGGAATATATTTCTCTTTCTCTAAAACTCAATGAAGAAAGTTCTGGAATATAGGCCTTAAGCACCAATGAAATTGCAGCATTCATATTTTTGTCAGAAAATTAAATAAGAACATCTGATACTCTAATGAGGAGGAATTAGCTGTATAGTAACTTGTTACTTTACTTAGACATTTTGCACAAGGTTCTATGTAAGGAGAATACACAATCTACTCATTTTGAACCTATTTAATCCCACTATATTATAACAATAGCAATTCCTGATCATTTCCCTATGATTTTAAATAATTCTGTAGAACAAAATTTAGTAAAGATTAACCTGTGACTGAATTTCCATGTTACAGAACTTCAGGAAATAAAGAAGGTGGCCCACAACCAGTGGTATCTGATGGGTCACCCATTGGCTCCAAAGCACTGCTTGATCAGGCCCTGGCATTAGACTTGCTTCATAGTGTGCATTCATTATTACTGCAAACACATGCTGCACTTGTGCTCTTTGTGTTGGTCTACAATTAACTTTTGCCTACCTTCATTCCCACTCCAAAAACTAGGCACTAGGTGAAACGAAACTGGCTTGAGAACAGCATCTTAATGTGACTTAGAGGAAAACAAACTCTCGTGGGGAAGGGGAAATGCAAAACATTCCCCTATTCCAGTGTTTTGGAACAAAGAGGTTGATTCATAGCCTAAATAAAACTAGTTTAAATCAGGTAGCAAAGCACCACTTATTATCCAAATTTAATGAAAAAGTGGCTTATAAGATGGAAGTTCTGTAAATAATTCTATTGTGTTTAATCTCACCTTTGTAAGAGATGATGTTTCAGTTTGACCATTATATAACTAAGATATTTCATAGAAAACAATAAAAAACCATTTTAACTGCATGACACAGATAAAAAAAAGCTCTGTTTACTGAATGTGTACTTGGATGCTATCAACAATTAAGACCATGAAGTTCCTATATCATTGAGAAAAATTTAATTGATACAATTATGAGTTTATAGTTTGATCTAAAAGTTTCACTGGGGCTGGGTGCAGTGGCTCACATGAATAATCTCAGCGCTTTGGGAGGTGGAGGCAGGAGGATCACTTGAGGCCAGGAGTTTGAGACCAGCCTGGTCAACACAGCAAGACTCTTATCTCTACAAAAAAACATAAAAATCAGCCAGGCCTGGTGGCATGTGCCTGTAGTCGTAGCTACTCAGAAGGCTGAGGCAGGAGGATTCTTTGAGCCCAGGAGTTCGAGGTTGCAGACAGCTAGGAGGCAGAGCAAGACTCTGTCTCTAAATAAATACTTGTTTCACTGATGTATCCTTAGTGCCTAGAATAGTGCCTGGAAGCACTCAAATACTGATTGAATGAATGAATGCTTATCCTTAATCACAATATGTATTTTTTTTATAAAAAAAGAACCAAAAACAGAACAAAGTTTAAAAGCTCAGAAGAATACAGGAATTTGAGATTCAGTCCTTCACCGTTAAATAATTTCTAAGTAAACAGGCTATACCGTTAAGAAAATCTTTTTGGCCGAGTGCGGTGGCTCACGCCTGCAATCCCAACACTTTGGGAGGCTGAGGTGGGCAGATCATAAGGTCAAGAGGTCAAGACCATCCTGGCCAACATGGTGAAATCCTGTCTCTATTGAAAATACAAAAATTAGCTAGGCATGGTGGCGCATGCCCATAGTCCCAGCTACTCGGGAGGCTGAGGCAGGAGAATCACTTGAACCCAGCTGACAGAGGTTGCAGTGAGCAGAGATCATGCCACTGCCCTCCAGATTGGCAACAGAGCAAGACTCCATCTCAAAAAAAAAAGAAAGAAAATCTTGTTAATGTTTTTTGGCAATGGAATACATAAATGACAACAAATAGGAAGCACACATTTATATGCTCTACACACAAAGTCTTGACAAAAATGTAAAGCAAGGAGGAAAATCTTTCTAAGTTATACAGAATGAGTCCATGCATATTTTAATATAAATGTTTATTATATGGAAGGAAAATGCTACATAAATCTAATTGATACAAAAATATATTTACAATTTTTTTTTTTTTGAGACAGAGTCTCGCTCTCACCCAGGCTGGAGTGCAGTGGCACGGTCTCGGCTCACTGCAAGCTCCGTCTCCAGGGATCACGCCATTCTCCTGCCTCAGCCTCCTGAGTAGCTGGGACTACAGGCACCCGCCACCACGCCTGGCTAATTTTTTTGTATTTTTAGTAGAGAGGGGGTTTCACTGTGTTAGCCAGGATGGTCTTGATCTCCTGACCTCGTGATCCGCCTGCCTTGGCCTTCCAAAGCGCTGGGATTACAGGCGTGAGCCACCGCGCTCGGCCCAAAAATATATTTACAATTTAAAAGTTTTCTTTATCTTATTTTTAAAGAGGATGACAAGAGATACTTTGTTACTCTGTATTTTTAACATCTACTCCAACCCCAAAATTTTGCTTTTATTTGAAAGACTAATACTCTAATTCTAGGCACTAGAAAACAGATGGAATCAAATTAATAAATATTAAAAACATCTTTGAAAGGCAATGAAATAATATTCTCTAAGTTATAAACCACATTTTGAAAAGGGCTTATTATGTACCAGGTACTATACTAGGTACTATATATATCATAATATTAAAATACATAGTTTTTATATAATTTATGAAGTACTAAGTACAATGCACATATATTTGATTCTCACAAAAATCCTACAAAGTAGATGGGATAGTCTCCATTTTAAACATGAAAACGCTCAGGCATACAGATATTAAATAACATGCTGTTAGGTCACACAGCTAATACATAACAAAGCCAGGATTCAAATTCAGGGTCTGGCTCTTGATTTCATGTTCTTAACCACAGTACTATACTTCATAAAGAAATACATTTTAATTTTTTGTGAAAATATCACAAATTAAGTATATTGTTACAAAATGTAAAGATAATTTACAATCTTTTAATAAATCCATTTATGAATTTCCCTTAAAATATGGACTTATGTTTTATGGTAACTTATTTTACCATGAATGGGAGGTGAATGCATACAGCAGGAAAGAAACAGAAATAATCTCTAGAGAGAAATGAGTATAATTAGAAAACCAACATTACAGAAATGTAAAACGAATGCCAATTGTGTATTCACACAAAAGCAAGACATTGAGTAACATATACTCAAAGTCAGGGAGGCAAATGCAAATGACTCTTAATATTGTCTACTGAATTATTTATCTGCAAAAAGCTTTACAGAAAATGCCCACGAGGAACTGCCCAGACAGCACTGCCTCTGCCTCTTCCTATAGTATGGTCTCATTCCTAGAGCATTTTGGAAAAGCATGTGCAAGAAAACAACATGTTCCTCGCAGTCACCTCTGATTACTGGCAGTGCTATCGCACTCATTAGCCTAACATTTAGTTTATAAGAGCATCTGCTTCTAATACCGCCAACACATGACCTTAATCTGTGGCCAAAGGCTAGGGCTGAGTGATACAGGCATTATTTCTCAGGTTCTAGTGTGATTTTTACTTTTTATTCTTTGGCTGCATATAAAATCTCCTACTTCTCCATACTAGATCTTTTAGGAAAAGTTTTTCTTTTTCTTGTTGTGTGATGGTGGTTGTGCATGTGCTTGGGTAAGTTTTTTGTCTTTTGCTTTTTTTAATTGCCACTACACAGTTTTGGCAAAACCATTTACAGGAAAGTTAAGTTTCCCCAAGAATTGCTCAAATATCTCTATTTTCAATACAGTTTTATCCTGAAAGAAGTGCATTAGACTGTCAATTTTCCTCTTCCCACCTTTTCTTTGCCCCCAACACAGGCAAAGCTCTTGAAAGCAAGATCGAGCAACTCTTAAAATAATTGAGAGAAACTACCCAAAGATCAGCAACCATGTGTGCAAGCCAATTCCTAAAAACAAATCTTAAAATAAATGTCACTGTGGGCACTGAAATATATTCAGCTACTATGTTGATATTTCCATTTGAAAGCTTTAATATAAACAAATTATTTTCTAGTGTTTTCATGTTACTAAATCTTTAGTAAAGATATCACTGAGTCTTTTCCTTAGAGCTTACGTTCTAGGATGAAAGAAAAAAAACAGCAATCTGAATGAAAGCAAACTTTAGTTTCATCTCATTTCAGCATACCTCAAACTGTCATCTCATTGTCACCTTTCATTAGCTGATACTCCCTATTTCTGTGTTCTTGTCTATAAACCAATGGAGCACACACAAAAAAAATCACTGCAAAATATGAGATCTCCTAGATTCTCCTATTGAGTAATGGGAAAGTAAAACAAAAACTTAACATTCCTAAATGATCCGTCAAAATCAGTACTTTCATATGGAAAACATAAGACACCACTAACAAAATGAAGAATTTTAATTCCCACGGAACCTACGGCTGAGAGTTCTTCTCTTGATCCCAACTAAAGATCACCTACCAACCAGCATTCTTTTTGAGAATATATTAAAGATACAATAAGTTTGAGTCAGTGACTGGCAGTTTATTTAGGGTAAAGGATCACTTCACACTCCTGTTGTTGACATTAGTAAACTGTCTTAACAAAATAAGAGAAGCATATTTACTAATGCCTAATTTAGTCTATGCTTTTAAAGTTTTGGCCAACTTCACCAAATGAGTCCTACAAATTCATCTTAAACATTGCAAATTTCAGGTCATCTGGAGGTTAAATGTAAACTGGAAGAAGAAAAGGCATTTATATTCCTGAAATGAATATATATTAAGCATGGCAATTTCATAAGATATGAAATATGTTAAAAAAAAAGAACCAGAGTGATGCAGGAAAACTTATTTTAATTCCATTCATGCAAATTTCTAGGTCTTTGACCTTGGCATATTTTTTAACACTTCTGGGCCTCAGTTTCTTCATATGTAAAATAAGGAGGCCAGGCTGTTATAAACACTATAGGGTTTATAATTACTTAAAATTCTAAAACTCCAAACTTAAGCAAATTCAAGAATTTTAAAGAACAAACATAATTACAGGCATTTAAGCCCAGGAATGACTAAACCAGACTACTACAATATGCAATAGTACTGAAAACATTTCATTTTGGCTCAAAATGTTATTCCACTTTAATAAGAGTGCTACCCAGATAGTAAGCAAATACCTGTACATTGAAAATATTTTTACAGCAAGCATAAACAGTTTGACAGTAATTTGTATCATTCTCACGGGAAAATAACTTCTCCAATCTCATCTTTCTAGTCTATGTAGCAATGCCAATTTATAGGCATATAAAATTTGAAATCTCTTCTGTGCATCAATTATAACTTACGCAGCTCCCTGAGCAGCATTTAAAAAGCAAAGAAGTGCAAACAATATTCTGCTTGCTGACATAGTAAAAAATTTAGCTAACATAGCTTTACAACTTCACAATTTAACCGCAATCAAATATCCCCTTTTCAAGAAAGGAAAACGACTAGGGCAATATCCTAAATATAAAAATCCATGTTCAACTAAACCATCCCTGAAATTATCTAACTAGTTGTTCAAGGAAAAGGGCTACAGTTTGAAAACCTGGCTAACACTACTTCTCCTTGTTATCTAGGTACCAGAAACTACAAAATTCTGTATTTTATTAAAAAAAAAGAATGCTTGAAACCAAAGACATACAAATTTAAGCAACATACTATAAAAATAAAATGTAATGCAACATAAATGAGCAATCTTACCCCATTTATCTTGATGTGATTATTAAACATTATACGCCTATATCAAAATATTTCATGTACCCCATAAATATATACACCTACTATGTACCTGTAAAAATTAAATAAATAAGTAAGGGATAGTAAACATTAGGGCTTTCTCTGCTTGTACTATACAGAAAGATGAGATAAAGCTACATAAAAATAAACTTGGAAGGATTGAAAGTTTTTAAGAGTTCCAGAAGAATCAATAAAAGTAGGTCACGATCAAAACTGAACAAAATGGTTAACACTTGTATCAGCTAGAATTTAAGTTATCCTGAAATAAGAACTTCCTAAATGAGATATTTAGAATTTATATTTTATGTATTAGTAACGATAGGAGTATTCTATGGAGGGTGGCAAGGAAGGAGTAGATAATGAAATGTTTTAGATCTTTGAAAAATGGCAGATAGTTTTGATGGAACGTGGTAGCTTGGGTGGGATATGTTAATAGTAATTTGGGTTGATATTTACATATACTCTTCATTAGTGTTACCAGAACTATGTTATAGTTTTGTGTTGGAGGAGATGATCCTTTTTAAGCTGGATGTGTTTATATCCAGTTATTGTGTTTATATTCATTTGTGTTTATATTCAATTATCATTCAAAATATATCTAAACCCCAAAAAGAACCAGAAAATCTATTTTTAGTCGTATATGCCCTTCTATTTTCCTGATAAAGTAACCAAGTGAAACATAACACCTGTATATTCTTTACGGTCCAAAGGGCCCAAAGAGTCAACAAAAATTCTAAAAGCCCACAAGTGGAAAAATCCTATTTCTCAACTCCTTAATTTTAGATTGCTCTGATGGAATGGGGCTTTTGAGAATTTCCTCTAGAGCAATCATGTGCAGTTATAAGAGGTGCAGAGGCAAGTAGTTTCTGGCCAGCTGTAGACTAGAGATAGTCCTAAGGTGCCCTGCTAATAGCACATGGCTTAACTAAAATACAGAGCATAATTTAGCCTCTAATTTGATCAGTTTAAAAATCAGGCAAAAAAAAAATTGGGCACTAGGCTAGAACCTGGCATATGAGACATCGGTCCAAAGGCACATTTTCTTAGAAACTATTTTGGAGGTCTTGTAGGTGAAACTAGATCAGGTTCACTCACTTCCCTCTATTTTCATTTAAGATTCAGTTTCTTTTGTTAAACCACTATGCATTTTTTTAAAAATCACCTGTGAAAGTAATAAGCCTAAAAATTTCATCCAATTCAAATCAGACTATATTTACTTCAGATTAAACATGATTTTATTAACATTCTAGACAGCTAAGACCCTAAAAGAAGAAATTGACAGTTTATATTTTTACCATCAGGCATAGGTTATTTTATATATGTGTGTATATATCATTAATTCTTGGAGCAACTCATGCTATATAAGATTATCTCTCTGTCTCTCTGTCTCTCTCTCTCTCTCTCTCTATATATATATACATATATATATATATATATATACACACATACATAACATGAGTCAGCTAAAGGCCTATTTTCTAAAAGAAGGGTCAGATGACAAAGCTCACTGACTTTAAAAAGCTTTCACAGCACAATATTTTTGATAAAAAGGTTTAGTCTATTCTTTAATTCACCTAAAGATACATTTAGCAAAAAAGAAAAAGAAGAAAAAAATGCCATTGAGAGTCAAAAGAAAATATCGTGTCAACTAAAAGTAAAAGCAAAAATAAAAGAAAAAATCTCAGTACTCACTGAATACTACTATAAACATCAAAAAATTTCCATTTAAAGTCACCAGAAACCCTTGGGTTCCTAATACAATTTCATCCAATTCAAATCAGACTATATTTACTTCAGATTAAACATGATTTTATTAACATTCTTGTTGTTTATGTGTATGTTTTGTTTTTTAGTTTGCTTGTGCAAACAAGAATAAGGAGAAAGATATGCACATGAAATTTTCTAAAGCCAGTTTTGTCTAAGAAAGTAATTATAAATTTGGAAGACACCAACACTTATGTCTTTGTAGAAGTGCTTTCAAATTGCCTATCATCCTCACTATAGTAGAAATTAAGGCTATGATGAGGCCCACAGTGATAAATTCTGATACTCAAGAACTACAATGATGATTAACATCAAACCACTGTCATTGTCCTGTTCAAAACATAGTAAGAAAGAAAACAGTGTAGAAAAGCTGTGCTGGCACAAGGGGCTTATGCATTTTTTATTCCCTTTATGAAATTACCATTAGTGCTCTTCTCTTACTCATATAAATAAAATGCACAGTCAAATTGGCATAAGTGACAGGACTTTGGGTTTCAAAGATTATCGACACATAATGGTTGTTCTCTTGGGGAAAAGGAGATGCTTATATTAAAAAGATGATGAGAAAAGAGAGTGCTTAGGACATGGAAGGAGCTAGGAAGGGGGAAATTCTGAAGCATGGTATTGTTTCCAATTAAAAAAATCTTTAATAGATTTTTTAAAATTCTGCTTCAAAAAATCTATAGGTAATGTGATGTAAACTTGAAAGCATAATTTTAAACATTAAAAGAAAACTTCCCAAATGCTGATAGCTTTCAATGAAATTAATCTAATAAAAAACAAGCATGAATTAAGAATTAATTTTTTAATATGCTATGTATAAATCCATCCAAACAGTGACAAAATCTTTGAATAATAACCCCCTGGTAGGATTTTCAAATCAGAGTTGTACATTTTCATAAAACAATACTTTTTTTGTTTTCTCTACATATCAGTTAACTATTAAGAATCTCTCACTGGGTGCAGTGCCTCATGTCTATAATCCTAGCACTTTGGGAGGCTGTGGCGGGTGGATAACTTGAGTTCAGGAGTTTGAGACCAGGCTGGCCAACAAGGTGAAACCATGTCTCTACTAAAAATATAGAAATTAGCTGGGCGTGGTGGTGCATGCCTATAATCCTAGCTACTGGGGAGGATGAAGCACAAGAATAGCTTGAACATGCGAGGCAGAGCTTGCAGTGAGCCGAGATCATGCCACTGCATTCCAGCCTGGGCAACAGAGCAAGACTCCATCTTTAAAAAAAAAAAAAAGAATTTGTCTTTAATCCTGAATTTATCAGAAAATGTAACCATCTTTCAGTAATTATTTTTTGTTTTCACTGGATTTCCATCTGTGATGGAGGCCAATGTTCCTCATTTGAGGTATCATTTTCTCTAATATGACCAGTCAGTTGTGCTACTAGGGATTTTTTAGTCAACTAGCCTACCTCAGTTTCAGTACCAAAAATGCTATTACATTACAAAAGAAGGTTATAAAACAGATGAAAAGTGAAAGGGTTAATATACCAACAATAATTTGTCACCTTATTATAACTTGTCCTGGGGCACATAGAAACTCTATGATAAAAACAGCAACCAAGAGAGCTTCTCCTAAACACATTTCTGATGATTTGTCATGATAGCTGATTAAAATACCAAATTCAACAAGAGTCTACAAAACACAGTTAAAAATTATGTGAAGATCTACAGCACAATTTTATTTCAAGCAGTTTAAAATTTTAATGAGATATAGATCACTCAACACTAGCTAAAGAAAGCAACTGGGAAACACCAGGGAGTAGAGCTACCCATGTATATTTCTATAGGAAATATACTGTAAGGAAAACAAACTTTTCAAAAGTATATATAACTTCAACAGGAACAACTAGATATTTAAATATGTGCAACAAAATAACGAGCCCAACCAAGCTCAATTACTACATTTATGTTCATGGTATGTAGGAATTCACTTCCCTAACTATTTAAATGGGATTTTTTGGTTGACATGATTTTTAGGTAGATTTTATACCAATCATGACTGAGAATTACATACTCAGAGAATTGTATCAAATAGGTTGACTTAAAAACTCATTCAACAGTCTTGACTATCATTAGTGGAAAATCTGAATTTAAGTATTTTCTTTTGATGGTAAGCAATCAATCTACTGTTATTGCATCCTGATGGAGCACGTGAATTAAAAATGAGAAAACCAAAAGAAAGGTTCTTTCAGCACTGTCTTTGCAAGAACTGGGATTTTACCAATTTGTTCTATAGTTGTATAGGCTGTCAAGTATTATGAAATCAATGCAATGTATTCACTAGTTGTCACTCACAGGATGACAGTATTGTAAATTAAGGGAATGCATCTTCAAGCAGGGTTGCATACACATATTTCTAAGGAATTCATCTGTAGTCTGATTTACACTCTTAAAATAGACAACCTACCACTATCTGTTGAAAAGTCTCACAGGTATGAAATTGTCTAATTGAATATCATTTTCCTTTAGAATCAAATAGGCTCCCATTTAGCTTCAATCACTTTGCAGATTTAACCTTAATATTTTCTATACAGTGAAAACGAGTCAAAAGACTTCAAGAATCATTTTGAATAACATTACTTATTTAAATATGTCTCTACTGAGATGAAAATTACTGAGTAAAAATATGTCATGGTAGTTACATAACTCCTGAGAATATATCAAATTGCATTCCTTATAGCAGTAATTCATTACCACAATAGATTGCTAAAATCAATTCTAAAACCTGAATAGAACAAAGATTTTCAAAATAAATAAAAAAAATTATTGGCAGGTAAACTAAGATCTTTTACATCTAAAATAATGGTTAAATTACCATTTTTAAATAAGGTTTTTCAAGAGGCTGCTGCAGTTCTTTTTTTAATCTAAATAACCCATTTTTTAACCACATTTACTTAATAATCTAATAAAAAGTGACCAATGTGATAATCAATACAAGTTCCGATAAGTCTCTATAAACAATTACATTTTTTATGACTTTTATTAAAAGAGCATTTTAAAAGAAAAAATTGTTTCAAAGGAAGAATAATCATACATAAACTGCTTTTATTTTTAATGTTTCCTTTAAGACTTTGTCATACACGTTTATATAACCATGAACATAGTAAATATAATTTACTTTTAAAATATAATTTTTATCGTGGGAGAGAAAGAAAACATTAAACAGGTTTGGCGAAGTCAAAACTGAGACTTGGATTAGGAAAGAAATGACAGGAAAAAAAAAATATCCCTTTCATATGCACATGCAAACTCTAAATTCTAACCCAAGAAGCATAAAACTTAAAATTAACAGAAAATCTCAAATCTTAGTAATCAAGAAGCTCTGAGTGGGAGTGGAAAATAATAATGATATTCAAAAGTATCTGGATATAGTAATATAATTTTAGGACATGCCTCTAAATAGAATGATTACTACGCCTTTGAATAAGATGTCAGGGGCTGTTATTATATACAATTCAGTTTAAATGAATAAAGAAAACGAAAAGTATCTTTTCAAGATTTTAACTCGGGTAGTAAAAATGTAAAAACCCAGAACAAGCTCATTTGTAAAGACAGCTTTTCTGTATGCTGAAAATATCTCAAACCAATTCTTTTCCAATGCTGCCTTAAAGGAACATTTATTAACTTCTAGGTTGATAGATGTTAAAGAATGTCTGCTTTAATATCCTACTTTATTTTTTTAACTTTTATAGACTGTCAATTGTGTTCTAACTGCATAAGATTTATGGGCTCAAAGATGGCACAACCACATTAGCCAGGTGTGCTGAGATTAGGATAGCTCTTGTAAGTTCAATTAATAACACTATATTATTGTGTCCTAATCTAAAAGACTGACTTTGAAGTTCTGGTCCTCATTTTAATATATTTCTCATTTAGATTTTGTTTCTGAAAAAGGAAGATAGAATAAGTAATTTTTTTCATTGCTCTGAATTTTTCAAGTCTTTCTAAACCTTCAAATTTTAGAAAAATAGCAAAACTCAAGAAACATAGTTTTCATATACATCTCTAAGCAATTCTCAACTCTGCTACTGAAATAAATAACATATTTCAAACAGGAATAGGAACAATTTGCAGGTTTAAATCTATGCTTGTTTTATATCTATTCTGACACAAACTTCTTTGTTCAAGTTATTTCTAACCCCAGTAAATTATTACTTCCTGGTTACATTAAAAGGCTCCTTGAGCATCTAATGAATCTTAATAAACGTGTTTCCTTGACTATTCACCAGTGGAAGTTCTGAATTCTCTTATAAATAAATCTGTGACTGTTTGGTAATAATATTTTGCTATAAGAGTGATTTGTGAAAAATTTGCAACCAGCCCAAGAATTCAGTTACCAAAATCACAAATGAAGAGACCTCCAGAGTCCTCATTAATAGGATGACTATAAACGATTTAAAATTGCAGTGAGGTGGATGCTTCTATGAAAAGATAACTTACATGGGCATTATTAGTTTTAATAATGAGAACCTACACCTTAGAAGGAAAATTCTAATAAAACATTCCATTGGGGCTTAAAAAACAGGGTGGGATTTACTTCTTACCAACTAATCACCACTGTGTATTCCCTTATATTCTCAGAGCAGCAAGAGACCACTTTTTCATCAAAACACAAATTTTTGCTACAGAGGAAATTTCAAACACTGATTGATCAGTAAGAAAAAAATAATTATTATAGTATTTGTTATAATTATGAATGCTAATTATTATATGGCTACAGTAATTATGGTTTCATTATAACTTATAGCTTTCTCTTATAATTTCTAAAAATTATCTCAATAAATGTAAAGGCTAAATTTCAGGGTTTTATTTGTATAAAATCATTTTAATTATTTAAGAGTAATTGACACATAAATTTGCATGTACAATCATATTCAATTTAGTATTCTACTAGGAGGATAACCATGAGTCCTTCCAAAATGAATTATATTAACCTTGACTGAAGAAAGTCCTTTTTTTTTTTTTTTAGGCGGAGTTTCACTCTTGTTGCCCAGGCTGGAGTGCAATGGCATGATCTCGGTTCATCGCAACCTCCGCCTCCCAGGTTCAAGCGATTCTCCTGCCTCAGCCTCCCTAGTATCTGGGATTACAGGCATGTGCCACCACGCCCAGCTAATTTTGTATTTTTAGTAGAGACGGGGTTTCTCCATGTTGGTCAGGCTGGTCTCAAACTCCCGACCTCAGGTAATCCGCCCGCATCAGCCTCCCAAAGTGTTGGGATTACAGGCATGAGCCACCGTGCCCAGCCTGAAAGTCCTTTTTAAGAAATGCAAAAGTGTGAAGAATTCACACAGCTCTGTTAAATCAAAATTATCTCTTACAGATAGTAATGACCACAATAGACCAAAATCTGTGTTTGTTATTAGTGTTATATATAAAAGAACAGAAACCCCTAATTACTTAATACACTAATGCTCTCTTCTTAATAGACATTAACCAAAATGAACACTATTTAGGAAAATGTGTTCTTTTTAAGGGAATAAATAATATTTTGCTCTATATAATATGTTGTATGTATAACAAACATTGAAAAAGTATGTAAATAGTATTTTCTCCTTAAAACTTATTTTAGAGAAATTTTATTTTCTAATGGATTTGATTAGCAAGTACAAAAATGTCTGCATTTCAGTGGGCTTTCAGTAAACAATGATTTACAAAACACCTTTGCCTTCATTATTACTTCCTCTTGACAGACATTTTATTTAACTATGTAATAATGATGGTCTTACCATACAAAGAAGTATCTGATTTCCCAGGTCAGGCTGTGAAAACATCACTATGACCATTGAAGTTTACATTGCCAGCTCTCACCCACACTCCATATTTCTAAATATGCATAAGAACATCTCCATTTGGATGTTCTGCATCAGTTTACCTCTAACCTGGCATAGAAACATGGAACCAAAAGAAAGGAATGTCATATTAGCAATGGGAAAAATAAGAATTTTAAGGGCCTTCAAAGAGAGAAATGGAAATGGTTAAGTAAAGTGTGATAAATACCCACTCCAACGCATATTGGGAAACAATAATCGTCATTAATATGATCACTGAAGATTCTAGAGGAACACGAAGGCAAATAGTAAAACTATACAAGCACTATGATGACAATTTTAAAAGCATTATTCGTAAAAGATGTAGGAAAAGCATCAAAAAAAGTGAAATTTTTGAAGTAAATTTTAAACTTCTCCCATAAACCACCTCCTCTTTATCTTTTTCTATTTGTGTATCTAAAATTTTTTATATCAAGTTTGGCTCTTTTTTTTCTTTCAGGGGTCTCCAACTAGTACTATGCATGGGAGAAGTGGCCATGAATGAGATATTAGTACACTGTATTTAAATATTCATAGTTTATGCATTTGAATTCTATGTGCCATGTTAGCCTTACTTATAAGCAGCAATAATAAACTATTTGAAATTATGAGAGAAATCTTAAGTATTTATTTTATTTACTCCATTCAGTCATTCAATCAGAGCACAAATAAACAGTGCATTTTGGAGACTGAATTTTAAATTCCCTGAGAACAGCACTGAATTCTCAGTGCCTACCATGATGACAGGAATCAAGACAGCATGCAGAGATCTGCTGGAAGAGAGAAAGAAAGAAATGGAGGGCTGAGAAGAAAGGAAGGAAAAAACGTTGGTCTATAGGAAAGCAAAGAAAAGGAAGAGAAAAACATAAAAAAAGAAGAAAAGACAAAAAAATGTAGGCTTTGGAGTCAAATATCTCAGCTAGAATTCCGTATCTATTCTTACTGACTGTAAAATTTCAAATGTATTTTAATTTTTATGCTCCCATTTCCTTGTCTGTAAAAATGAGTCAAATGAGTTGGCACACGTAAAACATTCAGCAGAAGTCCAATACACAGTAGGTATTCAGTAAATACCAGCTGCTCTATTAATGCCTCAGTACACTTGGAAGAATATATATTTTTAAATAATTTGTAATGTTCTAATACTACAAATTTAAGTACTGGCAGTAAGGTAAGGTTAAACATTGGCTGTCCTTATTAGCTGTTTTGAAGATATATTACCATTACTTAGGAAAGCCCAAAAATCTAGCTTCATTTTTTCCAAAAATGGCAAAAAACAATAAATAGTGATTCTCAAGATAATGCCAATGGCAAACAACTCTAGTATTTGCTAAAAGACCACAATATTCCACTAAAGGGAAATTATGTGAACAAAAAACCCCCAAACTCTTGTATTTCATCTCAAAATTGAAGCAAACATATGAACATATATGGAGTTGTAAATAGAGAGAATCCATCAGGAGAGCCAGAGTGAGTCCTCTGTTTTGTTTTAAGAAATTATTTCATAATGCAAATAATTCCCTATTCACTTTGTCTGGTTTTTACTTCTATAATTTAATACATGAGGTTTTCTTAAACCGGGGACATAGTTGTATTTCTAACCATAAGTTTTTAAATAACAGATAGATATAATTTCAGAAAAAGACACATAAAAATCCAACAAATTTTTCCCCCAAAACCTCGTATCTGAACTGCAGCAACTCTTTCTGGGATAATAACAGAGTTCTCTTTCCAAAATGGGCCCAGCTCAGTGTACCAAAGGAAAGAAAAACAGTTGTATCAGGAGAGATACCACAGAGGACTAACAGTGTGACAAGAGTAAATATTGGAAGAAATTTTCCATGAAGTAGAACATTTGAAAACCATATGTATGTGTAGTATGTGTACTATATTGATGTATCCGCTGGTTTCCAATCCTAATTCCAACATCCTCCAGGCTCCTGAATTCCCCACAGGTTGGCAGCTTCTTCTGCAGAAATCCTCAGATGAAGATGCTTTGTCCCCCACTTACAAATTAAGTCTTTCCTGCATTTGCTTTTCTTTCTCTTCCTTATTGACAAAAACAGCTGCTATGGAATTTGTAGTGTTTAATAAATTTGTATTTTAATGATGACATCTTCTAAATATATTTTTGTCATTATATGTTTAAATAAAAAGTATTGCTGTTATCCCTTATGTTCCAAAGAAATCTGATCAGAAACTCACAGCCTCAAAAAGGGTAGCAATATATGTAGTGGTAGCGTCAGAATTTCTTTGAAGAAGGGATCTGGGGACATCAATCAGGTGGAAGGAAGAGTACCAATGGATATCATCTTACTGCTGTGCTGACACAGCTGGCCCATAGCTTTTATAAGTCATCTGTTTACTTAGCATAGATTTGGAGAAAAAAAGCTGGTGGTAGTTCTGAGAGGGGCTAAGACCCACAAAACACTCCTTATAACAGCTCCTTCATATTTAAAGGGGAAAACTTTCAATACGAACTAGGAGTGAAGGTGGGAACAAGGGGAATATTTACTCCCAAGTGCTGTTTCTGTTCCTGGTAATTTCACCCTTACATGTAAAAGGGTAAGAATTATGCAAGCATCTGGATCCTGATGAGAAACCACCTTAACTAATATCCTTGGGAATGAAACCACGTTTATAATAGATTCAGTACTCCACTAACATCTTAAAGTACACTTATCTGTAGTGAAGTGAACAAATCTAGATTTTTGTGTCTATCTTGCTTCATAATTCCTTACACTCCTAAAAATTTCTTACTGAGTAAACAACAAAGAACTTAGGCTACACATGGAATTTTGGAAAATCCAGAGAAAAGGCAGGGGAAAAAAGGTCTTTGTTCTAAAAGGTGACATGTGCATTTGGCATTCCTTTTCTTCTTAATTTTCGATTTAGGGCTTATGGAGTTCAGAAGCAGAAGGATAAGATGGTTATTTCCTCTCCAATCAATCACTCTAAACTTTATAATAAGTTGGACATATCTGATCTCCCATAAAATGAAATTCTTTAGGTGAATTATTTTGGGAAGCATCAGAATGGAGGCAAAGAAGTAAGTTCTAAAATATTCATCTCTTCCTCACACTATCCAGACGTCAAGGCCTCCAACATAGTTTTTTATGGGCCATGGCAAGTATAAGGGGTATTTCAATCATCAATGAATGAGCAACAATGGTTGCTGTTTCAAAATAGGAGGAAAAAAGTTGAATTATTTTGGGGGAGAAACAACATAAGATGACTTTTGAAGAAAACATTTTTTGTCATCTGAAAATATGAATATGTATATAAGTATGCTGTTTATATGTAAAAGAAAAATATGCAGATAGGTCAAATCTTTTAGATTTGGAGATGGGAAGACCTTAAACCTTCTTTTTGTATTTATGAGCCTAACTCTTTAAGTAATTCAAATTACTACTGGTTAATGTTCCTTGAATCACTCATTTATCCTGAAAAACTTTCCTTTATTCTCACAAAAAAGGAAAATGGCAAACATACTTTAGCTTGGTAAATGTGAAAAAATTAGGTATTCAAATAAAAGATCCAAAACCAACAAGTCACAATGATAGCAAGTTTCTGTAATACATTTCTGGGTACGCTACAACACCAAGTTTAAACAATGATTTTTCTTGCTCCAAAGTGGGTTGTGGATGTAAGAACTAGTTTTTCTTGCTCAGTCAAGCAATATGAAGCAAAGGACTACAGTCAAAGAAATAGCTGAATAGCTTCTGCAGCCAATCCATACAAACACACAGTGTGGTACTTAGTGGGACCCTCCTTACACCAAAAAAGATACATACTAATACATAAAACTGATTCTTCAGAAAAAAGTTCATAATTATATTAAATTTGCACTGTGGATAAAGCCCAACTGCAAAAACTTAGAGAGCTTGGTAATCCCAGAAATTTCTGTGAGTGGCTATTATAAGGAATGTGGTCTAAACTCGACAGGAAACCTCGTATTTCTGTTAGTATGAAAAATTGCTTTGATCATTCCACATTTTCTTAAGATAGAAAAAAGGAAGATTTGATGAATCCAGAATATTATTGATGTTATTTTGAAACCAGATTTTAACTTATTAATTACTTCAAAACTATAACTTAAAATTGTATATTTAAAGAAAAGGTAACATTAATTTCAAATTCCAAGAAACTCATTTTGATGATTAGATAACATCATCCAATCTTTCAAAGGGTAATAACATTTAAAAATTAGACTTATCAGAAATGCTATATTAACTTATAGTATTATCAAAGTTGCCATAACTTAATTCTCTATGAACTAAATATGTCTCTTTTAAGATGATAATCATAATGTTAATCACAAAACATGGAAAAATCTTGAAATGTCTTTGGCATTTTTAAGAAGGATAATTACATTCAGTGTAATCTCTTGTAAGTATACATTATTTCATTCTGACTCTATGGAAATTGGTTATTTGCACATAATACATAGCAGGTGCTGGCAAGCCAAGGCTGTATTTTTTGTAGGAGGAGGTAAGAGGATCAGCCACTGCTTTCTCTCATACGTTATTTGGAAGAGCCTCCTCCCTGATCTCTGCCTCTACGTCATGGCATGTTGCTCCTTATCTCCCCAACACCCACCTTCACAGAATCAGATACATCAGCCAAAAACACTGTGTTTTTGAATGTTGGCATGATCACCTATTAGTAATCATGCATGAGAATAAAGTGGCATGCCACTTTTGGAAAAGCTGCCATAGATGATAACTGCACACTGATGAGATTATTTCATTATTCTGGAGCTTATCAGTGTCCAGCAATTACCTGCTTCAGAAAATGTACTGTACTTGTGAATTATATATTTCAAGAGAAAGTCATGAAATCAATTTGATAAGATACTCCTGGACAGGTATCTTAGTAGCACCCTTCTTCCTCAAAATAAATGATCTAACAGGACCACCTACACATTTATTTCATACAATGTTTCTTGAACAAAATGAAACCTCAAATGTTGGGATAAAGAGAAGCATTACATGTAATTTTAGGTCCAGTACGAACTGGATGAGTTGCTAAGAAATACATTATCTATGCCTAGACTATCGATAATCTGGGCACAACACTTCCAAGATAAATACTCAAGAGCTATTAAAACTATTTGTAGCTGTATACTACTTGGATTTTAAGTTACCTTGTTTTAGTTTTCTAGAATTTTTTGTCTATTTTTGTAACTTCCTAAGAAAGTTCTCAGGACCAGGACTTTATAAATGCAAAGATAACTTAAAGATTCTAAATCAAAAGGACAAGATTGTTGGTAGGATAATGTGTTATTCAGTAATTTGTCTAAAGTTATTTTTAAAACATACCCTAGCTAATTGGAGATATCTTACAAACAAAAGTAAAACAAGGTCAACCAAGAAAATACATTTCAGACTACAAATGTCAAGATTACTAATATTTATAGAAACTCTTTACTTCTCCCCATTTTCTCCTTCTCTCACACATCTGGCCAATTTTTCATTGGCTTCACTCTAAATTTGCATTATCCATAGAATTTAAGCATGGAGAATTTAAAACTCTCTCTCTTTTTGCTTATCAATAACGTTGGTAAAAGATTTTGTGTGGGCTTTTGGATTGTGTGTAGATATCATACGTTTTTTTCTTTCCTATTCCAATGCCTAGTACAATTGGGCCTGATATTATTCAAGAGATAAACATCTCCTCTTCAATTGGTCAAAGGTTAAAAAGGTAAACCAGAAGATATTGCCGGTGGGAAGAGGGGACAAAGATAAATTACAGGTAGTCATAAAGAAAGTTTAATTTTTCCCCTCACTTACACATAGCCTTTATTTTGAAGAAGTAATGCATCATTCATGAAGTTAACATTTACTTACTACTGATTTAGTGTGCAATTGGCACTAGGCAACAGGGAGACATTGGAAATACAAAGATGAGTAAGACTCAGTCCCCACTCTCATGGAATCCAAAATTGTATAAAAAGAACCATGAAATTCTGTGGTAAGTGCAATATGGACAAAATATGAAAAAGAGGCATAAAGAGGAGATCAAGTTGCCTATCTAAGAGGGAAAATAAAAGCTTGTGACAAATTTTACGGAGAGAGCCACATAAGAACTAAACTTGGGTAAGAATTGCCTCAGATTTAGTAACTCATTGAGAATGAGCATTCATCTCCCTGCAAGATAATCATTTATCAGGAGTAATCTTGTATTCATATGTGGCCAACTGAGAAATCTTTAATACTCAGATGAAATGATCTAACTGAAATAAGAATATTTATGCACAAAGTAGGCACTGGAAGAATTAAGATCATGCCATATTTAGTATGTGTGTGTTTGCACGCTCACCATAGGGGAAAGGGGGACCACTGGGGAAAGGGCAAGGCATGGAGGTAGTGATTACAGTGTTTAAGTAACGGAGGATATTCCTGGATAGGAAACATTACATAGAAAACAAGTTGTGTCCATTTAGCACCTGAGATACAGCATTCGCTAATTTTAGAAATCACAAAATAATTCAGTCTATTGTCATATACAAATCTGAATTTATGAAATTTGATAGGTGTCTTATACCATCTTGGATTCACAGCACCTCCAGTTTCAGTTTCAATCAGCATTTTTTGAGTTCTCATAAGTGGACTGCTGACTTCTGCTGGAGGAAATACAACAATCATGTGGACCGATGCCACTACAAATTTATAGTTTCCAAGCTCTCAAAACCACTCAGCAATTCTACATTCTGCTCGTCAGCTCCCTCTGCCACTTCTAATAGCAGCTCTTCCAAATTTTAGCTCCTGTCCCAAGGGCCCTACCCAATTGCTTCTCTGGCTCAGGTTTTTATCTCACAATTTGATTGGCTTCAAAGAATAATGAGAGGATCTCAAGCCTGCATTCTCTCAGCTTCTAACACTCCACAAACTCTTGGAAATGTTTAATCACCATCCATCTTCTTTCTTAGAGCTAGAAGGCATCTACTCCCCGCCTCCTTCAGGTTAATTCCTTCTGATATTACCTTATTCTTAACTACTTACTTACTAGTGATTCAGTGTGCAATTTGCATGCCTTCTGAATTCTTCCTGAACTTCTTCCATGAATTTCTCCTTCCTCTCACTTACATCTCTCTCTTATCTCCTTTGGCTCAGCCCCTAAACACGTTTAAGTTTCTCCCACTTTGAAAGACTAAACAAAGTGAAACTCCTCAGTGTATTATAATCTGGGTTTAGTCCCCCACCCTATCATTTTTTGTTTGTTTGTTTGAGACAGGGTACTCTGTCACCCAGGCTGCAGTGCAGTAGAGTCATCTCAGCTCACTGCAACCTCTGCCTCCTGGGCTCAAGCAATCCTCCTGCCTCATCCTGCCAAGTAGTTGGGACTATAGGCACATGTCACCACATCAAGCTAATTTTTCTGTTTTCTGTACAGATGGGGTCTCACTATGTTGCCCAGGCTGGCCTCCAACTCCTGGGGTCAAGTGACCCACCTGCCTCGGCCTCTCAAAATGTGGGATTACAGGTGTGAGCCACTGCGCCTGGCAACCCACCATGTCTTTTGCTAAGAAAAGAGTCTTCTTTTGCAAGATCCTCCTAATGCTAAATGCAAACTGCTTCCCATAGTCCTTAACCTTCACAACTCTCTGAAGGACCTGGCAAGCTCTTGCTTGAAATTTTCTCTTCCTTTGGCCTCAGGTGACAACTTTGCCTATTTTTCAAATGATTCATCCTCTTCATTTTCTCTAGGGTTTCTGCTTCCTCTGCCTACCGCTTACAAATGACATTTATTGGGGTTACATGTGGGCCCTCATGCCATAGCAATCCTGAGAATATATCCACACCCAAGGCTGTAACAGTCACCTATAGATTGACATATCCTGAATGCCTGGCTCAGATTTCTCTCCCAGGTTCTACTCCGTACATTCAATAGCAAGGTAGATATAAACTCAAGGATATCCCCCAAAATTCGAGATGATTGCTTATTCATTGAATGGTACCACCCAATTACACAAACAAGAAACTTCAGCCATTCTTTTTTTTTTTTACTCCCCACATCAAATCATTAATTCTATCTCCTTCTAATTTTGAATTATTTTCCCTTAATACTTTCTCCCTATCCCTGCCTTCAAACTAGGTATTGTCATCCCTTGGCTGGAACACCTGAATTGTCTCCCTCCATTAACTTTCTTACATCTTGATATTAAACTTCTCCTATTTGTCCTAACATGGAAATGTGATGATATCATTCCCCTATTCAGAGTTTCCTTCACGGTGGCCCCTGTCTACCTTGCCTGCTTCTTGCATGCATTATACTCCAGTAACAATGAGATATTTCTATTGCTCCACACATGGTGTTCCTTCTACAGCCTGGTTTTGTCTGCCCAGGATGGATTATCTACCTGGAAGAACAGATCATCTGCCTGGCAAAATTCTACTTGCATTCAAGTCTCAGGTCCGGTGTTTTTCCCTTCTTAGTGAAACCATCTTTGGATCCCCTCCCTTGACCCACCAACCCCAACACACACACAGACCCAGAAGTTTCACACATTCCTTTTCCTATTGTCAAAATGACTGCTATTGACTACAGACCTTTCCACACTATATACTTATTTGCTAACATGCTATCCCTGCTGTTCTCTGAGCAGGGCAGAGGCCAGGTTTTCTTTGCTTTGTAACCCCAGAGTCTCAAACCATACCTAAGCCATTGTAGGACCTAAACAATATCTTTTTCAATGAAAAGAAGGACATCAGTCCTTTCTCTTTCCCATCACTCTTCTACACATCTACAGGAGTTCTATTTCTAAAAACAGATCTGGGCAGGTTACTTGCCTAATTAATCTGAAGGCAATGCGGAGCCTCTGGAGAAATTTTCAAACACCTCAAGATGGCATCCTAATCTCTGTAAGACCCACCTGAACCTGTTTGCTTCAGTCACTTTCTAACACTCATCCTCCTGTCAGATTCTAGCAATCAGACTATACGTTGTTCTGTGCCCCAGGCCTGCACTGCTCTCCTCCAGTGTCCACATGGGAAAGTCCCCCTTATCCTTCAAGCTTCAGTGTAAACCTCACACCTCTGTGAATCATTTCTGACCTCACTACTCCCACCCCAAGTTGAGTTGATTGACTTGCTCTCTGATATACTTCCAGCAGAGCTCAATACGTTTGACTCACTCTCTGTGTTTTAATTATTGGTTTAAAAATGTGTTTCTCCTACTAGAATGTCAGCTCCTTCAGAATGGAGGTTGTTACATTTATCTTTAAATCCCTGGCACTTAAAAGCATATGTTTTCACATACTAGCAGAATAAGAAGATAAGCATATATAAACAAAAAACACAAACACATTCTAACTCACTTTGATTGGCATTAATTTGTCTACACTTAAAATATTCTCTCTCTATTCCTATCATTTTGCACTGGTACTTCAGAAACTATAAGAGGCTCCACTCAAATTATAATTATTTTGAATTCAGTGTTTTGCTTCTTCTGTAATCTTTTTTGCAAATAGTAATTTTTTTCAAAGACTGTTTTGGTACTTTTTTCTCCATCTACTTTTAGCAAAAAGAGATTCTTAAAAGGTGTTTAATGAGCTAAATCTGTACAGACCCAAAATAATAGAGTAAATGGTAAATCAGTTGGACTTGAATTTCTAGATGCTCCTTACTATTTATTTTCTTAAATCAACTCAAAGCAGCAGTGCTCTGGCATTCACAAGAGCACCTCTGCCCAAAAATGTTGTTTATAAACAAATATCAATTTGCTAACTGATTTTTTCGCCTAGAGCCTACATAAATAATATTAATTAGTAATACTTATCATTGCATTTGAAAACCAATTGGGAATAAGGAAAACCGTAGGGGAAGAAATGTTGATGAGAAGTTAGACAGATTTCTTTTAAACTGTAAAAAAGTCCTTACACAAGGAGTCCCCAACATATTAGGAACCAGGCTACTCAGCAGGAGGTAAGCAGTGGGCAACCAAGTATTATGACCTGAGCTAAGCCTCCCGTCAGATCAGCAGCAGCAGCAGGGGCATAAGATTCTTACAGTGGACGGATAGCATTAGGATGAATACCTAATGTAGATGACGGGTTGATGGGTGCAGCAAACCACCATGGCATGTTTATACCTATGTAACAAACCTGCACGTTCTGCACATGTACCCCAGAACATAAAGTATAATAATAATAATAATAATAATAAAAGATTCTCACAGGAGCATGAACCCTGTTATGAACTGCTCAAGTGAGGGATCTAGGTTGCATGCCCCTTATAAGAACTTAACACCTGATGATCTAAGGTGAAACGGTTCCATTCTGAAACCAACCGCTCCCCGACCCCGAGTCCACGGAAGAACTGTCTTCCACAAAACCAGTCCCTGGTGCCAAAAAGGTTGGGGACCACTGCCTTACATGATGAATTTCAATGCTTAAAGGAGAAAATATAACATTACAGATCCCACCATGCAAAATTATTCAGATACTAAACACATTCTTCAATAAATGAACATAGACAATTAACAAGTTTTACCAGAAGAACAGCATTCTCACACACACACACACACACACACACACATATACAAATAACATGCTATTAATGTATTTATTCATCTGCTGTAGTATTTTATAAAGAACATGAAGTGTAACCCAAGGTATCTCTTCATGACCAGATTTTCTACAACAGATGTTTGGTCACAATGGAACACTCAGTCTTCTGATTCTACCTTGCTCTCTTCTCTCTTCTGCTTTACCAACATCTGCAGCTAAAATTCCCCCACCTTCTTTTATGCATATGAATATTTAAGTATATTTTGAAGCCCAGATAGCTCCAAGAAAGTCACATCCAATAAACCTTCCTTGAGCCCCTTAGCTGAGGTAAAGGTGCTTCTATATTCTTCATACTTGTGAACTTGCTTGTTTTCATGGGAAAAAAAAAAAAAAAAAAAAAAAAGGACCCAAGACTGCATTCTTAGACTGATACTCATCCTGTCTGTGGATGTGTCTGCAATTTGGCTCCATGTAAATTTGAGAAAAGACTCCATTTTGGCAAGGAAAACACAACTCACATTCTTTAATTTCTTAGTCTATGTCCCAGTAAGCTGGTAGAGATTTTGATTTAAAAAACAAAACAAAACTCAAAAAACTTAACCTAATGGAAAAAACTTATAACTGAAAAATTATAGAGAGCTATCATAGCATCTCCTTATCTGCAGCTTTTAAAAAATACAATAGCAACTCACATTTATATGATGATGGCAGAACAAAGGAAGGGTGATATCCCTGGAAACTTTGGTTCCATAATTCTTTGGTATTTCTAACACACTTAGACCAACTTAAAAAGAATCTTAACTTAAAAAGAGGTTTTCTATTTGAACCATTTCTCAAACCAAGGAGAAGACTGTTTCCTTCCAGGTCACATTCTAATGCTCTCAAGGAGTTAATACTCATGCTATTAGGGAAAGTGATTCTTAAAAGTTGCTGAAAAAACCAATTCTATATGAACCCAAAATGATATGATAAACGGTAAATTATTTGGGCCGAATTTAGGTATTCTCATGGACCAAAATAAATACACTGGAATTATTTCTAACATGAAAAAGCCCTCATTTAATCATGTGTCAACTGGAGAAAGCAATTTCCCACAGCTAAAAATATTTAAAAATCTGATATAAAAACAAAATTATATTAAAATGCCATAATACATGGATTTGGCTACTTGCCAAGGGTAGAAACCGACTTCTGCAGATTTTTCTTTCAAAGATATACCACGTGTTCCAACATTTGTAATCATTTGATAGTCAACTGCTGTAGGCAAAAAACTGTACCTAGTAATTCTCTACTGTCGATATTTTAAACTATTTCATAAACATTCCTCATACAGTATGTCTAATAGATTTTGCATACTTTTTCTTATCAGAAACTTCTTTAACACATATAATCTACTGAAATTCTCCAACTAAATTAAATCATAATAGGAATGAAACTGACAAAATCTTTTAGTTGGCCTATTTTACCTGGAGGAACCAGTAAAATAGAGCTCATGACTCTGAATCTCCATATAAATTGAAAATAAACACGTTTAATATTCAAGTAATTTAGTTAGACTTACAGACTGATAATTTTGCTAACTTTTCTATATTTAAAAATGCAAATGTGATAGAGAAGCATAATAACATTTTAAACACATTGTTTTAGGATTATGCATTTTCAATCAAAACCTGCTAGAACCAAGAAAAAATGGCATTAAGTAGAGAAAGCAGTTGCTTCACTATCAGTTTCACAAAAATTTTTAAGATAATAGTAAATTAGGATCAAATTTTCCATATACTTTGATATACTCTAGTTTATAACACTTGCCAATGATGGATTGAGGAATATAATTTAGATTAAAAAAGCATACATGAAGTTTACTGGTCAGATAATTTTCTACTTCTGTCATTACAAGTAAGGAAGTACTTGTAGGAAAAATACATCAGAAATAAAACAATGAACTTAATAAAAGTAAATGAGTAGAGATCACATGGTAACAAGCAGAACTGTATTCCCTGAACACAAGAGCATCACAGATTTCTTCTCTCTCAGAACTGCTAGAATCAGACAGAACTCTAAAGTTCATAAAATCCAACACCAGATAGGTAAAGACATCTTCCATTTTATCTCCCCACTAAACCAGCTTACTTAATAATTTCCCTCATTAAGCAATACTAACTAGCCAATTTCCTTCCTTCTCCCACTTACTTTCATTTACTAACGCAGAAATGTTAAGAAGTGTCTTACAATGTTTACTATGGGGAAGTCAGGGATATGAAACAGGTTACATTTTTAGTCCCAGTTCTACAAATAAAGAAAATGACTTATCAGATAGTGAGAATTATTCTAAACAACAGTGAGGTCAGTTTTGAAGAGTTATTTGAAATCAGAACTTTAAGTGGCTAGGTCAGTTCCCAAAGGACATTTTTAAAGGGCAGCAAAGGAACCATTTTTCTTACAAAATATAGCACTAAATTTTCGGTTGCCTAAACAATAATAATAATAATAATAATAATAATAATTCATTACAATGTAGAGATAATCAGTACCGACACTGAGAGAGAAATGCACAAGACGGCAGTGATCATAAGATATTAAGACTCATCAGGCCGGGTGCAGTGGCTCACGCCTTTAATCCCAGCACTTTGGGAGGCCGAGGCGGGCGGATCACGAGGTCAGGAGATCGAAACCATCCTGGCTAACACAGTGAAATCCTGTCTCTACTAAAAATCTCTACTAAAAATACAAAAAAATTAGCTGGGCGTGATAGCGGGCACCTGCAGTCCCAGCTACTCGGGAGGCTGATGCAGGAGAATGGCGTGAATCCGAGAGGCAGAGCTTGCAGTGAGCCGAGATGGCACCACTGCACTCCAGCCTGGGCGACATAGCAAGACTTCGTCTCAAAAAAAAAAAAAGACTCATCACCAAAACTGAACCAGGATCTTAGAATGTATATTAATTTTCACCACTTTGGTACAAAAAAAAAAAATGAAGCACAAATCCCCATATTCGAACGAGGATTAATTTGATTCATGGGCTCCATGGTAATTCTAGTGGTACTTTCTCTTTCACTATCACTATAGCAGGATATACTAACAGGGGTTTCACACTCCCAGCTCAGTTCTTGGAATGCCATATCCTCTTCCCCCAGTCAAAATGGCCACGAAAGTCTACCTCACAACCTCAGAGAAGTGATCCTGAGAAAATAAGAATCAAATCTTTCTTTGAGTTTTATAAACCCTACCCAGTCTTTTGAGTTATAACAAACAGGCTTTTAAGCATTAAGGACTAAAGCTATATAACTTATGCCATCACCCAAAGATCTAGAAGACTCCTGGAGAGTCAGTCATTTCTCACATGTCAAAAACTATCTAAACTATCTCCACACAGAGGAGGAGAGAAACATTCAGAGAAGCTGTATCCTGGGGGTGGGGACACTCAAATCACAGGCTAGGGACCCCCCAGACAGGTTTCAGCAAAAAGGGATCGTGAAACCTTATCTAGCACAGCCAGAAGAGCAGTGTCTTAGTCTGTTCCTGCTGTTATAGCAAAATACCTTAGACTGGGTAATTCAAAAGAAATAGAAACTTATTTCTCACAGTTCTGGAGGCTGAGAAGTCCAAGATCAAGGAACTAGCAGATTCAACATCTGATGAAGGTTCTCTCTCTGCTTCATAGAAGGTGCCTTGCTGTTGCATCCTCACATGGTGGAAGGGGACAGGGGCATTCACTTCAACTTCTTTTAAAAGGGCACTCTGCCCTCATCACTTTAATCACTTCCCAAAAGTCTCTACCTCTTAATACTATTACAGTGGTTATTCAACTTCAACTTGTGACTTTTGGCAGGACAACAACATTCAGAACATAGCAAGCAGCAAGAACTCAGAGTTTTCCCAACATCCAGCATAAACTCGAAGCAGAAAAAATAAAAGTTGAGGCAACAACGTCTTTCTCTGTCTCTCCTTTGCTATCTCCTCTCTCCCCACTCTTACAGTCAATGGAAACTACTGTGTTTAGATGAAATTGGCATAATACAATTTGGATGACCTTTCATCAAAAGTGTAAAACATGGGCCAGGCACGGTGGCTCATGCCTGTAGTCCCAGCACTTTGGGAGGCAGAGATGGTGAGAGGATTGCTTGAGGTCAGGAGTTCTAGACCAGCCTGGGCAACACAATGAGATCCTGTCTGAAATAAAAAAATAAAATGACGGATAGGTTACAAGATATTAAGTAGAATATATGTAGAGGGAAATAACACATATGTAATTGGAATTCCAGAAGAACACATCAGCATATGAGAAAGTAAAAATTTACAGAGATACTGGCTAAGAATGTTGACAAATGATGAACACCAATCCTCAAATTTAAGGAGCTCAATTAAAAGCATAATAAATAAAAATTAAACATCTCAATGTCTCATTACAAATCTGCATGATACCAAAGATAGAGAAGAGATATTAAAACCTGCCAGAAAATAAAGGCTGATCACCTATGAAAGAATGTTAATTAGATTTATAACAACCTCTTAATAGCAAGAAAGAGTACCAGGAAACAGTAAAATCGTATCCTCAATGAGCTGAAAAAAAAAACTCATAATGTAGAATTTAATATTCAGCCAAACTATCTTCCCAAACAATAAAAAACAATAATATAGGCAAAGGAAAAAAACTGAAAAAAGCCTCTCATTAAAGAAAATTCTAAAGAACACAATGGAGAAGGAAGGAAAATTATCTCAGATGGAAGGACAGAGATGCAAGCAAAAACACTTGTATATATACGGGTAGCTGTAAACATCGATTGTATAAAACAATTATTTCTGATAGGGAAGGGAGAAAAGAAGTAAGTCTGACAAAAGAGTACATATTGATTACCTATATATTTTGTTAAATGTGTATATTAAAATAGTGAGTGTAATCATTAAAATATCAGATAATAAGAGTACATAACTGCTAAACAAAGAAAAAAATAAGTGCCAGGGAATCCTGATATTCCACTGACACTTTCCACTGAGATGATCCAAATAAGGCTAGTGCTCCACTTTAACCAATCAAATATTTCTTTTGCCTTGCTTCTGCATTTGCCTTGTAAAAATCTTCCCCTCGTGTCCCTTTAGCGGAGCCCCAAACCATCTATGGTCTGGAGCTGCCTGGTTCATGAATCACTGTCTGTCCAAATAAACCCTCTAAGTTTTTAATGTGCCTCAGTTTATCTTTTATCAAACAAAAGAAGCAAGTCATAGAGGAATACACACAGTATGATTACATCTATATAAAGAAACAAAAATAGGCAAAACGTAATTATATAGAATTACACAGGTGACAAAATCTATGCTAAAATGTGCCAACCTAAGAGTATAGTGAGGAAGACTCTGAAAAATTGAATATCCACATCCAAAGATTACAGATTAATATCTCAGGGTGGTCTCACAGGACACATCAGGCCAAGTGATTTCATCCTCTACAGTAGCATATGTAATTCTGATGGCTGCCACTAAGTGGCAGTTCATGCTACAGGTTCTGGAAAAAACAAAGAATGCTGAACTATATAAAAGTATGTCACAACAATATCACTAATACTATCATGTTTATAATCTCTTAAATGTTAACTACATGTCAGTCCTGTGTTATGTAAAACATTATGAGTCCTCATGACTCAAGCAAAACAGAGGCCCCTTGCTTTGCTAACAATAAATGCAAGACAAGTTATTTTGTCAAGGTTACAAAGCACATGGCAAATGACAGGTTCTAATTATATGACTCCAAAGCCTGTTCTCTTTCCACCACTGTTTTGTGAAATGTACACAGTGTCTCTTGTAGGATGACAATGATTTATAGACATATATGTTATAATTCAACAATATAAATTCCTTGAGGGTGGGCTCTATATCAGATTTATCTTTCTTGTATCCTTCAAAGTAAACATTCAATTTTTAAAAAGCCTTAATTATGTAAGGAGAAAAATCTTTTAATTTTTTATTTAATTTTCAAAACTACAATTTATCATTACATACATTTAGAGAAATTATCTGTCATTTGAAGAATATCTTAGCTACAAATTCTTTCCTTCAAAGATAGTTTCTGACTGCTCAGTTTCTCATTACTCTCATTTCTCATTATCCCCTAAGTAGATCTCACATTTAAGCTTCCTCAGTCTCACTTTGAAGTGTGTTACACATGTGTTAAGCATGAGAGAGCTAGGCTCTAGTCTTGGCTTCTTTTATTTTAACTACCCTTGACACATGAGTCTCTTTGGACAGTCTGTACAGTGGCTTCAGTTGGGCATTATGAAGCCTCTTCTGCTATCTTAACCACCTTACATTACATACCAATCTTGGTACTCTTAGTAAGTCATATTCAGTTCTTCTCATTATTAAGTTAATTATCCATTAATTTACTGTGAACGGAAAAAAATAGCCCTAACTTTAAGATAGTCCATGTTCTCTCTCTGTGTTTTCTTACATCCCATATGGCTTATGTTTTTAAAATATTCCTTTTTACCTTGATTATTTTTCTGCTCCTAAATCCAATGCATAAGAGAGCAAAAGCTGACAGCAGAGAATTCTTGAGAGACTTCTGTTTCTAGGCCCCTTAACTTTCCACCTTATATGTGGTTAAAAACCTAATGTTTGTTAGAAAATTTTCAAACATACTAAAAAAAGAAAGAGTAGAATGTACACCCATGAATGTTTCACTCAGATTTATCAATTGCTAACATTTCACCACATTTGCTTCATTGCTCTCTCTCATCATACATTTTTCTTTGCAAAACCATTTGAAAGTAAATTTCAAACATCATAACATGTTACCCCTAAGTATTCAGCATGCATCTCCTAAGTACTAGGACAGTCTCCTATTAAATCACATTATCATTATCATACCCAAGAAATTTAACTTTGATACAATCTTTTTTTTTCTCAGATACAGTCTATCTCTACTTGTCCCAATCATACTGCAGCTTCAATCTCTCAGGTCCAAGTGATCCTCCCACCTCAGCCACCCCAGTAGCTAGGACCACAGGCACATGCCACCACACTTGGCTAACTTTTTTACTTTTTGCAGAGATAGGGTCTCCCTACGGTGCCCAGGCTGATCTCAAACTCCTGAGCTCAAGTAATCCTCTGGCTTCCACCTCCCAAAGTGCTGGGATTATAGGCATGAGCCACCATGCCTGGCCCCCAATCATGTTCTTAACAGATTTCTTTCAATCCAAGATGCAACAAGGGATCATGCAATGCATTTAATTGTCATTCTCCTTTAATTTTTGCTCTTGTGTTTCATCACAATGACAATTTTGAAGAATCTGTATCAGTTGTCTTGTGGGACATCCATAATCTTGATTTGTCTGATTGCTTCCTTGTGATTAAATTCAGATTAAACATTTTTTGGCAAGAATACTGTAAGAGGTGCTGTACTTCCCACAGGATCACAGGATCACATATGAAGGCACATAATAACGATTTTCCGCATTATTGGTGGTGATATCTGATCAACTGATTAAGCTGCTATCTGCTGGATTTCTCTATTGTAAAGGTACCTTTGCCCTACATAATTAATAATTAGTGAGCTAATATTTTGAGACTACAAAATTATCTTTTCCACAGCTTTCCACACGGTCATTTTATCAAGATGAATCTGACAACCTTAGTTTTGTGTGGGTCTCTTATTCCTTTTGGTTGTTACATTAACCAGTCTGTCCTTCTCAGAATGCTTACTTAAGTAATGGAACCATAGGTTCTTTCGTGAGGCCTATAGTTTTAGCATAACAGTCTGCTGAAGTACTCAGTATAAAGAGTCTCTTTTTTTCCCTAAATCTTTAGAACTTTATCTGAATTAGAGCTTCAAATACAGTATTTTCCAAAATACTTGCTTCACGGCTCCTATATAGGACAAACTCTGATATATCTGCTTGCCTTACATTCCATAAAAAGAAAGAAAGAAAAAAGTCATCCAAATACAAGCAGAACTAAACTAAACCCATCACATTTGAGCCTATCAGACTCATTGGTTAATAAGAAAATTCTCTTTGCTTCACAAAATTACAGGACAATCTGTCAATCAAACTCCTAACTTGTCCCAAAAAAGAGTTTTACAAGGTTGTCTGTCACATCTCCAGTGTTCTGTATTTGCTGTGGATCTTACTTTATCAGCTCTAATGAAGCAAACTACACAGAAAGGTGAGATAAGGTTTCTATCAAAATCTTAATTCCCAAATCGGAAGTCAAGAGGGCAATTCAAGGCAGAGCACAGCCATCTGTAGACACCCAAAAGAAACTTTACTAAAGCAGATACTTACAATAGTGGAACTTTTTGAGAAAGTACTGACCTAGGCTCAAATGTTACCCATAAAAATCAAAACTAATCTTTCTATTACGCAAAATGGAAAGGCAATTTACATAAGGACACCTATGTTTCCATTTACATTTTTACCTCTGCGAAAAACCTGGCAGACATTCAAAGGAAGTGATCTAGGGATGATCGACACGCATTAATGGTTCTAATAATGAACACAATATGCTCCAATGACATTCTTTATTCTTAAGAACTTTGATATCAAAGGCAACAAGAATGCTTGAGTTAAATGATTCCTTCTTCCACAGGAAAGCCTAAATGGTCAGCAGAAATCACAGCAAGTAAGAAATTGTGGTCTCAACCTTCCCATTGTGGTCAGTTTCTTCATTTATAAAAGAAAGAACTCAATGGGTCCTCAAGATTTTGAATCGCTGGTGAACCTGAATACATAGGTGACTTAGACATAAAAACATTAAGTAGATACTAAAATGAAACAACTCCATGCACTCTCTCAAAAGATTTAACCAGAAGCACAAAATTTAAGGGGGTACCAAAACACTGAAAAGTCAAGATAATAATTTAGTACAATATTTTTTAAGATAAACATTAATGCAATATGATGGACAAAATATCAACATTTTAAATTAACGCTGCTGTTGTTTGATAATCCTCCACTATTATGCAATGAGAATGGTCATTTCTACTTAACTGGTGGAGTCCCCCACTTGGAAGGACACAATGGTGTCCAACAGGTCGGGCATTGTGGATCTTTCTATATAGTCAATTTTTTTTATTGTAGAGCTTTTATTAACTTTTTTCATTTGGTACAAAATATGAGGGGATATACTGATAAGTGCATATACAGGCATACTTTCTTCTATATTTTTGCCTCGGGCTCTAGTATGATTCAGCAGGATACTGGATTTAAGGATTCAGTCTGTCAGCTGATACAGCATGAAGATACTTAAAACTAAATGCCTCTACTACAGGATCTTTCAGTCTCATAAAAATGAAGAGTCAGTTTTACAAAAAGTAAAGTGAAATACAAAGTACCATAGAGAGAAAAAAATATCCTGGAATTCAGGGAGCATCATGTATCCTTCTGTTGAGAGGCATGAAAATTAGAAAAGGACCCCTGGAAGTGATACAGGATTACCATATTTAGTAAATAAAAATGCAAACATTGCATGAGATATACTAAAAAGTATTTCTTGTTTATGTAAAATTCAGATTTAACTGGGCATCTTATATGGTTTGGCTGTGTCACCACCCAAATCTAGAATTGTAGCTCCCATAATTCCCATGTGTCGTGGGAGGAACCTGGTGGGAGGTAACTGAATCATGAGGGCAAGTCTTTCCCATGCTGTTCTCATGACAGTGAGTAAGTCTCATGAGATGTGATGGTTTTATAAGGGGGAGTTACCCTGCACATGCTCTCTCTCTCTTTCCTGCTGCCATGTAAGGTGTGACTTTGCTCCTCCTTTGCCTTTCACCATGATTGTGAGGCCTCCCCAGCCATGTGGAACTGTGAGTCAGTTAAGCCTCTTTCTTCATAAATTACCCAGTCTTGGGTATGTCTTTATTAGCAGTGTGAGAACACACTAATACAGCAGCCTATATTTTATCTGGCAATCCTGATACGGTAGCATATAAATTGAATCTTGAAATATGGATCTAAACTAAAAATTTCTATTTTATTATTTGGAAACTACTATTCAACTAGGAAGCATTATGATACATGGCACTGAAGTGAATTAACCAACTAGCAGGATAACACTGGATAAGCTACTTCTTTGAATTTAGTTTTTCCACTTAATATAATGATACAATTTGTTCTGCATACTTTGCAGGGTTGGTAGGCTCAATAAACCTGATATTAAATATTTGTGAAAAAGAATTACAAGGTATAAGTAATGAGAAAATAAGAATTTAAGATAAAGTTTTATTGTAGAGACCAGCCTTCACGTTGCTGATCTACTAGGTGGTAACCCCACAGTTCCATGATCAGCACTTGGTCCATGGACAATAACATCTGTGACTAAGAGTTAGGAAATTTCATTAAAAAAAATATCAAGGTTGGGCCAGCTTGCCTTCTTGAACATGGAGCTTCATTTAAAGTCAGAACCATCCTCTGACACAGGGTTCAATCCATGAGAACACTCTCTACACTGTTGTCAGGACTGGTTACAGATGATTAATTATTGTGCAAAACTGTGTTTAAAAACTGTTTTTAAAACATCCAAAATGCTCAAACACCGTTTATACCTGTATCTATGAACCAACTAGGTGTCCAGGGCCCAATTAACCTGTACAATTTTCCTTCTTGCAGGAAGTGTTTCTTTCTTGTGGCTATATAGGAACTGTCACATAGCCCAAATGAGCTCACTCTGCCAACAAATCTGCCTCAAATCTGCCAACAAATAGCCCAAATGAGCCCACTCCTCAAATCTGCTAACTGGGACATCAGGTAAATGGTGGGTTACTTTACTCAACTGTGTTCCACCTTCCATCAAACAGCAAACATTGAATTTGGATAGTGAAGAACAAGATTATCTTCAAAATGGGAGAATGAGAGAGAGAGAGAGGAGAGAAAGGGATATTACAGAAAACAGAGACACGTAAATTCAGAGGAGGAAAAAAAGAAAACAGTGTGGAAAGGATCACAGCTGAAAAAAAAAAAAAAAAAAAAGATATGCCAGGCATGGTGGCTCACGCCTGTAATCCCAGCACTTTGAGAGGCCGAGGCAGGCGGATCACCTGAGGTCAGGAGTTCGAGACCAGCCTCAACATGGAGAAACCCCGTCTCTACTAAAAACACAAAATTAGCTGGGCGTGGTGGTGTATGCCTGTAATCCCAGCTACTCGGGAGTCTGAGGCAGGAGAATTGCTGGAACCTGGGAGGCGGAGGTTGCGGTGAGCCAAGATCGCGCCATTGCACTCCAGCCTGGGCAACAAGAATGAAACTCAGTTTCAAAAAAAAAAAAAAAAATATATATATACACACACACACACACACACACACACACACACATATATGTATATACATATATATGTGTATATATATACACATATATATGTATATACATATATATGTGTATATATATGAAAAAAGAGGACAAAAAATATTTTTAAAAAGATGAATGAAAAGGGTGAAAAGAGGAACCATGAAGGAGACCCAGCCAACCATTACCCCTGAACAGACCAATGAACACCAAAGAAATTAGGAAGGACCTAATCCTTACAGACTGCTCTGAAAGCAGGAAGCAAAAAATGAAGTCAAGAAACGGGATTTCCATAAATTGAATGAACAGATTAGAGATTAACAAGAAATCAGGCCACCCTTCAGACTTAATAAGAAAAAATAACCTAATTTGCCACTTTCCTCTAACTACCAGTAAAATTAATCTAATAAAACTAATATTCATGATAAGCTGATCAAATCTTTTGTAACCAAGTAGGGAACAAATTAAACACATATAAACTCAAATACAATATATATACACATTTTAAACCTCTGGTGAAGTTTCTTGGACAGAAAAAACTGAGATATTATAATACATACAGCAGGTTCTTACAGCTGTTTGTGGTTTCCGATGAGAGATTAATACAAATTTTAGGCTGGGCGCGGTGCCTCACGTCTGTAATCCCAGTACTTTGGGAGGTTGAGGTGGGCAGATCACGAGGTCTGGAGTTTAAGACCAGCCTGAGCAACATGGTGAAACTCCATCTCTACTAAAAATACAAAAATTAGCCGGGCGTGGTGGCACGTGCCTGTAATCCCAGCTACTCAGGAGGCTGAGGCAGGAGAATCACTGGAACCCAGGAGGTGGAGGTTGTAGTGAGACGAGATCGCACCACTGCACTCCAGCCTGGGTGACAGAGCAAGACTCCGTCTCAAAAAAAAAGAAAAATTTTAGTTGTGGGCTCTACAATTAACCCCCAAGTAGCTAGGAGGGGTAAAACTCTCTGAACTTTGAACAATGAGCAACATTTTGACTAGCAGATCCCTGGAATGCTTAGTAAGAATTTATTTTGATTTCTGATGAACTTACAAGTGTGCCTTCCTAATTTCTCTAGCTCCTAGTCCATAAACTGATTTTCTGTAAACGCCTAAAATGCCATCAGAGTTCAGATATAAATTAGTCCTAGAATAAATTATGATTTAGAACAAAAAATAAAAATAAGAATTCCTTAAGGAATCCATCTTGCAATAAACACTTTATGCCCTCAGGTTATTTTCAATTTTAATTATTATCCTTCTCTGCATTTTGCTTTTAAAATTTAATTTATAGCATATCAAAATTACATAATTCTTATATGCTGCCTGGAAAATTAGAGTACTATAAATAAAAAGGCTACCTTTTGCTGGAAAAAAAGACACTAAAATGTAGCTTTAATTTTAATTTCAAAGAAGCAACCTAGAAACAGTTCAGATTAGCTGAGGACAGTCTTATCCACCATAAACTATTAAAACTTGGGAAGAATATTTGCTATAACCCTAATAGGGAATTATTCTTATTTTTAATTTTCCTTCTCATGATTTCTATTACAATAGGCATCAGATCATACTTTAGTTATTGGTTCATACATATGATAAGAGATCACGTTATTTATTTACTTTTTTGTGTCCAGCACCTAGCACAGTGTCAGAATATATTAGGTGTTCAGTATACATATATATATATACTTGAGTTCATAAAATTAATTGAGAAGACAAAATCCTCTATGAAATGTAAATTGTATATACTCAACATAGGAAAAAAATCAATATATTTGATATCACTAAATAATTTCTGGAAACATGTACAGTAATATGGGTTGTAACTACATAATCCTATTTATATATCTTAGACATATTAAACCGAAGTATTTTTTTTAAGTCATCATTTTTACAACGTTGAGAGTTAAAATTTCCTGGAGTAAAGAAAGTATCAAAGTTTGTGGAAATTTTAGCATCCTATTAGGAATCAATCCCTAATTGTTTTTGCTTTTTCCTTACTTAAAGAAATTATAAATGTGTTGTTATAAAAATATTTGGTATAAATAAGTTTTCATCTTATTTCATAAAAGCAAGTTTCAGGAATCACTTTGTGACTCTATCTAAAATTGCTTTTCCTTGAAATATATTTTTAGTTTTATATATCAAATAAAAACAAAAGAAAAAATTAAAAGGAGCAATTAAACTCGTGCTCTAATCTGAAGTTCCAAGAATAATAATTTGTTTCTAATGCAAATATGTTAGCACATTTGCATGGCAAACAGACACCAGAAAAATTAAAACAATTAAATTAGTGAGGGCCAAGACAATTAGTTATATGAAGGACTAAACTAACAGTCTTTCAAAATTAAGTTATATAACTTTATTTCTAATCATTCTTTAAATAATCTATATTTTCCATATTTAAAAATAAGAATTTCAATAAATCTATTTTATACAATGAAACAAAACACAAGAGTTAGATCTAGCTCTTAGATATGCAAATACCTACCATCTGATAATATGCATCATCTAGTATTCGATTTTCCAGTTCATGCACTCCTATCTATGGCACTGAACAAACTGGAAAAAAAAAAAAACTAGGCTAGGGAAAACATACAAATGTGATATAATTAGAGAAAAAAATTAAATAAATAAATGAAAGGGGAAAGGTTTCTGTCCAAAAGACTTTTCCATTGCAAATAATTCATTTCCTTTGACAACACAGTAGTATTAATACACATTCCGTGAACAAATGTCCTAAAATTCTAAATCACTACTAAATTACATTATTTCATATAGATCTAGTCATGAAAACATGTCAAGGTATCTCTTACAGGAAGGTTCGTTTTTTTAAAGGGAAAATATAGGAAAACTCACAAATAAAACTTTTTTATTTCAAAAGATCATGTTTGCTGTATTCTACGAACAGTTTTAGAAACAGTCTGTGAAGGCTCAATAACCAGTGAAATGAACTTTGATTTTTCTTTAAAAAAAAAAAACTAAAACTAAAATCTGTAGGTAAATTATTATTTAGCATATTATATGCAAAATAAATTCATATAATGGTACTGTTTGAGCTGAGCCATATTTTAAGAAATATAAATACTTGAGAAAAAGAAAATATTAAAAAAAACTGAGAACCACTAATTTTTACTTGATAGAAATTAAAAACAAAAATGTAACCCAGTTTAGCTTTTTAAAAGTTCAATGTTAAGCAGAATGAATGCATCAATTCTATCTATATACCACCTTTCAACCCTAACTTCCCAGACAATGGTAACTTTCCATTAATACTCATTGCCATTTTATTTCATTTAATGTGTCTGCTTAAAAAATAGAGAAGAAAAAGAAAAGAGGGAAAGTTCACAGAAAAAGCAAGAAGTAGATGTAAATAATCAAACTTTACTTACAAAACTTGCCTCTTGAATATCTAGAACATACAATCAGGTATATAAAGGAAATAAAAGGTAAAAATCCTAGAGAAGACTGGGCAAATTTATCCTTATTTTCAGATGATGTAACTGTCTACTTTCAAATTCAAGAGACTCATCTATAAAACTATTAAAACTCATCTATAAAACTATTAAAATTATTAAGTTCAGAAAGATGATCAATTATAAAATTAGTATCCATAAGTATATTAAAGTGTACAAAAAGTATATTCTCATTTACCAACAACGAATTAGAAAACACTGAACCAATATAATTCACAATAGCCAAAAACTTATTGGATACATAAAAGTAAATTTAACATTAAGTATACAGAAATTTTAATAAGAAAATTAAAACCTCAAAAAAGGGGCTTAAGCAACTAGGAAGTAGTGTGTCTTAAAATACTTTAAAGATATCAAATTTCCACAAATAAAACTATAACTGTAAAGCAGTGACAGTGGGGCGTGTGTGTGTGTGTCTGTGTGTGTGTGTGTGTGTGTGTGCATCCACATTTGCACATGTGCATCCATGTGCCCAGGGTGAGGGGAGGTAGAGGCTGACATTATTTAAACATTAAAAAAATAGAGAGACTGGAGCAGAAGGAACAGGGCCAGGCACTATTCTGGTGACATACAGACCAAGGATTAAAGATCCTAAAATCAATTCATCCAAAATTTGATTTCTAGAGAATCAGGATAATAGTCACTGATTATGCAGATAAGTGGAATGTCTTAACTCCGGTTTTAATTACAGCAAACTAGGCTCAGTAGGAAGTTTAAGGTAATCAACCATGAAATATTCAGATTAGGGAATTTAAGACAATAGCATCTGGAAGCTAAAACAATAAAAGAAAGCTTGATGAGTCTTTTTGGTTTTACATTTTCTCTGTGGTGTAGAAGATACCAGAAGAGATAAATATAGCTATGGAGAGCTTCAAAAAGTGGAAGATACACCTGGAATCTCACTGGAACAAGGAAAAGGGAACCAGCATAATATAAATGTTTCTGACAAGTGAGTGGTGGTATTTCAATTAGTAATGCAATCTTTTAGATTTAGATGGGTATCAGAGAATAAAGATCAGAATGTCCTTGACCTTATTACTACAGACAGTTACTCTAAACAGAGAAATCTACAACTCAATATCAAGATGTAGGTATTTTCTCATATCCCTCAAAAATCTAAGCCAAACGACTTTCCTTTCGCTTTTTCTTACTTCAAAACACGATGAAATTTGATCCATAAAAATCCTACAGCAAAGGACAATTTAGGAAGACAACCTTTCAGATCTGTAATAATCCGTTGATAGTGTGATACAACCTGCATAGCATATACTACGGTGTGAATGTCTGTGTCCCCTGAAAACTCATATTTTGAAACACTAACCACCAAGGTGATGGTATTGGGAGATGGGGCCTTTGGGAAGTGATTGGTCAGAGGCAGCGTCCTTCTGAATGGAATTCACTACCGTATCAAAGAGACCCCAAAGAGGTAGTTCCTTCCTCTACTATGTGAGGACTCAGTGAGAAGGTGCCATCCATGAACGAGGAAGTGGGCCCTCACCAGACCCCAACAATGCTGGCACTCTGTTCTTAACTTCCAAGCCTCCAGAAATGTAAGACATAAATTTTTGTCATTTATAAGACAGTTTATGGCATTCTGTTATAGCAACCTGAATAGACTAAAACATCGTGTAAAGATACACTCAAAAGTGTTCGGATAGACTTTAAATAATGGGTGAAATTAATGAAAATATCTCATTTCTATCATATTTTCTTAACTTGTACTAAATCCACGATGTCTTTTACGAGCCAAAATCCCCTAAATACTACATGAAGATATAAAAGCAGAAATAGTAATGATAAATCAACTTAGGTCCCAGGATTATTTTCTCATTAGGAGAGTAAAAATTTATACACTTTCTCTATATGTAAAAAGAAATATGATTGCAATAGTATACAATGCATGATTACATAGATATCCCTGTCAAAAAAAATTAGAAAAACCTTAATCTCAACAGATTATTTTGCTTTGTCAAATACCTAAAAATAAAAGGGCTAACCAGTGATTTGGAGGACCTATTTGTACTCACGTTGGCCAGGTTTTACAAAACCCAGATCTTAAAATTTATGATGAGCCACAATGAAAAGACATACAGTTAATATAGGTTGCTTGCAATAATCTCTTCTCTGCAGCACCAAAGGCTTTTAATAGGGTAAGTGTACTATAATACCACGATTAGATTTATATGTCTTAGAAAACGGGTTACACACTGATGAACAGCATTAAATTGATATAATGGCTCTTAGTGGTTATAAATGTAGCTTTTTCCTACTTTAATTGGCAATGACTAGACTGACCTTTTCTCTATAATTGTAACTACAGTATAGTAATTAGACAAACCACTACTTTCTTGTGAAACAAAGAGAAGAAGAAGAAAGTTCTCAGTTAGTAGCTTTGAGAATATAGAGTGAACTGGGTTGGCATTCTACTGGGGCAAAATGAGCAACCAATAAGAAGAATAGTTTTTCATAAATTATGTCCTATGTTTAGTTGAATATCTGAACTACAGACAAAAATTCCATAGGGAAGCCCTTTTCATATACTAGAGGCAGCCACCCTGAAGACTAAAACTAGACCTAAAAACAGGGTTTAAAGTCAAAAAGTGAATTCAGCTATTATTTAAGACAGTTAGAGAAAGGACTAGAGAAGAGAGAAGTTTACTCTCAAAGATCTAAAAATAATAATGATTTAAAACACCAAACTGTGGTCCATGCACATGCACCTTTTTTGGGCCCACATAATTCTGTGGGGAGGTAAGAGTCTTGACAAGGGCCTTATTGGAAAGTTAGCTGCCGTCAACCCAGAGGATTTATGGCTGAGGCTGTGAAGGGAGCCATTTCCCTTGCTGAGAACAAGAACGCTTTTCTTCACCCTGCTTTTGGGCCTCTGAGAAGGTCAACTAGTTCCCAAGCCTTTAAGCCTCCACATTGGGAAACACTAGGTTCCTGGAGGAGAGGTAGGGGAAGAGAATTTATTTTTCAACATCCAAGATTATGCATAAATGGTAGCCTGTTAAGAGAGTCCCGGGAGAAAAAACTGTGGCATGTTGGGAATAATTAATCAACAAATAGATACATACATACATACATACATACATACATACATACCCCAGCCCAGCGCAGTGGCTCACACCTGTAATCCCAGCACTTTGGGAGGCCCAGGTGGGCGGACTGCCTGAGCTCAGGAGTTCGACACCAGCCTCGGCAACACAGTGAAACCCCGTCTCTACTAAAATACAAAAAAAAATTAGCCAAGCGTAGCAGTGTGTGCCTGTAGTCCCAGCTACTCGGGAGGCTGAGGCAGGAGAATTGCTTGAACCCGGGAGGCGGAGGTTGCAGCGAGCTGAGATCGTGCCACTGCACTCCAGCCTGGGCGACAGCGGAAGACTCTGTCTCAAACAAACAAACAAAAAAACCCACACAAACTCAACCAGTAAGTTGATTCTTTTCACAAATTGCTACCCATTTGCATCCCAAGATCTACACAGAGGTTAGACCTTCCTCATCAGCTGTAATAACCAGCAGGCATTCACACCACTGGGCAATAATGAATCAACTCGGGGTCCAGGATTACTTTCTCATTAGGATAATAAAAGCATATTCATTTTCTCCACATATGTAAAGAAATTTGGTTGCAATAGGAATTTTTAGTTAAATACTATATCCCTGTTAGTAGTTCCTAAAAGTAAGTTAGAAAACCTAAGTGAGAACCAGGGACCATCTTTCATCAGCAAGAGCAATGATCTTAGACATATAAAAGGCAGGTTAAGGAATTTATTGTACAATGTGTGAAAATCTAGGTTAAAGAAAAGTACAATATACAGTAATTAAAAACTGTCCACGTATGCAAATTGGAGACCATTAATTATAGGAACAGCAAATAAGGTTTCAGAGCATGCTCAGCAGCGTTAAAAGGGATAAATAGAAATTATGAAAACGTAAAGTGGCAAAAGCATTATACAATTATTGCTAAATTATAAACTCTATGAGGCAAATATTGCTAAATTATTAATTCTGTGGCAAATTCATGTTAAATTTTAAACTATGTGAAGGTAGGAAATCCAAATGTTCTACTCACTGCTTTATTCCAAATGCTGGATCAAGGTAGGAGCTCAATAAACACCTGGGGCTGGGTGCAGTGGCTCATGCCTGTAATCCTAGCACTTTGGGAGCAGAGGCAGGAGGATTGCTTGAGGCCAGGTATTTGAGACCAGCCTGAGTAAGACTCCATCTCCATAAAAAATGTAAAAATTAGCTAAGCGTGGTGGTGGTGGTGTGCCCCTGTAGTCCCAGCTACTCGGGAGACTGAAGCAGGAGGATTGCTTGAGCCCACAAGTTCAAGGTTACAGTGACGTATGTCACTGCACTCCAACCTGGGTGACAGAGCAAGACTCTGTCTCTAAAAAACAAACAAACAAACATACAAAAATCTGGTAAATGAATTAATGAAATTATATTCAGTAATTTCCACATATTCATTCTTGAACTGCACTAGCAACTACTTCTCATAATGTTTATAAGGCACAAAACAGTGATATGTGAATAATGTTTCTCAAAATAGCTCACTTGGGATAGAAAATTGTTTTCTACCTATACAACACTGGGCAAGTTATTTAATCTCTAGTGCCTTGGTTCTCTCATTTGAAAACTGGGCACAATAACAGTATCACCTCACAGGGTTATCGGAAATTTAATATATATATAACATTTGGAATAGTAACTGTCAGAATCAGTGCTATAGAAGTGTTAGTGGTTATTGGTATTATTCTGTATTGATGTGCAGAGAGGTTTCTGAAATCCTAAGTAGCCATCCCTAGGTCTTATTAACCCCTCAGAGTAGAGCCCATTTCTGATTCAACTATGTATCACCAGTACAAAGCACAGTGCCTAACATATTAAAAATGATTTTAAAAAATACAAATTGTACTGGATCAAACTCTTATATTACAATATTCTTAACTACATCAGAAAAAAGTCATCTAGTACCATTATGATTCAGAGCATAAATTTCCTACATAATAAATTCAAATGTGACAAGCATTTTCCTCTAACATTTGATAATATCTAATTAGAAGACAGTTACAACGAAAGAGGTTAAAAAGTTTCATTTTTGCCAGGGCCCATCAGAGAGTCAACCTCTATTCCTTTATATTCTCCTTACCATTTATTCATAATTCAAAGACTAAACTCTCAATCCTTTAAATGTATTATTGTGACACCAAAGGCAAGGAAATAAGAAGGTTCAACTGACAAATACACGAAAATGGGCTAAGATGTCAACAATGCAGGACATGAAAACTTTTTTTTTTCTTTTTTTTTTTTTTTTTTTGAGACAGAGTCTTGGTCTGTCGCCCAGGCTGGAGTGCAGTGGCGCGATCTCGGCTCACTGCAAGCTCCGCCTCCCGGGTTCACACCATTCTCCTGCCTCAGCCTCCCGAGTAGCGGGGACTACAGGCGTCCGCCACTACGTCTGGCTAATTTTTTTGTGTTTTTAGTAGAGACGGGGTTTCACCGTGGTAGGCAGGATGGTCTCGATCTCCCGACCTCATGATCCGCCCATCTAGGCCTCCCAAAGTGCTGGGATTACAGGCATAAGCCACTGCTTCTGGCCTTAAAACATTTTTTAAAATCTGTACTGAAGATATGGAGAACTACATATTCGTCAAAATATGTTTAGCATTACATGCAAACTTCTGTGCAAAATTATATGTTAGAGGTCTAAGAAACACTGGATTTGTTTTACTTATAGTTTTGAAACTTTCCACCTAATTGCCTGAAATACTGCTCTCTTTAATTTCAGAAAAATAAAGTCTTTATTGGTTATCTTAACGCAACATGCTAGGTCATCTAAAACCTGGCAATAAACTATTTTTCCAGATTTTATCTCCTGATATTTATAAGCAGTACAAGATAGGCAAGTATGAGCTTTTCCCTGAGCACCTGAAAATAAGATTGTCCTCTAAATCAAACTATAAAATTACTCCGAAACAGAACAAATGAGCAAAGATGCCTTAGTAATCAAAATAGTTCTTAAGCCAAAGCAAGAATTGACATCACAAGGACACTGAAAGAAAGAAAATATCAACAGGAAATAGGATAAGCACATAATTAATTTATTATCCAACCATGACATTAAGCCATACACGAACCAGGACTGTGGTGCACCAAGTGAAAAACATGATCACTCTAAATCAGAAGGTTTGTTCCTGTTAGAATAAAAAACAAGTAGAACAAACTTCATTATTGCCCTTCCAAGTATTACAAGAGGACCCTATTTCATGAATATATCACTCATTTGGTAATTAACGATGTCTTAGTCCAAGCCTCTTCTTAGGCTGTAGTTCTGCTTTATTTAACCTAATTATGCAACTTTCATTTACTTAACGTCTTATTTCCTCCAGTATATGGCAGGTATTTTTTTGAACACTGTGGTGGTAATGTCTCAAATTTCCTTTCAAATTCCACATTCCAACATCATTGTAGGTAGAAATCAAATACTCACTGACTGATAATAATAATAATTATCATTATTATAACTGATATGTATTAAGTAGTTAACTATGTGCCAGGAACTATTCTAAGTACTTCACATGTACAATGACATTTAAATCACACAATAAGTTTATGAAGTAAGTACTACTGCTGTCTCCATTTTACAGATGAGAAACAGGGAAGTTAAGTAACTTGCGCAATGACAAGCAGGTAGAAGGTGGCAGAGCCAGGATTCAAATCCAGATGGTTTGGCTCCAGAGCTGATGCTCGTATCTACTACAGTATTCTGCCCCTTAGTGAAAAATACACTTGTGCCTAAATAACTTATTCCAAGTTTTGTCAGTTATTAAACCTTAAAGCCATTTTTAAATGCTCCAAAATAGCTGATGATAGCATCCACAATTGGCATAGGTATGGAGAAAGAGACACAGACATCGAAATTCGATTTCATGAAATTATTCCTAAGGAGACAACAAAAAGTATACAAAGATATAGAAATAAGAATATTTATCATACAGTTATTTATAGGAGTAAAAATTGGAAATAGTCAGAATGTCTATTAATAAGAGATTTGTTAAATACACTGTGCTAAAATCTTACCACTAACCTGTTAGAAATGGTGGTATAGTTCTATAGTTATTAAAACAAAAAGAAGTTGAGTGACAGGCACCAATTGCAAAATATTACAGACAGTGTAATTACAGAAGGAAGTGGGTAAGTTACACATGGATATGCACATAACTGAAAAGATGTAAATGTAAACAGTGGAAATCTCTGAATAGTGGGATTTTAAGTAGTCTTTTCTTTTAAAAAATATTTACTAAAAATCTACTGTGTGTATGCTATTTTCCATTCAAAGGACCATAAAAGAAATACAAGGGCCTACAATCTAGAGACTACAGTCAATTCTAGACCATGAAAGAAAACAAACGTTGGTGACAAATAAATTACTAATAAAGAAAGGCAAGGGAGTAGCTGAGAATAGTGGGATATAAAAGCCTCACAATTAATGGAAAGCAGCATATAGGCTTCACCTTCATCACTAACTAGCTGCATGAATCTGGACAGGTCACAGATTATCCTTGAGCCTTAGTTTCAAAATAGCAAAATATAGGTGTTAGATGGGTTGTCCTGCTCGGGAGTTCTTTACAATTCTGAGTGTCTGTGGTTAAAATTTTCAAAAAGAGCATGTAGGAACATGAAAACTCCTCCATCCACTACCAGTCACAAGTGGCAGTGTTTATTAATCTGCTGCTTATTAATGTACACTTTAGTCAGTTTGTACAAGATATGAAATACCAAAGCACAGAAAATGGGAACAACAAAGAAAATCCACAAACACACTTAAGTGCTTGTTATTGAAAATATGATTATTCTTCAGGGAGTGAAATAATATAGTAACCTAAGGAAGAAACCCACGTGAGACACCTCACTATCCCACCAAAAACTCATTTTCAAGCAGTTCACAGTTCCCTTATAACATTTCACTTTCATACAGATTAAAAAGTACATATGATCTATCTGACATTGAGGTATATATATAATTCTACTGACAAATATCTCAGGAAAGAGTCAAGTGAGACTTTGATGTTGCATTCCACTGTAATTCAGATATATCAATAATCAAATTTGGAGAGCTGCCAATAAAAATGGAATAAACAGCATTAGCATTTTACCTGCATGCATGGGCCTGGAAAAACAGAGCAAGACCCAAGCAAAGAAAAATAAGCACCTGCCGGTGTCTTACCTCTAGCAGTTTGCCCTTAGGCAGTCCACAGTGCCCTCCTTGTTCTACTCCTGCAAAACACATGCTCCAGGGAGACACCTCTGTATTTTAACATATCTCATAGACGTTTCTAAGCTCCAAAGTTAAGATGATGTGTTATAGTCTTTTTAAAAAACTGATAATAAATAACCTGATTTAAAAAATACTCTAAGACAGTGCTGATCTGTTAGTTGTAAGAAGCATTTTGAACATCAGATAGAGTGTGATTTGATATGTTAACAAAGTGGACCCAGATGATATATGAAAAAAACATGGTAAAAAGATGAAAAGCAAAAAACAACAAGCTATACGCAATAGATAAAGAGTCAAGAGCTTGCTGGCAGAAGGCTAAATTAGCTGACCTTTGACACTACTTCCAATCAGATCCTTTGATTCTTGGAATACATCAAGTTCAAAATTAAATATAAACACTCAAAGTAAATAGTTAATTTTCAGTCACTAGATCATTTTCTCAACTGAGCTAGAAATTAGAAATTAAAAGGTATGCTTCCTGGAATAATTTGAATTTCACTGAATCTCCTATTAATCCATTAGATGTGTAGGTGCAGATAATGTTAAAATATATATTTTTAAATGTAACTATTAAAATATGTTTGGATGAAAAATCCAAGTGAAAAGCATTTCACAAAAATATAAAATAGCTATATACTAAGAGATCTTATTTTATGGCAGCATAAAATATAAGTAGAGATCATTGTGTTTTTTTTAAATCTCTATTATGAATTTGAATGCACTTTGTCCATTTAATCTGAAAACAGATAGTATAATGAGTACACTATAATTGTCCTATTTTCTTCAGATAATTGTGCACACTTCAGTGCTACCATACCATAAGCAATAAGTAACCTTCAAGAATCTGCTAGCGTCTTTACAAAGTTTGATTTAAGACCTTCACTGTCAATTTGCAGAAAACCATGAGGCTAAGATGGTGATAAAGCATCGATGATTGATGGCACCACCCAAGCCACCATTCTAATAATGAACTAATGATTCATGCTCAAGGTGCTTTTGAAACATGATTAAGCCTCCAAACATTTCACTAAGGTGGGTTCCCATTACCACAAGCATAAAAGAGAACTTAATAAGTTTAGCAAGGTTAGTGAATGACCCAGTGATAAAATTTTGGAACAAAAACAAAAACATAAAGGACTTCAGTCTCCTAGCTCCCACTGCAAGCTCTATTCACAGGTATTTGAAGAAGTCTTTCAGGGTAATTTATGTAATTGCTCTGAGTCTAACTGACCTTCTCTGGTGGCCACTGGCAAGTGTTTGCCAAAATGTCAGTGACCAAAAAACTCCTTACAAAGCCATGTTTTATAAAATGAATATGTCAAGAATCAGATGAAAATGTCATCAGTGACACTGACAACAATAAAAGAAAATATTCTACAGATTTAAGAAAGTGAAGAAGATCCATATTAAAGGGGAAATAAATAACCTGAGAAAATGTCATCAGAAAAAAAGTAGACAGATCACAGCTTTAAGAAAGGGAAGAAGACACAACTTAAAGGGGGAAAAAATTATCCAAGAAACAAATGTTCTTTAAAGGGTCAGAAACGGAAAGACTCATTTTACAAAAGCTGGTGGAAAAACTACATCTCTTTTAGAGATCATATCGTTGCTCCTGGGGAAAGGAGGAATGAGGAGATGGGAGGCACCTGTGAGGAGCTTGTCACATCTGAATCCCAAAGTTATTCACTTTCCTATTTGTGTGTCAAAATGAATGACATAATTTGTGAATGTCAAAAGTAGTCACAGCAAATTAAATAAAAATTGAACAAAATTTACTCCAATTGCCCTTAAAATAGAAAGTCAAAAGTTGTTGATTTTCCCACTTTGCAGTCTTTGAAAGTAAGTTTCACTTATATAAATACTTAAAGTCAAACAACCCAGTTGAATACACCTACTCTCTTGAAATTTAAAAAAGAGAGGGGAAGGGGAAGGGTGATCTCATGGAGAAAATTACTTTTACACTAAGACTAGAGATCTTTCTTTCAAATGGGTCTAGCTTACAAATGTGATTATCCAAAGAATGACTGCAGCTCATTACTGATGAACGGAATATATTTTTTGTATACTCTGAAATTTTCATACATATATGATTGGCCCATTCCAAATGACTGCTTTAATAGAACGTTTGAAATAACCCATATGTAGACTTTCCATTAATGGCCTAAGGATTAACTGTTTTGAAGATTAATCTACCTAGGTGGAATCCCAGGCAGTTTGCTCTATCTAAATGCTTGCAGGACATCATTCTCCCAACACCTAGCTGAAGTGAAATCAATGCTAATATAAGCATTAATAAAACACAGAGAGTTGCGATTTAGGATTTCCTACCACTTTGCATTACTATTCCATGTTCTCTCCCATGCATACCCCCAAGAAAACCAGTGTGGATCATCACAAATTCTAAATGCTTTACCAACTGCAACATGTACATAGAGAACCCATTTAGAGGATTGAAATATAGTGTACAACTAAGAGTGGCAAGTTAGTAAAGAAAAATAAAACCATTCAAATTAAACATAAGGAAAATACTGTCACTGGGGAAAGAATCAGGAGTAAAATATATGTGCATCCCATAAACAACAGGAGTGTAGCATTGTAAAGTTATTGTGACCTTGTCCCTTTTTAAACAGCTACATTTGTCACAATGGAAGACGGCCATCAAGCAGCAGCAATGTCTGCGTGGATGTCTAAATGCCTGTCAGGGCCTGCTTGGTAATACTTTACACTTCTCCCCCTCTAACAAGCTTCACTATTATGTCCTACTTACAGATGGATGGCTGCCAAGAGCTATCACACAAAAAAGCTCCTCTATAACATAATGATGTCTCTGTACTGGGAATAAACTTGTGAGAAAAATCTTGGAAATAAAAAGAAGATAGAAATCTATTTAAGGATGTAAATTACTGAAAGCTTCTAATTCCAACAAGATCATAACATCCAAAATATTAACTCTATGTAAGTAATATCTATTTCCTCAAAGATAGTCATTCCATAAATGTCTATACATCTGTAGAAAGAAATGTTATAGAAAACAACTGTTGTTTTGGTTTCCTTCAAATTCATTTACTAACTTTAATGAAGAAAGCCAGGGCATTGTCTTGACATATTTTGTCATCTCTTTTCCAAATAAATTGTCGCCATAAGAATGTTATGTTTCTCCAGCATTTTTATCCCCCTGTATTTAGTTTTTTTAAATCTAGTAAGGTTAACACGTTGTCAGTTAGGCTAAAACTGAATCCACATACCTCACAGATAAGCCACCATTCTATGTTAGAGAATTCAGTGAGTGCTGCTTTAACTCTTCCATTACATTTACAGAGTATTTTTAAGGGCCGTGTCTACCCCCAATAAATGAACTTGAAGATTTTTACAGACTTATTTTGACTTATTCTATCTTGTTCAACTTGAGTAGGTCAATTTTCTTTTATCTTACCTTGAACATAGGCTTATATTCACTAGGTTTGATTGCTATCCAATCAATCCATCAACATGCATTTAGTGAGCTTCTGTTTAGAAGCCCAAGATTGTGGAAAAGTCACAATTCCTGGCTATAGTTTTAACTCTCATGCTGTTAACAATGTAACATTCTAAAAAATTTATAATCCATCTGAGTATAAATTAAAACTAAAAGAAAAAAATGTAACTTACTCTCTCCCTTCTTTCCCCAAACATAAGATTCTCCAAATATATATTCACACATAGCAAAATATTTATGTGCATGTGTGCACAATACAATATTAAAATCATTGGTAATTTATTAATGAAAAAAAATTATATCAACACCAAAAATAGGAATTCAGTTTAAATTCAAGTTAAAAGGAAAACAAATGGAAATCATATTTCCCAAATGAAAATAGCTCTCAAAATACCATAATAAATCATGGAGGAAATGCTCCCAGACATTAATATTTAACAAGCAAGAAAATCTGAGGCAGGTCTGATTAGTGTGTCACTATGGTAAATGGGTATGATAAGATATTATATACATGTCAGAATCACCAACTAATATTAACTAGTTTATGGATGTACTGTCACTAAGGTATTAGTTAGAAGAATTTCAAAAATAAAGATTCCCATTTCTATATGTGGAGTTTTTGGTAGATATTAGTACCATTATTACATATATACCATAGAAGTTATGTTATTATAAGACTATTTTTTTCCTTTTTTTGAGACAAGAGTCTCACTCTGTCGTCCAGGCTGGAGTGCAATGGTGCCATCTCAGATCACTGCAACTTCCGCTTCCCAGGTTCAAGCAATTCTCCTGCCTCAGCTTCCCAAGTAGCTGGGACTATAAGTGTCTGCCACCAGGCCCGGCTAATTTTTGTATTTTCAGTAGAGACAGGGTTTCACCATGTTGGCCAGGCTGGTTTCAAACTCCCGACCCCAAGTGATCTGCCCGCCTCGGCCTCCCAAAGTGTTGGGATTACAGGTATGAGCCACCGTGCCCAGCACTGTAAGACTTTTTATCAAAAGACGTAGATGTTGAAGGCATAAATATAGTGGTGATTATGTCACAGTAACAACTATTCTAAGGAAGGGTCTTCTTTCCCCTCTCAATTTCTCCATAATTCAACAACAGAGAAGAAAAGAACACAGATATTTAATACCACGAAATACCAAAACTATCTTTAATGTATATAAAGTCAAGGGCTTATATTTATATATTTTAAAATTTGTTTTCACATTCTCCCTTTCAGACTCAGTCCCTTATGAGACCTGAAGAGGTGCCTTTTTCTCCATGCATTCTCTAAATGAATACTCAAGATTAAATAGCAGTACTGGAAACTGCAAATGGATGTTATTTTATTGTAATATTTATTTTATTTAATACTTACTTTATTGTAATGTTATTAGCTAGCACTTGTATTTCAGGGACTCCAAGGTAAGTTTAACTGCTTGTTGCAACCAACTATATTTTTAAATTCAGAATAAGGTGTTGGAGGCAGTTTAACAGCTAGGATATTGTGGGGGCTTTGAGGTCAGACAGATCTACATTCAATCCTGGCTCTGCACTTGCTATCTGTGATCTTCAGCAAGACATTCTACCTATCTGTGCTCCATTTTACTTTATCTATAAAACAGGGCATAATGATACCTATGTCATGGAGTTAATGTGATAATTAAATAACTTAATGAATGAAAAACTCTCAGCCTGACTTAATATAAAATTCCCCACATAGGGCAGCTACAAAGTCAGTATCTTAGTCATTTATTGCTGTAAAACAAACCACACCAAAATTTAGTAGCTTTAAAAAAACAACTCTTACTTGCTCACAACTCTGTGGACTGGCTATTTGAACTGGGCTTTGCCAAGCAATTCTGCTAGTTTTACTACAAAGGACTGCAGGAATCTGAAGGCTTGACTAAGATTGGATAGTGATATGGTTTGGCTGTGTCCTCACCCAAATCTCATCTTGAATTCCCAAGTGTTGTGGGAGGACTTGGTGGGAGGTAATTGAATCATGGGGGCAGGTCTTTCCCATGCTGTTCTTGCAATGGTGAGTAAGTCTCACAAGATCTGATGGTTTTAAAAAGAGGAGTTCCCCGCAGAAGCTCTCTCTCTCTTTTTGCCTGCTGCCATCCGTGTAAGACGTGACTTGCTCCTCCTTGCCTTCCGCCATGATTTTGAGGGCCCCAGCCACATGGAACTGAGAGTCCAATTAAGCCTCTTTCTTTTGTAAATTACCCAGTCTCGGGTATGTCCCCAACAGCAGCGTGAAAACAGACTAATATAGATGGTCTAAGATGGCCTTACTCACATGTTTGACAGTTGGTTCTGGCTGTTGTTTAGACTTCCATCTTCATGTGATTTCTTATTCTCAGAGAGACCAGTCTGAGCTTATTCACATGTTGGTGGCAGTATTCCAAAAACGCAAGAACAGAAGTTGCAAGGCTTCTTGAAGCCAAAGCTCAGAAGGCCCACAACGAAATTTCCACCATATTCTATCAGTCACAGCCAAGTCACAAAGCCAGCACAGATATAAGAGGATAGAAGGATAAAGCAAAAGACTCCACCTTTTGATGGGAGGACAGGCAACGTCATATTGCACAAAAGAGTGCGTATATAAAAATACAGCCAGAAATTGTGTCTATACTTTGACATCTTCTATCTTCTACAAAATAGAGAAATTTTTATAGTACCTATATTTTCAACTACAAATAATCACAGAAGTTCTGAAGGACAAAAGTAGGTACTAGCTTGCATTTTCCCCAACATGAAGTAATATTACTCTGCTGCTTCAGTCACAGATTTCAACAGAAGACCAAGATCCAGACTCAACGTCTGATACCATCATTTAAGTTGCTTGGTTGGGTGATTTTTCTGTGTTTTAAGAGCCTTCAACACTTTTCTATTTTTTCTAATCAATAAATTTCCATCTAATTTGATATTTTTACCTACAAGAGCAGCTTTATTTTATTTGTTTATTGTTTTTTGAGATGGAGTTTAGCTCTTGTTGCCCAGGCTGGAGTGCAATGGTGCAATCTCGGCTCACTGCAACCTCCACCTCCTGGGTTCAAGCGATTCTCCTGCTCAGCCTCCCAAGAAGCTGGGATTACAGGTGTGAGCCACCACACCTGGCTAATTTTGTATTTTTTTAGTAAAGACGGGGTTTCACCATGTTGGTCAGGCTGCTCTCGAACTCCTGACCTCAAGTGATCTACCTGCCTCGGCCTCCCAAAGTGCTGGGATTACAGGTGTGAGCCACTGTGCCCGGCCAACAGCAGTTTTCTAATTGAACATTCCACAACAAATAGCATCACCAAGAAATCTAGATTGAGTATGTAGCACTACTAGAAAACATGAAGTTTATAAAAGAAGAAAAATATATCCTTATAAAAAGCACATATACTTTTTTCCTATGAAAATAATCCCGGGATGGGGGAGGGATAGCTTTAGGAGATATACCTAATGCTAAATGACGAGTTAATGGGTGCAGCACACCAGCATGGCACATGTATACATATGTAACTAACCTGCACATTGTGCACATGTACCCTAGAACTTAAAGTATAATAATAATAAAATAAAAAAAAGAAAATAATCCCTAGAGAAAATTTTAATTTTGTGATGTAGTTAATTAGCTATGTCCAAAGATCTATTCATACTGAATTATGAAGAGATCAAATTTATTACAGTAAAGAAATGATAATTGCTACCAGGACTTCCTTTAACACGTGTTTCTCTAAAAGATTCATTTGCAGAGCCACAGTCTTTAATACAATACAACCTATTTTCTTTGAACAATTTAATGGGGCAGGATATGTCACTAAACATACCGCGTAAGAATTGCTTCTATGGAAAGACAGAGGTAAAGGAAAGAGCTACTTGCTTGTTTGACAATATGGTGAACAGAGAAACAGTTTGGGGAATGAAAGGGTATTCCTCCAATAATGGTATTTCTACATTTCCTAACAAGAAATTGATCCCTAAAATTGTCATTCTTTTCAGCTGAGGATGTGCTACAACACTGCTTCATAGAGAAACAGCTGGAAACTTAAGTAGCTTACAATTTTTGACAAATTGGTGCTGCCAAAATTATAATAGTTAATAACAAGGAAAACCTCAATAATGTGAATTGTGTCAAATCTGGTTGTTAATTTATTTTAAAATCCTGATTATGTTATGAGAAGCCATATGAGAAGCCAAACATACATTCAACTGGAGAAAATGCCAGTAGCCAATATCACCTTTGGAGGCTAGCTATTTCTCACCACATTCAGCAAGCTATCATAGCATGAATTGCTGAAATTAGATAATTCTAACTGAAAATTAGGATTAAAGATAACCCTATGCTATAGTTCAGGCATAGGTAATCTACTCCTCAATTTATTTCTTATGGAAATCTTATAAATATATTAAATAACCTTATTTTGTTTAATTATTTCAAAGTACTATATGGATGAGAGATATATTGTACAGGTTTATATGGAATAGTTAACACTTTTAAAAAATAGTGACTATTCTAACATTTTTTAATTATATTGCTCACTAATCTTAATTGCCACCATTTCAAAAGACAGTTCCAAAGTGCATCTTGAACAAACAGAAAAGCAATTAGCCTAAATTAATTGCTTTGCTGATGTGATTTGCAGTAGGTATGCTTGGTGGTTTTGAAACTCCTGCCAGTGCTTTCACAACTTGATGTTCTGATGATTTTTAGCCTCTTTTTGCACCAGAGCAATTAACCAGATAATTGTTCTAATGTGAACCTGGCCTTAATCAGTGTGTTTAGGTTCATAGTAGCAATTAACCAAACACTAAATATACATTTGAAAAGAAGCACTTAAAAGTACTACAAGAAGAGCTAAAGAAAAACTCATACAATTTTTTTTCTCATATAGCTATACTTTTTACACAAAGAAGCAAAAAAAAAAAAAAAAAAAAAGCTGCAACTGTCTCCTCAGCCTCTTTTCAATTAACACAGGTATAAATGGAAGGCAGGCAAAGTTTCTGGTTCCTCACTTCTTCACTCAAAGTATTCCAAAGTCCCTATTAAAAGGGCAAAATGCACTGATTGAACATTGGAATTCTATTCCTTGTTCAAAAATGAGGCTATGGCTTTCAGACAAATGGCATGTAATACATAACGCAAGCTCTATCTGAATCCGAACAATGACATTAAATTTTCACTTTATGAAGCACCAACTTTATTCAGAAATAAATAAATCTGTTAGAAAGGGAGAATCTGAACCAATTGCCTGGATTTCAGCCAGAGTTTCAGCCAAATTTAAAAGAAAATTTATTCATCATACAAAAGCATGATCTATAATTCTCCCAACACGAATGTATTAAATTAATCCTCTGAGCAGGGCCGTGTGTGAGGTGCTGATTGGAAGCAGGGGTGGAGGGGGGCTGTGAAGTGAGGGCACAGGGCGCAAGATGAAGATCCAGGTCCTCCTCACAAGGAGAAAGACTCATAAACAAAACGTCACACATCCGCACAATAATATATGCCACCAGCAGAGCCATGCGCTATAGATTCAGCTAGACAGTAACATGATACAGCACTTCATTACAATCAACATTATTATTTCATCTTTTCTTTAAATGGAATTCATATTCATTTTAAGGGAAATTATTAGTAGCAGTGCAACTATAATTGTTAAGTAACAACTTTGATATTTTTCATACTTCAGTAAGTGAGGAGTAATTGTATACTGTCTTAAATTAAATGTTTTATCAGTTGAAGAATGATATACATAAAACCTTTCCATTTTCATGAAGCGTAAAGGTTCAAGCTGAAAGTATTCTGTCATTCTTCATGTCTTCAGGAAACACTTCCCTTTCCTAATCTCTGAAAGGACTGTCATACAGAAAATAGCCCAGACACTTGCATGTCATGTCTGCCATTTTTAATTATTACCAATCAAGTTCCAGCAATTTCTCCTATGGTTAAGCATGTGTGTACCTATCTTCTAAAATATTTCTATATGCCACTGTTCATAAAATATTTTAGGCTGAAGCAAAATCCCTTGCACTAAATTAATAACTAATCACAGGAGATATTTATCATCTCAAGTCTTTTACAAGAAAATTGTCAGATTTAATCACCTTTCTCATATTTTCACTATTTACTGGGCTTCATTTATCACACATTTTTAAATTTTGACAACAATGAGTTATTTTAATTGCCACTTTTGGTTTGGTGAATTAAGAATAAGACAACTCCTGGGAGAAGTGGGAGATGGTATAAATTTGTCCAAGCAGTCAATAAGGTATCATCATTTTCATCAATAAATGAAGATTTTCTTCATTGTTGGCAATTTTAAAACAGATCTGAGACTAGGATGTCCCTAAATCCATGGGCTTATAACGCCATATTCATCATCATATAAAATGTATCTCATTCTTTCCTATAATTTAAAAACAAATTATGATTTCATAACAAGGAAATATGTTTAAATACTGCAAGCTAAATGCGTACCTCTGTTTACTCATCTTTTTATGGCCTGAAAAACACAAAAGCAGTTGCAGCATTTAGAGTAGCACATCCAGAAATATCCGTAATATGATTCTATGGGAGCTCTTAATTACTACTATTTGTATTTGTAGAAATGTTCACTTATGCACTATTGCTCACTAGGAACCAAAGACAACACAGAAATTAAAAATTACCATTACATGTTAGGACCATAATAAATATTCACATTATTCTATTAGACAAAATAATGTCAACATGGAGAATCAATAAGCCAAAATCACCCACATCAAATTCAGTCCCATCTCATCTCTTGAAGTTAAAAGTCAAAGCAGGCTGAAATATATACATATCATATAGATTTTTCCTTTAAAGTGATTTTACTAGGTTAAATACTCTGGTGTTACATAGTAAGTAGTATTTCCTTAAAAATGATATTAAATAACTATAAGTACTAAAAGAATCAATATCAGAACTAATATTTAATACTACTACCTACCAAACAACTGAAAAAGTTTATTTAAATTTGAATGCACTAAGAACTTCATCTGAGGATAAATGCACAAATAATTTTACCAGAAAAACTTTGCCTGTTGTAGCAAAATATCATCAATTATTTGAAAAAACCCACATACTTAAAAAAGTAGAGATTAATTTTGCCAATTATTTCTTGCCAAAGGTACTGAACCATTTGATGAAGATAACTTTCTTCTTTTTAATTGAAAGACAACTTATTCAAAGTATTAGAACCAGTAGTCTCCTTTAATCTGCAATGGTTAAGTATTCGCTACAACCTACAAGGAAGCATTTACAGATAGTGACACATTTGTAAAAATAATTGTGCATCATTATAAGTTAAATAAATACCTATTCAAAATTCATTAGTGAAATTCTTTTTCAGACCAACTATGAGTCATGTGTAGTACAAAACACAAAAATGGGCAAAATTTTCTACTTTTCCTCAAGAAACATCATAAGAAATGAAGAGTATTTACAAATGGGGTTAATTGGAAAAATTACTTTTTACCAAAAATAAGCTGTTTTTTAAAATATCCACAACTTGATATATGCAGTAAAATATTCAAACATGTCACCTTTTAGATATCCCATATGGAAAAGCAAAGGTACCATTCTAACCATGTTCAGAATGATCAACCATGTCTGATGTCTGAGGTCGGATGACCATTTAATTTATCATTTAAATTAAATATTCTGGAACTTAGGAACAGCAGCAGCACAAATACTAAACCCGACAGAATGCCAAAACAACAGGCATGGGTTGGAACTATCCTGGTCAAATCAGGATATATGGTCACTCTAGGTCTGAAGCAGAATAAGGACATGGAAGACAGTGAGCCCTTCATGGTAGGAGCTTGAACTCTGAAGACCACAAAAATGGGTTCCAGTCTTGGTTCCTCTAGTTGTGAACTATTCAACGTGTCTGGGCCTTAATTCCTTTGTTTGAAAATAGGGATAATTCCTTCCTCAGGGTTGTTGTAGAGATTAAATAAAACAATGTGTATAAACAGAACAGTGTCTGGAACACAGTATAATTAAGTGGTAACTATTATTAGCTATTGCTATTATCCTTGCTCCAGAAAAAAAAATGTATATATATATATATATATATACACACACACACTATTACCTCACTAGCACTACATGGCCAATCATGGTTTTAGAAAGAAGGTCTAATGGATAGAAGAACAGAAAAGGCATGGTTTCGTATCTTATTTTTTTTGAGACAGGGTCTTCCTCTGTCACCCAGACTGGAGAGCAGTGGCACGATCACAGCTCACTGCAATCTCTGCCTCCCAGTCTCAAGCAATCTTCCCAGTCTCGAGCTATCCTCCCAGCTCAGCCTCCTCAGTAGCTGGGTCAACAGGCACGTGCCATCATGCCCGGCTATTTTTTAAAAATTTTTTTATAAAGACGGGGTTTCACCATGTTGCCCAGGCTGGTCTTGAACTCCTGAGCTCAAGTAGTCCACCCTCCTTGGCCTCCCAAAGTGCTGAGATAAGAGGTGAGCCACCATGCCTGGCCTCATGATTTTTTAAAGATAGTTTGGAAGCCCGGAATAATAGTTACTCCAATATCAAACTATCTTTCTAGGGATGGTCTTACACATAATTGTGAATATGTGAATACAAAAAAATAGTGTCAAAAATATGCTTACCTCAAACTAACGTCACTAGTTTAGAAAGACTCCATTCTGTTTCTATAATCCTCTCAGAACTCAGTAAAATATATTTCATTATTCTTTTTGCAAAAATACAAATAATGTCATAGACAATACACAAAACTATTCAGTGGATTGCAGAAATAAGCTAAAATTCAGTTTTACTAAAGCTTCACCTAACCAGGCACATTATTAGGCACCAATAAGTATGCAGACAGATTGCTCTGCATTCTATAGAGGCAAGGCGGTGCTGCTATAAATACCACCCCCAAGCAGCTTCAACAGTCAGCATTATTTTTGCCACCTCTTTATTTCCAAGTTTTCAGGCTTTTATGATAGAAAATTGCTCAAACTTCACACTCAATACTCCAAGGTGAAAAGTATTTCTCTCCTCCACACCACTTAACTTTAAAAGAAAACAAAATATTCTCAAACTCAAATTCAACTCTGCCTGCTGGATTTAATGGATAGGTTTGTTCCCCTTGGGCAATCTTTAAACCTCAGTCTCTAGGAGAATTAAGTAATATTAGGGGATTGAAATGAAATAAAATTCTAAGTCCACTGTGACATGACATTCACAGGAAGATGGTAGATTATCTATCCAGACCTTGAACACTTATAAATACAATATATAGCATATGTTCACAAAACAATTCTTGGAAATAAAACACAATGGGCACTCAGCAAATATTTTATATCACCAACACCTGCTCAAATCCTCTCTGAACTTTATTTCTAAATATCACCGTTTTTTATTGAATCAACGGAAATTTGAAAGAAGAAACAGAATAAACATCCAGAGAAGATCAGGGGAGTTAGAAAAATCTTTATATAAAGCCACGTTGAGTTTTACATGAGCCAAGGTGCTGTCAGTCTCACTGAAAGGGGTGGTGGAGTAATCTGTCACTCTACAACTTTCACCTCAATATACCTAAAAAAACAAAAGAGGGCTTTTTCTATACAAAAATAAAAAAAGAGACAGAGAGAATAGTATTAAGATTTTTTCTTAATATTGAAAACAAAGGAATCATGAACCAAACACTAAACATTGCCAATGAATTCATTTTAAAATAAGCAACTTCAAATTATAGGTGTGGAGTTTGAGGGACTTTAATAAACTAGTCCAACCCTCCTTATAATTCAGGAAACTCCTTTACAGCACTCTGTTTGAACACTAACAAAGAGTGCATTCTCTATTTTGGAAGGCAGACAATGAAAATCAAGGTTTTAACTTATTTTAAGCTGCATTCTGTCTCCGTCTATAACTTCCACCTGTTGACTAACATGCCAGTGCCTGAAATAGTAAATAACTAATTTAGGTAGACTAATGAACTATTATTTTTTAATATATTTTACCAGACTCAATTTAAAAAGAACCATATGATTTAAATATGAAATATCTAAAATTCTCTGCATCTCAATTTTAAGGAAGGATAATTCAGTTTGGTGGGAAGAGTGGATAAATGGAAAGGGGGCCAAAGAGAACAGTCCATTCATCATCCTGGAAAGAATGTTGACGTAAGAAAATGCGGGCCTAGTATTCTTGGGTCCACAACTTTTCCAAAAGCCTGAATTCAGAATATTTATGTGAACTATACCAATTTTTAAAGTGCTGGCAACTAATTCAAAATTTTTAAATACTGTATATGCCAAACAAAACAGCTTTGTGGACTAGACTCAGCTGTGGCCCAGAAGTTTGCAACTTCAAATGGTCTTATTTAAAAGTTACTTTTAAAGAGAAATATCTGGTTGGGGGCAGTGGTTCACACCTGTAACCCCAGCACTTTGGGGTGCCAAGGTAGGCAGATAACTTGAGGTCAGGAGTTCTAGACCAGCCTGGCCAACATGGTGAAACCCCGTCTCTACTAAAAACACAAAAATTAGCCCCACATGGTGGGGCTGTAAACCCAGCTACTTGGGAGGCTGAGGCAGGAGAATCACTTGAGCCCGGGAAGCAGAGGTTGCAGTGGTCTGAGATTGTGCCACTGCACTCCAGCCTGGGCAACAGAGCATGACTCCGTCTTTAAAAAAAAAAAGAAAAGAGAAATATCTATAGGTACTATTTTAACCTCTAGTACATAAAAAATAAAATAGCAATATTTTGTAGATCTTATTTTTTACTTGAAAGAAACTGGATAACAGTCTAAGATTTAAAATTCTCCAAATTTTAGAGTGTGCACTGATGCAATAGCTTCCCTTACATAAATACAAGATTCACACAGCAAATCATGGCAATATAATTGATATTGACAACAACCCTGGCCTTTGTTATGCTTTGTGACTTTAGCTACCGGATGTTAGATAATCTTATTTATCTTGTATTATTTTTCTATATTGTTCTCCTAATTCATGAGCATGCATGGTCAACTGTCAAAGAAAGGCTCATATATTTGATAATCCCCATTATCAAATATATGATTTGATACATCATAGGATTAAATAAACTAAGTTCATTTTCAGGACCAATATTAAAAATTGAAATGGAGAGATTACCTTTGATAGTTTAAAAACTGAAAACAGCTTTTGTAAAGATCTATTAAAATCAATTAGATTTTATTTAATTCTTATTAACAAAAAAAGAATAAAAGAACCATTATAAGTATATTGCTATAACAATGCTCAGACCAGTTTTTTACACATCAGCTGTTACACCCAAAACATGCTGCTTCTGGACTCCGCGTCAAACATATAAAAATGTTGTAGACCAAATTGGATGTGAAATAATAAAGACTGATATAAATACAAAAAAATTTCAATAAACTTAGAATCAGGGAGTGGATGAGACGTAATAACCAGATGTTTAATTTAAATCACTGATAGAAATAGTCAGTGTCCTCTTTTCATAAAACACTTGGATGTTATTTGTATTCAAAAGCAATGGTAAATGTCAAATGACTACTAGATCATCCTTCTGAATACAAGAAAATATCATGCTGTTTAACTCTCTAAACACAAAAAGTGCTTTTGGAAAAACAAAGATAAAGAGCAGCATGTCTTAGTCACAGAGATCAATTCAAGGACCAGAAAATGCTAACAGACACCATAAAGTATAACAGTAAAGTCTTTCAATTACTACATATTTTACAATTTTGAACTTAAAAAGTTCACAGATAAGAATTATTAAAACCTACGATAAATGTTATATATAAAGGACTGTGACAAGTACTGAAATTTATCTTAATGTGAGAAATCCTTTATTAAAACTAGCAACATTCAGGATAAATCTTTGTAATAGGTATTGTATATAAATTAATATCTAAAAGTTCCATTATACTTTCAATATGAGAGAAAATAATGAGCTTAGTTAAAAAATTAAGAATTTTATATATAAATGTCAATCGTATGTGAATCCCAGCTATGACGCGGAAAATTGACTGATTAGCCATTCACTTTTTCTTGTTTAGAGTTTTTACTGCAATGATGATGGAAAAATACATCCACTGAAAAGCCAAAGAAAGTCAAAGAAATGGTCTAAATTTAATAGAAATAGTATGACCTTCCCCTGAACAAAAGACGTTGAAGAGATTAAATGAGAACACGTGTAAAGTGCCTATCAATTACCTGAGTAATAAAGGTTACTTTCGTCCCCTCGATCCTTACAAGGCTCACTATTATCATTAAGTCTTATGTCACCTAAAGAGAGTGACCTTTGAGAACAGCAGGAACTCAGTGCCCCACAGTCTGAGACACGGTAGCAAGTATTTAGTAGGGGGCTAATAAATGCTTTCTGATTTACTGGAGGATAATAATAATGAACGAATGTAAAACAGAATTAATTGATAGGCTAAACGCATTAGTGCATTCCAGTGCCCTCTATATGGAAGGTTACTAACCCATCTCAGCTAAGTGCTGAAATTATAATTAAGTCTGATGGGAAGTTCTAGATTTATACCAATATAACTACAAATATTACTTAGCTTAGTAATATGGCATGGCAAGAACAATGAGATGAGTAATTTAGATGATACTGCAAAGTGGGTTTTAATGTTTGAAACTTCTATTACAGTATACAGGATAAGTGCAAGTAGTGTAATTAAAACCTAAAAGAGCTTGATCTTTAAAACTCTATTGCTCAACCTCATTAAAATGCATGTTTTCTTAATTAATCCAAACTTTTCCATTAAAAACATAAAAATACACTTTCATTTCTTGCAAATAAATCTCTACAATACATATATTTAGGATCAAACACCAAATAACCATTAGTTAAGTAGGAAAAAAATGACTGAAATAGCACAAGGTTTGAGTACATGAAGCCTAACAAAGGGAAGGAAAGGCAAAGTGAGAGCTCTCGACATTTTCATTTGTAAATTACCCAGCTACAACAAAATAAGCATTTAAAGAACTAGAAGATTAGAAATCCACTCTCCCATCTGTATTTAAATGATACAAACCTAAGCAAAATATTTACTTAGATAACTCATACAACGAAGTATAGACCGTATCTTATTTATCAATTATAGTATCTCCCATTAAATGACTCTTCTACACATGTCCTGTATACAGAAAATTGTTGTGGAATATAATCACCTTATTGCAGAAACAGTTTTCTATTTTTTTTTTTTTTTTTTTTTTTGAGACAGAGTTTCGCTCTTGTCGCCCAGGCTGGAGTACAATGGTGTGATCTTGGCTCACTGCAACCTCTGCCTCCCAGGTTCAAGTGATTCTCCTTCCTCAGCCTCCAGAGTAGCCGGGATTACAGGCATGTGCCACCATGCCCAGCTAATTTTTGTATTTTTAGTAAAGACGGGGTTTCACCATGTTAGCCAGGATGGTCTCAATCTCTTGACCTTGTGATCTGCCCGCCTCAGCCTCCCAAAGTGCTAGGCTTACAGGCGTGAGCCACCACGCCTGGCCCAGTTTTCTACTTTTAATTCAATGCATTACCAAGAAATTTACTGTAATATATTAAACTAATGTTAGATATTTAAAACCACAAGATAGTATTTATGTACTTCATTATTTGTTATGAATAGCTTTTTAAAGATTACTTTAAATTTTCTATATAGGATGTTGATTATAGAGAAGAATTTTACTTTGTAAACTTTGTTTTCAGGAAAGTTAATTTATTTGAATTTTCTTTTTCTTAAATGTTTCAATTTCAGTAACTTTAGGGGCACAAGTAGTTTTGGTTACATGGATGAATTCTACAGTGGTGAGGTATAGGATTTTGGTGCGCCCATCCCCTGAATAGTGCACATTGTACCCCATAGGCAGTTTTTATCCCTCGCCCCCTCCGAGCCTCCTCACTTGGAGTTCCCATGTCCATTATACCACTCTATATGCCATTGCGCACCAGTAGTTCAACGCCCACTCGTAAGTGAGACATATGGTATTTGGTTTTTGATTCCTGAGTTACTTCACTTAGAATAATGACCTCCAGTTCCATTTTCTTTAGATATTGATATATTTCATATGGTGAATATTATTCAAAAACAAGAGAGAATTTTTATAAATGGTGATCACATACCCATTCTAGAGGAGTACATTTTTCAAGAAAAATTTTACTAAGAAAGAGTGAAGTCAAGGCTATCACATAAAGAGTAATTCAGGGTAATTTAAGAAAATGTCACTAGAATTTACCAAAATTGGGGAAAATGGAGTCTACATGGTTTTATTTTAAGGTATAAAAGGAAATTTAAAAAGGGGAGGCCAGGCACGGTGGCTTATGGCTCATGCCTATAATCCCAGCACTTTGGGAGATCGAGGCGGCGGGGCGGGGGATCACTTAAGGCCAGTAGTTTGACACCAGCCTGGCCAACAGAAACGCCATCTCTACTAAAAATACAAAACTTAGTCGGATGTGGTGGTACACACTTGTTTTTTCGTTTTTTTGTTTTTTTGAGACGAGGTCTTGCTCTATCACCCAGGCTGGAGTGTAGTGGTGTGATCTCGGCTCACTGCAAACTCTGCCTCCCGGGTTCACGCCATTCTCCTGCCTCAGCCTCCCAAGTAGCTGGGACTACAGGCACCTGCCACAAGGCCTGGCTAATTTTTTTGTATTTTTAGTAGAGATGGGGTTTCACCATGTTAGCCAGGATGGTCTGGATCTCCTGACCTCGTGATCCGCCCGCCTTGGCCTCCCAAAGTGCTGGGATTACAAGTGTGAGCCACCGTGCCCAGCCAGTGGTGCACACTTGTAATCCCAGTTACTAGGGTGGCTAAGGCAAGAGAATCCCTTGAACCCAGGAGGTGGAGGCTGAAGTGAGCAGAGATCATGCCACTGACTGCACTCCAGCCCGGGTGCCAAAGCAAGACTCGGTCTCAAAAAAAAAAAAAAAAAAAAAGAGGGAAAATATCTTAAATTTAAAGCATTATCTGACACAAATTATTTCTCCTATTTTTAAAAGAATATTTAAATCTAAACAGGTTCTAATTTTAGCTGAAATAGTGCTTTCTATTTTGAAAGGAAAATATTTTTGGAAACTTATCTTTTAAAACAAAATTCTTGGAAACTTACTGGGCAAGAATCCTCTCATGCTCATATTTACAAATCTACCTAATCAGTAGTGCTAGCGCTACTCTGTTGTTTTCATTATAATAGTCTACTTTTAAGGGTTTTCCTGTATTTTTTTCTTCCTTCCTGCAATATTTCAAAGAAAAATGGGTTAATCATTATTCGTAAGAAAAAACTTCTGATTCTATACTGTATATTAAGCTATTCATCACGTGACTTCCATTTCTGAAACAAATTACATATATATATACTGAGAAAAAAATGTCATCCTTAGGTGCTGATATGGTTTGGATTTGTGTTCCCAGCCAAATCTCATGTCAAATTGTAATCCCAATGTTGGAGGAAGGGCCTGTTTGGAGGTGATTGGATCATGGGGGCAGATTTACCCCTTGCTGTTCTCCTGATAATGAGTTCGCACAAGAACTGGATGTCTAAAAATGTGTAGTACCTCCCACTTCACTCTTTTCCTTCCTTCTCTAGCCATGTAAGAGGTATCTGCTTTTTGCCATGCTTGTCAGTTTCCTGAGGCTTCTCCAGCCATACTTCCTGTACAGCCTGCAGAACTGTGAATTAAACCTCTTGTCTTTATAAATTACCCAGTCTAAGGTAGTTCTTTATGGTAATGCTAGAATGGGCTAATATAGGCGCAGTGGTGTATGCCTGTAGTCCCAGCTGCTTGGGAGGCTGAGGCAGAAGTATTGCTTGAGCCCAGGAATTGTACCTAGGAAACACTGTGAGACTCCATCTCTGAAAAAAAAATGTCACCTTTAAGAAAGGGTTTAAATGTTAATGTTTCAGATGGTTTCTCCAAATCATTAAAATCAACCACAAATGTTGCAAAAATGTTAAAGTGACAAATAATATATCATTACAAACTTACAAGCATGGCAAAAAGCAGGTATGTCTTAGATGGATAACAAAGAAAAAATTCAACAGCCTACTATTGTTACAATTGTTGAGGCAAATATTTGTATTAAAGCACCTAAAAACTTTGCTGCACTTATAAGCAACAGATGCATTAAAAGTATAGATCTAGATGGTTTTCAAAACTTAAACATAACAATTTGAAAAGGCACAGCTGTATTCAATTTTAGTTATAGACATGCCTTGTTATAATAATTAATATTTCCTAAATGTTTTCCTCTAGAAAAGTATTTTTAACATGTTACAATGGTTACCTGTCATTTATGATCCAGTTCAGACAGAGATTGAGAGAGCTAAGATTTTTGCACCTCTTGACAATTTCCATCACGGTTTCATTATCCAGTTCAGTGATATGACGTAGGTCCAAGCTGGAAAGGTTTCTTAGCTAATGAGATAAATAAAATGAAAGATGAAAAAGGTAAATGCTACATTCACTCTCAAAACTTACAAATGTAGTTTATTACAAGGTAGAGTATCACTGTAAAATATTTAAAACAGATAGGCTAGAATCTTTTAATTAAAGATATTGTATATGTAATATTTTATACACTAAATTAAGCATGAGTGTAGTATAGAAATCTATGGTGAATATCTGAATGGCAACAAACATTAAAAGAAAGTAGATTTGGCCAGGCGCGGTGGCTCACATCTGTAATCCCAGCACTTTGGGAAGCTGAGGCGGGTGGATCACGAGGTAAGGAGATCAAGACCATCTTGGCCAACATGGTGAAACCCCATCTCTACTAAAATACAAAAAATTAGCTGGGCGTAGTGGTGCATCCCTGTAATCCCAGCTACTTGGGAGGCTGAGGCAGGGGAATTCTTGAACCCGGGAGGCAGAGGTTGCAGTGAGCCCAGATCGCATCACTGCACTCCAGCCTGGCAACAGAGTGAGACTGCGTATCAAAAAAAGAAAAAAAAAAAAAAGAAAGTAGATTTTACTTAAGTATCCTAAAAATCAAGTTAGCAATCTATTGTCTAATAGGTAGGCAAGGTATTGAATATATTACATTAAGTACCTACAATTTGAGAAGATTATTCTAACATTGTTCAATTTCAGATATTACCTTCATAATTATGCCATTTCTGTATAGATTTTTTTATTTTTTTAAAGATGAAATATGACTAAATGGTTAATTCAGAGATAGCTTGGTGATATATTATCAATGTACTCCAAACTGTACTATTATGGGTATGTGTTTCATCATAAAATGATATAAAATGTGGCTTAAGAAGCAAAAATTTCTCCAGGTTCCACCTTCTCCATGTTTTCATTTTCTATTTCTTTAAGTTTCTTGTCTTCCGCTGATGTTTAGCCTCTAAAGCAAATTAATGATAATATTTACATAAAGGTGGTAGGATCTTAATTATCCTCTTCAAATAAGCTACCTTTTCAAATATTAAGCTATTTTTGCTTAATAATATGCAAAACTTAATCTGGAGGCATATGATAGACCAAATAACACAAATACCCCTCCCACCAAAGATACCTATGCTCTAATATGTTACCTTATAAGGCAAAGGGGATTTTGCAGATGTGATTAAAGGTATGGATCTCAAGATGGGGAGATTATCCCAGGTTATCTGAGTAGTCCCAGTGTAATCACTGGAGACCCTTATAAGCACAGGCTTACTCAGAGAAAGCCAGAGAGATGAAATGGAAGATAACAGGAGATGTTTCAATCATGAAAGGGATTCAAGCTACCTTTACTAGCTTCAAATATTGAGGAAGGGGCCAGGAGTCAAGGAACATGGGCAGCTTTAGAGTTGGAAACAGCCCTCAGCTGCCAGCCGGGAAGAGATAAGGACCTCAGACTTACAACCTTAAGGAATTTAATTCTGCCAAAAAACCTGTAGGAGTGAGCAAGAAAACAGATGCTCCCTTCAGAAACACAATCCAGCTGACACCTTGAATTTAGCCTGGTGAGACCTGTGTCAGACAGGCTTCTAACTTACAGAATAGTGAAATAATAAACTGGTACTGTTTTAAGTTGCTAAGCATGTGAGAATTTAAGTCAGTTCAGCTTAAACTCCAAGAGAAGACTAGACACTTGAATCTCCAATGAAAATGTTCTATATTTCTGCTGTCTGATATAGTAATCACTAATCACTTGTACCTACTGAGCACCTAAAATGTGACCAGTGTGACAGGGGACCTGAACTTTTAATTTTATTTAATTTTAATTAATTTGTATTTAATTTTTATATCTGCATGTGGCTAACAGCTACAGTGTTGGTGGACAGGACAGCTCAAAAGAATGGTCATTGGGAGGGTAGGAGGTAAATTGCCAGGCAGTACTCACACTCTTTCCACCTCAGCTCCCAATGGGAGAAGCTATACAGAGAGAGTTCATAGAGTCACTACTCAATGCTCTCTGAAGCATGCTGCCCAACTATGGAGATAAATAGAGATAGCTGCGACAGATAAAACACAAAAAGGTCCACAACAGCAGGTAAATTCTTTCTAACTGAGACAGAAAGTGTATGTACCAGCTTCTTCTAAGGGCTAGGTTGTAGGCATTAGTAAAGGCAGAGCTTCAGGAAAAGCTCTCTGCAATTGGCTTATCAGGTAAGATGTTCAAGGAAGTCACGTCCAGTCTAGTATGGGACTCAGCAAAATGATGCTCCAGAACAGAGGCAGGTCAAGCAAAGAAATGGGTTCTTACAAAGTTCCTATTCAATAACCACAGGTTAAGGGTTTTAGCAACATCAGAACATAACTGGTACTTGGCAACCAAAGCACACAGGAACGGACTCATTCTTGTTAAAACAGACCTTTCTGGCTGTCTCAGCAGCTTCAGGCAACTGACCAGTCAGAACCTTGGTCAACTCCCTCAGTTTCCCCTTCCTCAAGGTTCACCTTACTGAAATAATTATAATCAATACTAAGCCCAGGGCTCAAAGGTGAGCTGTTTGGGCTCTAAAGTTCTGCTGCAAACATAGCGCCTGTTTCCTATATCTTACCTCTCATTGTAGCTTTTTTTTTAAGTATCTAAAGGTACATAAAAAAGACAGACAAATAAAATACAAAATAAATAGCAAATAAGTTTCTATAACTTTTCTGACCTCACTAGAATTCACCTAAGGGAACAAAGGGCTGATATGAACGCTCTTTGCTGTGCTTTCTTCCTTTCCAATATGTGATCTGCATGTGGTGGGCACAGAAATTGAAATCACCCACAGTCATGGCTGGGCTTGGAGCAAAATGGAAGGCCAACATCTTTTATGAACAGGAGACACCAGAAGGATAGATGGCTATGTACATTTATCAACTCACTAGTTCTGTGGGTCAGGAGACCAGACATGGCTTAGCTGTGTCCTCTGCCTAGGGTTTCGCAAGGCAATCAAGATCTCAACTGGGGCTGTATTTCTTTCTAGAGCTGAAGTTCTCTTACAAGCTCATGTAGTTGCTGGAAGAATTCATAGGATGGGATGGGATGGGATGGGATGGGATGGGATGGGATGGGATGGGATGGGATGGGATGGCAATAAAATGAAAGAGACAATGGTAAGAAAAAAAGCACAAGTCTCAGACTCAGTGTTTTTTTGTTGTTATTTTTCATGAGAGGACGGAAAATAATAGTCTGAAAGCAGCTATGCAGAGCAAAGAGGATCTTTGCCCCCACCTCCTGACCCTGAGAGAAACACAGTGAGAAAATAAACAGGTATGGTAGGCAAAATTCTAAGATGATCCCAATGGCCTATGCTCTATCATAATCCCTGCCCCCTTGAGTGTGGACAGGACCCACGATTAGGATGGAAATTCTCCTTACACAGCAAAGAGATTTAGCAGCTATAATTATGGTTCCTGATTAGTTGACACTGAATGAATCAAAAGGGAAAGTATCCTAGGTGGGCCTGACATAATCAGTTAAGCCCTTACAAAGGATCTAGAGGTCTGAGAAATTATCCTGCTTGGTCCTGAAGAACTAAGCAACTGTGCTGTGAAAAAGACTATGAGAGCCTTCTGGGGATTGGCCACTGGCTGAGGGCCAGCAAGAAAATAAGGGTGTTAGTTCTACAACCACGAGGAACTGAATTCTTCAAGCCACTACATGAGCTTGTAAGAAGACTTGAGCTTTAGAAAGAAATACAGCCCCAGTTGAGATCTTGATTGCCTTGTGAAACCCCAGGCAGAGGACACAGCTAAGCTATGTCTGTCTGGTCTTCTGACCCACAGAACTAGTGAGATGATAAATGTACATTGTTTTAAGCTGCTAAACTTGTAGTAATTTGTTGTGTATCAGTAGAAAACAAATGCAGGAGGGCTGCGGTGACGTTGTATTGCTGAAGAAAAGCCAGGCTTCACTCAAGACAAGGGGAATATCCTTGCCCACTTTAAATGCTGAAGCTCTCTGTCCCTCTTCAGATACTTATGCTCACAAAAGCACAGAGTGAGAGGCTTAGTCCATTCAGTCTTCTCCTCTAGGCTTGTCTTCAGCTTCCAAGAAAATACTTCCTAGAAAACAGTCAGTTTTGATGTGGCCACTCTTGTCAGAAGAAAGAGAAATAGAGAGAGACAGAGAGTCTGAGACAGAGACAGACAGAGATATCTAGAAAGTGGGGAGGTCTTCCTAAATTTCTTAAACCAACCCTTACTCATGGGAAGATGGGTTTAATGGAAACACTTTATGAAAATACTTGCACAGCTTCTGGCTTTTACTCAATTCATACTTGTCAATAGTCACATGCTTCCATATATATCTTAACACAGGTTAACTGTCTTTTTATGTTCCCTAAAGTTTTATTTTTCACAAGATTTTGCATTAGGGCTAGATAGGTGGATAAAATGGTTTCACTGGTCAAGTTCTCTTGTTTTTGATTGAGCAAAGATGAATTTGTATGTGTCAAGGATCTGAGTCACTCTTAAATTTGATAATCCTCATATTACTGTCCCCCACACTTCTATTTTCTACCTAAAAATCACCATTTTTTTAAACCACATTGTCTTTACAGCTAGCTTTCTTTATAGGGCGTTTTTGATCTCCACACCCAAAAAGTTTTTATCACTGTTGGAAATATACTGTTCTGTAACATGTAAAAAGAACCAGACAGCCCTTGAGAACTGCAGATGCTGGGCAGCTTTCTGGGCTCATGTGCTGACAGCAGCCCCATGTTGGTATCACAGGAAAATAAGAAATAAACTACATTAAATGGACCCATAGGGCTGCCTGTAAATACTTTGACATATGACTCTTAAACCTATAAACATTAAGGATTAATTTTGCTACTTGTAGCTATATGCATATGTGAACTACTGAATAGAACCATGCAAAATACACATATAGCATGACTTTATTTTCCCAATTTATCCTTTACCATAGTTTCTAGGAAGATTCGAAGTCACAAAAATTTTATCCAGCTACATAAATATCTCCTACACATGCATATTTGGGGTTCTAGCACAGCTTCTGACACAGAGTTTCTATGTGAATTCTTACCCATCTCTTGCCTTCCTTCATTGTAATGTTATCTCTCCATCACAACAGTTTAAATGTACTTAATGCCACTAAACTGTACATTTTACATGGTTAAAATAGCACATTCTATGTTATGTACATTTTACCACAATAAAAATATCACATATCAACAAGAAGATGGTGAGAGCATATAATAAAAATTGTGTAGAGAAGAAAATATAAAGCTGCTTGTGCCAGTTCAGTCCTTCATCATAGGAAAGATAACTGAGTGTCAACAAGGCTGGGATAACTTATCAAATTGCAGATACTTGATAGAGAGATGTTGGCAAATCTGAGCTATTTTATAGACTTGTGAAAATCCAAAAATATCTAAAATTTGAGTTCTATTTGACTCTTGAACTTTTAGAAAGCTTGCATCCAGGCCTACTCCTCACAATAAGGTAGACTAGATGACGGATGACACTGGGATACTTGTGACTCTTACTGCCTGTATGTACTGTCCATAAATAAAACATTTCTCACTCTTCCAGTGGAGCACAAATGTATACATGAAGAAACAGGTTTACTTGAGCTCTTATGCTCCAGGCTTCTACAGCAACCTTAAAGAGTATTTTACTTTTCTTTTTTCATGAGCTGACAGTCACTGCATTCACATGGCCTTCCCTATAACCACTTTGGCCAACTCAACTTGAAATATGACAGTATCCAAAGGCAGTTCCAAGAGACGAATCCCCAGTAACCAGCATCATTACAAGACACAAAACTAGCACTTCTAAGAGATGTGGCATTTTTATTCAAAACTGCACAAACAGTTCTGTCAAATTCATCACATTCCTTCCTTCACTATGGGAATTTCATAATGGTGCCCCCAGTGTTTCATAAAAAGCTACATAAAATAATCCTTCATAGTCTCAAACAGATAATTACATTTAGGAAACTGACATTTTAATTAAACTTACTTTCCTTATAATTCACTGGTAGTTGTGAGTTTTAAAAATCACAGAGGATTTGAATAAGCAAAGCCTTACAATCAAGATCTAAATGTTTCACTCCAATTTTTAAATATTTAGTAAGGTATTTTAACAGAAACCCAAGTCAGAATGTAGAATGTAGGTAATCATCTTTCAGTTTAATACTGCTTTTATTAGAAAAAAAGTGACATCTAATTAATTCATGTTAAAGACTAAAATTAGTCAATGATTGGTATGGCCATGTATGTACTTAAATATAAAATGAGACACTAAAATGTTACCTAGGAAACATAAGCTTGGTGGATTATCGAAAGACCTCAAATGGGTCAGGAGTTCGAGACCAGCCTGACCAACGTGGTGAAACCCTGTCTCTACTAAAAATACAAAAATTAGCCAGGCATGGTCAGGCGTACCTGTAATCCCAGCTACTCAGGAGGCAGAGGCAGGTGAATCGCTTGAACCCAGGAGGCAGAGGTTGCAGTGAGCCGAGATCGCACCACTGCACTCCAGCCTGGGTGACAGAGCGAGATGAAAGCAAGAAAAGAAAGAAAGAAAAGAAAAGATCAGACCAGACCTCAAATGGCTTCCAAATTTTCTTAAGACCCTACAAAAGTTAAAAATGAAACAAAACCCTCAATTGTAAAGACTGACTGAAGTGGATGAATTAACGAAAGAGGACTCACATTACCTTAGCAAAGGCAGCATGGATGTTCTATCACTTCAGGACTCTGAGGATAATTTAAGTGACACAAGTTGGAAGTGTTAATTTTTAAAAATAATGAAAACTTCTATATAGTTAAATATGTTCAAATGTCAATTAGTACCTAAATTAGTTCTTGCCAGTACTGCACATATTGACTTTATTGGACCAGGTTTCTAAGTAATTGTAATGTTTAGGGAGCAAAGTCAAGGGTTAAGACAGGCTGCCTTGCTGATGAAGGGGTTGCTGGGCATAGATTAGCACGACACACTAATCCGCCAAACAGCTGTCAGGCTGTCAAGATGGAGACCAAGGGAGATCCTAAAGGCAGAGGAAGAGAGAAGGGTCAGAGAAAGGCAGTTATAAGAAAACTGGGAAGAGCTTCCTATTAAAGACAGGGAGAGTGACTCAAGGAGAAAGGGAAAGGGGTGGTAGCAATAGATCTTGAAGTATAAAAGTAGAAAAAAAGTAAAGAAACTAAGACTGCTGGGAATGAAAAGAAAAGGGGCAGGGAGAATTTCTGTTCCCAAGCCTAGAAAGACTTCCATCCTTGAGAAGGTCTGTTATCTACACTTAGAGAAGGACTTGGTTGGACAAGGGAGGGAACAAGGGGTATGACTAACTAGGCTGGAATCTCAGCTAGGGTATTAAAATGTAATAAAAATCTAAATAAGCCACATTCATTTTGGACATCAGGCAAATCCTTCCCAGCATCTGAGGGTAGAACTGAAAGGCTCTAAATAGCCTTAAAGCTTCACAGAGACAACAGCAATTGCTAGTACTATGAAAATAGGACTTACAGGGTCTTGGAATTAATAGTAGCTATGATCTTAATTCTCAGGCACCTTCTCTATGTATTCTCTTTCACCCACTGCCTTCTTAATCACACTGGGCTTTTGTCTCTTTGCATTATTTTCAAATCCAAGGTGTGGTTTTGCCATTCTCCTACTAGATCTGACATTATTCTCCATTTTATTCATTCTGTTTTGCTTTCTAGGACATTTTACGGCCCGCTTCTCCTCAAAGCTGTCCCTTCTAACTCCTTTTTGCCACATCACTAGCCAGATTAATCTTCTTGAAACAACTTTGATCAAATCTCCCACCTTCTCCAAAGCCTTTAGGGAACAAAAATATTTCTGCTGCAAAAAGGAATCCCAGAGCTTCCCTATCAAGGCCCTCCATTGTCCATCCCTACCATTCCCTGAAATCTGTTAAGCCAACTGGGATCTCTTTCCCCAGATTTTGAGAAGTTGTTCTCACTACGCTCGGTGAACTGTGCTTATTATTTTAAAACTGCTCTCACTTCACTTATGTTATTCTGATAACTTAGAAGTATCTGTTCTCCTCTCCCTTCCTCTTATTCCACTACCTGGTTCAAATCTCATCTTCTCCACAAAGTCTTTTTGATTAATATAGAGAGGAAAAAAAAAAGTCTTCGAAATATACTTGCCTTAATGCAAATTATTAACTAGGCAGTTCCCAACATATCTATGCTCTTTAAATGGGGAATCATTAATTGGCAACAGCCGCCAAGGAACCAGGTAACAATCTTTCCTTCCTGCTACAACTACTTAGGAATGCCCTCTTTGACTTCTCCATCTCTTCACCCTCCCTTCCCTGATCGCTTCCTTCTCCCCTTCTAGCCTTTCCTAGACTGTGCTGCTCAGGATCAATCTCTCATCACAAACATCTGAAATCTAATCTTAATGCTTGGCCTAATCTGAGTCTCTGAGGTAGCAGTTGTGGTGACTCTTGATTCATTCATTCACATTCATTTAAATGTTTCCTGAGCACCTGGCTCTAACCTTGGCTCCAAGTTAGGATAACCAGCGAACATAAAAAAGAAGATTGACGGCCAGGCCCCATACTTAGAGATTTTGATTTAATTGTCTTGGAACAGGGCGAGCCTTCAGTATTTCTGAAAAAGATACCCAGTTGATCTCAACCTGGACTGGTAACCACTGCTCTGGTGCAGCATAATTGATTTTTAAAAATCCAGTTACTGAAAGTACAAAAATAATTTGTAAAGCTTAGTCTCTTTAATCACTTAAAAAATGCAAAAAGTATTATTCATGTAGTCAATAACTATTGATTAAGCAGCTATTGTGTACCAGGAACTTCTCCAGCTGATAAAAATACAGCAGAGAACAAAAAAGCAAAAATCTCAGTCCATAGAATGGTTATATTCCTAGCTAGGGGGTTGGAGGGGGCAATAAATAAAATAAATAAACAAATATGTTAAAAGGTGTTAAGTACTATAGAGAAAAATAAAGCAAGACAAGCTGGATGGAAAAGAGAGGGAGGGAAGATGGGTGTAATTTTAAACAGGCAGTCAAGGATGATCTTACTGAAAAGATGATATTTGCGCAAAGATTTAAAGGAAATGAAGGAGCAAACAAAGCCAGGCTGATATCTGGGGCAAGAGTTAGGACAGTGCAAAGGCCCTGAGATGGAAACTGTCCCAGCACTTTGGAAGATGAGTAAGGTGCTGCAGCAGAGTGAATGGAATGAAGACTAGCAGGAGACATGGTCAAAGAGGAGATCTAAGAAGGACAGATCACATAGGGTCTTGTGGGTCCTGTAAGGATTTTAGCTTTTGCTCTGAGAAATTTGGGGAACCTCTGGAGGATTTTGAACAGGAGTGTACTATGTTCTAATTTAGTTTTGAAATGATCACCCAAGCTTCTGTGTTGAATTCAGAACATAGATCCAAGGGTGGAAGCAGACAGAAGCTATATTGAATTAATCCAGTCAAGAGTTATCAGTGACTTGGACCACTGTGACAGCAGTTGGAGGTGGTATGAAGTGATTTTGGCTATACAGTATTTGAAAGTAGAATCAACAGAATTTTTTGACAAATATCTTATGGGGCACGAGAGAAAAAGAGGAGTCAAGGACCATTCCAAGAGTTTTGGTTTGAGCAATCAGAAAATATTGTTGCAACTAACAAAGACAATTTGGGGGCAGGCAGAAAAGATAGTTTTGTTTTGAATATGCTATGCTTGAGATGCCTAGATAACCAAGTAGAGATGTCAAATAAATTTAGGAGCCAGCAGCACATAAATGACATTTACGCCTCTACATTTAATATATAATTGTATTAATTATATATAAATGTGTTAAATTCATTAAGTTAGCTAGGTAGAAAGAGTAGTCTTACAATTTATAGTGAATAAATTCTGAATTAATTGATTGAATTAATGTGCAGGCATACATCTCACAGTAATAAAATAGAACACAAACAGCCTAGCCCAATTCTTTAAAAAACAAAACAAAACAAACAAAAAAAAAACGCTTATAGCAATAGTGTCCCCCAGGCCATGTGAGGCAGTTACAAGGCAGAATTCATTTCCTTAGTCTGTAACAGCATAATTCAGCCTTCTCAGCCCCAGTGTATGTCCTCTGTAAAGCTACCTGGGATGCCAGCATTCAGAGCAGGAGACTCTGCCCTCTGTACACCCACTGATGTTGCTCACTCTTTCACCATGTTGTTAACCAAGCTGCTTTATAATCTGGTCTAATTTAAGCATATGTTCCTTCCACTAGAGTCAAAAGGAAGCTACTGCAGGTCAGGACCATGTCTTACTCACTTTTGTGTCACCAGTGCTTAACACAGTACTAGGTGCATTAAAAACATTTATTAAATGCTTAGAACTGAATGAGTAAATTTGAAATCAGGATCAAAACTTTAGATATGACTTTATTTATTTAAGTTTCCAGAAATCAGTTCTCCATTCTCTTAACTCCATCAAATGCAGGATCTGCAGCTCTGCGGCTACATGCTTTTAAAGTTCTTCTATTTGAACATAAAGTAATATGTAAACATTAAATAATAAAAAACTACTTTCTCATAGCATACAATTAGAGGTCATTTCAGAACAAGAAGCATAATGAGTTCTCTATTTACATATTTGTTCTTAAAATTCAAAACTTTTTTTTAAGAGCCTCTGTAAGTTATCAGTTTGAAGTATGTGGCAGGAATTTTGAGTAGTTCACCAAAATTTTAATCACTGTCTGCTGCTGCAGAAATGTGAATTTGTTAATTGGATTTCTGCTTCTCAATATACCAATTCAGAATGGATGCTCTGCTCCTCCTCTTTCACTCTGGCAGTCACACAGTCTCTAATTGAGTTTTTTTCCTAGGACTTTTCTTTCCACCAAATCTCTTTCTTTCCTCCACATAAGATTTCTAGAGCTCATAACAAACTACAAACAGCACTTAAAGTTAGCAGCGCTAAGCAGCCTTGTCACTTTTTTACCCAGCAGGAGCTAAGAATGAAAATTTCCCTTCAATTAAAAAATAAAATATTCACACTGTTTCACTTAAAGAAGAAAACAAATCAAAGCTTAAGTAAATTAAGGGTAAATTAAGTCAAATGTGAATGCAAGCAAGAAAAGACTGCTTCAACTAATTGGACTGGTTGTATACTTCATTTCCTCATATCAAGTTCAGAGATCTACAAAAAAAAGAGACAGTTCACAAAATTTCGAACCAATTTCAGTCACTTGCACTCATGGATCACACTTCAAAGGGTGAAAAGTTTTGGAAATATATTCCAAATGAAAGTTTTATAATCTTATTTTTTAAAGTAGTGAAATAACTAAAATGCCATTAGCCCAAGACGAAAGCTTACCATATCCAAGCCAAGTGACCTGTACACTGGCCTCTTGATCTTGTACTGTCTATTAAAGCAATACAGTCAAATCATTTCACTCATTATTTCTAAATGTGTTAAGCTGAAAAACAAAGGAATGATAGTAATGATTTTTAACTTAATGAATGTTATGTCATATATTTTTATTTTCTGGCATTCCAAAAATGTTACAGAAATGTTGTATCTACACTCTCAAATAAAATATCTTTTTTTTCCTGGTTTACAGTATGCAACTGGGACTCACCTTCACATGGAAAATCTCATGGCCTTACATTCTCATTTATTGGTCTCAACCCCAAGTTAATAAAAAATGCCTAAACCTTAATTTCAGAAATCAGTTTTTCTATCCCGTGATCAGATACTGTTTCAAAGAGTGGATGAGAAACTTTCGTCTTTTGAGCCAAAAAGCTGTAGTGCACAGGATGATAACCATCAGCTGAGCCACCTGCAATCTTTGGGTCTTCCACACTGTCACAAAAGGATTCTCTAATATGTGGAGAAACACCATGAGGCCCCCGTCAACAGGTCCCTATGGCTTCTCTCTGTAGAAGAGGTTTACTGCATAGACCTAGAACACTCTAAGTCACCTAGGAAGAAACTAAATAACCTAGGCATTCAGCAGCAGCTTTCTCTCCTTCTAATTTTAAGTCGTTTTTATGATAAAAAATTCCAAAATGTATACATAATTCTCCCCCAACCCATGCTCCAAAGTCTGCAAAGAAAGCCACAAGTCTAATATTAATAATCTAAAAATAAATCAGTTGGGTCATCCATACTAGTGAAACAGGAGTCACAGACTCTGGTCCTAAAATAAATAACTATGCAGATTTGAAAAAAATAGTATTTCTTCCACAATCTTCAGCATTGTACTTGATTTCATTTTTCATGGTTATTACCAAAGTGCTCCCAGTCACCTGTCATGGATAGTGAAGGAATGAACACTTTCCAGGTGAGAAAAATCTTAGAAGAGTCAAACATTTTAAAGGGCAAGTAAGGATTCATATTTGAAATCCAGGTCAAGAACTCCCCAAACACTGAATCAGATCACATTTGTTTTACTTAGTTTTACATTGTTCTATAAACAGTTCCAAGAGGCAACAGCATTTGGTCCACCAAGTATTTCAATTTGAAATTAGTAAGTTTTACTTCCTGACTTCTGTAATTATACTCAATGTTATAAGCTGGAAGTGAATGAGCTAAAATTCTAGGTTAATGACTATGCTACAGGGAGTATATCAGTTATCAGTAAGAAATGGTAATCAGAAAGATCTCTCTAAAGTTTTCCTTGATATTAAATAATATGGAATATGAAATTATTAAAGATGATAAAAGTATTTTTGAAATGAGGTGCAAAAATTTATAACTTTGATTTATATAATAAAGCACTACTTTCTGAAACAAAGAAATGTCCAACTGTAAAACTGCTCTCTCAACCAATTTTAACCACCTATGAATTCAAAAGCTTCAGCCAATTGAAATAAAATTAAAAATAACAATATCTAGTATACATCTAAGGTAGGACTTTAAATATCAACTTATCATTTACCTTAATATTGCATACTTTGGGTCACTTATAACTTCTCACACCAATACAAAAACATGACGAAGATTTTTTTAAAACAAATAAACAAGTACAGACAGGATAACATGAATTGTCTTTTAATTGTCAATCAAAACTATCCAAGATACAGCTTCAAATAACTAGTAACCAATAACTCAAATAACTAGTTCACAACAGTTAACTTCTTTAGTCAAATATTTTTCTTTACATTTGCTTCTATAGATTGACATTATAGATTACAGCACTGAGAAAACATTTCAACTCTGTTGTTGCTAGAAGCATGTGTGAAAATGATCTTTCTATAATTAAGCAGCTAGCACTCCAACCTATTCTTGGAATTCATCATGAACTTGTAGCTTTATTAGTCTTAATTGTCATGTAACTGCCTGAGCTTACGTTTCTAGCTACAGCTTTTCTGGATTCAGGATGGCAGTATAGAGTTAGTGGTAGTCTAAGAAAGAGTCAGGTCTAATTTAAATCTTATATTATGTTCAATTCTCTGCTTGTGCTTTGATGCCAATTGTTCCAATATTCTCTTAAAGAAAATAAATATCATTTCTATTGTCTTAAATGTGATTTCATGAAAGAAACGCAGAATGACACAGAAAGGAAGATGTGTTGGTCAAGGTATAATTAGGAAAATAGAAACTACTATAAATATGAAATTACACAAAGGAAATTTCATTAAGGGAATTGGTTATTTTGGTGAAGGAGCAGCTAAGAAGACAAACTGGATATGGTAGCGTAAGCCAGAAACTTAGCAACAGCAGGAAACCACCAGCATCCCAAAGCTGAAGACACTGAAGCTGATCCCTTCAGCATCCCAAAGCTGAAGACACTGAAGCTGATCCCTTCAGCATCCCAAAGCTGAAGACACAAAAGGAAGAGTCAGTGTTACTGGGACCCACAAGCCACAGTCAGCCAACACAAGTTGGAGCTGCAGATCAGTCCAGGGCTGGAACCACGGAGGAGACAGAGGTGTTGCCAGAAATGCTACCTGAGTTAGAGAAGGAGAGAGAGAAAAACATTTATTGTAGCTTCTGCCTCCCTGTGGCATTCCTGTCTCCCACTAAATGCAGCCTGCAAAGTTAAGCCCCCCATAGAATATATATAGAGAAGAGCATGCTTAGAGAGAAGAAAGGTTCTGAGGGGAAGGAGGCCTGGTTCTGAGGGCAAGCAGCATGAAGCAAAAGAAAAGAAGGAGGAAGGGGGGCACAGGTTTCCAGCAATTAAAAGAAACAAAGTCACTCTAACGGGAGTTCTTTATAACAATCCAGAAACAGGAATGATTGCCAGAGTATTCCTGTACTTTGCCTGAGAAACCCACAGTGCTGACCAAGTTTGTTTTCTTCTTTGAGCCAGATGAAAGCTGCTTTCTTAGACACAGGAATATTGTTTCACTGTTAAAGATTCAAGATTGATAGTCAATTGCATGTTCAAAAGGGCCTCTGATAAAACACAATAACCAAGCATTTCCTCTGGTGAATGTAACAGAGAAAGTTCCAGTGGGAAGCTTTTTCTTGAAAAAAAAAAAAAAATTGATGGCCAATCATCCCACTGGGATACAATCAATTGAACAGAAGTCTACAGTGGGGGAAGCAGCTATGCTCCTGAAGGTTTTGTAAATACACTGTGATCAACAGCTTTTGTGTAAATGCCTGTAATACGTCTGGGCTAGAGAGCAAACATGTGAAGAGCTCAATTGCCTTTAGTCAATGTACTCTATTGGACTCTATTACTGGGCAAGTGTGTCTAGAGAAGCGGGATCTCAAAACCAAACTCTAATCCCAAAATTATTAGAGAAAATAATGAGTAATAACATGTAAGCCCAAATTCTGCTAAAATGTTGAGGTTCCAAGCTAAAATTTTACAACACTCTACTGTCTCATAAATAACTAACTTCTAACGATTAATAACAGGGAATTACTATGAAAATGAATTCCCTATATTTAAAGAATGCAACTACAATAAAGACACAACATAATTTATCTTGCTTTCAATATCCAGGAGCCCCTTTAGAATCATGGAGAACACTTTCGTTCATCAGTATAGACTTCACACAACATTAAACAAAATTGCAAAGAAAAAGATAATACATAGATTCTTTGGATTAGCTATGATTAACAACTGGCGCAGTGTGAATGTATGTACTGTGTTGAAGTATGCATGTAAATGAATAAACAATATGTATAGACACAGGTACTTCCCTGTGGCTGATTGTGGTAGACAAGATCTGCCCAGGTGCAGTAAAAATGGTTCTGAAATAAGATAGTTTAATTAATTAAAAATAAAATACAGTTAAGTATTTTATACATGTACAAAGCAATTGCCTATAACTATTAATGTTTTTAATAAATGTTTTAAATTAATGTTTTTAAAATAAATTGGATTATATTTAACTCTGTAATTCTCAATACATGCTTACTTCAAGTTAATAAATGAGATATGCTTATTTTTTTCTCAGTAGTATATTTTCTCATTAAATTAAATCATTAATTTATTCTCATTAAGCTCCAAACCTGGTTTCTCTAATTCGGGCAGTCTGTTCTGCTGATTTAGAAATGGGACCCCTTCCATGTTCAATATCACTCTTTATGTATAAACCACAAGACTAGGGGAAGTAGAGTGACACTGATCCTTAAATAAAATTTCTGCCACAAAACACTGTGAATGAATTTGAAAGTAAAAAAAAAAAAAAAAAAATGAAAGCAACAGCTCATAATCTCTTTCTTGGATAAAGACTGACCTCATGTGTTAGAGACCAGATAAAATAGAGTTGATATCCTTTTTACAAGAGTATTTTCAACAAAAACCACAATTTACAAACAAGTGTGTGATAAACATTCAGAGTGGACTGAGGATAATATAAGCAAAGCAAAATAATATTTAAAATATAAAGCCATGATCCAAGAAAGGCTCTTTCAAAAACAATTGCCAATTCTCTTCATTTTATATTTATATGTTTATGTTAAAGCCTGAAGCAACCATTTTATCAAAAGACAGATGCCACAAAGAAACTTATCGACTCACTTTATTTGTTAGGACTTTTATAAACTGAGTCATTTGAAAGATGAATTCATTTATTTTACTAGTGTGATACTGATACCTATTACCATTGAAGTTGCTGAAATGAAAATGTAGCACAAACAAATACACATTACAACTAGAGTGTAAGTAATAGAGTTATAAAAGAGTACCCTCACTGATCAGGTATTACTGACTAAACAGCATGAAAAAATAAAAGTGGTAAGTTTCTATTGCTTATGTAGATGTTGTCTATACTAATTTATGAAAACATCAAAGTCACTAATTTGGGCAGTAATAATAAGGTAGAAGAGTATATCCCAGTTTCCCCTTAGCCAAGGGAGATGCAATCCAAGACTCCCAGGGGATGCCTGAAACTGAGAATAATACAGAACTCTATCTATACTATATTTTTTCCTATATAGTAACAGGTAGGTAGCATATATAGGATGGATATGCTGGACAAAGACGATTCATAGCCCTGGCAGGAGGGAGTGGGACAGTGCAAGATTTCAACACTACTTAGAACAGCTGCAATTTAACACTTACTAAGTGTTTATGTCTGAAATTTATCATCTAACAGTTTCGGCCTGTGGTTGACTGCAGGTAACTGACACCTGGGAAAATGAAACAGCAGATGGTGGGATCTACTGGATCCCCTTATTCAGTGTATTGCTATAGTACGAGTTTTTTAAATGCTTTTTAAAAAATACTATTTTAGTTACACAGTGCGTTTAACTTAAATAATTAAGCAACCTTTAATGGGTCAGCAGGAAAAGAAAAAAATTATACAACAAAGAGTAAACAAACATAGTTATTAATCTTAACATTCAGCACTGACACTCAGGTAGAAAAAAGGTCATAAAGTTTTTAAGTAAGTTTTATTTTCATAAAATTATTGTATCTTATGTTAATGAAAGAACATAAGTATGTCAGGACTAACAAGTTATGAGGAACTTTCGTACATCATGATGAATATTTTTTAATTAGCTTTTTTTTTTCATTGTTCAACCACTTCTTTAGTTATGTGCCAAGAACTCTTCCTCATGCATCCCTAGAGGCAGGTAGATGGTATTACTATCCTTCTTTTACAGATGAGGAAACTGAGGCAGAGAGATTAGGTGATTTGTCCTAGGTCATACAATCAGTAATCATACAATTAGCTTTGTTGACTGCAATAAATGCGTTGCTGGCCTTGGCAAACTTCTAAGAAAAAAATATCAATTAATGGATCACATCAGGCCTAGATAATCAAAGCTTATATTCTCAACACTTGATTTTTGGCTCAACTCTTAACTGCTAAAAAGCTAAAAAGTAGCAAAAGCATGGTCATCCAAAAAAACCCTTTCATAATACAGTACTCACTAGGTCATATTCATTAGGGAATATTTCAGAGCTGAATGAATTTAAGAACATATTTTTTACATCTCAGAATATCACTCAAGCACCTATAATTAATCAGAAACAAATGAAATGATAACCTATGACAAAGCAGCAATATTACCATTTAAGTAGTAAAACAGTGTGTTCTTTCTGTAGAGTAAGGCAATCTAAACCAATCGATTGTTTGAAAATTTAAAAGGCAAGAAAGTTAATTTTTCATTTCTAGTCTCTGAATAAACAAAAAAAGGAGGATGAAAATTGAGTTAGCTGCATGAATGAACATTCTTTCAGTTACTTATGTTAAATCAACTGAAAAAATCAATTTTGTTTTCCTTTAAAAACATTTAACATTTCCAACCATAAGCACTTTTAAAATATGTGCTTTTCTTGAAGTTCTTTAAATGTGATTATGATACAAGAAAATATCAAAAGTTTTATCTAGCTGTCTGTTACCTTCCTAAGGAACTCTGTTTTTAAAAAACAATATAAAACAAAACTCAACCAAACCCATACGCAACACATCCCAAATACTCGGTTAATGTTTGTAAGCTGTTGATAAATAAATATTATAAATATAAATAAAAATTCTCTACCATCTTAATAGTTATTTAATATAAGGTCTTTTCTTTTTTCTTTTTTCCTTTCAGAGATAGGATCTCGCTGATTGCAGTGGCATGATCATGGCTCACAGTAGCCTCAAATTCCTGGGCTCAAGCAATCCACCCACCTCAAGCCTCCAGAGTAGCTGGGAATACAGGCATACACCACCAAACCCAGCTAATTTTTTGTAGAGATGGGTCTTACTATATTAATAGCCCAGGCTGGTCTTGAACTCCTGGCCTCAAGGAATCCTCTCACCTCAGCATCCCAAAGTACTAGGATTACAGGCATGAGCCAACACACCCACCCTAAAAAAAGGTCTTCTTGACTACTGATTGAAATCATTTGTACTGATTTGATATAAATAAACACACAAGAGATTTGTGACATTATATTGATGAAGTTACAGCATTTCTAAGGCTTGCCTTTGAACTACATGTAAAAATAACTTGCCATTTTTGGCATTTCAGACTCTACAGGTAGCCTATTCAACATATAAAATAATATATGTTAATACATATTATCCTAAGCATTTTCCATGTCATTACGTATTCTTGAAAAGTATAATATTGAATAGTACAATTTTATCATGTTAGACTAACATCAACATTTTTAATTTTTTTACCCCTTAAAAGTTTTTTAATCATTATGGAAATTTTCATATATAAACAAAAGTATTGAGAAGGTATAATAAACCTTCATGTCTTAAAACCTAGCTCGATTATCAATATTTTGCATTTTTTTTTCTTTCAGAAACAGGGTCACATTCTGTTGCCCAAGCTGGAGCACAGTGGTGTGATCGAAACTTACTGCAGACTCTAACTCTTGGGCTCAAAAGATCCCCTCATTTCAGCCTTCCAAGCAGCTAGGACCATAGCATGTGCCACCATGCCCAGCTAATTTCTAATTTTTTTTTTAGAAACAGGGTTTGTTACCCTGTCTCTAAAAGTCACATCCTTTATTATCATACAAGCCATCCTCCCGCTTCAGCATGCCAAGCATCTGAGATTACGGGCACAAAACTACATTGCTGGCCCAATATTTTCACGATTTTTGTTTCCTTTATTGGCCTATGCACTTTTATCTTTTTCTTGTTTTTAGTCCCTTTGTAATATTTTAAACCAAATCCCTAATACTGTGTCATTTTACCAGTAAATAAAGTATGTGTCTCTTACTGATAAAAATTTAACAAGCATACCACTATCATTCTTGACAAAACTAACAATAATACTTTGTTATCATTCAATGACCACTTCACATTCAAGTTTTCTCAATAATCTCAAGGATATATATTTTAATGTTGTTTTGTTACTGTCAGGATTCAAGCAAAATCTCCACATCACATTTAGTTGTTTTGTCTTGAGTGTTTTCTATAAAAATGTCTCTCTTTCTTTTCTACAATGTTTTTTCCTTAGAGAAACTGGGTCATTTGCGTTAGACAAATCTAGATTTAGCTGATTGTCTTTTTGTGGTATTATTTAACATGATGCTTTAATCCTACTATTTCCTGTAAATAGGTAAATACAGAGGCAGATTAGATTCAGGCTTTTTGTTTTGTTTTGTTTTTTAGACAGAGTCTCGCTCTGTCACCCAGGCTAAAGTGCAGTGAGTGGCATGATCTCAGCTCACTGCAACTTCTGCCTCCCGGTCCCGGGTTTCAAGCAATTCTTGTGCCTCAGCCTTCCGAGTAGATGGGATTACAGTCACTCCCCACCCTGCCTGGCTAATTTTTGTATATTTAGTAGCAAGAATACTATATAAATGATGCTGTGTACTCTCTACTGCATCACCTCAAGAGTACTTAAGGTCTGCTGTCTCACTTTTCTTCATGCTAAGATTGATCAGTGAGTTAAATGCTATCAACTTCTTCCCTCCATTATGATATTCCTACATGGGAATATCAATCCACATATAATCGCTTTTGCTTTCATTGATGATGATCATTGCCTCGGTCCATTATTTCAAGATAACTGCAAAATTATAATTTTCTAATTCTATCATTCCTCTTTTCATTTGTCACTAGAATCCTATTCAGAAGAACTTTCCCTTATGAATTATGTGTTTACTTTTTTGTAATTCCTATAAGAAAAAAAGGATAAATATGTGATTCTCATTTTGTTTACTCATTTTTAGAGTAATAAACTGCTGCCTTATTAAGTTCCAAAGATGACCAATGCGCTTTTCTTTAAAAACATCTTTACTGAAGAAAAACTGACATACCAAAGACTGCACATACATATTTAAAATGTATAATTTGGTAAGTTTTGACATATGCACCATGAAATATTTACCACAACCAACATAATATATGTCATCCCCCAAAGTCGTCACATGCTCCATTGTACTCCTTCCTTTTTGTTCCTCTCTCCTCCCTCCCCTCCCTTACTGGTGGGCTCTTTGTAACTTGACAATCATTTGCATTTCTTAGAATTTCACAGATGAAACAGAACTCTTTTTTTTATCTGGCTTGTTATACTCAGCAAAATTATTTTGAGATTAATCCATGTGATAGTATGTATCAGTAATTCATTCCTTTAACACCCTGTGTGGTATTCCATTGTATAAATATACCAGATTGTTTATACATACACCAACTGACAGACATTTGGGTGGTTTTAAGTTTGGGACTGTTTCTAATAAAGCTGCTATATGGATCCATGTCTTTGCATGTACCTGTGCTTTCATTGATCTTGAGTAAATACCGAGTCGTGAAATGACTGTATCATATAGCAGGTACACATTTAACAGTTTTAGAAATTACTAAAGTGTTTACCAAAGTAAACACTTTGGACCATTTTACATTCTCACAATGTGTAAAATTGGACCACAAGTATGTGTAACTGGACCACATACCTATGATACAGTTTAATTCATCAGTTAGGCATGAGATTAATAACAATAACTAATAATAAAATAGAACAATTATAACAATATGCTGTAATAAAAGTGATGTGAATGTGGTCTCCCCGACCCCCTCAAAATATCTTCTTGTTTTGTACTTTGGGTAACTGATACCACCCATGGAAAGTGAAACTGCAGATAAGGGAAAAGGGACTCTCTCCTTAATTTGCATGAAATTTCCATTCATCTAAGCTGTTGAATTAATAGATGGTTCTGGTTTCTCTAAATTCTCACCAACAATTGATATGCAAGTGTTTTTTTTTTATTATACTTTAAGTTCTGGGGTACGTATGGCAGAACGTGCAGTTTTGTTACATAGGTATACACATACCATGGTGGTTTCCTGCACCCATCAACCCATCACCTACATTAGGTATTTCTCCTAATGTTATCCCTTCCCTAGCACCCCAGCCCCCAACAGGCCCCGGAGTGTGATGCTCCCCTCCCTATGTCCATGTGTTCTCATTGTTCAACTCCCACTTACGAGTGAGAACATGCAGTGATTGGTTTTCTTGTCATAGTTTGCTGAGAATGATGGTTTGCAGTTTCCTCCATGACCCTGCAAAGGACATGAACTCATCTTTTTATGGCTGCATAGTTCTCCATGGTGTATATGTGCCACATTTTCTTTATCCAGTATATTATTGATGGACATTTGGGTTGGTTCCAAGTCTTTGCTATTGTGAATAGTGCTGCAATAAACATACGTGTGCATGTGTCTTTATAGTAGAATGATTTATAATCCTTTGGGTATATACCCAGTAATGGGATTGCTGGGTCAAATGGTATTTCTAGTTCTAGATCCTTAAGGAATCACCACAGTCTTCCACAATAGTTGAACAACACTCCTACCGAGTGTTGTAAGTGTCCCTATTTCTCCACATCCTCTCTAGCATCTGTTGTTTCCTGACTTTTTAATGATTGCCATTAATGATCTGGTGTGAGGAGGTATCTCATTGTGGTTTTGATTTACATTTCTCTAATGACCAGTGATGATGAGCATTTTTTTCATATGTCTGTTGACTGCATAAATGTCTCCTTTGAGAAGTGTCTGCTCATATTATTTGCCCACTTTTTGATGGAGTTGTTCTTTTCTTGTAAATTTGTTTAAGTTCTTTGTAGATTCTGGATATTAACCCTTTGTCAGATGGATAGATTGCAAAAATCTTCTCCCATTCTGTAGGGTCTGTTCACTCTGATGATAATTTCTTTCACTGTGCAGAAGCTCTTTAGTTTAATTAAATCCCATTTGTCTATTTTGGCTTTTGTTGCCATTGCTTTTGGTGTTTTAGAGATGAAGTCTTTGCCCATGCCTATGCCCTGAATGGTATTGCCCAGGTTTTCCTCTAGGATTTTTATGGACCTAGGTCTTACGTTTAAGTCTTTCACCCATCTTGAGTTGATTTTTGTATAAGGTGTAAGCAAAGGGTCCAGTTTCAGTTTTCTGCATATGTTGTGCAGTTCTCACAACACCATTTCTTAAATAGGGAGTCTTTTCCTCATTGCTTGTTTCTGTCAGGTTTGTCAAAGATCAGATGGTTGTAGATACGTGGTGTTATTTCTTAGGTCTCTGTTCTGTTCCACTGGTCTATGTATCTGTTTTGGTACCAGTACCATGCTGTTTTGGTTACTGTACCCTTATAGTATAGTTTGCAGTCAGGTAGCATGATGCCTCCAGCTTTGTTCTTCTTGCACAGGACTGTCATGGCTATAAGGGCTCTTTTTTGGTTCCATATAAATTTTAAAGTAGTTTTTTCCAATTATGTGAAGAAAGTCAGTGGCAGCTTCATGGGGATAGCTTTGAATCTATCAATTACTTTGGGCAGTATGGCCATTTTCATGATATTGATTCTTCCTATCCATGAGCATGGAATGCTTTTCCATTTGTTTGTGTCCTCTGTTATTTTCTTGAGCAGTGGTTTGTAGTTCTCCTTGAAGAGGTCCTTCATATCCCTTGTAAGTTGTATTCCTAGGTATTTTATTATCTTTGTAGCAATTGCGAATGTGAGTTCACTCATTATTTGGCTCTCTGTTAGTCTGTTATTGGTGTATAGGAATGCTTGTGATTTTTGCACATTGATTTTGTATCCTGAGACTTTGCTGAACTTGCTTATCAGCTTAAGGAGATTTTGGGCTGAGATGATGGGGTTTTCTAAATACATAATCATGTCATCTTCAAAAAGAGACAATTTGACTTCCTCTCTTCCTATCTGAATACTCTATTTCTTTCTCTTGCCTGATTGTCCTGGCCAGAACTTCCAATACTATGTTGAAGAGGAGTGGTGAGAGAGGGCATCCTTGTCTGGTGCCGGTTTTCAAAGGGAATGCTTCCACTTTTTGCCCATTCAGTATGATACTCACTGTGGGTTTGTCATAAATAACTCTTATTATTTTGAGATATGTTCCATCGATACCTAGTTTTTTGAAAGTTTTTAACATGAAGGGGTGTTGAATTTTGTCGAAGGCCTTTTCTGCATCTATTGAGATAATCATGTGTTTTCTGTCATTGGTTCTGTTTATGTGATGAATTACATTTATTGATTTTCTTATGTTGAACCAGGCTTGCATCCAAGGAGTGAAGCCGACTTGATCATAGTGGATAAGCTTTTTGATGTGCTGTTGAATTCGGTTTGCCAGTATTTTATTGAGGATTTTCGAATCAATGTTAATCAGGGATACTGGCCTAAAATTTTCTTTTTTTATTGTGTCACTACCAGGTTTTGGTAACAGGATGATGCTGGCCACATAAAATGAGTTAAGGAGGATTCCCTCTTTTTCTATTGTTTGGAATAGTTTCAGAGGAAATGGTACCAGCTCCTCTTTGTACTTCTGGTAGAATGCTGCTGTGAATCCGTCTGGTCCCAGACTTTTTTTTGGTTGGCAGACTATTAATTACTGCCTCAATTTCAGAACTTGTTACTGGTTTATTCAGGAATTCAATTTCTTCCTCATTTAGACTTGGGAGGGTGTATGTGTCCAGGAATGTATCCATTTCTTCCAGATTTTCTAGTTTATTTGCATAGAGGTGTTTATAGTATTCTCTGATGGTAGTTTGTATTTCTGTGGGATCAGTGTTGATATTCCCTATATCATTTTTTATTGCATCTATTTGATCCTTCTCTCTTTTTTCTTTATTATTCTGGCTTGTGGTCTATCTATTTTGTTGATCTTTTCAAAAAACCAGCTCCTGGATTCATTGATTTTTTGAAGGTTTTTTCATGTCTCTATCTCCTACAGCTCTGCTCTGATCTTGGTTATTTCTTGTCTTCTACTAGACTTTGAATTTGTTTGCTGATGCTTCTCTAGTTCTACTAATTTTGATGTTAGGGTGTCAATTTTAGATCTTTCCTGCTTTCTCTTGTGAGTATTTAGTGCTATAAACTTCCCTCTACACACTGCTTTAAATGTGTCCTAGAGATTCTGGTATGTTGTGTCTTCATTCTCATTGGTTTCAAAGAACATCTTTATTTCTCCCTTCATTTTATTATTTACCCAGTAGTCATTCAGAAGCAGGTTGTTCAGTTTCCATGTAGTTGTGCGGTTTTGAGTGAGTCTCTTAATCGTGAGTTCTAATTTGATTGCACTGTGGTGTGAGAGACTCTTTGTTATGATTTCTGCTCTTTTGCATTTGCTGAGGAGTGTTTTACTTCCAATTACGTGGTCAATTTTAGAATAAGTGCAGTGAGGTGCTGAGAAGAATGTATATTCTGTTGATTTGGGGTGGAGAGTTCTGTAGATGTCCATTAGGTCCTCTTGGTCCAGAGCTGAGTTCAAGTTCTGAGTATCCTTGTAAATTTTCTGTCTCATTGATCTGTCTAATATTGACAGTGGGGTGTTAAAGTCTCCCACTATTATTGTGTGGGAGTCTAAGTCTCCTTGTAGGTCTCTAAGACTTGCTTTATGAATCTAGGTGCTCCTGTATTGGGTGCATATATATTTAGGATGGTTAGCTCTTCTTGTTCCATTGGTCCCTTTACCATTATGCAATGCCCTTCTTTGTCTCTTTTGATCTTTGTTGGTTTAAAGTCTGTTTTATCAGAGATTACTATTGCAACTCCTGCTTTTTTGTTTTTGTTTTGGTTTTCCATTTGCTTGGTAAATATTCCTCCATCCCTTCCCTTTATTTTGAGCCTATGTGTGTCTTTGCACGTGAGATGGGTCTCCTGAATACAGCACACTGATGGGTCTTGACTCTTTATCCAATTTGCCAGTCTGTGTCTTTTAATTGGGGCATTTAGCCAGTTTAAATTTAAGGTTAATACTGTTATGTGTGAATTCGATCCTGTCATTATGATGCTAGCTGGTTCTTTTGCTCGTTAGTTGATGGAGTTTCTTCATAGTATCGATGTTCTTTACAATTTGGTATGTTTCTGCAGTGGCTGGTACTGGTTTCTCCTTTCCATGTTTAGTGCTTCTTTCAGGAGCTGTTGTAACGCAGGCCTGGTGGTGACAAAATCTCTCAGCATTTGCTTGTCTGTAAAGGACTTTATTTCTCCTTTGCTTATGAAGCTTAGTTTGGCTGGATATGAAATTCTGGGTTGAAAATTCTTTTCTTTAAGAATGTTGAATATTGGCCCCCACTCTCTTCTGGCTTGTAGGATTTCTACAGAAAGATCCCCTGTTAAGTCTGATGGGCTTCCCTTTGTGGGTAACCCAACCTTTCTCTCTGGCTGCCCTTAACATTTTTTCCTTCATTTCAACCTTGGTGAATCTGATGATTATGTGTCTTGGGGTTGCCCTTCTCGAGGAGTATCTTTGTGGTGTTCTCTGTATTTCCTGAATTTGCATGTTGGTCTGTCTTGCTAGGTTGGGGAAGTTCTCCTGGATAATATCCTGAAGAGTGTTTTCCAACTTGGTTTCATTCTCCCCATCACCTTCAGGTACATCAATCAAACATAGATTTGGTCTTTTCACACAGTCCCATATTTCTTGTTCCTTTGTTCGTTCCTTTTTATTCTTTTCTCTAATATTGTCTTCTCTCTTTCTTTCATTAAGTTGATCTTCAATCAATGATATCCTTTCTTCCACTTGATCAGTTCAGCTATTGAAACTTGCGTATGCTTCATGAAGTTCTCATACTGTGTTTTTCAGCTCCAGCAGGTCATTTACATTCTTCTCTACACTGGTTATTCTATTCCAGTTAGCGATTCGTCTAACCTTTTTTCAAGGTTCTTAGCTTCCTTGCATTAAGTTAGAACCTGCTCCTTTAGCTCGGAAGAGTTTGTTATTACCAGCCTTCTGAAGCCTACTTCTGTCAATTCGTCAAACTCATTCTCCATCCAGTTTTGTTCTCTTGCTGGCGAGGAGTTGTGATCCTTTGGAGGAGAAGAGGCTTTCTGGTTTTTGGAATTTTCAGCCTTTTTGTGCTGGTTTCTCCCCATCTTTGTGATTTACCTACCTTTGCTCATTGATTTTCGTGACCTCTGAATGGGGTCTTTGAGTCGACATGCTCTTCCTTTCTGTTTCTTAGTTTTCCTTCTGACAGTCAGGCCCCTCTGCTGCTGTCTGCTGGAGTCTGCTGGTGGTCCACCCCTGACCCTGTTTGCCTGGATATCACCAGCAGAGGCTGCAGAACAGCAAAGATTGCCGCCTGATCTTTCCTCAGGAAGCTTCGTCCCAGAGGGGCACCTGCCAGATGCCAGCCAGAGCTCTCCTGTGTGAGATGTCTGTCAGCCCCTAGTGGGAGGTGTCTCCCAGTCAGGATACACAGGAGTCAGGGACCCACTTGAAGAGGCAGTCTGATCCTTAGCAGAGGTTGAATGCTGTGCTGGGAGGTACGCTGCTCTTTTCAGAGCTGTCAGGCAGGAACATTTAAGTCTGCTGAATCTTCACCCACAATTGCTCCTTTCTCCAGGTGCTCTGTCCCAGGAAGATAGGGGTTTTATCTATATGTCCCTGACAGGAACTGTTGTCTTTTTTTTCAGAGATGCCCTGCCCAGAGAAGAGGAATCTAGAGAGGCCATGCTGAGCTGCACTGGGCTCCACCCAGTTGGAACTTCTCAGTGGCTTTGTTTACACTGTGAGCTTAAAACCGCCTACTCAAGCCTCAGCAATGGCAGGTGACCCTCCCCCTACCGAGCTTGAGCCACAGCAGGCTGCTGCTGTGCTGACAGTGAGAATTTCAAGTCAGGGGATCTTAGTTTGCTGGGCTCCATGGGAGTGGGACCCACCAAGCCAGACCACTTGGCTCCCTGGCTTCAGCACCCCTTTCCAGGGGAGTGAATGGTTCTGTCTTGCTGGTGTTCCAGGCCCCAATGAGGCATGGAAAAAAAGAACTCCTGCAGTTAGTTCGGTGTCTGCCCAAATGGCCGCCCAGTTTTGTGCTTGAAACCCAGAGCCCTGGTGGCATAGGCACCGCAGGGAATCTCCTGGTTTGCAGATTGCAAAGACCATGGGACAAGCGCAGTATCTGTGCTGGAGTTCCTCAGGCTCAGACTCTCATGGCTTCCGCTGGGTAGGGGAGAAAATTCCCCAATCCCTTGCGCTTCCTGGGTGAGGCAATGCCCCACCCTGCTTCAGCTTGCCCTCCATGGGCTGCAGCCACTGTCCAACCAGTCCCAGTGAGATGAACCGGGTACCTCAGTTGGAAATGCAGAAATCACCTGCCTTCTCTATCATTTTCGCTGGGAGCTGCAGACCAGAGCTGTTCCTATTCAGCCATCTTGCCAGCAATCTATGGCAAGTGTTTTTAACATTAGCCAATCTAATACGTGTGTGGTGGTATTTTAATATAGTTTTAATTTGCATGTCCCTAATCCCTAATGCTACTGAACATCTTTTCATGTGCTTATTTTCTTACTTAGTTTTGACAGTTCTTAATATATTCTAGACATAGTTTATCAGATATACAGTTTTCAATTATTTTTCCCAATCTGGGGCTTGTCTCCTTAACAATACAGGAGTCCCTCTCCCTTATCTGCAGTTTCACTTTCCACGAGTGGTACCAGTTACCCAAGGTACAGTTCCAGAAGATACTTTGAAGGGGTGGGGAGACCACACTCACATCACTTTTATAACAACATATTGTTATAATTGTTCTATTTTATTATTAGTTATTGTTATTAATCTCATATTGTGCCTAGTTGATGAATTAAACTTTATCATAGGTATGAATGGCTAAGAAAAATCATAGCATACAAAAGGCTTGGTACTATCCATGGTTTAAGGCATCCACTGGGGGTTGTGGAATATATCCCACGAGGATAAGGGGGAATTACTGTATATGTCAAAGAGTAGAATATTTTAATTTTCATAAAGTGTAATTTATTAATTAGTAAATTTATTAATTGACTTTTTTTTTTTTTTTTTGAGACAGAGTCTCACTCTGTCGCCCAGGCCAGAATGCAGTGGCTCAATCTTGGCTCACTGCAACCTCCACCTCCCGGGTTCAAGAGATTCTCCTGCCTCAGCCTCCCGAGTAACTGGGACAAGAGGCACATGCCACTGCACCCAGCTAATTTTTTTAAATATTTTTAGTAGAGACAGCATTTCACCATATTGGCCATGCTGGTCTCAAACTCCTGACCTCGTGATCTGCCCACCTCGACCTCCCAAACTGCTGGGATTACAGGCACGAGCCACCGCACCTGGCCCGATTTATTAATTTTGATCAGGCTTTTGGTATCCTATTTTAGAAATCTTTGTCTAACCCAAGATCACAAAAGTTTTCTCCTATCTGTTCTTCTAGAACTTTTTTATTGATATAAAATTTATTTCCTACAAAAGTCATCCTCATAAATTGTACAGTTCAATGGTTTTTAGTACATTGAGTGACGTGTGCAACCATCACCAATATCTAATTTCAGAACATTCTCATTAGACTGAAAAGAAACCCAGTATAAATGGGCATATTCTGGACATTTCATATAAACAAATCATATAGAAAAATAGCCTTTGTAGCTATCCTCTTTATCATAATGCTTCCAAGGCCATGTTACAGCCATATTATAGCATATTTCAGAACATCATTCTTTTTCATGGCTGAATAATATTCCTCTGTATGAATATACCACATTCTGCTTATACATACATGAGATGATAGGCATTTACATTGTTTCCACATTTTAGCTGTTGTGTATGTTGCTGCTATGGGCATTCATGTACAAGTTTCTCTTTGAATCCTGTTTTTAATTATTTTGATTCTATACTTAGGATTGAAATTTCTGGATCATATGGTAATTCTGTATTTAAACTTGTGAGGAACTGCCAATCTGTTTTCCATAGCAACTGCATAATTTTATATCCCCACCATTAATGTACAAGGGTTCTAATTTCTCCACTTCTTTGTCAACACTTGCTGTTGTCCACTTTTTTTATTACAACCATCCTAGTAGGTGTGAAGCTGTACCTCACTGGGGTTTCCGATTTGCATTTCCCAGTCATTTGCATAACTAATAATGTTGAGCAGCTTTTCATGTGCTTGGCAGCCAAGTATATCTTCTCTGGAGAAATATCTATTCAAGTCTTTTGCACATTTAAAAAAATTAGGCTGTCTTTTTGTTGCTAAGATATGAGTTATTTATATATTCAAGACACTTACCAGATATGTGATTTGCAAATATTTTTTCTTATTCTGTCGATTGCCTCTTCAATTTCTTGAGAGTATCCTTTGAATTTTTAATTGTGATAAAGTACAATTTACCTTTTTTTTCTTCTGTTGCTCATGCTTTTGGTGTCATATCTAAGAATCCATTACTGAATTCAAGGTCATGAAGATTTCTCCCATGTTTTCTTCTACATGTTTCATAGTTTTAACTCCTACATTTAGGTCTTTGAACCATGTTATAGTTAATTTTTATATATGGTCTGAGGTAGAGGTCTAGTTTCACTCTTTTGGATACGGATATCCAGATATCCTTGCACCATGTGCTTAAGAGACTCTTCTCATTGAATGGTTTTAGCACCCTTTCAAATATTAATAGGACATAGATGTGTGAGTTTATTTCTGGACGCTCGATCCTTTTCCATTGACTTACGTGTCTATCCTTACATCAGTACTATACTGTTTTGGTTCTTATAGCTCTGTAGTAAGTTTTAAAATTGGGACATATGAGTCCTCCAACACTGTTTTTCTTTTTTTGAGATAGTTACGGCTCTTCAGTTGTCCTGCAATTCAATAATAATTTCAATATCAGATTTTCCATTAAAAAAAGCTGCTGAGATTTTTACAGAGATTCCATTGACTCTATAAAGTGCTTTGAGTAATACTGCCATCTTAACAATATTAAGTATTTTAAGATGAATAGTGGATGCCTTTTCATTATGTAGGTCTTCTTTAATTCCTTTCGGTAATGTTTTGTGGGTTTCAGTGATCCTTGGTTAAATGTATTTATAAATGTTTTATTATTTTTGATAATAATGTAAATGAAAGGTTTTCCTTTATTTCATTTGCAGATTATTCATTGCCAGCATATAAAATTATAACTTTTTAATGCTTCTTTTCAATGTCTTTTTAATTTTTTTAACTGACAAAATTTGTATATATTTATGGTGTACAGCATGATGTTTTGATATAAGTATACATTGTGGAGTGGCCAGATCAAGATAATTAATATATGCCTTACCTCATATACTGAAAGGAGTTAGTTAGCTTGCCTTAGGTAGATAACAAGGGAAGGGTCCCAGAGAGGCCCCCGCCTGTGGGTCAGTGCCTCATCCCCACATAACATAAAAAGCAGCCTGAGAAAAAATTCAAGCGGCAGGTACCAATAAGGGAACTAGCACGGGGTGTTATACCTAGAGACATGCCCACGGCTGCACAGATAGAAAAACCTCCAGCCCATTTGGATAAAAACTTGCACAAACCTCCAGCTAACTCAGATAAGGGAACAAGGCCAGGCACAGAAATGCCTTTGTCCTTTGTATAGTCAGTGGGATCCCAGAAAAAGTTTCTTCTCCTTTTGTGGGCATGGGCACAGTGGGCTCCGGTGGGTTCCAGTGGGCACTCTACTTTCCTTTATTTGGACTGTAAGTCTGGCCTCTATGAATCATCACCTCAGCCCGATTGTTCCCAGGCCAAGCTGAGTCACACATTCGCCAAGACAGCCCACAGACTAAGCACATTCCTTCCCCTTCCCAGTCCATAAAAACCCTGGACCCCAGCCCCACAGTGGATACTCCCATTCCAGACCCCCTCTCTGCTGGCAGAGAGCTTTCTTCTTTTGCTTATTAAACTTTCGCTCTAACCTCACCTTTGACCATGCTCCTTAATAGTCTTGGAGGTAGGACAAGAACTCCCAGCATTATCTCAGACAACAAAAGTTTGTTTCGATATTATATTGAAACAATATATACCCTTGTCATCCTTTTAATACCTATAGTATCTGTAGTTTTCTCAACCCTCTGAGCTGTAACACCGGCAACTTTTTTTTTGATCAGTGTGACTAGAGATTTATCAATTTCATCTATCTTATCAAATCGCTAGCTTTTGGTTTCATTAATTTCCTCTCTTCTTTTTGCTTTCCATTTCAACATTGTTTCAATATTATATTATTTGTGGTCGACCACTTAAAATTTATTCTCTCAGCAATTTTCAAGTATACAATATAGTTACTTACTATAGTAAATATGTACTATATGTACTATGTACTATATGTACTACAGTCTATAGTCTATAGTCTATGATGTACTATAGATCTCTTGAACTTACTCTTGCTGCCTAACTGAAATTTTGTATTCTTCAACCAGCACCTCCTCAATCCTTTCCCTCCCTTCAGCATCTGGTAACCACCATTCTAATCTGATTCTATGAGTCTGACTTTGTTAGATTCCACATGTAAGAAGATCATGCAGTATTTGTCTTTCTGTGCCTGGCTTATTTTACTTAACATAATCTCCCTCCAGGTTCATCCATGTTGTTGCAAATGACAGAAATTTCCTTCTTTTTAAGGCTGAATAGTATTCCATTGTGTGTATATACCATATTTTCTAATTTTTTTTCTTTTTTTTTTTTTTTTTTTGAGACAGAGTCTCACTCTGTCGCCTAGGCTGGAGTGCAGTGGCCACTGCAAGCTCCACCTCCCGGGTTCACGCCATTCTCCTGCCTCAGCCTCCAGAGTAGCTGGGACTATAGGCGCCTGCTACCACGCCCATCTAATTTTTTTATATTTTTTTAGTAGAGATGGGGTTTCACCATGTTAGCCAGGATGGTCTCAAACTCCTGACCTCGTGATCCGCCCACCTCGGCCTCCCAAAGTGCTGAGATTACAGGTGTGAGCCACCGCGCCTGGCCAACATTTTCTTTATCCATTTATCCTTTAATGGACATTCCATATCAACTTTGGCTACTGTGAATAGTGCTGCAATGAAAGTAAGAGTGCAGACATCTCTTCAACATACTGATTTTATATCCTTTGGATACATACCCAGCAGTACTATTGCTGGCTCATATGGCAGTTTTATTTTTAATTTTTTTGAGTCACTTCCATACTGTGTTCTACAATGGCTATACTAATTTACATTTCTACCAAGAATTTTCAAGAGCTCCCCTTTTCCTACATCCTCACCAAAACTTGTTATCTTTCCCCTTTTTAATAACAGCCATTCTAACAAGTGTAAGGTGATATCTCATTGTGGTTTTAATTTGCATTTCTCTGATGATTAGTGACACTGAGCATTTTTTTTCATATACTTGCTGGCCACATGTATGTCTCTTTTTGAAAAATGTCTATTTGGGTACTTTGCCCAGTTTTCAATCAGGTTATTTGTTTTCTTACTATTGAGTCGAGTTCCTTATATATTTTGGATAGTAGCTCCTTATCAGATATATGGTTTGGAAATACTTTCTTCCATTCCATAGGTTGTCTTTTCACTCTGTTGTTTCCTCTGCTATACAGATACAATGGATTTTTGTGTATTGATTTCCTAGCTTTGATTTATTTTGAGTGCCTAATCAACTTTGCTTTTCTGGGATAAACTCTAATTAGGTCATGACATAATTATCCTTTTAAAATACTGTTAGACATGATTTTCCAAACTTTTGTTTACAATTTTTGAACCTATATTCATGAAAGATAGTGATGTTCAATTTTCTTCACTTAGAGTGTCTTTATCAAGTTTTTAAAATGTGGGTAATAATAGTCTCTTTTCTAGAAGACTTGTGTTGAATTGGTATTATTTCTTTCTTAAATATTTGGCAAAATTCAACAGTGAAGTCATCTGGGATGGGAGTATTGGAAAATTTTTAACTACAGAAGCAATTTCTTTAAGAAATACAGGGGTATTCAAGTTATTATTTCTTCTTAAGTGAGCTTTGGTAGTCAGTGTTTTTCAAATAAATTTTCCATTTCATCTAAATTGTTGAATTGATAGGCCTAAAGATGTTCACTGGCTGGATGTGGTTGCTCACGCCTGTAATCTCAGCACTTTGAGAGGCTGACATGGGTGGATCACCTGAGGTCAGGAGTTCAAAACCAGCCTGGCTAACATGGTGAAACCCCGTCTCTATTAAAAATACAAAAAATTAGCCGGGCGTGGTGGTGGGCGCCTGTAGTCCCAGATATTTGGGAGGCTGAGGCAGGAGAATTGCTTGAACCCGAGAGGTGGAGGTTGCAGTGAGCCAAGATCCCATTACACTCCAGCCTGGGCAACAAGATTGAAACTCTATCTCAAAAATTAAAATTAAAAAAAAAGATGTTCATAATAATAACCTTGTTATCCTTTTAATGCCTGTAGTATCTGTAGTTTTGTCAACCCTCTGAGCTATAACATTGGCAAGTTTTTTTTGATCAGTGTGACTAGAGATTTATCAATTTTATCTATCTTATCAAATCACTAGCTTTTGGTTTCATTAATTTCCTCTCTTCTTTTTGCTTTCCATTTCATTGATTTCCTCTTTGATCTTTACTATTTCCTTTTTTTTTTTTTTTTTTTTTTTGCTTACTTTGGATTTAGTTTGCTCCTTTCTCAAATTTCATAAAATGGAAGTTGAAGTCATGATTTGAAATCTTTCTTTTTTCTCATATTGGTATTTGTTTCATTATTTTTATCTAAGTAGTACTTTAGTAGCATCACACTAAATCTGATACATTGTGTTTTCATTTTCATTCATTTCAAAATACTTTCTAATTTCTCTTTTGATTTTGTCTTTACTCATGGGTTATTTAGGATTGAATGCATAAGGAGGGTCATCCACAAATCCCTGGGATTCTTCTATGCAGTTCTCTCCACTCCAGTATTCAGTCCTCTGAAATCTGGCTGTTTTGGTCTCCCTGGCCTTTCTGTTCTGTTTTGTCAACTCAGACAGTCTGCTGTGTGTTACCTGAGTTACCCCCCAACCTGTGCTGCAGTCTGGAAACTCTTTCAATGCACTAAACTGAGACAATCCCAGAGCTCCTCCTGCCTGTTTCCCGTATCATAGGGATCATTGTCCTTGGTTGCCTGATACCCAGTGTCTTAAAAACCATTGTTTCCTATATTTTGTCTGTTTTTTTAAAGTTGTTTCAGGAAAGAGTAAATTTGGCCCCTGTTACGCCACCTAAGCTGGAAGAAGTCCAGTTTCGTTTTGCTTATATCATTATAAACCCATTTTTATATATTTTATTTCTTTTAATTCATTGCAGAATCTTCCTTTTCAATGCTCAAAATATCCCAGCCTAAGTCAGTAGGAGCCATTTCACGTTGGCTTTTGGGTCCTTCGACATGTTCCTTCTAGTCTCTTTAGTGGCAAATGACATGCAGGTCCCACAGTCTAAACACTGAAGGTAACTATATATTTGCATTTGCTGAACTTGTTTTTAAAAGTGGGAGAGAGAGCAAGATATACAGATTTTATATTTATATAACAGGTACACTACAATGAAAAGAACACACTTGTGTTAGAGTAGACCCAATTCTCCCACATACAAGTCACTAATACTCTTAACTGTAAATGTAGACCTCAAAAATTCTTATCTTTGCTTCCTAAATATAGACCTCTAAGTTTCCAAACAGTCCCATAAATATGACTTTATCTTATCAACCTGTGTGCATTCAGTCTGGTTATTCTGGACTCTCATTAACACAGTCATAGCAGCTTAGAAAGGCTTCTTATCCCAATATTGCTTGAGATTAGCAGAATCTAAGTAATAATGGCATGTCATCAGTAAATATTACAAAGTAAACGGGAATCCAGTCAAGCCTGAGAAAATCAAAATAAAATTAAATCAAAGGGACCACAAGAGGATATCAATGTCCTTCCATCTATTCCCAATCCTCTGTTTTCTTGCCCTTGATTTAAAAATCAAGATGTCACAAATCCCCAATTTTCCCTTCTAACCTACTAAATTAGACTTGATATTTCTTAGTTTCCATGAGAGCCCCTAACAGTCCCTTCTAGGCCAATAATTCCTAAATTCATAGATTCTTCAGGGTGCAAGAAATTGCAGATCTGAAGACAGATCATCTAATACAGGCACATAATTTCAAAGACAGGAAACTAAGGTACAGAAATTTTATGCTCTTTGCCTCTCTCTTAGCAAACTTAGAAAGCCAGGGATTTAGTGACATCATGTATTAAAGAGATTTTCTAAAGCATGTAAAAACATATTTAGGCTGATAACTCTTAACACTCTATATCTCACATCCTCTTGATTATTTATTATGTACTATGATGATAAGGAAAACACAACTTTTTAAGGGGTGTTTATATGATTACAAACATTTTTGTGAATGTCTTAGTAACCAGTATGAAAACATTGCCAGAATGCAAATATCATAAAATAAAAAGCATTAATTTTATTAAAAACTGAGTCTACCCTTGGTTTTCAAGAGATAAACCAATTAAAATAGCTAAAATAGCTTTGCAGAACCGATGCATGTATAAAATGTCCTCTTTTGCCTTTACTTGAATCCAGAAAACTAAGCAACATTCATTGCTTAGTTGTACACACCAGTTTTCTCATCAAAGAAAAGGCTCTGTTGAAGAACAAAGATGTTCCTCAGAACTTTGAGGACTAACTGTAATACAAGTCCAATAGATTCTGATTGTTGATAGACCAAACCAGCAATCCTTGCCTAAAATCTTCAGAAGAACCATTTCAGCAAATTGAGCTTTCCAATGCAGACATTTGCTGTAGCTGTGTTTTATCACAGAGAATAATTGTGATCTTTTAAGTACCAGTGTACCATAATTTTTGGCCATCTCAAAATGCTGAGGGAAGCACTTACTGATCTAATAAGTCTTGTTTTGTCTTTAATGAGTACAATTTCAAGTAATCATAAAAAGCCCACATATGGCCATCACAACACTTGTTGTGCACAATCTGTTCAACCAAAGGCATTTTTACTCTACAACATAAACAGCATTAGGTGTGACTAGAAAAACATTCATCTACCAAGATGTTCAGGCCAAGGTTATAGGAAATGAATTAAAAATTATGGTTACATATGGTCTTGGTTACACTAAGATGTTCTGATACAGCAATAATTGAGAATAACAGGCCTATCCTCTCCTCTAGCTTTAGGCTCTGATCCTCACAATAAAATTAAAGCTAATCAGTCCTTTAAGACATACTACAACCACAGGCTCTCTTTCAGATACACTATACTAGAATAGTGATTTGATTTCTTAAAATCAAACTTCGTACTAATTTTCTAGCAATTTAGATACTATGGCATCTTTTTTTTTTTTTTTTTTTTGAGACAGAGTCTCATCTGTCGCCCGGGCTGGAGTGCAGTGGCGCAATCTCGGCTCACTGCAACCTCCGCCTCTCGGGTTTAAGCAATTCTCCCATCTCAGCCTCCCAAGTAGCTGGGATTACAGCCACCACACCACCATGCCCAGCTAATTTTTGTCTTTTAGTAGAGATGGAGTTTCACCACGTTGGCCAGGCTGATTTCAGACTCCTGGCCTCAAGTGATTCACCTGCCTCGGCCTCCCAAAGTGCTGGGATTACAGGAGTGATCCATTGTGCCTGGCCCGCATCTGTTTTAATATTAATAGCTAAAATTTACTTAGCATTTACTGTGGTCTCTATTCTGAATCAAGTACCTTATATATATTACCTTATTTAATACCCTAAAAAATAATTTTCCCACTTAGCTAAGTGATAGACCCAATAATCCAATCTGAGGTTATAATGGCGCCCAGGGTCCTATTCACTGTATGATCCTACCATAGTCCTAGGTAACTCATAAACATTTGCTCTTCTCCTAGGGAGTAAAGAAAGACATTATTTCCCATTAAACTGTAAGCTCAAAGAGATCTGAAGACATCAAACTGAAAGAGACCTGGGATCTTACCTGGTTTTTTTCATCATTGTGTTGCCAATACAGCAACTTTCTAATAGTTGTGAAATGAAGGAAGGTTGAAGGAAAAGGTTGCTCAGCTATAATAAGTCGGAAAAGGCAAGAATCACATTCATTTTCCTAAGTACTATAGGATAGAACTGAAATTTATACAGTAACAAATTTCAGATAACACATAGGTAAATTTTATAGTAGCCAGCTTTTCCATTACACAAATGTAAGAATTGGCTTTTAATTATTTTAAAGCTCTGGAAAGCAGTAGAGATGACACATCGCAGTAGAGATGACACATCAGTGAGAGATTACTAAAGAACTGGCAGTTTGATCATTTCTAAAAATATGAAATTTCATATAATTGTTATATTATTGAACTCTCTGAGCCACAATGTAAATTTTTGTCATATATTCACCTCTCTTTTCACCTTACATATTCAGCTTGATAATATGCACTGACCATATTCACTTTTTAAAGCCAAATACTCATAAGATCTAGTGATATATGAGCACTTAAAATTCAACCAAATATCTTCTAAGCACAATATATTAACATTTAAATGATTCTTTTCATATATATTTCTTTGATATATATTTCATAGCCATTAGCAATGAAAAAGCAAAAAGCTTCTTGTTTAAATGAGTATTCCATTTCAGAAAGGATAAGTTTGGTATTGCTTTCTTCAACTCATTTTAACTTTTATCAAACATTAGTAGGCTTCTATAATGGTCTGACTGTCCCTTATTCAAGTAAATTAAACAATTTAGGGCTCATCACCTGTATGATACTCAAAAATACCAAGGAAAAGCAGCCATAGTACCTACCTTGGTTAGGTGAATGACTCCTTTAGAAGTGACTGAACAACCCATGAAGCCTACATATTGAAGCTCAGGACAGTGTTCAGCAAATGCTTTCACTGACTGATCTGTCACCTAGGGAAAAGACATGGATGAAATTATTCAAGGTAATAGTCCAGTGAACTCAAGGATTTGGCTCCTGAAAATCCTCTCAGCCCCACCTTGCATCATTACTATTTCCTGCCCTGTTAGATCATTTGAATCAGCATACAAACATGCTATAATATTCCTGTATTTTTAAAAGTCATCTCTTGACCCTACATCCACTTCTTATCACCCCATGTTTTTATACTTCTTCAGACATGTTGACACTGGCTACCTCCAATTCTTTACCTTCTCCCCTCCCTCTGTGTGTGTATATATATGTATATGTATACACACACACACACACACACACACACACAAACACACACATATATGGTTGGTTTGTTTTGGGGTTTTTTGTTTTGTTTTGTTTTGACAGAGACTCACTGTGTTGCCCAGGATGGAGTGCAGTGGCACAATCTCGACTCACTGCAACCTCCGCCTCCCAGGTTCAACTGATTCTCCTGCCTCAGCCTCCCAAGTAGCTGGGACTACAAGCATGCATCACCACACCCAACTAGTTTTTTTGGTTTTTTTTGTTGTTGTTGTTGTGTTTTGTTTTGTATTTTTAGTGGAGACGGGGTTTCACCATGTTGGCCAGGTTGGTCTCAAACTCCTGACCTTAAGTGATCCAGCCTCCTTGGCCTCCCAAAGTGCTGGGATTACAGGGGTAAGCAATCACACCCAACCAATATATATTTTTTTATTGACATTTAATTCACATACCATAAAATTCACCCTTTCAAAGAGTACAGTTCAGTATATTCGCAAGTTTATGCACCATTACCGATATCTAATTCCAGAACATGTTCACCACCCCCCAAAGACCCCATGCCCATTAACGGTCATTCCCCTATTTCCCACTACCTCCAAGCCTGGCAATCTACATTTTCCTATTCTGAACACTTTATATAAAAAGAACTACCAGTTTGTGACCATTTATGACTGGCTTCTTTCACTTAGCATAATGTTATCAAGGTTCATCCATGTTGTAATATGTGTTGGAATTTCCTTACTTTTCAAGGCTGAAAAATATTCCATTGTATGGATATACTACATTTTTATGGGTTGAATTATGTCTCCTTAAGATTCATATTTTGAAATCTTAACCCTCACTACCTCAGAATGTGATCTTATTTGGAAATGGGGCAGCTATTTCCAATAGTGAAGTAAATAGTTAATTTAGGATGAAGTTGTACTGGAGTGAAGTGGGCTCCCAATTCAATATAACTGGCGGAGCAGAGATGCACACACAGGGAGAATGCCATGTGAAGACTGGAGTTATGCTGCACAAGCCAAGGCACACCAGATTGCCAAAAAGAGTGCCAGAAGTTAGGCAAGAGGCCTGGAACAGATCCTTTCCTAGCACTTTAGAAGAAACATGGCCCTGCCAACACTTTGATCTTGGACTTCCAGGCTCTAGAACTGTGACACCATAAATTTCTATTGTTTAAGCCACTCAGTTTGTGGTACTTGGTTCTAACAGCCCTAGCAAGCTAATACACACATTTTCCACTCTCTCTTGATCTCATAGTAATCAAGGTTTTGTCCCTCTCATTCATTGTCACTATCCTATCAATTAAATGGTCAATCTCAATTATCCCAGCATTTCAGCAGTATCTGACACAACTGATGATTCTTCTGGAAACAATTCATTTGCTTCTTGTATCAACTATCATGGCTTTCCTCCTTCCTTACTTTTGGCTCTTGGTCACTTGGTTGAGTCTACCTCATCTCAGTCCTCAGCTCATTTCTCTTTTCCGTCTTACTTCATTCCTTAGGTGATCAAAACTAATTGCATGGCTCCTTAATAACTCTCCTAGTCCCTCTCTGTGTCTCACCACACTTTGATTTTCTTCATAACACTTATCACTACTGATCACATTACACACTTACTCACATATTAGTTTGTCACTCTTCCCCTCTCAAAATAACTCTTCCCTCCCTCTCCCCTAGAATAACCAACCATTCTGATTTGCCTCGGACAGTTTCAGTCTTAGCACTGAAAAGTCCTATGACCCGGAAAACCACTTAGTTCCCCATCGGCACCTAGAATAATCCCTGGCACTTAGTAGAAAATATTGAAATAAATAAATGAATTTTTTTCCTTCTTTCCATGTCCTCCATCATACCTTTTACTTCTACTTTATTTTATTTTTAGACAAAGGATATATTTGTATCATTTTAATATATGATTTTTTAAATGTCATTGTACTAGTGGCTTTATTTTCTGATACAGTTCATGTGTCTTAAGAAGTCTTTTTTTAAAGAACTGGGAGGAGGCACATTTTTACACCAGTGACTCAACTTTGATCTGTACCATGGTTAATTTTCTATATCAACTTGACTATGCCATGGGGTGCCCAAATATTTGGTTAAACATTATTCTGGGTATTCCTGTGAGAGAGTTTCTGAATGATATTAACAGCTCAATCAGTAGACTGAGTGAAGCAGATTGCCTTCTTCAATGGAGAGAAACTTCATCTAGTCTGTCAAAGGTCTGAATAGAATAAAAAGTCAGTGTAACGGAGAATTGGTGCTCTCTCTGCCTGACTATCTTCCAAGCAGGAGATCAGTCTTCTCCTGCCTTTGATTCAGACTTGCACTGGAACTTTCACCATTGGCTCTCCCAGTTCTCAGGTCTTTAAACTTGGACTAGAATTTACACCATTAGTTTTTGTACTTCTCAAGCCTTCAGACTTGGACTGAGACTATACCAATGGCTCTCCTGGTACTCTAGATTGACAAATGGAGATCTTGGAACTTCTCAGTCTCCATAATCATGTAAGCCAATTCCTTACAACAATCTCTAGAAAGATATACAGACAGACGTACAGACAATATCCTAATGGTTCTGTTTCTGTGGAGAACCATGACTAATACCTTGAGTATTACAATCCCAAGTTTTATTATATTAAAAACTCAGAGCTGAAAGGAGTGGGGCCCAAGGAACTGTATTTTCAACAAGCCCCCAAGTGACTCTTAAGCATGTGAAAACTTGAGGCCCCCAGTGCTTCAAAGAAGTTACACTGACAGTGTTTTGTATTTCTAAGCAGCCCTGCTTTAAATGAATGGCAGAATAAAATTCCTTTTTCGTCTCCCGCACCTCCAAAAAAATTTCCATTTACAAAATTATCTTCTTGTAATTGTGCTTAAATTTTCTTCATGTTTCCCAAAGATGTAGCTTATAAAAGAAAGTCCAAATATTCTCTATCATATGCTTAATTTCAGATTCACTTTCTTCACAGTCAAGATGAGATCGACAAATTTAACATCTTTGTTAGTTTTTCAAACAATAGCAACTTACATCTCTTTGGCATTAGCTTTAGCATGGGTGACTCTTTTTGTATCTTCCTTACCTATGCTGAACAGATATTGGAAGAAAGAAGTATGTGAGTAGCATTAATGCTAAAACAATCATAAGAACATTTTCCTAAAATAATGAAACCAACAGCATCTATGGTACATGTGATAAAAGATTAATTCTCCCCTCAAAAGTAAAGTATGCTTAAGCATATTAAGACTAAGGATGCCATTGATAAATTTAAAATAGGCTTTCCTGACACTTAGCATTCTAAAGGCATTATGTTAACAAAGAATTTTTAAGGCACTAAAATTGCTGGAAGCTTCAATGAAACTCAATCACTATTAAAAACAAAAAGGGGTAACAGAGGTTAAGTACATGGTCAGTTGGTTAAACACCCTGCTCAATTTCAGTCTAACATTAAGTTTTTCCTATATCCATCTTCGAGGAGAGGAGAAGAACTCAGATGAGGATTAAGGACACAAGAAAACTCAGGTCCAAGAGGCCAGAGCATTCAGAGAGAAAAAGTGGGGTTTGAAAATGTGCTTCTTGGGTCTTTCTCTTTCAGCTCAAGCAATCAGAATAAGATAGCTCAGAGGAGCCTCTAACATCAACAGAGCCCTGGAAAGCAAGACAAGATTGTGTCATGGGGATACAGAAACACTCTTAGCAGGCTTGGGTATGTTTTAGGAGACTAATAAAAGGGCCTTGAAGATTTGGGTGGCATCCAGCTCCACTCCCCAAGGATAGAAGATCAGTTAGGGATTTGTGGCAGAAGGTCTGGAAGAAACAGACTATAGACTACAGGATGCAGCTACTGGGACCCTGGAGTCTCACTTCTAGCTTCTCTGGGACCCTGGAGTCTCACTGTCTAGCTTCAAATCCCAACTGGACCACTTACTAGCTGTGTGATTTTCAACAAGTCATTTCTCCTCTCTATACACTTTGTTCATTCTATAATATGGAGAAAATTACAGTACCTACCCCACAGGGTAAAATGTGAGGGTAAAATAAGATAATGCATGTAAAATATTTTGAACAATGCATGGCACATTGTAATTGTTCAATAGATTTTAGCTATTATGATAATCACTCCAGGTTCCCCTTTCTTCTGTATTCCGATTCTTAGCCAGGACTAAAGGGTTGAAATGCATAAGAGAATATTCAAAAAGAGTGTATTTAAAGCATTATAGTTTCTTCTCCTGGTTATCACAAGAGATCCTGATCATAATTTGGGGGTTTTCAGTTATAATCTAAACTATGGGATGGCTGTAAGGGAGACATAGGTGAAAGTTTGTTACTGACTCCCTATGGTAGAAAGAATGCCATTTTGTTAAGGCTCTTAACCGAGTTGCACACAAGAATCACCAAAGAAGATTTCTAATTTAATTTGTTGGGTACAGCTCTGCAGCAATTTTATTTTAAAAGCTCCGCAGGAGATTCTAATGAACAAATTCTAATGCCTTCCATTCAAAGTGTAGTTCTCATTCCAGCAGCACTGACGTCACTTTGGAGCTTGTTAAAAATGCAAAATCTGTAGATTGCTTTTAGCAGTATGGTCATTTTCACAAAATTAATTCTACTCATCTATGAGCATGGGATGTGCTTCCATTTAATTCCCATTAAAATACCACCATCATTCTTCACAAAACTAGAAAAAACAATCCTAAAATTCATATGCAACCAAAAAAAGAGCACGCATAGCCAAAGCAAGACTAAGCAAAAAACAAAAACAAAAAACAAATCTGGGGGCATCACATTACAAGTTCAAACTATACTGTAAGGCCACAGTCACCAAAACAGCATGGTACTGGTATAAAAATACGCATATAGGCCAATGGAACAGAATAGAGAACCCAGAAATAAACTCAAATACTTACAGCCAACTGATCTTAGACAAAGCCAACAAAAACATAAAGTGAGAAAAGGACACCCTGTTCAACAAATGGTGCTGGGATAATTGGCAAGCCACTTGTAGGAGAATGAAACTGGATCCTCATCTCTCACCTTATACAAAAATCGAATCAAGATGGATCAAGGACTTAAATCTAAGACCTGAAACTATAAAAATTCTAGAAGATAACATCGGAAAAACCCTTGTAGACACTGGCTTAGGCAAAGACCTCATGACCAAGAACCCAAAAGCAAATGCAACAAAAACAAAGATAAATAGGTGGGGCTTAATTAAACTAAAGAGCTTCTGCACAACAAAAGGAAGAGTCAGCAGAATAAACAGACAACCCAAACAGTGGGAGAAAATCTTCAAAATCTATGCATCTGACAAAGGGCTAATACCCAGAATCTAGAAGCAACTCAAACAAATCAACAAGAATAAAACAAACAATCCCATCAAAAAGTGGGCTAAGGTCATGAATAGACAATTCTCAAAAGAAGATATTCAAATGGCCAACGAATACATGAAAAAAATGCTCAACATCACTAATGATCAGGGAAATGTAAATCAAAACCACAACGTGATACCACCTTAGTCCTGCAAAAATGACCATAATAAAAAAATCAAAAAGTAATAGATGTTGGCGTAGATGTGGTTAAAAGGGAACACTTCTACACTGCTGGTAGGAATGTAAAACTAGTAAAACCACTATGGAAAACAGTGTGGAGATTCCTTAAAGAAATAAAAGCAGAATTACCATTTGATCCAGCAATCCTACTACTGGGTATCTACCCAGAGGAAAAGAAGTCATTATATGAAAAAGATACTTGCACACGCATGTTTATGGAAACACAATTCACAACTGCAAAAATATGAAACCAGCCCAAATGCCTATCAGTCAATGAGGGGATAAAGACATTGTGGTATATATACACAACAGAATATTTCTCAGCCATAAAAGGCAATGAATTAATGGCATTCACAGCAACCTGGATGGGACTGGAGACTATAATTCTAAGTGAAGTAACTCAGGAATGGAAAAACAAACATCATATGTTCTCACTCATAAGTGGGAGCTAAGCTATGAGGATGCAAAGGCATAAGAACGATACAATGGACTTTGGAGACTCAGAGGAAAGGGTAGGAGGGGGGTAAGGGATAAAAGACTACATATTGGGTTCAGTGTATACTGCTCGGGTGATGGGTGCACCACGATCTCACAAATCGTCACTGAAGAACTCACTCATATAACTAAATACCACCTGTTCCCCAGAAACCTATGGAAATAAATTTAAAAAAAAAAAAAAGCAAAATCTAAAGGCATAAGAATGATAGAATGGACTTTGGGGACTTTGGGGGAAGGGTTGGGGGGCGCGAGGGATAAAAGACTACAAATAGGGTGCAGTGTATACTGCCCGGGTGATGGGTGCACCAAAATCTCACAAATCACTATTAACGAACTTACAAATGTAACCAAATATCACCTGTACTCCAATAAGTTATGGAAATTTTTTTTAAAAAAAAGCAAAATAGTAGGCCCTGGCACAGACCTATTAAATCTTAATCAGCATTTTAGAAAAATCCTAGGGTGATTCTTATACACCTTAAAGTTTGAGAAATACTGCTCAAGTGATAAAGAACTATGTCATCTTCTTGGGGTGAGATGAAGCAAAAACTAAATGGCTATGCCATAATCCAAGCACTACGCATAATTTTTAAACAGCTTTATTGAGGTACAACTTATATGCCATAAAATCCATCCATTTTGAGTATAATTCGTCAAGTTTTAATAAGTTTATACAGTTATATAATCATCACCACAATCCAGTTTTGAACACTTTCATCACACCACCCAAAAAATTCCCTCTATATTCTATGCTCATATACAGTTAATCACAGCTCTCACCCACAGGCAACTACTGATCTGCTCCCTATCTCTATACTTTTACCTTTTCTAGAAACTTCACATAAATAGAATTGTGTCATAAGTAGTCTTTTGTCTCTAGCTTCTTTCACTAATGTAAGGTTTTGAGGTTTATCCATGTTAGTCCATGTATCAGGAGTTGTGGAAGTGGCACCACTCACCATTACCCGTAGTGATCCACTAGCAAAATGTGTGCTTCCTGTTCCCGCAACAGTACATTCTGCTGGCCTAGAGGTCTTAGTTCCAGAGGAAACACTGCCACCAAGAGACACAACAATGATTCCATTAAACAGGAAGTTAAAATTGCCACCTGTTCATCTTGAGCTCCTCCTACCTTTAAGTCAACAGGCTAAGAAGGGGGTTACAGTGTTGGCTGGGGTGACTGACAGGACTATCAAGATGAACTCAGTCTACTACTCCATAAAAGAGATAGGAACACAGGAGATCCATACAGGATACAGGAATGCATGGAGTACAGGAGATCCATTAGGGCTTCTTTTAGTATTACCATGCCCTGTGATTAAGGTCGATGGGAAACTACAACAGCCCAATCCAGGTAGGACTACAAACGGTCCAGACTCCACAGGGATGAAGGTTTGGGTCACTGTACCAGGAAAAAAACTATGACCTGCTGAGGTGCTTGCTGAAGGCAAAGGAATACAGAATGGGTAGCAGAAGGTAGTCATCAGTACCAGCTGTGACCACGTGACCAGCGACAGAAACAAGGACTGTAACTGTTATGAGTATTTCCTCCTTCTTTTGTTAAAAACATGTTTGTGAATGTATACACTTGTGCTAAGAAAATAGCTTAATTTTATTTCCTTTTCCTTCATCATGTGACATAAGATTTATTGACTTTACATAAGCATTTAAGTATTGTTAACTTTATGTAATGGTATTTGGGTTGGGGATTGGTGTGTTTCCAGTTGTACAAAGGATAGTTGCATTAAGTTAGGTGTAATTATGACCTTATTATTGTCTTTATTTGAATATTATGTATGATCTCAGGAGATGTGTATGGGTTCAAGTTGGCAAGGGGTGGACTTGTGATGATTAATACTGTCAACTTGATTGAATTGATGGATACAAAGTATTGGTCCTGGGTGTGTCTGTGAGGGTGTTGCCAAAGGAGATTAACATTTGAGTCAGTGGGCTGGGGAAGGCAGACCCACCCTTACTCTGGTGGGCACCATCTAATCAGCGGCCAGTGAATATAAAGCAGGCAGAAAAATGTGAAGAGGCAAGACAGGCCTAGCGTCCCAGCATACATCTTTCTCCCGTGCTGGATGCTACCTACCCTCAAACATTGGACTCCAAGTTCTTCAGTTTTGAGACTCGGACTGGCTCTCCTTGCTCCTCAGCTTGCAGACAGCCTATTGTGGGACCTTGTGTTTGTGTAAGTTAATACTGAATAAGCTCTCACATATATATATATATATATATATAATATATACTATTAGTTCTGTCCCTCTAGGGATCCCTGACTAACACAACAGTTTATTCATTTTATTAATGAGTAGAATTCCACTGTATGGATATACTACATCTTGTGTATCTATTCACCAGTTGATAAATACTTGAACTGTTTCCAATTTGGGGCTTTGACAAATAATGCTGCTGTGATCATTCAAACATAAGTATTGTATGGACATATATTTTCATTTCTCTTGAGTAAATATCTAGGAGTAGAACTGGTGAGTCACACAAATGTATGTTTAATTTTTCACCAATTTTTAAAATTGGGTCATTTGTCTTACTAAGTTGCAGGAGTTCTTTATATATTCTGAATAAACACCCTTATCAGATATTTGTTTCACAATTGTTTTTTTTGCACTCTGTGCCTTATCTTTAATTTTCTTAATGGTGTTCTTAGCTCTGACATTTAGGTCTATGATGTTCTCAGAGTTCATCTTTGTTTATGGTGTGAAATAAAGGTAAAGGTTCATCTTTTGCATATGTATACCAATTTTGCCAGCACCATTTGTTGAAAAGACGATACACTATAGAGGAATTTTAAAGCTCCTGCCTGGAACACCTTGAAGAATCATACATACTCACAGGCTATGGGAAAACCAGGCAATAGGTAAGAATTAGTACGCAGAGAAAATGTGACTCAGGATTTGGAAAGAAGCATCAGAAAATCAGGGAAGAATGAGATCAGCTTGCAAAGCACATTTTGATCTTTCAGTCAGTCAATGCTGTGATAGAGACAAAGAGAAAGATAACCCTCAGATTCAACATGATTCACATGGCAGAGGTAAAGAACGATCTTCTCCTTAAGTTGGCATTCTCAAAGCCAAGCTACACTTTTATAACTGCATGAAATGGATGTAGGCACGTTTAGTGTTACACCAGGAAAAGCACTGGTGATAAGGAATGTCTGTTGTACTAGAGTCAAAAGGACCATTAAAAGCCTGCATAATGTCAACACACATCAAGATCCTAGTAAAGCTTCAGTTTAGAAATCTTAAGCTGCTAAACCTAAGGCAAATGAAAACCAGATACCCAGGGTGCAAAAGGGAAGAGGAGGAGAATGTTGGTTCTCATAAGCTCTTGAGGGCTGCACTCAATCAGAAATCTTTTGAGGGTGGATTCCTGTGAGATCAAATGTAGGGACAAAAGAAAAGCCCCTGCAGGAGGTGGAAATAATAGGCTTAGAAAAATGCAGAGTTGGGGGACAACAGTAATAGCGACTGTGGCAGAAATGGCCATATATAACTAAGAAACTCTTGGCTAGAAGAAGGATAAAGAGAAGACAGGCAGTACAGGGTCACCAATTTTGCTTGGAGAGTTACTGTTTCTAAACATGATTTGGGACTGTGGATTACTCTACTTATAAACTTGGAGATTCAGTCTCTAGACGGCTCACACTCAGCCGAGGTTTGGGGTACTAGTTGCCACCGGGTTGAAGAGAGAATAGACAATAAAAATAGCTACATTTACTAAGGCCTTAACGTGTGCCCAGCTAAGTCCTCTCTATCCATCATCTGAGAGCCTCATAATAATATTGAGAGGCATAATTATCCCCACTTAATGGATTGACTTCCTCCTCCAAATCAAACCACTAGCAGGTGGCAAAACTGGGTTTTAAACACTGGCCTTTTAGGCTTTAAAACCTATGCTTTGTATGTTATACCAATTAGGATATGATTCTTTTCATGGAACTAATCTCACTCAAATGCAAGAGCAAATCCAAGGCCTTCCTTTAACCTCCAGAGAAGTAGAGTGGCAGATATCAAGGCACAATGGGTCTACTTTCTAGGGAATTTTCTGAGAGAAGTGTTACCACTTGATTACTGTTTTCATCTCCTGCAGATAGAATCGGTGTGGTACTGATGGTATGATAGTCTTGTATGTCCTGAGAACTGCTCCAAAACATGGAAGCATAGTAGAGAGTTAGGGGAATCTAATTCAGAGGTGTTGAAGAAGCTGCATTAGTGGTAGTAAA